>NC_000010.11:122871033-123496116 GCF_000001405.40 Homo sapiens
ACCCCATCGTCTCAGCTCAAAATCTCCTTAAGCTGATAGGCAACTTCAGCAAAGTCTCAGGATACAAAATCAATGTACAAAAATCACAAGCATTCTTATACACCAACAACAGACAAACAGAGAGCCAAATCATGAGTGAACTCCCATTCACAATTGCTTCAAAGAGAATAAAATACCTAGGAATCCAACTTACAAGGGATGTGAAGGACCTCTTCAAGGAGAACTACAAACCACTGCTCAATGAAATAAAAGAGGATACAAACAAATGGAAGAACATTCCATGCTCATGGGTAGGAAGAATCAATATTGTGCAAATGGCCATACTACCCAAGGTAATTTATAGATTTAATGCCATCCCCATCAAGCTACCAATGACTTTCTTCACAGAATTGGAAAAAACTACTTAAAAGTTCATATGGAACCAAAAAAGAGCCCGCATCGCCAAGTCAATCCTAAGCCAAAAGAACAAAGCTGGAGGCATCACGCTACCTGACTTCAAACTATACTACAGGGCTACAGTAACCAAAACAGCATGGTACTGGTACCAAAACAGAGATATAGACCGATGGAACAGAACAGAGCCCTCAGAAATAATGCCGCGTATCTACAACTATCTGATCTTTGACAAACCTGACAAAAAGAAGAAATGGGGAAAGGATTCCCTATTTAATAAATGGTGCTGGGAAAACTGGCTAGCCATATGTAGAAAGCTGAAACTGGATCCCTTCCTTACACCTTATACAAAAATTAATTCAAGATGGATTAAAGACTTACATGTTAGACCTAAAACCATAAAAACCCTAGAAGAAAACCTAGGCAATACCATTCAGGACATAGGCATGGGGCAAGGACTTCATGTCTAAAACACCAAAAGCAATGGCAACAAAAGCCAAAATTGACAAACGGGATCTAATTAAACTAAAGAGCTTCTGCACAGCAAAAGAAACCACCGTCAGAGTGAACAGGCAACCTACAGAATGGGAGAAAATTTTTGCAACCTACTCATCTGACAAAGGGCTAATATCCAGAATCTGCAATGAACTCAAAACAAATTTACAAGAAAAAAACAACCCTATCAAAAAGTGGGCGAAGGATATGAACAGACACTTCTCAAAAGAAGATATTTATGCAGCCAAAAAACACATGAAAAAATGCTCATCATCACTGGCCATCAGAGAAATGCAAATCAAAACCACAATGAGATACCACCTCATACCAGTTAGAATGGCAATCAGTAAAAAGTCAGGAAACAACAGGTGCTGGAGAGGATGTGGAGAAACAGGAACACTTTTACACTGTTGGTGGGACTGTAAACTAGTTCAACCATTGTGGAAGTCAGTGTGGCGATTCCTCAAGGATCTAGAAGTAGAAATACCATTTGACCCAGCCATCCCATTACTGGGTATATGCCCAAAGGATTATAAATCATGCTGCTATAAAGACACATGCACACATATATTTATTGTGGCATTATTCACAATAGCAAAGACTTGGAACCAACCCAAATGTCCAACAATGATAGACTGGATTAAGAAAATGTGGCACATATACACCATGGAATACTATGCAGCCATAAAAAATGATGAGTTCATGTCCTTTGTAGGGACATGGATGAAGCTGGAAACCATCATTCTCAGCAAACTATCGCAAGGACAGAAAACCAAACACCGCATGTTCTCACTCATAGGTGGGAATTGAACAATGAGAACACATGGACACAGGAAGGGGAACATCACACTCTGGGGACTGTGGTGGGGTGGGAGGAGGGGGGACGGATAGCATTAGGAGATATACCTAATGTTAAATGACGAGTTAATGGGTGCAGCACACCAACATGGCACATGTATACGTATGTAACAAACCTGCATGTTGTGCACATGTACCCTAAAACTTAAAGTATAACAATACAAAAATAAAATAAAATAAAAAAAGAACAGGTTGAAGCTAATAGAGGTCAGTTCATGAGGTTTAAAAAATAAACCATCTCCATAACATAAAAGTGCAAGGTGTAACAGGAAGGTACAGCAAGTTATCTAGAAGCTGCTCTAGCTAGGATAATTCATGAAGGTGGCCACATTTAACAATGGATTTTCAGTATAGATGAAAACAGACTTCTATAGGACAAAGATGCCCTCTAGGACTTGCACAGCTAGAGAGGTCAACGCCTGGCTTCAAAGCTGATTCTGACTCAAAAGTCAGGCTGACTTTGTTGCTGGGGACTAATATAGCTGATGATTTCAAGTTTAAGCCAACGCTCATTTACCATTCTGAAAATCCTAGGGCTCTTAAGAATTATGCTAAATCTGCTCTGTCTTTGCTTTATAAATGGAACAACAAAACCAGGATGACAACACATTGGTTTACTGAATATTTTAAGCTCCCTGCTGTGACCTCCTGCTCAGAAAAAAGTTCCTTTCAATACATTAGTGCTAACTGATGCTTGGCCAGGGCCACCCAAGAGCTCGGATGGTGATGTACAAGGAGATTAATGTTTTCATGTCTACCAACACAACATCCATTCCGCAGCCCATGGATCAAGGAGTAATTTCAACTTTCAAGTCTTATTGTATAAGAAATACATTTCATAAGGCTTTAGTAGCCATAGATAGCAATTTCTCACAGTATCTCTTAGGTGTGCCTATATATTGCTCTTCTTTCTCTAGTTTCTTAAGGTGAAAGCTTACATAATAGATTTTAGATCATTCTTTTCCAACATGTACTCAGTACTCTCCGTTTCCCTGTAAGCACTGCTCTTGTTGAATTCTACAAATTCTGATGAATTGTATTTTCACTTTCATTTAGTTTGAAATATTTTTAAATTTCTCTTGAAACTTCGAGCCAAGTGTTATTTTAGAAATATGTCTGTTAATCTCCAAATATTTTAGGATTTTTCAAGTATTTTCCTGTTACAAATTTCTAATTAAATACCATTGTGATCTAGGAACATACTTTGTATAATTTCTATTCTTTTACATTTGTTAAGGGGTGTTTTATGGCCTAGAATGTGCTCTATCTTGGTAAATGTTCTAGGAGTGTTTCAGAAAAATGTGTATTCTGCTATTGTTGACGTGTCCTATTAATACCAATTAGATCCAGTGGACAGATGGTACAATTCAGTTCAACTATATTCTTACTGATTTTCTGCATGCTGAAACTGTCAATTACTGATCCAGGGTTGTTGAAGTCTCCAAGAGTAATAGTGAATTTGTCTATTTCTCTTTGCAGTTCTATCAATTTTTGCTTCACATATTTGATGCTCTGTTGTTAGGTACATATACATTAAGGATTTTATTTTGCCTTCATTTATTCCTTCTCTGATGCTCTTCCTTTATATAGATCCAAGTTCATGACCTTGGATCATTTTCCTTCCCTCTGGAGAACTTATTTTAATATTTTTTGCAACACAGGTTTATCACTGACAAATTTCCTTAGCTTTTGTTTAAGAAAATCTTTAAGTCTCCTTCACTTCTGAAAGGTAATTCTTGTGGATACATTCTAGGTTGGTGTGATTTCTCTTTCAACATTGTAAATATTTCACTCCAGTCCCTTCTTGCTTGGTTTCTAATCAGAAATATAATTCTTTTCTTGTTCCTCTATAGCATGTATTTTTTCCTCTGGCTCCTTTCAATGACTCTTTGACTTTGGTTTTCCCATCTTGAATATAATATGCCTAGGTACAGACTAAGCTTGTCCAACCTACAGCCTGCGGGCTGTATACGGCCCTGGACGGCTTTGAATGCAACCCAACACAAATTTGTAAACTTTCTTAAAACAGCATGAGGTTTTTTTTGCAATTTTTAAGCTCATCAGCCATTGTTAGCGTTACTGCATTTTATGTGTGGCCCAAGACAATTCTTCTTTTCCCAGGGTAGCCCAGGGGCACCCCTGGTACAGACCTTTTAGTATTTATCTTGCTTGGTGTTCTCCAAGCTTCCTGCTCTAAGAACGGGTTTGGTGTCATTAATTTTGGATAATTCCCAACCATTATTTCTCACATATTTCTTCTACTCTCTTCTCTTTCTTCTACTTCTGGTATTACCATTATACATGTTATTACAAGTTTTATAACTGTCCAGCAGTTCTTGGATAGTCTACTTTTTCATCTCTATTTTCTTTGCTTTTCAGTTTTTATTAACAGTTCTTCAAGCTCATTTATTCTTTGGCCTGTCCAGTCTCCTGATAAACCCATCAAAGGCATTCATTTGTCACATTGTTTTTTGACTTCTATCATTTCCTTTTATATCTTCCTTAGAGTTTCCATATCTCTGCTTACATTACCCATTCACTCTTGTATGCTATCTGCTTTTTCCATTAGAGCCCTTATATATCAATCATAGCTACCTTAAATTCCCTACTTGAGAATTACAAAATCTGCATCATATGTAAGAATGGTTCTGATATTTCCTTTGTTTCTTGTTCTTTCTTGCCTTTTACCGTGCTTTGTAAATCTTTGTTGAAAGCCAGACATAATATATCTGGAAGAATATATAGAAACTGAGGTAATCAGGCTACTTGATTCATGTCAATCTGACTAGAAGTTAGGCTGTGTTTAATGTTTGCTGTAGTTATCAGTGTCAGAGGCTTCAATCTACTATTCTTGCTTTGAGTTTCCACATTGTCATTGTCTTTGGGTATCCCCAGAGACTCCTTTTAAATAAAATGTAGTCTGATAATAATTGGTCACAGCTGGCACTAGGGAAAGGCAGTCTCCTAATTAAAAAAAAAAACCCTGAAACTGGTGATCAACGGCTTGCCGATAAGATCTCAGGAGTTGGACAAGTGGGTTCAAGCATGTGCACTAAGAGGCAAAATGGCAGAGTTTAACTGGTATATGACCTTCTAAGAACATTTGATGGGTAAGAGAAGAATGCTTCAAGTGAGCATGCATACAACTCCAGTAAACACACTATGCATACAGCCCCGCCCTAGTGCTGGCACGCCACTGAGCATGCAGACAGCCCACCCTGAGGGAAGAATTAGCAAGAAATAATGCAACCCTGGAAGCATGTCAACATGTAAGACCCAAAATCAAAGGTCCAACCACGCACTTGATCTCTCAAGGCGCTTGCTTGGCCCTCTTCCAAGTGTACTTTTACTTCCTTTTGTTCCACCTCTAAAGCTTTTAAATAAATTTTTCCTTTTGCCCTAAAACTTGCCTTGGTCTCTCACTCTTCCTTATGACCCTTGGTCGAATTCTTTCTTCTGACAAGAATTGAGGTTGCTGCAGCCCCCTGCAGATTCACTACCACTAACAACGGGAAGGCTAGAGGGGGCTGGAATCTTCTAATTGCCCTTTCCCTAGAACAGATAAGGCTCTGGTAAAGTACTTTCCCTTGAGAGAAGGCTTTTGTTAGGGAAATGCTGAGGGCAGTTTTCAAAAAGGTTACTTTGCCCCCTCCTTCTGCACAAAGCAGGAGGGAGTTTTAATCCAATCCTTGTCCTAAGAATCTGCTGCAGCTCTGAAAAGTAAAACTCCCAAAAGTGTAAGGGCACCATATGAGTGGTCTCCCAGGAGTTTCTAACTGTCAAGCTAACTCACACTCAGCATCCAGCAAGTCATCAATGACCATTTTAAGTGTTCCTACCATTTGCTGCCTCATGAGGATTTCTGTTCCTAGCATGCTGATATCAGTTGTGATTTTCTGTATTTGCCTACCCAGTTTGGGGGTGGCCATTTGCTTTGTGACCTCCATTATCTGATGGATATTTTAAAGGCTGTTAATGTTCCATTTGTTCAGCTTTTTTCTTGTGAGGACAGTTGTGATTGACTTCTAAGTGGTTTACGTGTCACAGATGAAACCAGAAGTGTTAAAAAATAAGAAAAGAGCACACAAAAACAAAAGCTTTCTAGAATATTCAATATTTTGAGGGTAAAAGGTCCTGGGACTAAAGTGTTTGATTGCCACTATGCAAAGGCACTCTGTTAGCAACAGTAGATACATATATGATTCTACTCTAAATTCTACAAGTTATATATAATAAACTTCTCTTTAAAACAGTCAAGCCAAAAAAATACATTGTGATATTGGTGGAAAGATTTCAAAGATATGCCTTATTCTTTATTTCAAGTGAAAAAATAAAAATAAAGCAAAAAATACCATTTGCCATTCACGACAAGAGTAATTTACATTAAAATTGAGGTCACCTAGGCACCAGCACAACACCCTGGCTTTGTAACCATCTGAAGGGTTCTTCCTGCCTGCTACACAAAGATCATGGCATTGTAGTAAAGAAAGAGTTTAATAGACATAAGGCCAGCCACAATTCTCATCCAAAGCTTATAGGTTAGGGATTTTTCAGAGGCAGTTTGGGGGAAGTGGTGGAGGTCGCTAGGCTTGCTGCTGATTAGTTGGGGCAGAGATGAAATCACAAGGGGTGAAGCTGTCCTCTTGCACATTGAGTCACTTCTGGGTGGGGCTGTAGGAATGGTGGGTGTCAGACATGCAAAAAAACCCTGAAAAGATATCTCAAAAGGCCAGTCTACAATAGTGGTGTTATCTGCAGGAATAATTGGGGAAGTTGCATATCTTATAACCTTCTGAATAATAACTGATAATAGTTCATGTCTGCACCTTAGCAGGACCCAGGCTCCTCTCCTCCTGCCAGCCTGATGCAAAAGCAGTTGAGTTTGGGGGAAGGCCTATGATAATTTAAACTATAGCCTAAATGTCCCAAAAGCCCAAGAATAATCAAGGCAAGACTGGGGATGGATTAGCTCAGATCTCTTTCACTGTCATAATTTTCTCACTAACTTTTGCAAAGTTTTTTCAGCTTTGAAAATAAGATTGAATTTGCCAGTTTCACCTCTTTCTACTCCTGTTATACTGTGATAGAGTTCCCAAACAACCCCTATTGCTATCTCTATCAATTCCATACAACAAACCTATACTCAATCTCTACTAGGCACAAAACAATTCCTATTTTCAACAACTGTACAGATGGTTGGGAAAACAAATGTGAGAATTATTTGGTAAAGCTCCATACCAGAAGAGAATTATAGTATCTAAAAACTCTAAGTGTAGCAGAGAGAAATTACTGACAAATTCTCTCACAGTGTGGAGGGCTGTGCTTGGCACTAAATGATGAACAGGATTTTTCCTATCCAAAAGAAGGGGCATTCTAGGTAGAGGGAAAAGCATGTACAAAAGCTGGGGGGTCTAGGAGGCAGGCAGAAGTCAAGGATAAAGGGCTTTGTATGCCTGTTAAGAAGTAATGGTGGCCAGGTGCGGTGGCTCACGCTTGTAATCCCAGCACTTTTGGGAGCCGAGGCGGGCGGATCACTTGAAGCCAGGAGTTTGAGACCAGCCTGGCCAACATGGCAAAACCCTGTCTCTCCTAAAAATACAAAAATTAGCTGGGCCTGGTGGTGCACGCCTGTAGTCCCAGCTACTCAGAAGGCTGAGGCAGGAGAATCGCTTGAACCCAAGAGGCGGAAGTTGCAGGAGCCGAGATCACACCACTGTACTCCAGCCTGGGTGACAGACTGAAACTCCATCTCAAAAGAAAAAAAAAAGTAATGGTGATGGTGATTCAGTCAGAAAGCATCAAGCATCAGGACAATTGATAAAAGATTAGAGGGCAGTGCAGAAAATGAAACGCAGGTGAGGAGATAATGACTATCAACCAGTAAAGAAACTCCTGGAATTGTTCCGATGAAAGCTAGTATTTCAAAACAGAGAGGCAGAGATGGAGAAAGACAGGGAAGTTTTTCTTTAAAAACCAAAAATAAAACAAGACTGGGTGATAATACTGAACATACGAGATTGAAAGAAAGGGGAGACGACAAAATGCTGTAGGCTTTCTGCCTTATTTAAGGAAGTCAAAATCCAGCTTATAGTATTGATCTTGCTCATGAAGTTTCAGATAGGTAATTCTAAAAAGCCTATTTTCCTTTAGACTGTCCAATTATGATGACATGTATCAAAGTTAACTTATGACTACAATGGGCTGGGCATAAAGAACAGGAAGTCTGGTGTACACAACTTAGAATGCATCTGGAGTACAAAAGGAAGAAAGAGGCAAGATCTACTTCCTATTCCATGGGGCATCTGGAAAACTCCCTCAGGCGACCGCTCCATCCAAACACCTGGGATCTTTCTCAACCTTCTGATTTCTGTCACGAGGGCATCCAGCATAGTCCTGGCAACGCCGTAGGATCAGGGAGCATCAAATGAGATGGCACCTGGGGAAGGCCCGTGTGGCCCAGCGTCCACCACTAACGCCGTTCAATATCTACCTCAACTCCCCTCTAACGCGAGAATGTGTATGAGAGAGGCAGGGAGAGTTCGGAGTAAAATTAACCCGAATGGACAGCGCTTCCGCCGCGTTCGCTGCCACAAATGCTGCAGACCCGACGGAGTGGAGGCAGAAAAGGCCCTGGCGTCCACTCGGGAAAGAACGAGGTCAGGAGTCGGTCCTGCACATCGCGTAGAGCGAAGAGACGACACCTACCTGACCATAGACGCTCCCCATCCGCCCAGCAACCGTGGTCCATGCTGCCTGCGTCCACCGCCAGCGTCGAAAAACCGCCGTGGTGCCCGCGCACAGTGCACCGCGCCTGCGCATGGTCTCCAAAGGCTGAGCGAGGGCCTGCCAGTGCGCATGCTCCGCTCTTTAGCGCTTCCTGAGCAAAGTTTGAACGCCTCTCGAGTCCAGTTGGCTTATGCGCATGCGTTTCTCTGGTGCAGGTTCTCACCAAATCCAGAAGCGGCGGGCATTTGAAATGATGTAAGCCGGGAGTCGCTCTGCCTGCCCGTTTCTGCGCTGCACTGGCCGACACTTAAGCACTGGAAGAGAGGCCTGGCAGGAGGCGGCGCAGTGGACACGCGGTCCGAGGACGGGGGCCTCACCCGCCGCCCCACGCTTGCCTCTTCCTGGGATGCCGCAGGCGGGGCCCTAACTCACAGCCTCCTCACCCGGGCTCGTGTCTGCGCCCGCGACTTCGACTGGGAGGAGCTTCTGGCGCCACCTGCGCCACGGTGCGCCGGGCCGCCGGCGACCGGGTCGCTGCGCTCGGCGACTGCCGCGCTCCTCGGGGAACGTGAGGGTCTGAGTCCGGGATCCAGGAGAGCAGTTGGTGTCGGGTCTCTGCGGGGGAGCGGGGCTGCGAGGTGGAGGCGAGGACCGGGGTGGGCGGAGGCGGGGTAGGTCTGGCCGGGAAGTACCCGAGGCCCCGAGGCATGAGCGGGGGAAGGTGACCAGGACTTGGAATTTCATAAACGTCCCCGTCAGGCGTGACGGGTCGTCAGGGCTGCTATCAAAGTCAGTCCGCCCATCTACCCTCAAACAAGCCACCTCCTCTCCACCAAAACAGGCTGTGTAAAAAGTCCAGCTATAGACGACCGCCGTCGACTTAATTTCGAAAAAGATACACTTTGTCTTCTATTGTGTTCTGCTCCTACTCCTGTGCACACAGTAGGTGTCCAGTAATGTATCCGAGAATCAATTGCAGGGGACTGAGTAGAACGTTGATGATTGAGGAAAAAATAGAGGGGGAAGCCCTGATGTGTGATGCCTCCATTTCCTTATGAATTCTGTGTTGAGCATTTGTTAGAATAAACCTCATGGCCTAACAAGTGGGTTTTGAGCCATGTTCAGAAACTATACTGTGTGATGTTTTCACCTGTTTTCTTCTCAGCCAGAATCTGGTGATTTAGAAGAGAAGATTGAACAACCAAGATGAAAACCCCTGCTTCCTTTACCTGAGGTGTGGCCCTGATGGAGGTGAAGAAATCGCTTCTATTGGCATTTTAAGTTCAGCAAGAAATATGGAAGTGTACTTAGGAGAGGAGTACTGTGGAACCAGTAGGGGCAAGAATGTTTGTACTGTCTTGGATGACAGTTGTGTGACTTGTACACGGGAAAGTGTTCTCCTGAATTGGTGTCTTTATTCTGTTCACCTTTTGCAATATTGATTGACTCTCTGACATTGATGTTTACATTAGAGAAGAGAAGATAAAAACCTACTATGGCATAGAAGGTTAGACCATTAAAGCATCTTCTAGGCAATCTAGTTCAGCTTCCTCATTTTTAGGAATGCAGAAATTTAGAGCTAATAAAGGAGAGGTGAGCCTGGAGAGGGTCATACTAGTTAAAGTGTCCAGGCAAGAGTGCAGTCCTTATTGCTGCTTCTTGACTCTCTCCATAAACTCACAATGGTCTGTTTTCCAGAAATTAATTTGACAGTCAGTCTGAAACTTTGATCACATATTTTTTAAGGAACCTACAAGCCCAAGGTGGTGCCACACCAGCCTATTTAGTCCATATTCAATGTGTTATAGTTTGATCTTTTCCCTAGTCCCTTATAGGAACATTCTACACTAATCGCGCCTTAATATAAATCAAAACGTCAACTATTTTACATATTGTGCATATTGGAAATAATAAATACACGACACAGGGTTATTGACCAGGTCACTTGAGAAGGGATCTCAACTGTTTGTCCCCTACCAGGCAAACTGAATCTCAGGATTTAAGTAATGGCCTGGAAACAATTTTTTTTTACTGCAGCTGTTTAAACTGATAATTTATATAAGTGAAAAAATAATTTTTATTCTATTTTCAGTAAACGCGAAATTATTTTCTACAAAAATTACTTAATATTGGCATCCTCCACTCATGCCTGTAAAATAAAGGTAGGTCATCACTAAATTTTAACTAATTTGACAATTGCAAATGTATGTATAATATACTTATGTACTGTTGGTTTGTTCATACAGTTAGTCCAACTTAGTCCTTGTTTATCTTTATATGAAACTATGGTGCCAAGAAAACCACGTTTTGTCCCCATTATGTTTAAAAAGACAAGAATTAGAGAAGTTGCAGAGAAAAGCACCTAAAAGCTATTTGGACTGGTACCCTGAATATGAAAAATATTGTTGAGGTGAACTTTAGTGATGTCATCAGAGTTAAGAGTACTGAGCTACAAATAGCCCAAGGTATTAATGCAGTTCTGTTAGTTACTGCCTGAGTGACCTTGGGAAAATCTCTACATTTCTTTGGACCTACCTCATGGGTAAATTAGAAGACTAAAGAAAATAAAGCATTGTATTCTTTTTGTCTCCACATTATACAGGGTTGTGAGACTTACTTTAAGGAAAAAGTTGGCCGGGCATGGTGGCTCATGCCTGTAATCCTAGCACTTTGGGAGGCCGAGGCAGGGTGATCCCTTGAGCCCAGGAGTTTGAGACCAGCCTGGGTGGCATAAGGAGACTCTGTCTCAAAAAAGAGAAAAAAATAAAAAGAATAAGGAAAAAGTTAATGATTTTTATAGCAGGCAAGTAACAAACTTACAGATCAGATTGTTCCAAGACATTGTTTTAGGTAGTATATATTAATCGCTTCCAAAGTCATTTAAATAAAGTGATTTATTCAACAAATATTTGAGTGCCTACTGATACCAGATACAGACTGTAGTAGGCATTTAGGAAGCAGCAGTAATAAAATGGAGCAACTACCCTTGTGTTGCTTATATTCAAATGGGATGAGACAGGTAATGAGCACACTCTGAATAAAATTGTGTTTTGTTTGGTGGTGAGAAAGGCTATAAGGATTAAGAAGCAGAAAGGGGATAAGAGAGAGGATGAGAGGCGACTGTTTAAATTTAACAGTGTTTTCTTAATTGTGAAGGATGGTCACATCTTTGGTGCCATGGGTCTGAATTGACCTGTGTCTTTGGGTTACATATGGTTCTGTGTGTCTCTCTGAAGATGAGTATTTTTTGTAACTATTCTATGGAAGTATATGTGAGTGCAAAGGGTCATTTCATTTAGGAAAATCCCAAGCCTACTAAAGCTTATTCTGAGGCAGCAGAATATGAAAGTTACAAAAATAGTTACTGATGAATATTTTCAAATACTTACTCATTGGAAATTTTAGCACATAATCCCAACCACCATGTGAAATCACTGATATGATCCTCCCTCATGTTAATTCTGATTTGTGTTTTGGCATTTGTCCAGGATCATACAGGCTATACAGAGCAGACTCATAACTGAACTCTGGTTTATCTCATTCTAAATCCTGTTTCCTTTCCATTTTGATACTGTTTTTGGTGCCACACATGAAATGTCTTTTGGTTCATAAACATGAATGAAGAGAGGCAGCATAAAGCATTGGAGAGGGCACTGTTATAACAGCCAGGAGAGCTAGGTTCTAAGCCTGACTTTTACTAATTGGGTAATCCTTTGACAAGTTAGAAAATTACCTCTAACTTCATCTTTTTAAATGTGTAAACCAGTGGGTTACGTGAGACCATCTTGACCCTGCCTTATAATTCTAAATGGCTCATTTATATTTAGTAATTCAGTAAACACTTTGGATGGGCTTCTGAACACCCTTATTTTGTATTAAAGAATATTATAGTAAGCAGCTGTGTGTTAAAGTCTCAGATTGGCATAGTCTATTCTGAGTTGCTTAAATAAATGAAACTTTAATTTTACCTTCTTTCATATATTTAGTATATTTTTTTAGTTTGAAAATGACATTGTCTTATATAAATTGTTCTTCTGAGTTTCATAATAAATTGAAACCTCTGACCATTACTGTATTAGGGAAAACTTGAAAATATATTTAAAGTTTATATTTGTTTTCCTGAATACTTTACTCTTGTTGATAATACAAAGGAGTGACCTTAAATAGTGAATATTGTTTAATATTATTATTTATTTTCCTGAACTTTGTATTGTAATAGTTGCGCTCCTTTGGTGAAAGACAGTGTGTGTTCATCAGTAAAGTTGTGATACACATGAGAGCAGTTTCAGCAAATTATTCAACAGGCTCTCCTGCTGTAAAATCAAGAATAGAACTAGACAGGATCCAAACCATAATGGAGTCCATGGGGTCAAAGTTATCTCCTGGAGCTCAGCAATTGATTAATATGGTTAGGTTTCAGCAGTGGGTAAGTAGAAATGGATGACTTTCCAGATACCATTAAAAATTATAAGTAATGGCTTTTTATAAATACATGTAGTGATGTAAATTTTTTCTTTGAAATTTTGTAATTGATTTAACTGTTATCTTTATTTACTTGTGTAAAAAATAACATTTCATAGACTTGCCCTCCTACAAAATATTTTGACTACAAATCTTCACACTTTTTCATGAATTCATTCACACATTCATTCAGCAAGTATTTATTAAGCACCTTCTTAGTGAACAAGGCACTAGTTTGGGTACATTTCATGATGCAAAGATATCAGTTTATAATTTGTCTTTAAGGATTTACATTCTAGGACATATAAATGGGGAGGGATGAAGAAGATTAGGAAAGGCTCACTAAAGGAAGTGGTATTTTTATCTAGGCCTTTAAAGGACAGGATTAGGCAAGTAAATTTGGAAGAAGGCCAATTCAGACAAAAAATAGGCTGAATAAAATCTTCAATGCTAAAAGAATTGGATGTAGCTGAGAAATGAGTAGTAGTTCATTTCTCTGAAGCAGAAGGGGAATAGGGGAAGTTTAAAGTAGATTTCAGCTAGGTCATAGTGAGAGCTTTGAATGCTACTTCACTTATTTTTTGAGATGGAATCTCGCTCTGTTGCTCAGGCTGGAGTGCAGTGGCACGACCACGGCTCACTGAAACCTCTGCCTCCCAAGTTCAAGCGATTCTCCCACCTCAGCCTCCCTAGTAGTTGGGATTACAGGTGCCTGCCACCACACCTGGCTAATTTTTTTTGTATTTTTAGTAAAGACGGGGTTTCACCATGTTGGCCAGGCTGGTCTCAAACTCCAGACTTCAAGTGATCCACCCGCATTGGCCTCCCAAAGTGCTAAGATTACAGCATGAGCCACCACACCCTGTCTGAGTGCTACTTTAAATTTGTAAGTATTTCCACTGTCATGTGTAAGGTAAATCAAAAGAAAGTGAGACTACAAGGAGAAGACCAGCTACACGTTATTCCCCTCATCCAGATGAGCGAGAATGAGGGTCTAAGATTGAACATAGTAACATGATGCTGTATGGTGAAATGCTAAAACAATGGAGCTGTTGGGACTTTACAACTAACTTAATATTGGTGTTGTGGGAGAAAAATAGAGTCAAATGTGAAATTGAGGCTTTAAGGATGGCAATACAAATAATCTAAATTCAACCCAAGGAAGGAGGATGCTTGGGGGGAAGAAAAGTTTAGTTTTTGGAATATTGAGTTTTAGCTGTGAATAAAACATTCCCTGGGAGGATGTTGCAAACATCTGAAAACAGAGGATTAGGAGAAATGGAATGAACCTTAAGTGGCTGGAAGGGAAGTTTAGAGGTGTATCCACAGTAGCTGATGGAGTGTGGTGAAGAGAGGGACTGAAGCAAGGAAGAAAGATCCTTGGAGAATAGCTGCATTTGTACAGATACAGGGAGAGGAAAAAGGAACCAGAAATGTAGAAGGTAGCAGAGGGATAGAGTAGCAAGAGAAAGGATTTGATGTCAGGTAAAATTACCTCAAGCTCTTGTCCTGTCTCCTCTTAGTTCTGCATCCTTTGGGCAAGTTGATTCATTTTTTTTTTTTAACACAAATTCTTCATGTGCAAAATCTAAATCTAAGTGGTAACACTGTAACAATCACAGGATTGATGTAAAAATTTAAAATAAATAACGCAAGTAAAGAACTCCTTGTAGATGTGTGGCCTACAGATATTAATGTAGTGCCGCTATTACCATGTGGGCTGAGTTAAGAGAACAAGGAGAGCTGAAGTTATGGAAAAGACGGAAGAGTTCCAAAAAAGATGGAAATGTGTACTTTTCTTCCTCCCACACCGTGATCTCACCTGGATACCTCAGGAGGTTCCTAACTGGTCCTCCAGCTCTGCTAAAATCCATTCTCCACAGTGCACTCAGAATGGCCTCAAAGTTCTCATCCTGTATAAGACTTTCTCACTGCTTCCCATCACACTTAGAATTAATCTTGATTCCTGACCCTGATCTCTAAGGTGTAGGCCCTTCTTGCCTCCTCAACCTCATCTCCTGCCATGTTTCCTTGGGCAGCTTGCTCCAGACATTCTGATGTATGCATTCTATAAATATCCAAATGTGTTTCTACCTCAGGACCTTTACACTTACAACTGTTTTCTTTCCCTAAATCTTGGCATAACTGACTTTGTCCTATCAGATTTTGGCTTAAATGTTACAGCCTTAATGAGATCTTCCCTAACCACCCAGTTTTAAGTAGGCTTTCCCTCCAAATCTATATCATGTTTTCTTCGGAGCCCTCTTGACTATTTTTACTGTTGTTTATGTATTGGTCTGTTTATCTCATTAAAATAAGCTTTATGCAATAGACACCTGGTCTTTCTTGTTTATGGTATGGAATATATGTACGATAAATGTGCCCTTTGGATTATCAATTAAGGACTCCTTGGAGATCTTCGGGGGGTCAGTTTGAATAGTGATGAGGTGGAAATCAGATTTTCAGGGATTTGATAGTAAATGGGTTTTTGGAATGTGGAGGTACCCAGGGTAACATGGGTTTATTTCAAGAAAGAGATAAGGAACTTCAAGAATCTCTTGAAATGTTTATAAAATGCAGATTCTTGGCCCTCACCAGTGCCCTGAATCCTAGGGAGTGGGATCCAGGAATCAGTATTTTAAACAAGCATCTCCAGATGAGTCTTATGCATAGTGTATTACGAATATAAACTCTATCTGTCTAGAGTTTTCTACGCATATAGAAGCAAGTTCCTTCCAGTCAGTAGATTGTGTTGTAACCAATTCCCACCCCCTGTTCCCCCCAGCACACACTCTAAATCATTACATCTGGAGACATTTGGGGAACACCCTGGAGAAGAAATAAAGTTAATTCTTCCTTTAAACATGCTAATAAAAGACTTACTTCCTAGTAAGAAAGTTCTTATTTATGGAGTTAACAAACCAGACATCTATATATTGTCTCCCTAGAAAATGTCATATAAGCTTTGTAACTATCTGAGCATAAAATGGGGATGTTTCATGACTAAAACAACTCCTGTGTAATGGTGTAACCATACACATTGTCTAGGCAGGGTCTGTCCTGGAGAAAGGAAGCACCTGGGGACCTGTGTTGGAAGTCTCAGCCCCTCAGCTTTACTTCTGAATTGAGATTACTTGCTTTCTTGAAAGTTTTACTAAAGTTTAGTACTCTGAGTCATGTAAGTCTGAAATGGTCATCTGTGTGATATCTTGATAAATATAAAGGTTCTTATTTCCTTGTGTTTGAAGTTTAGATTGCTGGCTTTGTTTTTGCTTCACAATTTAGAATATTGAGTAGGAATTCCATATCAAAGTGTGTAGTATACTGTTGTCATTTAATATTATCTGAATGAAAGAATGGTGCACCCCATTTTCTCAAAATATATTCCATTATGATTTATACTGTTTACTTTTTCCCCTTCCAAATAAAAATAACTTTTTCTTGTTTTTTCAAAATGATATATGAATGTTTTATAAGTAAAACTTATTTCATAAATCCCATAAGATATTCAGAGATAAAACACTTGATTTTTCAGAAATGTCACTTATATGAAATTACATGTATGCAATATATGAAGTTATGTATACACACATATATAGTTCTTTACATGTTCATATATATTGACACAATTCTGCATAAATATTTTTCATGTTCCTTTATGCTGCTCTATAGTCATTTTCCTCTAACATGAGATGGGCCACATTCTAAGCAAGAAGTATATCCCTATGTCATTTTTAATGACTATATACTATGTCACTTTATGAGTATTTTGTACTTATTTAATCACTGCTAGATTAGTGAGTATTTAGGCTCCTCAAATTTTTTGGTATTATGATTAGCACTGCTAAGCAGAAACTTCTAAGAAAATTGTCAATTCTTGTGACTCAGTTGAGAGTACTGCATTTTATTACTGCAAATTAAAGAAGTCTTTGTAGTGGAAACATTGAAATACGCCAATGCCATTTTACTAACCATTCTATATTTATTTTAATATATTTTTAGAAAAAACTACAGTTAAATGATTAAAAGCCCCAACTGTGGGGTTAAGTGGCCTGAGTTCATGTTGCAGTTCTGCCACTTACTGGGTGTGTTACTTTGGCCAGGCCACCTTTAGCCTTGGTCTCCTCAATTTAATTTAATATAAAGTGATAGTAATATTACCCTACTTCATAAGGATGTTTTGTGGATTAGATGAAATAGTGCACAGTGCCTGACTCATACTCCAAAAGTTAGCTGTTAATTACTCTAAAAGGTAGCTGACAAGATTACTAATATTAACATTTACTTATTTATCTTGTTTAGAATTGTATTCCTATTGAAGAGCAGCTTCAGTTGGTGTTGGGCAATGCTGGATACAAGCAAATGACTGGACTACAATGCTCATCTGCCTTAGGAGCCTTAGACAAGTCATCCTCCACACCTTTCCCTTTTAGAACTGGATTGACATCTGGAAACGTGACTGAAAACTTACAAGCGTACATTGATAAAAGCACACAGGCATCTAGTGGAGAGAATTCTACAAAGCTTGATGAGTGTAAAATTGTGCCACAAAACCATTCCCTTCTTGAAAATGATCTTAAAAATGCAACATCCCCTTTCTTACCAAAGAAAGCAAATGACAACTCAAATATACCTAACTCTGAGTTGCTGCCTTTTCTCCAGAATTTATGTAGTCAAGTTAACTATCTCCTTGTGGGACGTAAGGCCGAGTGACAGGAAAACACCACCAAGCCTGATGAAGGCATTCTTGGTGTTGGGTAAGTATTGTTTTAACACAGATGTAGTTTTGATTTGGTAGGTGGGAGAATTAGATGAAGAGAAAAAGAAGCAGATTTGTCTCAATGAGTACTGCCTAAAATCTGTTTCAATAGAAAATTCTAGCAGCTTTTTTTTTTTTTACAGCTTACTATTAATATACTCGTAGGTAATAACTATTCTACAGAGAATAGATTGTTTTGAAAGAAGTGCCTGTGCCTGTAACTGGAGGTGTTGCACACTTGCCAGGCATTTTGTGAGTTACAAGCATAGCTAATGGTTGAAGTTGAAAGTGATCCATACGAATGGAGAGCAGCTGTGGGAACCATAATATGTATATTTTTTTTCCTGATGGTACCAAATGAGCCATCATAACAGATTTTCTTTGTAAATCACATTTGACCTAGGCTAATTTTGAAGTCATCAAAAAATGTATTAACATTCTAATTATTTATAGCATATAGGCCCTTATACCCTGGTCTCATAATTCCAAGTTTGTGACAGTCCTGATTTGATTGAGGAATGGCTGAGTATTTAGTATGTTCCCCATTCTTTACATAGATATAGCGTGCTGAAATATTGCACTAGGCTAGAATTCAGGACTCAGTCAGAGACCTGGCTTAACTATTTTGCCTTACTGGTTAAATCTTTTGATTTTTTTTTTCAATGTGTAAAGTTAGATATTTGTATTGGTTGAGATTTGTTTAAGGTTTCCAACAGTGTTAAAGTTTTAAGAATTTAATTTATTTAAATAAAGGTGGTTCTTAGGATATAGAAAGATAACATTAGTGTTCAATAATTGGCGGTCTACATCAATGATAATTACTTGTTATATGAGATGGCATAGTCTTCAATTGTTGATAGTCTGTATCAATGATAACTAGTTGTTATGTGTAATGGCAAAAAAAAAATCAAAAGACTATACAGTATACAGGGATTCAAAAACTGCTTGGGACACTTCTGGGTCCAGCTGAGATAGAACATTGCCATTCCTCTCAGATCCTCATTTTACAAATAAAAATCCTTGGACATAGCACAACGAAGAAACATACAAGGACTGTTAAAGGTAGAAAGAAGTCAGACTCTTAGGGACTGTGGGATTTGAGGAGCAATGCAATGTTGAGTTTTTCTGCCTTCCATATATCTTGGATGGGGTGCCAAAGAAGTCTGCAACCTGGGACAACCAGTGGGGACAAAAATTAAGAGCTTCAAGAAAAGCCTATTCCTTCTAACCAAAGGACCAGGAAAAGGGAGTCCTAACAAAACAAAACCTTTCAATAATACTTGTCTACTCCAGTCAAACACCAATGGAAATACTGCCCTCCTGCCTGCCCTGTTGAATGAGGCAGTTGTACTCTGGTTTCTCTACTGGGGTGGTATCAGCAAGCTAAATGGTGAGCTGTTCTTCCATCTCTCAGTCAGAAGAAGTGGGCAGCATTCCAATTCTGCTACTGGGTGGTATCAACAGAGCCGAGTAGAAGCTAAACTTCCAGCCCCTGCTCAGCTGAAACAAGCAGTACTTCAGTTCTACCAGGGTGATGTCACCACTGCCCCACAAAATCAGACGATACTTTAATTTTCTAGCTGGGGTGTTATAAGGAGAGGAAGGGAGAGTTTGGAGCTGAAAAAATATCTGAAGAAATAATGGTTGAAGTTTCCCCAAAGCTGAAATGGGGAAAGGCGTGAACTCACAGATTCAAGAAGCTGAGTAAGTCCTACACAGGATAAATTCAAATACGTCTATGCCAAGTCATATCATAATTTTTTGAAAATGAAAAAATAAAAAATAAATTCTAAAAGAAAGCTGGAGAGAAACAACATATTCTCATAGAGAAATACCAAGTTTGTTGACAGCTGATTTCTCATCTGAAATTATGGTGGCCAATAAGAAGAGGCACATTTTTCAAGTGCTGTAAAAGAACTGTGAGTCACAAATTGTATATCCAGCAAAAATATCCGTTAGGAACAAACAGCAAGTAAAGACAGTCTCAAATAAATGAAAACAGATTATTTTGCACTGGCAGGCCTACCCTTAAAGAATGGATAAAGCAAGTTATCCAAGGAAATGATGACAAAAGAATGCTTAGAACTTCAGAAAGGAAGAAAGATCAATGGAATGGATAAAAACAGAGGTAAATATGACAGGCTATCCTTCTCATAAGTCTCTTAAATCATATTTGATGGTTGAAGTAAAAGTTATAACACCATATGATGTGGTACTTAATATATGTAGAGGAAGTATCTAAGATAATTATATTTTAATAATTACTATAAATATAAATGGCTAGATTCACCAATTAAAAGAAATGTATAGAATGGGTTATAAAATACAACCCAACTATATGCAGTTGACAAAACACACTTTTCAAATATAATGACGTAGGTAGGTCAAAAGTAGGAAGATATGCCATGAAAACATTAATTTTTTAAAAAGCAGAAGTCGTATATTAGTATCAGGTGAAGCAGGCTTCAGAGCAAAGAAATTCACTAGATAAAAAGAGGGACATTACATAATAATAAAAAGACAATGACATAGTGATCCTAAATGGGTATGCAGTAAACAGAGGTTCAAACTACATGAAGCAGAAAACTGATAGATACAAAAGGATCAATGGACATAACCATAATTATAGTTGAATACCTAACACCCCACGCTCAGTTATTGATAGAACTGTTAGACAAAATTATAGGAAAGATATAGAACTGAATAGCACACTATCAGTCATCAGGATCTATTTGACATTTGTAAAACACTCCATTTCAGCCATTTCGAAAGTTAATGTAATCTACCATTTCAGCGGACTAGAAGAAAATTCATATGACTATATAAATTAACACAGAAAAGTATTTTTAAAATTCTAACACCAATCTATGATGAAAGAAACTCAGAAAACTAGAAATTGAGAGGAGCTGCCTCAACTTCATAAAGGATATCTACAAGAAACCTATAGCTAACATAATACTTAATGGTGAAAGACTGAATGCGTCCCTCCTAAGTGAAAAATAAGGCAAGGATGTCCTTTCCCACCACTGGGTTTATTTTGTTTTTGTTTTTGTTTTTGTTTTTTTTTTGAGACAGAGTCTTGCTCTGTCGCCCAGGCTGGAGTGCGATGGCATGATCTCGGCTCACTGCAAGCTCTGCCTCCTGGGTTCATGCCATTTTCCTGCCTCAGTCTCCTGAGTAGCTGGGACTACAGGTGCCCGCCACCATGCCTGGCTAATTTTTTTGTATTTTTAGTAGAGACAGGGTTTCACCATGTTAGGCAGGATGGTCTTGATCTCCTGACCTCGTGATCCACCTGCCTCAGCCTCCCAAATTGCTGGAATTACAGTCATGAGCCACCGTACCCAGCCGTCACCACTCTTACTCAACATAGTACTGGAAGTTATAGCCACTGCAGTAAGACAACAAAAATTAAATATAGATTGCAATGAAAGAAAACTGTCCTTATTTACAGATGACAAGATGGTCTATGTAGAATATCCCAAGGAATATTTTTTTAAAAAAGGTTTAGAACTGATAAATGAGTTCAGCAAAAGTCACAGGATGAAAGATCAAAATTAGTTGCTTATCTATATTCAGTTGGCCCTCCATATCCATGGCTTTTGCATCATGGATTAAACCCACTGTGGATCAGAAATAGAGAAAAAATAATTGTGTCTGTGCTGAACATGTAGACTTTTTTCCTGTCCTTATTGTCTAAGTAATACAGTATAACAAGTATTTACATAGAATTTACTTTTATTAAGTATTGTCATCTTATATAAGGGACTTAAGCATCTGCAGATTTTGGTATCCACAAGGGTGGGTTTGGGGAGGGAGGTCCTGGAACCAGTCTCCCACAAATACTGAGGCTTAACTGTACAAATGATGATGTGTGGAAACCAAAATTAAAAACAATTTCTTTTTATAACTCACCTGTCAACAATGAATTATTAAATTAAATGTTGGCTTCCTAGTAGAAAATTGTAAGAATAAAAGTAAGCTTTTCAACTTAAAAGAGACACACTCACTATACTATTTATAGTTGCTCCAAAGAAAACTAAATACTTAGGTATGAATCTAACAAAACATGTACAGGATATATATGCTGAAAATTGTAAAATGCTGATGAAAGAAATCGGAGAAGATCTAATTGAGGGACATACCCTGTTTATGGCTTGGTGACTCAACATAGTAAAATTGTTAGTTCTCCCTATTGATATGCAGGCTTAATGTAATTTGTATCAAAATCCCACCAAGACTTTTTGTAGACAAAAACAAGGCTTTTTAAAATTATATGAGAAGGCAAAAGTAGTAGAATGGCTAAAACAACTTGTTTTTCTTTTTTCTTTTCTTTTTTTTTTTTTTTTTGAGATGGAGTCTTGCTCTGTCACCCAGACTGGAGTGCAATGGTGCAATCTCGGCTTCCTGCAACCTCCACCTCCTGGGTTCAAGCAATTCTCATGCCTTAGCCTCCCGAGTAGCTGGGACTATAGGCGCCCGCCACAACGCCTGACTATTTTTTGCATTTTTTGTAGAGATGGGGTTTCACCATGTTGGCCAGGCTGGTCTTGAATTCCTGGCCTCAAGTAATCCGCCTGCCTTGGCCTCCCAAAGTACTGGGATTAAACGCTCAGCCTAAAACAACTTTCAAAAAAAGAATTAAATGATTGGGAATCACTCTTCCCAGTGTAGAGTATCCAATACTGTTTAGTATTATGTGGGGATTGAAATATAAATCAATGGAACATAATAGAGGGCCAGAAATAGACCCTCACAAATATGCTCAATTGATTTTTGATAAAGGTGCAAAACTGGCCAGGGGTGGTGGCTCACACCTATAATCCCAGCACTTTGGGAGGCCAAGGCGGGCAGATCACTTGAGCCTAGCATTTCAAGACTACTCTGGGCAACATGGCAAAGCCCTGTCTCTACAAAAAAATATGAAAATTAGCCAGGCATGGCGGCGCATGCCTGTAGTCCCAGCTATTTGGGAAGCTGAGGTGGGAGGATCACTTGAGCCCAAGAAGTCGAGGCTGTGGTGAGCTGAGATCGTACCACTGCCCTTCAGCCTCAGCAACAGAGTGAGAGTCTGTTACAAAAAAAAGGAGTGGGGGGGTGGTGCAGAAAGGATAGCACTTTCCAAAAATGGTGCTAGAGCAATTAGATATCCAAATTCTTTCACCTAAACTTCACATCCAACACAAAAATTAACTCAACATGGGTCATAGATTTAAATGATCTTTTGGATGGAAACTGGAGAAAATCTTTAGCAACTAAGAATTGCAGAAAAGTACTTAAACATGACACCAAAAGTACAATCGATAAAATAAAATTAATAAATTTGACTTCATTAAAGATAAAAAATTCTGCCCTCTGACTCAGTTAAGAGGATGAAAATACAAGCTACAGATGGGAGAATATATTATTTGCAAACCTAGGTATGACAGATGACTCATACCTAGGATATATTAAGAACTCTCAAAACTCAACAGTTAAAAAAAAATCAATTTAGAACATGGGCGAGACAGGAGATATTTCACCAAAGAGAATATGCAAACAGCATATGAACATGAAAAGATATTCAACATTACTATCCATTAGGAAATTCAAAATAAGACCGTGATGAGATATCGCAGCACACCTATTTGAACAGCTAAAATAAAAGCTCAGGTGGCAGGACAAGTGGCAGTGTGCAGGCAGTCCAGCAGCCCAGCTTCATGAAGGCTCATGGTGCACTTCAGCCCTCAGGCACCAGAGGAAGCTCAGCCCAGCTGAAGGGGCAGTGAAGGAAGGGCCCAAGAGGAGGCCCATGAGGTTGTCAGATAAACCTGCTCCAGCAAAAGTGAAAACAAAACCAAAAGAGGCAGCAAGGAAGAATCATCCTCAGACAAAAAAAGTGCAAATAAAAGGGAAAAGGGGAGCAAAGGGAAAGCAGATTCAAAGTGGATAAACAAGAAACTAAAGATTTAAAGATTTACCTGCAGAAAACAGACAGACCGAAAATGAGAAGAGTCCAGCATCTGATGAAGCAGGAAAGAAAGAAGCCACGTCTGATTCATGTCCGGTACCATGTCTTATCAGTGGTCCCTGTCTCCCTTCTTGTTACTAGTTTGTAACTACACTTTTTTTTTTTCAAGTTACTAGTTTGTAACTACACTTTTTTTAGTAGCTCTAGGAAACATTGAAAAGGAGGGAATACCACCTTATCCCACTTTTTAAAGTGTAAATGCTCTTTTTTTTTTTTTTTTTTTTTTTTTGAGACAGAGTCTCACTGTGTTGGCCCAGGTTGGAGTGCAGTGGGGCAATCTCGGCTCCCTGCAACTTCTGCCTCTCAGGTTCAAGGGATTCTTGTAGCTGGGATTACAGACACCTGCCACCACATCCAGCTAGTTTTTGTATTTTTAGTAGAGATGGGGTTTCATCATGTTGGCCAGGCTGGTCTCGAACTCCTGAGCTCAAGTGACCCCCCTGCCTCAGCCTCCCAAAGTGCTGGGATTACAAGCATGAACCACTGTGCCTGGCCTAAATGCTCTTTTTAAGAGGAGAAATCACTTTCTGGTTGTATTTTTGGTAAAACCAGAAAATAGTGGGATATTGAATTATGGGAAGATTTGACTTTTTTGAGTGTTAGCTTAACATTCCATGAGGGTGTAGGTTGTATCTTATAATACAAGGCATAATTGACAATTTGAATCACAGTTGTGTATTTAATATGTCTTGATCATTTTAACTTCTATTCCTATGTTTTTTAGCAGAATTGTTTACTAAAAACTACTCCTCGATCTTGCCTGTCCCTGTCAGAATCATGTGTACTCTGTAGTGTCTTTGGTCATGTAGTAGTCCAGTTTTCTTAATAACTTTGTTAATGTGTTGTGAAAGACTGAAAATCTGACTATGTTATATATATAATATTAAATTGTGAATTGGTGGGACTTTATAACAGCTTACAACATTTAACAATATGGGCACTTAATATCCTCAAGGAAATTTTGTCTCTAAATTTTAAGCTAAAAAGTCACTGAAATAACTTCAAAAAAGAATGACGATGCATGGCTTTTTAGGTTTTCAGTACGTACATTTGAGATGTGCAGAAATTGAAATGTCTGTGTAGTGATCCTCAACACAACCAATACAATCTCCATTATGAAAGAAAAAAAATCTGAGAATGCCCAATGCTAGCAAAGATGCAGAGAAACTAGATCTTTCATACATTGCTAGTGAGAATGTAAAATGTACAGCCACTCTGGAAAACAGTGCCAGTTTCTCAAAAAACTAAACATACACTTACCATACAAGCCAGCAATCATACTCCTTAGCATGGTATCCCACAGAAATGGAAACTTATGGATGTATCACCCTTTAACACACAGCTAATATAGGGCATTTTACTTATTTCCAGTTTTGGGCTTTACGTTAAAGCTGCTATGAACAATTACATACATGAGATTTCTGTGTGAATGTAAGAACATGGAATACACTCATAAAAAAATGTGAACTATTGAAACATCCAACAACTTGGATGAATCTCAAGTGAACTATGACAAGTGGAAAACAAATCAAAAGATTACATACTATAGTATCCAACATATATGACATTCTCAAAATAAAATAGAAATGGAGAACATCATGGCTGCCGTGGAATAAGGATGATAGGGAAAAGAGGGGTGACTGTGATGGTAAAGGGTTAGCACAAGGATAATCTTTGTGGCTAAGGAATAGTTCTCTGTCTTGATTGTAATGGTAGTTACATGAATCTACACATGTGAAGTAGAACTATATGCATACATTGTACCAATGTCAATTCCTAGTTTTAATATTGTACCATAGCTATGTAAGATGTAACCATTGAGATCATTGGTGAAGGGTACTGGATAACTCTCCACAGTATCTTTGCAACTTTTGGTGAATCTATAATTTTGTATTTCAATTTTTTTAATTTAATAATTTTTAACCTGCTTGGCAATTTCTAGAGTTGTAGTTCTCAAATGTTTTCATCTCAGGATCTCTAATCTCAAAAATGAAGAACTCAAAGAATATCTGTTTATATAGACTATATTAAAATTTGTATTTATTTTTAAATAGTAATTATTTGCATATACATATAAACAGTAGCTTTTATTAAAAACAATCTTGTTTTCAAAAAATCAGTGAAAAGAATGACATTGTATTAAATTTACACAAATCTGTATTAACTTGCTCATGTCTGCTTCTGCATTATAGTACATATAGTCCAATATAGCATAAAAGCACAGTATAACTACTCAAAACAAACTGAATTATCTTTTAAAAAGCAAATATTTATACCCTAAACCTAGTACCTTAGGAAATTCTAGAAAACACAAAAATATACTGTCACACATTTGATTAATCATTATATCAATAACAGGTTGTTTAGCCTCTGGAAAATACCACAGTGCATTCATGAGAGAATGAGGGTGAAAAAGGCATATATTACCTCCTTGTTACTACAAAAACACTTTGTCCTCCTGGAACCTTTAAAAGGATTCTATAGTGTTCTATGAACCATACTCTAAGAATCACTGCCCTAGAGTGCAATATGAGTTTTGTTTTAGAAACTGGTGTGCTTTTTTTTTTTAATCTTTAATTTGCCCATTCCAGTTAAATTCTTCCTCAGTTTCACATTAGGTTAGCAAAGAACTTTCTAGTACTTTAGTAAGGTTTGTATGAAAGAAAGAAGACAAAACTGTTTAAATTGTAGGGTTGCTTGGGGAAGTACTTGGAAAATATACATGTTGACCTTAAAATAAATTCGGCAAGATCAGTTTTGATTTGGAGCTCCATATCAAAAAGACCCTTTCTAAGGACTTGGTCTTTAAGGAATCATCTTCACTTTTATATTCCCATTTCAATTGTATATTTAGTAAATGTTTAAAGAAATAAGTATGTGTTCATGACTGCGGTCATCTGTTGTGGATGTATATTAGAACCTGGAAATACACTGTAAGAAGACAGCACAGTTTATAAAGACACATTTCAGCAATATATGTTGGCTGCTTGTTGTATAGTTCAGTTGTTTTGTTAAAATATTAAAGAAAATTGATATATTTTTAAAATGTATTTCCAGAATGGAAGAGCAGCCTGTTTGCTCCTACTTGGAATAGATTCTTTCTAAAAATATGGAACTGATAGAAAAGAAACTTATAGACTACATTGATCAGCGAATATATAAACTCCAGGAGCACATTGATGATAAGATTGCTTTGTTGATTGATTTGCTGCAAAATCCCAACTCCCCGCCCAGTAGGCTGCCTCTAAGACATTATGACTCTGGAGAAGGACTTTCAAATGGAGAAAGATGAGCTCTCAACATAAACAGTGTACTGCAGATATTTGTTACATATTTATTACAAAGCCAAAACCCAAAAATATTTATAAAAAGCAAGGATTTAATGTCCTTTTAAGGATCATCATCTTACTTACTGAAGTGACCTCAGTGTTCATTATTACTACACTTGTACTGTATACTAAGACTTAACATGATACAGTATTTTATTTTTGCTAGTAATATTTTTCACTCATAAGTGTATATGTACTTCTGTGTTATATGTTCTAAATGTTTAAGGAGTTCTAATATAATTCATTAGTTGATATAGTATATGTTTGATTGAAGTACTGTTTTAATTTATATGAAGACCTTATTTTATAGTTTCAGGGATATAAAAGGAATGCTTAGAGTATTTGATTTTTTTTTCCTAATTGACTCTTAGAAAACTGGGTACTTAACCTGGAACCTTTATTTTAGATCACCAACTTGAATTTTATATTGTTTATTTCAGATAAAAAATTAGATGTGATGTTTGGCATGTGTAAAATCAGTTCACATTGGGGCCATTAATTGTACATTCTGTCACATTGTAACAGTAGATAAGAAAGTGATTATCAGAACTGGTCTATTCCTTGTTAGGATTGTTACTTTGGATTTAGTGTATGATGTAAAATGGGAGAACTGATCTCATTTTATCTCAATAAACCCAGAAAGTGTAAGGAAGTCTGTTTTGTTTGTTGTTGGGTTTTTTTAATTTTTTTGAGCTGATGTAGATTCTTCTTTCCAAACCCTTTCCTGACACATTTAAAGTGTGAAATGCCGAGGCTCCCCACTGAAGGATTAAGGTATATGAATCAAGGAGATTGCAGTTCTCTCTGGCAGACTTCATTTTCAGAGATTGTAACTGTTTTGTGTGTGTTGAAGAGTGATATATTTGCATCCAAAAAATAAATGCATCCACCCTGGAAACTACTTGTCTGAAATAAATAGAAACATTGTCTTTTTATCTAATATTTGTTACGTTTTGGGGTTTTTTAGATTCAGGGGGTACATATGCAGGTTTGTTACATGGGTATACTACATGATACTGAGACTGGCTTCTAGTGATCCCATCACCCAAGTAGTGAACATAGGACCTGATAGGTAGTTTTTTCAACCCTCCCCTCTCTCCCATCCTCCCCCTTTTGGAATCCCTAGTGTTTACTGTTCGCATCTTTGTGAAGATATTTATTTTTGTGTAAAAGGATGTCTTACTCTCATTTAGTATTTTGGTGAATTTACTTCTTTTACATGAGAACTAACATATAATGTTTGTTCATTTATGACTCTCACTCGGACCTCAGTGATGTGAGAAAGTGTATGTTATTTTTATCAGACTCATCCTAATTTTTTTTTTTTTTTTTTGAGACTGAGTCTCGCTCTGTTGTCCAGGCTGGAATGCAGTGGTGTGATCTTGGCTCACTGCAACCTCCGCCTTCCGGGTTCAAGCGATTCTCCTGCCTCAGCCTCCTGAGTAACTGGGACTACAGGCACGTGCCACCACACCCGCCTAATTTTTTGTATTTTTAGTACAGATGGGGTTTCACTGTGTTAGCCAGGATGGCATCCTAATTTTCTTATAACATATGTAGCCATGAGGAAGCAGTTCCTTCAGCATTTGGGAGAAATGTGTCTCAGTTAAGGATGAATGAACTCTTTAGTGTCTGATAGTTGCAGTCTGTTTTTTGATTCACAAAATGCTCCAATATAATTATAACTAGAACACATAAGCTATATTTTATAAAATAATTAAAATAGTCATGGTTGTAGTACTAAAAATAATTCCAATGAGTTTTAATTCCTGATCTTCAATTTCTTGATTTTTACAGGTTAATGAAGACCTAAATTATATTTTATTTATATTAGAAATTCATAGATGTTGATTTTCTTGTGTTTATATAAGTGCTATACATATTTATATGTAATTGCTTTGCTAAAATTATTAGTCCTAAGAAAACTCTGCCTGAATTTGCTCAACTAGGCAAAGTAGAGCACAGCACTTAAAAATTTTTATTCAGTCTTTTTTTCTTATAACTTTTCTCTATTTGTGTGTGCCACACCCAATAAGCCAAGTCTGGATGCTGGGAAGTTAGGACTGACAAATGCACCTTCAAAAGTGTCAAGGTAACCACTGCAGTTTGAAATGGCTGAAAAGGATGTGTGGGTGATCAAGAAATTAAATCAAGACACAGTGTATGATTTTAATTTCTGCATTGCCTCCCCCTTGAGTATGATTCTATCTTCCTCTTCCCCACAAGTGTCATACTGAGGCTTTCACCACTGGATTTTCAGTCTACTTGATACAGGGCAGAGATTGAGTTTGCATGCTGCTGCCATATAACTCATCTTAAAGTATGGCTGATAAGATCTGTCCCAACTGTAGAGACTATAATTTGAGGCTCTTCATCACTGAGCTCCTGCCTGGCTTTCCAGTCTCATCATCATTACCGCATGGCCTGCTGTTTCACTCGCCCTTTTTCCCCATGTCTCCTTGGGCTCTTGGCTCCAGCAGAGGTGACTCCTCCTCCCCTAATTCCCTACCCTTGTCACACTAAAGCTCAGCTCAGATGCAACTTTCATGAGGTAACCGTTGGTCCCTCCCTTCCCCAGTAAGTACATGAGCAAGCAGCTGGACAGATGAAACATGGAGAAACAATACCTAGAGCTCTTTTTGGAGATGTAAAACAGTTTAAATTGACTGAAGCATAAGATGCACATTGGGCAGCACCTGGGGCAAGGCTTGAAAAGGTTGCCTGGGTCCAGCTTGGGAAAATCTTGATGGCTGCACTCTAGAGATTTGCTGGCACCAAGAAGTAAGTGGTTTAAGCAGGAGAGTGACATGGTCAGCTCTGGGCCTTGGAAAGAAAACCAGAGTAGAACACTCCCCAGTACCAGCCTGGAGCCCTACCGGGGTTTCATGTTGTGTGGCTAGACCCAGATGAGCAATAACAATCACTCCAGTTCAGCTCTCAGGAAGCCGCCTCTCTAGGAGAAGGAGGAGAGTACTACCTCAAGGGATCACCCCAGGGGACAAAAGAATCTGAACAGCAGCGCTTGAGCCCCAGATTTTTCCTCTGACATAGTCTACCTAAATGAGAAGGAAACAGAAAAACAATTCTGGTAATATGACAAAGCAAGGTTCTTTAACACTCCCAGAAGATCACACTAGCCCACCAGCAATGGGTCCAAACCAAGAAGAAATCTGAATTGCCAGAAAAAGAATTCAGAAGGTTGATTATTAAACGACTCAAAGGGGCACCAGAGAAAGGTGAAAACCAACTTAAAGAAATTAAAAAATAATAATAATATAGGATATGGACCAAAAAGAATCCCCAAAGAAATAGCATAAATTAAAACAATCATAACTTCTGCAAATGAAAGACACACTTAGAGAAATGCAAAATACACTGTAAAGTTTCAATAATAAAATCGAACAAGTAGAAGAAAGAACTTCAGAGCTCAAAGAAAAGGCTTTCAAATTAACCCAGTTTGACAAAAACAGAGAAGAACGAATTCTTTTAAAAAATGAACAAAACCTCCAAGAAGTTTGGGATTATGTTAAATGACCAAACCTAAGAATAATTTGTGCTCCCAAGGAAGAAGAGAAATCTAAAAGTTTGGAAAACTTATTTGAGGGAATAATCAAGAAAAATTTCATTGGCCTTGCTGGAGATCTAGACATCCAAATACAAAAAGCTCAAAGAACACCCAGGAAAGTCATCACGAAAAGACTATCACCTAGGCATATAGTCATCACGTTATCTAAAGTCAAGAAGGAAAGAAGCTTAAGAGCTACGAGGCAAAAGCATCAGGTAACCTATAAAAGAAAACCCATTAACAGCAGATTTCTCAGCAGAAACCCTGCAAGGGATTGGGGTTCTACCTTTAGTCTCCTTAAACAAGACAACTATCAGCAAAGAATTTTGTATCCAGCAAAACTAAGCTTCATAAATGAGGGAAAGATAAGGTCTTTTTCAGACAAACAAATGCTGAGAGAATTTGCCACTGCCAAGCCAGCACTACAAAAACTGCTAAAAGGAGTTCTAAATCTTGAAACAAAACCTCGAAATGCACCAAAATAGAACCTCCTTAAAGCATAAAATCTCACAGGGCCTATAAAGCAATTACACAGTGAAAAAAAAGGTATTCGGGTAACAACTAGCATGATGAATAGACTACTACCTCACATCTCAATACTAACATTGAATGTAAATGGCCTAAATGTTCCATGTAAAAGATACAGAATGGCAGAAGGGATGAGAATTCATCAACCAAGTATCTTATGTCTTCAAGAGACTCACCTAACACATAAGGACTCACATAACCTTGAGGTAAAGGGATGGAGAAAGATGTTCCATGCAAGTGGACACCAAAAGCAAGCCAGAGTAGCTATTCTTACATCAGACAAAACAGGCTTTAAAGCAACAACAGTTATAAAAGACAAACAGAGACATTATATAATAAAAGGATTAGTCCAACAGGTAAATATCACAATCCTAAATATATATGTGCCTAACACTGGAAGTCCCAAACTTATAAAACGATTATTACTAGACCTAAAAAATGAGATAGACAGCAACACAATAATAGTAGAAGATTTCAACACCCTACTGACAGCACTAAACAGGTCATCAAGACAGAAAGTCAACAAAGAAACAATGGACTTAAACTATACCCTAGAACAAATGGACTTAACAGATATTTACAGAACATTCTACCCAACAACTTCAGAATATACATTCTGTTCATCAGCACATGGAACATTCTCCAAGACAGACCAGATAACAGGCCACAAAACAAGCCTCAATAAATTTAAGAAAATCGAAATTATGTCAAGTACTCTTTCAGACCACAGTGGAATAAAGTTGGAAATCAACTCCAAAAGGAATCCACAAAACCATGCAAATACATAGAAATTAAATAATCTGCTCCTGAACAATCTTTGGGTCAACAGTGAAATCAGGATGGAAATTTAAAAATGCTTTGATCTGAATGATAATAGTGACACAACCTGTCAACACTTCTGGGGTACAGCAAAAGCAGTGCTAAGAGGAAAGTTCATAGCATTAAATGCCTATATCAAAAAGTCTGAAAGAGCCCAAATAGACAATCTAAGGCCACACCTCAAGAACTAGAGAAACAAGAACAAATCAAACCCAAATCCAGCAGAAGAAAACAAATAACAAAGATCAGAGCAGAATTAAATGAAATTGAAACAAACAAAAAACAATCAAAAAAGGTAAGTGAAACAAAAAGTTGGTTCTTTGAAAACATAAACAAAATTGATAGACCATTAGCTAGAGTGCCAAGAAAAGAAGAGAGAAGACCCAAGTAAGCTCAAGTAGAAACAAAACGGGATATTACAACAAATACCACAGAAATACAAAAGAGCATTCAAGGCTACTATAAACACCTTCATGTGCACGAACTAGAAAACCTAGTGGGGATGGATAAATTCCTAGAAATATACAACCCTCCTAGATTAAACCAGGAAGAAATAGAAACTCTGAGCAGACCAATAGCAAGTGGTGAGATTGAAATTTTAATTTAAAAATTGCCAACAGAAAAAGGTCCAGGAACAGATGGATTCAGAGCTGAATTCTATCAGACATTCAATGAAGAATTGGTACCAATTTTATTGAAACGATTGCAAAAGGTAGAGAGAGAGGGAATCCTCCCTAAATCATTCTATGAAGCCAGTATCACCCTAATACCAAAACCAGGAAAGAACATAACAGTAAAAGAAAACTACAGACCAATAACCCTGATGAACATAGATGCAAAAATATTCAACAAAATACTAGCGAACCAAATCCAACAGCATATCAAACATAATCTACCATGATCAGATGAGTTTCATACCAAGGATGCAGGGATGGTTTAACATAAAAAGTCAATAAATGTGATACACCACATAAACAGAATTAAAAACAAAATGTAAAATCAAGGTAAATGGCCTAAATGCACCACTTAAAAGATACAGAATGGCAGAATGGATAATCACTCACCACGTCGTCTGTTGCAAATCACGTGATCATCTCAATAGATGGAGAAAAAGCATTTGACAAAAATCCAGCATCCCTTTATGATTAAAACCCTCAGCAAAATTGGCATAGAAGGGAAACACCTTAAGGTAGTAAAAGCCATCTATGACAAACCCACAGCCAACATTATACTGAACGGGGAAAAGTTGAAAGTATTCCCTTTGAGAACTGGAACAAGACAAGGATGCCTACTTTCACCACTTTTATTCAACATAGTACTGGAAGTCCTAGCCAGAGCAAGCAGACAAGAGAAATAAATTAAGGGCATACTAACCGGTAAAGAGGAAGTCAAACTGTTGTTGTGTGCTGATGATATGATTGCATACCTAGAAAACCCTAAAGATTCATCCAAAAAGCTCCTATATCAGATAAATGAATTAATAAAGTTTCAGGATACAAAATCAATGTACACAAATTAGTAACACTGCTATACACCAACAGTGGCCAAGCCAAAAATGAAATCAAGAACTCGACACCTTTTACAATAGCTGGAAATATATATATGTGTGTGTGTGTGTATATATATATATACACACACATATATATATACACGTATATATATATACGTATATATACACATATATATGTACATATATACACACGTGTATATATATACGTATATATACGCATATATGTGTATATATATACGTGTGTATATATATGTGTATATATATGTATATATATACGTATATATATACACACACACACGCACACACACACACACATACATACACACATACTTAGGAATATACATGACCAAGAAAGTGAAAGACCTCTACAAGGAAAACTACAAAACACTGCTGAAAGAAATAATAAACAACATAAACAAATGGAAACCCATTCCATGCTCATAGATGGGTAGAATCAATATTGTGTAAATGACCATACTGCCAAAAGCAGTCTACAAATTTAATGCAATTCCCATCAAAATACCATCACCATTCTTCACAGAATTAGCAAAAACAATCCTAAAATTAATAAGGAACCAAAAAAAGAGCCCACATAGCCAAAGCAAGACTAAGCAAAAAGAACAAATCTGGAGGCATCACATTACCCAACTTCAAACTTCTATAAAGCCATAGTCACCAAAATATGGTACTGGTATAATATGATACTGGTACAAAAATAGTCACATAAACCAATGGAACAGAATAGAGAACCCAGAAATAAAGCCAAATACTTATAGCCAACTCATCTTCAACAAAGCAAACAAAAATTTCAAGTGGGGAAAGGACACCCTATTCAACAAATGATGCTGGGATCATTGGCAAGCCACATGTAGAAGAATGAGACTGAATTCTTATCTCTCACTCTATATAAAAATCAACTAATCAACTCAAGATGGATCAAAAACTTTAAGATTTGAAACCATAAAAATTCTAGAAGATAATATCGGAAAAACCCTTCTAGACATTGGCTTAGGCAAAGACTTCAAGACCAAGAACCCAAAAGCAAATGTAACAAAAACAAAGATAAATAGAATAGGACTTAAACTAAAAAGTTGCTGCATAGCAAAAGAAATTATCAGCAGAGTAAACACGCAACCCACAGCGTGGGAAAAAGTATTTGCAAACTATGCATCCATCAAAGCACTAATATCCAGAATCTACAAGGAACTGAAACAAAAGAAAAAAAACATAATCCCATCAAAAAGTGGGCTAGGGACATGAACAGACAATTCTCAAAAGAAGATATACAAATGGCCAACAAACATATGAAAAAATGCTCAACATCACTAATTATCAGGGAAATGCAAATCAAAATCACAATGTGATTACACCTTACTCCTACAAGAATGACCATAATGAAAAAATTGAAAAATAATAGATGTTGGCATGGATGTGGTGAAAAGGGGAATGCTTCTACCCTGCTGGTGGGATGGAAAACAGTATAGAGATTCCTTAAATAATGAAAAGCAGATCCACCATTTGATCCAGCAATCCCACTACTAGGTATCTACCCAGAGGAATATATGAAAAAGATACTTGCACATGCATGTTTACAGTACCCAGTTCACAATTGCAAAAATATGGAATGAGCCCAAATGCCCTTCAGTCAACGAGTGGATAAAGAAAATGTGGTTTATTCATACTACTCACCCATAAAAAGGAACGAAATAATGGCATTGGCAGCAACCTGGATGGAGGTGGAGACCATAATTCTTAGTGAAGTAACCCAGGAATGGAAAACCAAACATCTTATATTCTCACTTATAAGTGGGAGCTAAGCCATGAGGGCACCAAGGCATAAGAATGATACAATGGAGTTTGGGGACGCAGGGAGAAGGGTGGTAGGGGGATGAGGGATAAAAGACTACACATTGGGTACAGTGTACACTACTTGGGTGATGGCTGCACCAAAATCTCAGAAATCACCACTAAAGAACTTACCCATGTAACCAAACACCACCTGTTCCCCAAAAACCTATTGAGAAAAATTAAAATACTTTGTTAATAAAAAGATAAACCATGTGATGAAAACTTTCAGAAATTATTTTTTAATTTTATTTTATTATTATTATACTTTAAGTTTTAGGGTACATGTGCACAATGTGCAGGTTAGTTACATATGTATACATGTGCCATGCTGGTGTGCTGCACCCATTAACTCGTCATTTAGCATTAGGTGTATCTCCTAATGCTATCCCTCCCCCCTCCCCCCACCTCACAACAGTCCCCAGAGTGTGATGTTCCCCTTCCTGTGTCCATGTGTTCTCATTGTTCAATTCCCACCTATGAGTGAGAATATGCGGTGTTTGGTTTTTTGTTCTTGCGATAGTTTACTGAGAATGATGATTTCCAATTTCATCCATGTCCCTACAAAGGACATGAACTCATCATTTTTTAAAAATAAAAAATAATAAAAAAACTTTGAGAAATTATTAAAAAAATAAACGTTAAAGGAAAAAAAAAACAGACTGGAGCTCTCCTCATGAACCCACTTGCAGAAGTTATTGGTCATAATGGAATGTAGGTGCTGTGAATGCAGAACCCTGTACATGTAGCCTCTGACCAACTGCCTGACAGCCTTAAATTTCAGAAATGAGGCCAGAGACTCCCAGCACGCACTCCCCAGACAGTCTTCTTTGTCAGAATCACCTGGGGGACTTGTTAAACATGAAGGTTCCACAGCCCTAACCCAGATCTAAGGAATCAGAGCAGAATGAGGTGTGGTCCCTGAAGAACCATTGCAGGAGATTCCAGGGCTATTATTCAACAGGCTGAACATGGAGTCCCTGTTTTGGGCTCTGTGATGGTTAATATTGAGTGTCAACTTGATTCGATTAAAGGATGCAAAATATTGTTCCTGGGCATGTCTGTGAAGGTGTTGCCAAAAGAGATTAACAGTTGAGTCAGTGGACTGGGAGAAGCAGACCTACCCTCAATCTGGGTGTGCACCATGTAATCAGCTGCCATAGCATCCAGAATAAAAGCAGGCAGAGGAACTTGGAAGGACTAGACTGGCTGAGTCTTCCAGCCTACATCTTTTTCCTGTGTGGGATGCTTTCTGCCTTCCAACATCATACTCCAAGTTCTTCAGATTTTGGACTCTTGGACCTTCGATACAGACTGGAGTCTGAAGTCTGCACTATTGGCTTCCCTACATTTGAGGTTTTGGGACTCAGACTGGCTTCCTGGCTTCTCACCTTGCAGATCGCCTATTGTGGGACTTCACCTGGTGATTGTGTGAGTCAATTCTCCTAATGAACTCCCCTTTATGTATTCATCTATCCTATTAGTTCTGTCCTGTTAGAGAACCCTGACCAACACAGGCTCTAACACAGTCCCCCTCAACCTGTGCCTCTGTCTCCCCTGGGAGATGCTTAGAAAGGCAAGTTCATGGGCTCCCCCCACCAAACCAATGAATCGGATCTCTATGGTTAGGCCCAGAATCTGTGATTTAACAAGCTCTCTAGATGATTCTTACGCACACGCAAGTTAGAGAAACGCTGCTTCAATAAATGGATAAGTCTCAGAAGAAGTAGACTCAAGATTCCAAAAACTCAGAGTCGGTGTCTGTGCAACCTGTGTGTTCAGGAGATGCTCCTGAAAGTTGCTGTTTAAATGAGAACTGTGGGATCCAGAAGAGAAGTAGTAAAGCTCTTTGACTTGTTGAGGAGTCAGAAATCTTAAAACCTGATGAAACCAAGTGATGATTCCAATTAAACAGTCATTTGCAGACTTTTTCTAGCAGAGACCCATTGGTAAAGATTCCCTCAAAATCTTGTCCTCACTTTCACACCTTTTGCCTGGATCCAGCCTGTGGGCAGAACACACCTGTGGCTGGAGAAGAGCCACAGCAGAAGAGTTAATTACTCACATTGGCATCACAATTTTCCAAACTGTGACACATGTGTCCTTGTAGAAACCTCTGAGACACTAAAGGCTGCCACCGCCATCATTGTCAAACCTCACACCATTCATTATCCCTTCACTTCAGAAAAGCAGCAGCAGGCTTAGGGAGGTGAATTGCTTTATTAGTCTTGGTATCAATAGATGGTGAGGATGGGCTTGAAATCCAGGACCCCTTTCCTTCTCCCTATTTTCATCTCTCCTGTTCCCCATGCCCATTTGGGTTTTGGTGTAGAACCTTCTTATTTAGAATTGATTCTCTTTCACATTTGAAATCTATGGAAAGGTGAAGCAACTCTTCCTCCATGGCTGCCTCTCAAGGTAAAGCAAATGTTAGCATCTGCCCAGTTGCCCCTTCCTTTTCCCATGTCCCTACTTCCTCATACTGAAAGACAGTCCCATGCCTTCATCAAGCAAGGAAGCCTAGGATTTTAGTTTTCTGCCCATTCTGAGATCATCTCTCCAAATACCCTCAGAAGATACATGCTCAAGATGGCTTATAGGAAAAAACACTAGGTAAAGAAACCTGAATTCTCCTTCCACCTTAGTCACTTACTTGTTATGTAACTTTGGAGAAAGTATTTGACCTTACTTGACCTCAGTTTTCTCTTCTGTAACCACTGGTCTATGTTTAAAAGCACAGCCTCCCCAGCCAGGTTGCATGAGTTTCTTACTAAAATCCCAATCAACATCTTCCAAGGATGTTCTGTAACAGGCAGAAAAAAAATCTAAGATTATACTAGAGCTCGAAGCCCTGCATGTTGGTATCCTTGGCCAATTTTTTCCAAGTCCTCTCCTGCCATCTTCGCTTTTATGCATCTCCAGTCAAATGGCCTTTTTCTTGTTCCTTGACCACACCAAACTTATTCCATGCTCAGGACATCAATTCATTGTCTCTTCTCATTCGGGCGTGACTTTTCTGGTTATTGGTATTACGGGCGATAATACCCGTAATACCATTTTCATTGAATCATGGACATTTTGACTTTATGCTAGGAGACTCTAGGTCCTATTTAAATATTTTATTTTATTAGTTAGTCACTGACTAGGTTTAGCATGCAGATCCTGGCTTACTTTTGTGGGATTAGATTCCAATTCCAATTTAATTTTCAGAGGTTTCGTGGTGATATTTTGGTCTACTTCATTTATCTGGTGTCACTGGGGCTTCTAGGTCCCCGAAAGTGCTGCCTGAGGGACAGAAGGAGGGTCCCCAAGCTGGAGCCACCTGGAGTCCAGGGGGGTCTCTAGCACATGGGAACAGAGTGCTTCCTGGGCTAGGTCACTGAATGTGGTCAGATCCCTGCAGGGTCTGAGGAGGGGAGTCTCATGACTAGCAAGGAAGATGAGCACTTCCCCTGCAGGCTTATTGCCAATGGGGTTCACAATCCACCCAACTTGCCACTGCTGCTGGGAAAGCCTGGGGTTGTCAGCAGGACTCACATTAAATCCGGGAATGGAATAAGCTAGATTGAGCATTGGAAAACACCAGGCCTGTCTACCTCCCCTGTTCTACTGCTATGGAGCTTACCCAGGCCTGGGGTCCCTAGTAGTTTGCTTTCTCCTTTCCAATTTCAGAGTTCTCCTTTGTTTGATTTGTGTTATTTCCAGGAATAATAGTTATGCTTAGCAGGGAGAAACATGTCTACACAATCTTCCTTGAACCTGGTGTCTCTTCATTTAATTTTACTACACTGGCTGGATATAAGTACCTTAAAATCATACAAACCAGACTAGAACAGATATCCTGTTCAACTTTCATTTTTGTACTTTTTTTAACTATAAAGCATTAAAATCTTCCCATGTCAATGGAAGTGTGCTTGAATCCTAGTAAACGGCTCCATATTATTTCATTGTGCAACTAAAATCTAAAGTCTAACCAGTCTTCTATAATTGAAATTTAAATGTGAGGTTATTTTACCCTTCCCACATTTCTTTTTCTTTTATTTGCTAAATTGAAATCTCAAACTTGATTTTGATTAGCAGTCAAACTCCAAAAATTAATGGAAGGGAAATAAGACCTGAAAAGGTGAAAGACTTAGAATTAAGTGATTCAAAATAGTATTTATATTTCACAAAAGCAAAAATATACCTATGGAATAGAATTCAGAACTCCATGAAAGACAGCTGGTGTCCCGAGAGCTGATGTCACACAGCCTGTGGCATGAATGTCAGAATAGGCCCATTCTACCAGCTCTGGCTGAGCCTGAGCTTCCAAAAGTGAGCTGAGCTGTTCAACCTTGGATCTTAATTACTCCTAGCAGGGATAATTAGGTCCCTCTTTCTCAGATTACAGGTTTGAGAAGTTCCAAATATCCGATGCCCTAGAGGTTTTTTTCCCTTAATTTTATTGTTACAATTGGCCTTCATCTAGCTCTGGATGGTTGAACTGTAGTAAGTATGCTTAGCTATCAGATTGGTTATTCTTCTCTCCTGGCTCACTGTTCCTCAGTTTCACAGTGTTAGATTAAGCAAATTACTTATTCCAAACAAATTGGGTTTCCTGGGAGAATTTAGTATTTACTAGGAAAAATGGCAGAGGTAGGCCTATGGTCTACTAGGAAGACAGAATGAGGGACAGGGGCTCCTGAATAAGCTGGCTCCTGGTCTCTGCAGACCACGTCCCATTTCTGAGCCCTGGCAAAGGTTTGGCTGGAAGTGTCAGGAATCTCCTTAAACCCTGAGATAACCCAGTTGTTGGTGGGAAAATTGAAAACTGTTTTTCCCAAAATACTTATCACTTACAAAATAGATTTTCATATTCTCAGTATTGTTGGACAATACTTTTTAAACTAATTCTCTTAGTTTCATAAAATAATTTTAAACCTAATATACAGTGAGGGGTGACTTCTGACCCTCTGAGTGAACATATTTCAGGGCCCAGGTGGTGGGGAGTGAAGTCATCAGCTCCAAGGCAGGCCTGTGGTCATTTCCAGCTGCACATCATGCCTGTGAGAGGGAAAGATTCTTCCCACTGTCTGTCATTATGATTTCCTTCCCTCTGGAGTTTGCATTTAAGTCCATTTTTACCCATAAATAAGTCCTTTTGTCTGCCCCTGGACCAGCTTAGGATCCTAGGACTCTCTGGAAAGATTTGCTTGCAGTTTACATGTGTCTGGGGTTCACTCTTCCTCTACTAACGGAAGGTTGTTTAGTGGCTGTGTGGGGAGGAAGGCCACGTTCTGCTTCCCTGCACTTTCTCCTTAGGCATGGCAAAGATGTTTGATCTCAGGACGAAGATCATGATCGGCATCGGAAGCAGCTTACTGGTTGCCGCGATGGTGCTCCTAAGTGTTGTGTTCTGTCTTTACTTCAAAGTAGCTAAGGCACTAAAGTGAGTCATGTGGGGGAAAATGAATTACACCTCCTCAAATGGGATACCTGGACTCCCTATTTGAGCAAGGTCATTCCTTTCTGCTGTGGCCATACCCCTGAGTGAGTGAGGACAAGAACAAGAAGCAGTTTTGAAAAGGCAGAAATGGCAGCTGAGTGTAAAATCTTTTACCCTTCTGCCGGGGGTTTGTAGAATGTTCTCAGTTTAAGGCTGTGAGTGTCAGTGGTGCTTGGCTGTCACTGGACCTCAATGAGTTTACCATCAGGTGTTTAATTCAGCACCTTGGCCAAGCCTCCCTTTGTTCAGCACCTTGGCCAGTGCCCCACTCTGTTCAGCACCTTGGCCAGTACCTCCCCTGGGCACCGTAGGCTGAAGACTCCGTAGGGAGACTGCATTAATGAGCCTCTGCCTTGTGCTCATGCGGAGGATGGGCTGGATTGATCTCCTCTTGCCTGAGTTGGGAGCTCTCAGAGTGTTCCTTCATTTATTTCTGGTGGCCTTGAGAACAAAGAGGTGGATCTTTAGGACTCTGGGACAGCTGACATGTGTGAATATCCTGGGAGACAGCAGAAAGAAAAGGGAATGTAGGTTGAACAAAAGACAATTACAGTTTGGGGAGAAGACTCTTCAAGTACCAGAGAGGTTGGTTGTCAGACACAGTCCATTCTAAGGGGTTCACAGAGACACATCCCGGAGCCTGGGGCACAGCTGAATGCAGCACCTTCCCATCATTCCTGCATCTCGGGGGCCTGCAGTCACCAGCTGGGTGATTGCTTGCAATTCACTTACCCTTACTTTTGTAACCTGAGTTTACATTTATAGCAGTCGTAGGAGAGGAAGGGATTCAAGAGGAATTTGAGACAAGGGAGAGAGCCTTAATGTAGGGCTGGTGTTCATGTTTGATTGGCTTCAGCACTAAACTTCCCAGATACCCCCAACAATTCTAACAAATGGACTGAGAAGAAAAATTCTAAGCCTGAGCTTTGTGTGTCTTTTCTTAAGAGCTGCAAAGGACCCTGATGCTGTGGCTGTAAAAAATCACAACCCAGACAAGGTGTGTTGGGCCACGAACAGCCAGGCCAAAGCCACCACCATGGAGTCTTGTCCATCTCTCCAGTGCTGTGAAGGTTGTAGAATGCATGCCAGTTCTGATTCCCTGCCACCTTGCTGTTGTGACATAAATGAGGGCCTCTGACTTGGGAAAGCTGGGCACAAAAATCTTCATGAGCAATATTTCTTTCTTAATAGAATGTTTTATTATTCAAGTCAAGTTCTAGAGTGTTTACATACTATTATATAATGTACAGTGTTATTTTCTGTACTTCTGAATAAATGTGCAATATTGGAAATAATCCTCTGCCTCCAGTATTTTTGTTAGTTATAAACATCGCTTATTTAAATATGTGTATTACCTACTTTGGGATTTGGGGTCACTAGCTGGTAATATTACATTGCGGTAAAAGAAAGTTAGAAAATCAAAGTGTCCAGCACATCTCCCACCCTACAAGGAAAACACACATTGATATTAGGACATTTCCAATGTCAGTCCCAGCTGACCTCACCCAGCTGGAGTAGCTCGTTCGGCTCTCCTGAGAGCTGTGGTCGCTGGCACCTAGTTCCTCCACCACGGATAATGGTCCATTCATCTAAGACAGTGAGAGGAGCCAGGCAGGACCTCCCTTGCATTAAAGTCATCTGATCTGTGTAAAAGAAGTCCTGAGCTCAGTGGCCTCAAGGGGCACATTTGGAAAACCAGATTTCTCCTGCTGCCACCCCCAGATCGTCAGAGCAGGTGCCTCCTTTGTGGATCACGATAACACTGATGTGCGTTGATCCAGCTTCAACTATAATAGGGACTTCCACCAAAGCCCAGACTTTCTGGACCACAGTGAGAAAGCAAAGAAATTTTATCTGAGGATAGCAGGTAAACATGAGGAATGTGAGCCCCCTTTAATTATCATTCCCAGAGAGGAACTGAAATGAAACAGCAGTCATGTCTCACTGCCCCCTTGAGCTAAATAATTACCTCCTGAAGCCACTTGCTATATGGGCTCTGGACTAACTGATGCCAAGAAGCCATAAAAATCCATACGCTGGACACCAAAACTCATACCTTATAATCCAACCCTGTAGAACCAATCACTAACCAATGTCATCTCTGTAAACCAGTGAGAATTCCTGTATTAGCCACTCCTGATCACCTTTGCCTTTTTTTTTTTTTTTTTGAGACACAGTCTTGCTCTGTCCCCCAGGCTGGTGTGCGGTGGCGTGACCTTGGCTCACTGCAACCTCCACCTCCTGGGTTCAAGCTATTCTCCTGCCTCAGCCTCCTGAGTAGCTGGGGTTATAGGCATGTGCCACCATGCCCGGCTAAATTCTGTATTTTTAGTAGAGACAGGGTTTCACCATGTTGGCCAGGCTGGTCTCAGACTCCTGACCTCAAATGATCCACCCACCTCGGCCTCCCAAAGTGCTGGGATTACAGGCATGAACCACTGTGCCTGCCCCCTTTGCCTTTAAGAACCTACTACTAACAGGCCAAGCAGAGCACTTCCCAAAGCAACCTGGAAGTGCGTCCCGGCCACGGTCCTCAACCTTGGGCCAAATAACCTCTCTATGTTAATTTTGTTTCAGTTTCTTTCCTTAGGTCAAGGACAGCAACAGGTAGCAGGAAGCCCTCCCTCGCTTCTTCTGCTCCCAGTTGCCTTCTGTTCCGGCTCCTTCCCCTAAGCCTCCTGGAACTGCTTTCGAGCACGAGAAAGGCATAACCGTCATGTATACTCCTCTCATGAACTAAACCCTTGCTTGTGAACATCACATGTAGACAATATAAAGAATTATTCTAGCCTGGGTAACACAGTGAGGCCCCGTCTCCACCAAAAATAAAAATAAAAAAATTAGCTGGATGTGGTGTCCCACACCTGTAGTCCCAGCTCCGCAGGCATTGAGGTGGATAATCTGAGCCCTGGGGTGGAGGCTTCAGTGAGCCGTGGTCTCACCACTGCACTCCAGTCTGAGTAACAGAGTAAGACTCTGTCTCCAAAAAATAAAAATAATAAATAATAATTATTAACTAGTAACAGTTGGTTACCTACTAAAGGGGTAAACAGGAAAACAGGAATAGCAAATGAAAGAAACAGCTGTGGCTTCCAGGTGATGGGTGAACAAGGGTGGAAATAAGCATCTGGGGGGCTGCCTGCTGGCTGAACTCCAGGGATCTGGGCAGAGTGTGTGGGAGTCTTGGGAATATTCAGGATTCCCCCAACCTTAGTGCTGGGGAAACAGGCCAGAGGCAGGCAGGCCTAGCAGCTCTGGAGGGGCTGCCGTTGGAGCCGAGCAACTCCCTGGAGGCTGCCCTGAGACCCTCGTCCTGGAAGTGATCTCTCACCCTCGAGTTTCTGGGCACTGTTTCCATCCTTTGACACCGATTTACTCTTGTCACCAGCAAGCTCTGAGCTGACAGAGCACCCACGAGTCCTCTCTTACCCCACCCAGTGGGCAGCCCAGTGCCTGGATCCAGAAGGCCTGTGCCAGGGCCTCCCTATATGGGCAACTATGCCTGGTGCAGGCATCGCAGGGGCCATGAGGGAGGCAGGTGGGACAAGGGTCTTCAGGATGCCCCCATTAGCAGGAGGGCAGAACACCACACATGGGCTTTGGAGCCCTATGGACTCGGTTCCCATCCCAATTCGGCCTTCACTAGGGGAAGTCCCTTGACCCATCTGAGCCTCTGTGTCCTTGATGTGAAGTGGGGACTAGCACAGGTGACAGGGAAGAGGCAGTGAGATGAGGCCAGGTGACCTCACAGCACCCCATGATCCACAGAAAGTTGCCAAGGGCCTGAAGGTGGCTTCCCTCCTGACTGAACCCGGAAGCCTGGATCATTTATCAGGCAACCTACCCCACAACAGAGTGTGGTCACGAAACTCTTGTGCTCAGTGGGGATGGATCAGGGATGTTTGAGATCCTGGCCATGGAAGAGAGAGAGGGGTTCAGAGGGAGAGCCCAGGGTGGGGGTGGGCGTTAATGGACACAGCTGTGAGTGAGCAGCACTTAGTAACCAGAAGGGTCCCCTCTCAAATGCCTGCACCCTGCTCACTCACCCCAGGACACCCAGTCCCACCTCATCCGCAGCCAGCCTGAGCAGACAGGAATGGAGCAGAGCTGGGCAGGGGCCTTGGAGAGTGTCTAAGCTCCTCCTGAGCACCACATCCCAGCATCTCAGGTGCTGCTTTTCCCCTGCAGCAATAGGTGTGGGCCCAACAAGGAATGGATCCCCTGGGTCACAGCATGCCTCCCCAGGGAGGCATCCTGGGCTGCAGTACAGTCAGAACAATAAAGAGGAGTTGGCGGTAGCCAGAAGGTTTCACCCCAGGAGACGCAGCCTATACCAGCATCAGACCTCCACAGAGCTGTACAGAGTTTCTTCAAAAAGTAGCCAGTTCTGGCATTGTCCACTCAAAATATTCCACCTGAACTTAGAGTGAAACTCAGACTCTTCATTTGCCCTACAGGTCCTTTCCACATCTGACCTTTACCTGCTCCTCTCTATCCTTCCCTCCCAGCTCGCTCCTCCCACTCATGTCCAGCCAAGCTGTTCTTTCATCTCTACTATTGTAGGTGTGCCCATCTGGTCCCTGCCTCAGGGCCTTTGCACTTGCCCTCTCTTTTGCCTAAAATGCAACCCCCAAGCTCAGATCACACATGAATGCCTCCCTCTTATCTTTCTGTCTTTGCTCAGATTTCATCTCTCAAGACACCTTCCCTCCCACCCTCATATGTCCTCCCCACCCCAAGGGAGCCACTGTCTATTAATAAAACGGGTCACCCTGTTTCATTGCAGTCAGAGCTCCTCTCACTATTTGAATTCTTCATTTATTTTTGTTTAATTCCCCGCCTAGAATTCAAGTTCCATGAGGGCAGGACTGTGTCTCTCATGTTCAATTCTGTATTGCTCAGGACCTAGAACGTTACATAATATTTGCTAAATAAATGAATAAATGAATGAAAATGAAAAGAGGGCAGCCCCCACCCTCCCTAGTACACACACATTTGCCATTCCTAGTCTCTTCATGGACACCAGGATTTCCTTCTCTTGGCCGCAAAACACAGTGCCCAAGGGACTAAGCTAACTGCTGCAGCCTCTCCAGACATAACCTGTTAGAAATCCTTGCAGGGGAACCTGGATCTGCTGTCCCTTTTCCTCACAATGCTCTGCCCCCTCTTTCCACCCCTCAGTTGTCTGGCAGGGCATCTGAGTGACTGTAAGGTAAACACACCTGACATCAATAATTGAAGCATACCCTGAGAATGACCCTGTGTGGCAGATGCAACTGAATGTATGTTCAGAGATGGCGAATCTAGGAGTGGTCAGCCCTGAGATTCATTTCTTGTCTGTCGGGAACATCTGAGCCCCCATCCCATCCCATGGAATTGCAGGCCAACCAGGAGTCCAAGGCCCTGAGTTTTGGGTTAAGTGAAGGTTGCCAGGTGGAGACTGTTAGGGGGAGGGTGTTAAGTGAAAATGCCATATAAACTGCATGCTCTTTGCCAGCAGCTGCGATTTTCCTTCCCAGCCCATCTCCACTGAGCCATGCAATTATTCTGTCCAGCCCATGCTGAACTCTGTCCCCTGTATGTAGCCCCTAATAAAATCCCATGTCTCATTTTCTGGCTGAGTCTCTTCTTTGGCCTCTTGAACCTAGTGTCATCTCCATTGGAGTTGATAGGTGTTCGGCAGGACAGTGACCCAGCTGGACCCAGAGTGTGCCCAGGTGCCACACCCCCACCTTGCCCTACTGATCCTCTGGCCTCCCACAGGCTTCCCTTCCCAGGCCAGAGCCCCTAAGGCCTCAGATGTCACTGAGGCCTCAAATGTCAAAGGCCTCAAATGCCAGTTCATGATTTGCAGGAACAGTGTAAAGGTCCAGCTTCCTGTCATCTCCACAGCAAGTTTCTCATTGACTCCTGGGTGCCAGCTGCTAGAGATCCCCACGAAGATCTTCCACTGGGGGGCAACCCTTCCAGAAAGGAGTTGGGGAGAGAGAACCCTCACTGTGGGGACTGCTGATAAAAAACCAGTCACTGAGCAGTGGTTTGTAGTTCTCCTTGAAGAGGTCCTTCACATCCCTTGTAAGTTGGATTCCTAGGTATTTTATTCTCTTTGAAGCAATTGTGAATGGGAGTTCACTCATGATTTGGCTCTCTGTTTGTTATTGGTGTATAAGAATGTGATTTTTGCACATTGATTTTGAATCCTGAGACTTTGTTGAAGTTGCTTATCAGCTTAAGGAGATTTTGGGCTGAGACAATGGGGTTTTCTAGATACACAATCATGTCCTCTGCAAACAGGGACAATTAGACTTCCCCTTTTCCTAACTGAATACCCTTTATTTACTTCTCCTGCCTGATTGCCCTGGCCAGAACTTCCAACACTATGTTGAATAGGAGTGGTGAGAGAGGGCATCCCTCTCTTGTGCCAGTTTTCAAAGGGAATGCTTCCAGTTTTTGCACATTCAGTATGATATTGGCTGTGGGTTTGTCATAGATAGCTCTTATTATTTTGAGATACGTCCCATCAATACCTAATTTATTGAGTTTTTAGCATGAAGTGTTGTTGAATTTTGTCAAAGGCCTTTTCTGCATCTATGGAGATAATCGTGTGGTTTTTGTCTTTGGTTCTGTTTATATGCTGGATTACATTTATTGATTTGCGTATGTTGAACCAGCCTTGCATCCTAGGGATGAAGCCCACTTGATCATGGTGGATAAGCTATTTGATGTGCTGCTGGATTCAGTGTGCCAGTATTTTATTGAAGATTTTTGCATCAATGTTCATCAAGGATATTGGTCTAAAATTCTCTTTTTTGGTTGTGTCTCTGCCAGGCTTTGGTATCAGAATGATGCAGGCCTCATAAAATGAGTTAGGGAGGATTCCCTCTTTTTCTATTGATTGGAACAGTTTCAGAAGGAATGGTACCAGCTCCTCCTTGTACCTCTGGTAGAATTCAGCTGTGAATCCATCTGGTCCTGGACTTTTTTTGGTTGGTAAGCTATTGATTATAGCCTCAATTTCAGAGCCTGTTATTGGTCTATTCAGAGATTCAACTTCTTCCTGGTTTAGTCTTGGGAGAGTGTATGTGTCGAGGAATTTATCCATTTCTTCTAGATTTTCTAGTTTATTTGCGTAGAGGTGTTTATAGTATTCTCTGATGGTAGTTTGTATTTCTGTGGGATCAGTGGTGATAACTCCTTTATCATTTTTTATTGAGTCTATTTGATTCTTCTCTCTTTTCTTCTTTATTAGTCTTGCTAGCGGTCTATCAATTTTGTTGATCTTTTCAAAAAAACAGCTCCTGGATTCATTAATTTTTTGAAGGGTTTTTTCTGTCTCTATTTCCTTCAGTTCTGCTCTGATCTTAGTTATTTCTCTCCTTCTGCTAGCTTTGAATGTGTTTGCTCTTGCTTTTCTAGTTCTTTTAATTGTGATGTTAGGGTGTCAATTTTAGATCTTTCCTGCTTTCTCTTGTGGGCATTTAGTGCTATAAATTTCCCTCTACACACTGCTTTGAATGTGTCCCAGAGATTCTTGTATGTTGCGTCTTTGTTCTGGTTGGTTTCAAAGAACCTCTTTATTTCTGCCTTCATTTCGTTATGTACCCAGTAGTCATTCAGGAGCAGGTTGTTCAGTTTCCATGTAGTTGAGCGGTTTTGAGTGAGTTTCTTAATCCTGAGTTCTAGTTTGATTGCACTGTGGTCTGAGAGACAGTTTGTTATAATTTCTGTTCTTTTACATTTGCTGAGGAGTGCTTTAAATAAAAGAGGATACAAACAAATGGAAGAACATTCCATGCTCATGGGTAGGAAGAATCAATATCGTGAAAATGGCCATACTGCCCAAGGTAATTTATAGATTCAATGCCATCCCCATCAAGCTACCAATGACTTTCTTTACAGAATTGGAAAAAACTACTTTAAAGTTCATATGGAACCAAAAAAGAGCCCGCATTTCCAAGTCAATCCTAAGCCAAAAGAACAAAGCTGGAGGCATCATGCTACCTGACTTCAAACTATACTACAAGGCTACAGTAACCAAAACAGCATGGTACTGGTACCAAAACAGAGATATAGACCAATGGAACAGAACAGAGCCCTCAGAAATAATGCCGCATATCTACAACTATCTGATGTTTGACAAACCTGACAAAAAGAAGAAATGGGGAAAGGATTCCCTATTTAATAAATGGTGCTGGGAAAACTGGCTAGCCATATGTAGAAAGCTGAAACTGGATCCCTTCCTTATACCTTATACAAAAATTAATTCAAGATGGATTAAAGACTTAAATGTTAGACCTAAAATCATAAAAACCCTAGAAAAAAACCTAGGCAATACCATTTAGGACACAGGCATGGGCAAGGACTTCATGTCTAAAACACCAAAAGCAATGGCAACAAAAGCCAAAATTGACAAATGGGATCTAATTAAACTAAACAGCTTCTGCACAGCAAAAGAAACCACCATCAGAGTGAACAGGCAACCTACAGAATGGGAGAAAATTTTTGCAACCTACTCATCTGACAAAGGGCTAATATCCGGAATCTATAATGAACTCAAACAAATTTACAAGAAAAAAACAAACAACCCCATCAAAAAGTAGGCAAAGGATATGAACAGACACTTCTCAAAAGAAGATATTTATGCAGCTAAAAAACACATGAAAAAATGCTCATCGTTACTGGCCATCAGAGAAATGCAAATCAAAACCACAATGAGATACCATCTCACACCAGTTAGAATGGCAATCATTAAAAAGTCAGGAAACAACAGGTGCTGGAGAGGATGTGGAGAAATAGGAACACTTTTACACTGTTGGTGGGACTGTAAACTAGTTCAACCATTGTGGAAGACAGTGTGGCGATTCCTCAGGGATCTAGAACTAGAAATATCATTTGACCCAGCCATCCCATTACTGGGTATATACTCGAAGGATTATAAATCATGCTGGTATAAAGACACATGCACACGTATGTTTATTGTGGCACTATTCACAATAGCAAGGACTTGGAACCAACCTAAATGTCCAACAACCATAGACTGGATTAAGAAAATATGGCACATATACACCATGGAATACTATGCAGTCATAAAAAAGGATGAGTTCATGTCCTTTGTAGAGACATGGATGAAACTGGCAACTGTCATTCTCAGCAAACTATCGCAAGGACAAAAAACCAAACACCACATGTTCTCACTCATAGGTGGGAATTGAACAATGAGAATATATGGACACAGGAAGGGGAACATCACACACCGGGGACTGTTGTGGGGTGGGGTGAGAGGGGAGGGATAGCATTAGGAGATATACCTAATGCCAAATGACGAGTTAATGCGTGCAGCACACCAACATGGCACATGTATACATATGTAACAAACCTGCACATTGTGCACATGTACCCTAAAACTTAAAGTATAATAATAATAAAATTAAAAAACAACAACAACAAAAAACAGTCACACAGCTGCTCTCACACAAATCTACCTCTTGTATGGATGGAACTGACGTTTCCCTGGAGGTGTCCAGACAGCTGATGAAACAGAGAGCCTATAAAAGCTGTCGGTCCTTAAGGCTGCGCAGCCCCTGGCGAAGATGGAGCTTGTAAGGAGGCTCATGCCTCTGGCCTTTTTAATTGTCTCCTGATTGGCAGAGTTGATGTTGATGGAGGCTGAACGTAAAATACATTTTTTTTTTTAGTCAAAATACTGTCATTCAAAAGGTCCCTGCCAGAGATTTTAGAACTTTTTGATTCCTCTGCTGGCCCCAGTGTGGAAAAAAATTACTCTTAAATATTATTGGTGGGAGATTAAGTTAGTATCAGGTTCATTCATGGTGATACTGCAATACATATAAAATATAAAAAGCACAGGGAATTTAACCAGATAATTTTATTTCTAAACACTTAGCTTTAGGAAACAACTATAATAGTGTCCAAAGATGTATGTACAAGCATGTTCATTATACTATATTAATAAATGTAAGAAACAACAAAAATCTCCATTTATTATGAATCTTATGGTAAATACATACAAAGAACACTGCGTGGATTTTAGTTTTTAAAGGACACTGATCCAGGAGGAGGAAACAGAGAAAGATGGCAGAATAGAAGCCTCCATCAATCATCCTCCCAACAGGAACACTAAACTGAGTAAATAGCTACACCAAAAAAGCACCTTAAGAAAAACCAAAAATCAGGTGAGTAATCACAGTACCTGTTTTTAACTTCATATCACTGAAAGAGGCACCGAAGAGGATGGGAAAGACAGTCTTGAATTGCCAACACCACTCCCTCCCCTATCCCCTTGCAGTGGCTACATGGTATGGAGAAAAAAAATCTGTGCACTTGGTGGGAGGGAGAGTGCAGTGATTGTGGGACTTTGCATTGAAACTCAGTGCTTCTCTGTCACAGCAGGAAGCAACACCAGGCAGAGTTCAGCCGGTGCCCATGGAGGGAGCATTTAGACCAGCCACAGCCAGAGGGGAATCACCCCTCCCAGTGATTGGAACCTGGGTTCTGGCAAGCCTGGACACTGCAGGCTAAAGTGCTCTGGGTCCTAAATAAACTTGAATGGGTGTCTAAACCACAATGACTGCAATTCCTGGGCAAGTCCTGGTGCTGTGCTGGGTTTGCAGCCAGTGGTCTTGGGGGGCATGTGACCCAGTAAGATACCAGCTGGGGTGATCTGCTTGCACCATGCCTCCCCCAACCCCAGGCAGCACAGCTCACAGCTCTGGGAGAGACTCCTTCCCTTTGTTTGAGTAGAGGAGAGGGAAGAGTGTAGAGGACTTTGTCTTGCATGTTGGATACTAGCTCAGCCACAATAGGATAAGGTACCAGGGAGAGTCCTGAGGCACCCAATCCAGGCCCTAACTCCAAGATGACATTTCTAGACACAATCTGGGCCACAAAGGAGTCTGCTGCTTTGACGGATAGGACCTAGTCCCAGAAAAATTCATCACTTACTGACTAAAGAGCCCGTGGTACCAAAGCAGTACTTGCCATGGGCCTTGGGTGAAACTCAAGAGACATGCTGGCTTCAGGTGTGACCCAGCACATTCCCAGCTGTGGTGGCTATGGGGATGGACTCCTTCTGCTTGAGAAAAGGAGAAAGAAGAGTAGGGGGACTTTGTCTTGCAGCTTAGGTACGAGCTCGGCCACAGTGGGGTAGAGCATTAAGTGGGATCTTGGGGTCCCCAGTTCTAGGGCTTGCCTCTTGGATGGCATTTCTGTGCCTGCCCTGGGCCAGAGGGGAGCCTGCTGCTCTGTAGAGAGAGTCCCAGGCCTGGCAGCAGTCACTACAAGATGACTTAGGAGCCCTTGGGCCTTGAATGAACATTGGCAGTAGTCTGACTGACTACCATTGGCCTAGGGCAGTGGTGGCCATAGAGAGAGATTCCTCTGCTTATGAAAAGAAGAGATATTTGTTTCGTGGCTTGGGTGCCAGATCAGCTGCAGTAGAATAGAATACCAAGTAAATTCCTAAGATTTCTGACTCTAGGCCCTGGCTCCCAGACAGCATCTCTGAACCTGCTGAGGACTTGGGGGAAGTTGTTGCTCTGAAAAGAAGGATGCCATCCTGGCTGGCTTTACCACCTGTTGGTAGAGCCCTAGGGTCTTGAGCAAACATGGACAGTAGCCAGACAGTGGCTACTGTGGGCCTTGGGTGAGATCCAATACTATGCTGGCTTTAGTTCTTACTGAGCACAGTCCCACTGCTGGTGGCCACGGGGGTGCTTGTGTCACTTCATCCCAACTCCAGACAGCTCAGCAGAGAGAGAGAGAGACTCCATTTGTTTGGGTGGAAGTAGGGAAAGAGACTAAGAGTCTCTACCTGGTAATCCATTTCATTCTTCTGGATCTTGTCAAAGACCACCAAGGCAGTACCTCTATGAGTCTGCAAGAGCCATAGCCTTAATGCGCTTGGGGTATCTCCTAATGCAGATACGGTTGCAGTGACCAAAAACTTAGATCACAATAGGCACTTGCCTTCAAGCATCTAGAAAGCCTTCCCAAGAAGGACAGACACAAACAAGACCAGACTGTGAAGACTACAATCAATACCTAACTCTTGAATACTCAGACACAAACAAACATCCACAAGCATCAAGACCATCCAGGAAAACATGACCTCAGCAAATGAACTAAGTAAGGCACAAGGAATCAATCATGGAGAGACAGAGATATGTGACTTTCAGACAGAGAATCCAAAATAGCTGTTTTGAGGAAATACAATGAAATTCAATATAACACAGAGAAGGAATTCAGAATCCTATTGATAAATTTAGCAAAGAGATTGAAATTATTTTAAAGAATCAAGAAGAAATTCTGTAGTTGAAAAATTCAATTGACATACTGAAGAATGCATCAGAGTTTCTTAACAACAGAATTGATCAAGCAAAATAAAGAATTAGTGAGCTTAAAGACAGGCTGTTTGAAAATACAAAGAGAGAGGAGACAAAAGCAAAAAGAATGAAGCATGCCTACAAAATCTTGAAAATAGCTTCAAAAGGGAAAATCCAAGAGTTATTGGCCTTAAAGAACAGGTAGACAGACAGGGATAGAAAGTGTATTCAAAGGGATAATAAAAAAGAACTTCCCAAACCTAGAGAAAGATATCAATATTCAAGTAGAAGAAGGTTACAGAACATCAAGCATATTTAACACAAATAAGACTACCTCAAGGAATTTAATAATCAAATTCCCAAAGGTCAAGGATAAAGAAAGGATCCTAAAAAGCAGCAAAAGAAAAGAAACAACATACAATGGACTTCCAGTATATCTGGCAGCAAGCTTCTCCGTAAAAATATTACAGGCCAGGAGACAGTGTATTTAAAATGCTGAAGGAAAAAAAAACTTTTATTCCAGAATAGTATATCAAGCAAAAATATCCTTCAAACATGAAGGAGAAAGACTTTCCCAGACAAGAAAAAAAGCTGAGAAATTTAAACATGAAACCTGTCCTATAAAAAATGCTAAAGGGAGTTCTTCAGTCTGAAAGAAAAGAACATTAATGAGCAATAAAAAGTCATGTGAAAGTACAAAACTCACTGGCAATAGTGAATACATAGAAAAACACAGAATATTACAACACCATAACTGTGACATGTAAACTACTCATATCTAGAGTAGAAATGCTAAAATATGAACTGATCAAAAATAATAATTACAACAAGTTTTCAAGACAGGCAGTACAATAAGATAAAAATAGAAACAACAAAAAATTTAAAAGCAGGGAACAATGTTAAAGTGTAGAGTTTTATTAGTTTTCTCTTTGTTTATGCAATCAGTGTTGACATCAGTTTAAAATAACGAGATATTATATTATTTGAAAGCCTCATGGTAACCTCAAATCAAAGAACACACAACAGATACACAAAAAATAAAAAGCAAAGAATTAAAATGTGCCACCAGAGAAAATCACCTTCATTAAAATGAAGACATTAGTAAGAAAAGAAGGAAGAGAAGACCACAAAACAACCCAAAAACAAATAAAATGGCAGGAGTAAGTCCTTACTTACCAATAATAACATTGAATGTAAATGGACTAAACTCTCCAATCAAAAAACATAGAGTGGCTGATGGATTAAAAAACAAAAACAAAAACAAAAACAAGACCAAATGATCTGTTGCCTACATGAAACACACTTCACCTATAAAGACACAACATAGACTGAAAATACAGGGATGGAAAAAGATATTCCATGCAAATGGAAACAAAAAAGAGCAGAATAGATTGATGCAAAAAATATATTTCAAGACAAAAACTATAAAAAGAGACAAAGAAGGTCATTATATAATTATACATGGATACATTCAGCAAGAGGCTATAACTACTGTAAATGCACCTCACACTGGACCACTGAGATATACAAAGCAAATATTATTAGAGGTAAAGAGAGAGATAGACCCCAATACGGAATAATAGCTAGAGACTTCAACATCCCAGTTTCAGCACTGAACAGATCACCCAGACCAAAAAAAAAAAAAAAAAATCAATGAACATTGGACTTAATCTGCACTATAGACCAAATGGACATAATAGATATTTACAAAACATTTCATCCAATGGCTTCAGAATATACATTCTTCTCCTCAACACATAGATAATTCTCAAGGATAGACCTTATGTTATACTACAAAGCAAGTCTTTAAAAATTCAAAACACTTGAAATAATATCAAAGTAACTTCTCTGACCACAATGGAATAAAACTATAAGTCAATAACAAGGGGATTTTGGGAAACTATACAAACACATGGAAATTAAACAATATGCTTCTAAATGACCAGTGGGTCAATGAAGAGATTAAGAAGGAAAGTGAAAATTTTCTTCAAACAAATAATGAAAACACAACATATTAAAGCCTATGGAATATAGTAAAAGCAGTACTAAGAGGAAAGCGTATATCTTTAAGCCTACATCAAAAAAGTAGAAAATCTTCAAATAGACAACCTAACCATGCAAGTTAAAGAATTAGACAAGCAAGAGTAAACCAAACCCAAAATTAGAAGAAAAGAAATAATTAAGATAAGAGCAAAAATTAATGAACTTGAAATGAGGAAAACAAAAAAAATCAACAAAATGAAAAGCTGGTTTTTTTAAAAGATAAACAAAATCACCAAAACTTTAGCCAGATTAACCGAAAAAAAGAGAGAAGAACAGATAAATAAAATCAGATATGAAAAAGGAAATATTACAACTGGCACTGCAAAAATTCAAAGGATTATTAGGGGCTACTATGAGCAAATATACACCAATAAATTGGAAAGCCTAGAAGAAATGGATAAATTCCTAGACACATACAACCTACCAAGATTAAACTTGAAAGAAATCCAAAACCTGAAAATGTCTGAACAGACTGGTAAAAGTAATGAGATCAAAGCTGTACTAAAAGGTCTCCTAGCAAAACAAATTCCAGGATATGATGGTTTCACTGCTGAATTTTACCAAACATTTAAAGAAGAACTAATACCAATCTTACTTGAACTATTTCAAAAGATAAAGGAGGAAGGAATACTTCCAAACTCTTTCTATGAGGCCAGTAATACCCTGATACCAAAACCAGACAAAGACACAGAAAGAAAGAAAGAAAGAAAGAAAGAAAGAAAGAAAGAAAGAAAGAAAGAAAGAAAGAAAGAAAGAAAGAAAGAAGGAAAGAAGGAAAGAAAGAGAAAGAGAACGAACAAACTACAGGCCAGTATCACTGATGAATATTGATGCAAAAATTCTCAACGAAATACTAGCAAACTGACTTCAACAACACATTAAAAAGATTATTCATCATGACCAAGTGGGATTTATCCTACGAATACAAGGATGGCTCCATGCACTTAAATCAATCAATGTGATACATCATATCAACAAAATAAAAGACAAAAATCATATAATCATTTCAATTGATGCTGAAAAGGCATTTGATAAAATTCAACATTCCTTCATGATAAAAACACTTTAAAAAACTGAGTATAGAAGGAAAATACTTTGACACAATAAAAGCCAAATATGACAGACCCACAGCTAGTTATCATACTGAATGGGGAAAAACAGAATGCCTTTCCTCTAAGATCTGGAACACAACAAGGGTGCCTACTATCACTACTGTTATTCAACAATAATTGAATAGAAGTACTATTGAAGAGGTACTAGAATAGGTACTATAAGTCCTAACTAGAGTAATCAGACAAGAGAAAGAAATAAAGGGCATTCAAGTTGGAGAGGAAGAAATGAAATTATCCTTGTTTGCAGATGATACGATCTTATATTTGGAAAAAACCTAAAGACATCACCAAAAAACTACTAGAACTGAAAAACAAGTTAAGTTTTAGGATACAATATCAACATACAAAAATCAGTGGCATTTCTATATGCCAATAGTAAACAGTCTGAAAAAGAAATCAAGAAAGTAATCTGATTTATAATAGCTACAAATAAAATACCTAGGACTTACACATGGGCTGCAAGAGCCAGAGCTTCCTGATTCCCAGCCTGGGAGCAGAGAGGGATGCTCAAGCTCAGGCCAACCACGCCCTGCCCTGGACTGACTTCATCCACCAGAGTCGGCTGCCACTTCTTCAGAAAGTTCAAGAATAACTCACCCCTTACTTAGCATATAATTAGGCACAGGCATTAATATAGCTAGCCAGCAGTCCACAAGTGCCACTCTGCCTATGGGATAGCTCTGCTGGGTCTATGGAGCAGCCATTTCACTGTACATTGTTGCTCCCATAAATGTGCTGTCTTTCACTGTTGGCTCACTCTTGAATTTTTTATTATACTTTAAGTTTTAGGGTACATGTGCACAACATGCAGGTTATTTACATATGTATACATGTGCCATGTTGGTGTGCTGCACCCATTAACTCATCATTTAGCATTAGGTATATCTCCTAATGCTATCCCTCCCCCCTACCCCCACCCCACAACAGGCCCCAGTGTGTGAATTCTTTCAGCTGAAGCCAAGAACCCTCCCAAGCTAAGCCCCCATTTGGGATTTCACCTGTATCAGGATGATGAGGAGACTTCCACTCCAGTTTTCTTTCCAAGGCCCAGAGCCGATGATGTCACTCTCTTTCTTAAACATCATGCGTAGTTCTTCAGTGATTCCCTGGCACCAGGAGAAGCAGCTTTCAAAGTCTTCCCATGGTATTGTTTCAAAACTAGTTATGCACCACATAAGGATGCTCCAGTCAATGACGGACTGCATATATGATGGTGGTCTGTTGTGCCAAACCCCTATAGACTCCTGTGGAGATGGTACCAGGTTCAAGAGGCCTAAGAGACCCAGAGCCAGCAAATGAGACATGGGGTTTTTTTAAATGGAGAAATACTATCTTAACACAGAAGAATCCTTAGTTTTAAAGGTCAGGAATCTGAATTCTGACATTGCATGGGACAGAGGGAATGGCAAATGCACTCAGTGATAACTGTATGTTGGCTACATTGAGTCATTTTCTCCACATTACTTAATATCTGATACTGAATGTACTGAGCTTGATAGATGTTTTGTTTTTAAGGATAAGTCACAATTAAATAGAAACTGTTTAATAATTTATCTTAGGTGAAAATGATCCTGGTATACAAGAAGTCCTGTGATGCCTAGCTTTATATCATTATTTATATGGACTACGAAGAATTATAATTCTGGTTTATAACCAACTATTTTTATGTCAAAACAAAACAAAAAGAAAAAAGCCATGAGAAGACATGGAGGAAACTTAAATGCATATTGCTAAGTAAAAGGCCAAACTGAAAAGGCTACAGACCATGATTCCAACTATATGGAATTCAGGAAACAGGAAAAACATGGAGATGGTAAAGAGAGCAGTGGCTGCCAGAGGGATGAATAAGTGGAGCATAGAGGATTTTTAGGGCAGTGAAACTAGTCTATATGATACGATAATGGTGGATACATGTCATTATACATTTGTCCAAATCCATAGACTGTACAACACCAAGAGTGAATCCTAATATGAACTATAGACTTCAGGTGATAAAGATGTCAATGTAGGCTCGTCAATTGTAACAAATGTACCACTCTAGTGAGGATGTTGATAGTAGAGGAGGTTATGCACACGTAAGGATAGGGAATATATGAGAAATCTCTGTAACTTCTCTCAATTTTGCTATGAACCTAAAATGGCTTTTTAAGTCTTAAATCAAGAAATTAAACGTATTAACTTCTATAAACACATTCACTACAAAGACTTGCATAATGCATCTTTAAGTTTGAAAACAGTTGAACATTTGTGAATGTCAATATGCAAACATCCTAGTAAAATACTGTTTTCCAGTTTCAAAGAAGGACACTAATTTCCCTGTTAATCAAATGTTTTGACAACTATGAAAAATACTGACCCTTAATAAATGACCCTGCATGGCTCCTTAACTCTAACACCTTTTTTTCTGTAAAGACAGGGCCTCACTATGTTTACCCAGGCTGGACTCAAACTCCCTGCCTCAAGTGATCTTTCTGCCTCAGCCTCCCAAAGTGTTAAGATTATAAGCGTGAGCCACCATGTCCAGCCAGACTATGATACTTTAATTTCACAAGTTTTCTACCTCACACTGGGAAGCCAAACTAAATTAGCCACTTGAAATAGAAATACTTTTAGGGGCCGGGCGCAGTGGTTCACGCCTGTAACCCCAGCACTTTTGGGGGCTGAGGTGGGTGGATCATTTGAGGTCAGGAGTTCAAGACCAGATTGACCAACAGTATTTTGTACTAAAAATACAAAAATTAGCCAGGCATGGTGGTCTGCACCTGTAATCCCAGCTACTCGGGAGGCTGAGGTAGGAGAATTGCTTGAACCAGGAGGCAGAGGTTGAAGTGAGATGAGATCGCACCACTGCACTCCAGCCTGGGCTACAGAGTGAAACTCTGTCTCAAAATAAATAAATAAATAAATAAATAAAAACAAATACTTTCAGGGATATTTTGTCTTTGATTTTTAACATAAACACTAAGCTAATTCCAATAACAGTTCCTCTGTTATGCTGGCACTGTTCCAAATAACAAATGCAGAGTATGTAGAGAAATCACATATTTATCAAATTTCAAATTGCCAAATATTACTCTTTAAGATGATTGTGATCTTGCTTCCCAATTACTTCATCATCAGATACATGCAGAAGGAACTCAGAATTGGCCTTTGTACTGTCTGCCCCTAACTTCATTCATCATCCTTGCTTGGAATACAGTAATTGCTACCACATCATAGTGAGGCACTTTGTGAATCAATGAACAGACCACAACTACCAGAAGATGCAGGACTATTAACTAATGCAGGACTATTAACTAACAGATTCAAACTTGAGACAGACTTCTCAATGAGAACAGAGATACTATCTAATATATGTTATGAATGTCCCATAAATAATGGCCCTTCAAGGACTATCAAAAGGGATATGCAAATCCTGACATTACTATGGTCACAGTTTGTTCCATATACTGTGTCACCTTTGTAGTATGATAAAAATGAACAAACAACATATAAATTAGCCCTCCTTTTGTTACCAACAAAGCTGGTCCTCCAAAAGATGGGGTCTTTCCCTGATGGGTGTCACAAAGCCAATACGTGAAACCAAAAAAGAGTGACAAACACTGCAGGTTTTATTCAATCGCCACTGAATTGAGAAGCAGGAGTATGGCTCACAAATCAACTTTTCAACTAATGAGGAGTGAGGGGGTTAAAATATAATTTTTCTAATAAAGGTGTTTCACATTCAAGCAAAGGGAGGAATATTCCTGGATTTTTCAGAAATGGGCAGTGAACTTCCTAAAACCAGAGTGCTGCCTTCCTTTTTGTCCTTTCATGGCTTCTTCTGGTCACTGTCATGGCGATTGTCAACTGTCATGGAGCTAGCAGGAGCGTTATTTAGCACAGAAATAAGATTATAAAAAGGCTGAGGTCTTTTTAAAGTCGTTTGGTCAGCTATCGTGGTTGTAACCAGTCTCCTCTGGACTGGTTACAAAAGGAACTTTTCATCACAGGCATCCTGTTTCTTAAAGATAAGCAGAGTTAGGGCAGGGTAAAAATTCAGCTATGTCACGCAGGAATTACATCAGGTAACATTTTTAAAGAAGAAATTTGCCAAAATATTAAATGAGTATGAGATACCCTTTTTCTAAAAAATAAGACATTTGAAGTAAAGATTAGTTGAAATAAAACAGTTCTACTAACTAAAGACAAGTAGTTCCCAGAGCAGGTGCATTTATTTTTATATGCAAATATATCACCCTTCAATGCATATACAATAGTTATAAGGTCTGAAAACTAAGTCTATCAGAGAGAATTGCAATCCCTTGACTCATATGTGTTCATCCTTCCATGGAGAGCCTCATTATTTCATACAATAAACATGCCAGAAAAGGATTCTGGGGAAAAAACCTGTATCAGCTCAAAAGGAGAGGTTTTCTTAAACTGTCTGGGGTTACTGAGGTCAAACAAGATGACTGCATCTGTTTTACAGGAAAAATCAAATCCAAAGTACTAATCGTAACAAGGACTAGGCTAGTTCTGATGTTTACTTTCCTACCTACAGCTACTCTGTAATGAAACAAATAATATTAACAACCCCAGAGTGAACTAAGTTTACACATGCCAAATATCACATCTTATTCATTATCTCACACAAGCAATACAAAATGTAAACTGGTAATCTGAAGTAAAGGCTCCAAGTCTTAAGTATCCAATTTTCCAAGATAATTAGAAAAAGAAAAAAATCAAATACTCTTAAGCATTATTTTTCATACTTCTAAGACTATAAGATCTTTGTATAAATAAAAATTATACTTAAACACATATACAATACAAACTAATGAACTGTATTAGAAATCCTCAAGCATTTTAAACTCTTAACACAAATATACATACATTTCTGTAAGACTGAAAAATATCGTGAGCAAAAATAATTTGACTGTATCATATTAACTCAGTGTACAGTACTGGATTTAAAATAACAAGTGTAGTAAAAACGAAAACTGAGGTCACTTTGTGTAAGACAATGATCCCTCAAAGGACATTAAATACTTGCTTTTTATAAATATTTTTGGGTTTTGGCTTTGTAATAAATATGTAATAAATATCTGCAGTACACTGTTTATGTTGAGAGCTTATCTTTCTCCATTTGAAAGTCTTTCTCCAGAGTCATAATGTCTTAGAGGTATCCCAGTGGGCGGGGAGTTAGGATTTTGCAGCAAATCCAGTAACAAAGCAATCTTATCATCAATGTGCTCCTGGAGTTCATGTATTCGCTGATCAATGTAATCCATAAGTTTCTTTTCCATCAGTTCCATATTTTTAGAAAGAATCTTTTCCAAGTAGGAGCAAATAGATTGCTCTTCCATTCTAAAAATACATTTTTAAAAATGTGTAAATTTTCCCTAATAACAAAAACAACCAAGCTTATAAAACAAGCAGCCAACATATATTGCTGAGATTTGTCTCCACAACTGTGCTCTGTCTTCTTACAATGCATTTCTAGGTCCTAATACACATCCACAATAGGCAACCACAGCCCTAAATGCCCAACACATTATTAATTCTTTTTTAGTATACAATTGAACAGAAATGTAAAAGTGAAAAGGAACCCTCAAAGAGCAAGTCTTTAGAAAGGGTCTTTTTGATTTTGAGGTCCAAATCAAAACTGATCTGGCCCAATTTTCTTCTAAAGTCAACATGCATATTTTCAAATACTTCCCCAACCAACTCTATAAAGTTTTTCTTCCTTCATACAAACAACCTTACTAAACTACTAGAAGGTTCTTTTTTTTAACCTGGTATAAAAACACTTCAGAATTTAACTAGAATGGGCAAACTAACAAAATAAATAAAAAGCACACCAATTTCTAACGTTCACAATGAACATTAGAACAGTAAGTCTCAGGGCAGGCACGGTGGCTCACGCCTGTAATCCCAGCACTTTGGGAGGCTGAGGTGAGTGGATCACTTGAGGTCAGGAGTTCGAGACCAGCCTGGCCAACATGGTGAAACTCTTGTCTCTTACTAAAAGTACAAAAATTAGCTGGGTATGGTGGTGGGCGCCTGTAGTCCCAGCTACCTGGGAGGATTGCTTGAACCCGGGAGACAGAGGCTGCAGTGAGCTGAGATTGCGCAACTGCACTCCAGCCTGGGTGATAAGACTCCGTCTCAAAACAAGAACAGTAACTCTCAGAATGTGGTCCACAGAACCTTGGGGTCTCCATGATTCTTTTGGGAATTCACTGAGGTCAGAAGTATGTTTATACTAAGATGTTATTCGACTTTCTCATCCTCATACTCATGAATTTTCCAGAGGCTACAAAATCTATGTTATTGCCCTGATGACTAACAGAATCTGTAGTTGTGTATTCTTCTTTCCTAAAATTTCAAGGTAGTAGAGATTTAGTGTATAAATATATGCTTTTTCAGAGATTAATCCACTCTGTTCTCAGTATTCCTACTGTGCTCTTACTAGCTATATTTCACTATACATGCTATAATTCAATATACATGATAATGCAGCCAAAAGCTATTATGTATAGATTCATGTACATTTAAAATAATACTATTCTCAATAAAATTTTAAAAGAAAATCTGGCTTTTTTTCATAAAGACTGTTATTTATGTTAATATACAGTGGGTTTATTGTTATTTTTAAACAAATATTTTTATGTAGCCTACATAAGTTTATTGGAGTCCTCAATTAAGAGTGTAAAGACCAAAAGTCTGAGAGCCACTACTCTAGAATACACCAAAGACAGTTTTTAAGAAACTCTGTATTTTGAAATAATTATGGATTCACAGGAAGTTGCAAAGATATTAGTTTCTCAGTGCCCTTTATCCAATCCTCCCAATGGTCACATCTTATCTACCTATAATCCAATATCAAAACCAGGAAATTGATATTAATATGATGTGTGTGTATAGTTCTATGCCATTTTATCATATGTACACATATTTATTTAAACACCACCATAATCAAAAGGCAGAACCATTCTTTAACTGCAATGATCTCCTCCCTGCTACCCCTCTATTGTCATACCTACTCCCCTAAAGTCTTCTTTCCCTAATACCTGGTAACCATCAATATGTTGTTCATCTCTACAGTTTTATTATTTTGAAAATATTATAAAGTGAGATCATACAGTATGTGACCTTTTGAGATTCTCTTTTGTCACTCAGCAAAATGCCTTTGAGAGATGTCCAAGTTGTTTTTTACTGCTCATCAGCACTGCGTGATATGGAGGTACCATAGTTTAACCATTCACCTATTGCTAAGACATTTTAGTTGGGACTTCTGGGATATTACAAAGAAAGCTTTTATTAATAACTGTGTACAAGTTTCTGTGTGGACCTGAGCTTTCATTTCTCTGGGATGTCCAGGAGTATAATTGCTGGGTTGTACGGTAACTGTATGTTTAGTTTTTAAGATATTGCCAAAATATTTTTTAGAGTGACTGTACCATTTTATATTCCTACCAACAATGTATGAGAGATCCAGTTCCCAAACATCTTTGTCAGCATTTGGTATTGTTACCATTTTTAAATTTTAGCCATCCAAATATGTAGTGATATATTGTGGTTTTAATATGCATTTCCCTAATAGTCACTAAGTCAATGTTGATCAACTTTCCTTGTGCTTATTTGCTATTTGTATATCCTGTCTGTTGAAATGACTATTCTTTTGCCCATGGTTTAAATTGGATTGTTAGGTTTTATTTTTATTTGCTTTTAACATAGAGTTTTGAGAGTTCTTTATGTACTTCAGAGACAGGTCATTTGCTGGATTTGTAATTTGCAAAGAATTTCTCCCAGTCTGTATTTTAATTCCCCTAACAGTGTCTTTCATAAACAAAAGTTTTACATTTTGATGGGGCCCAATAAATCAGTTTTTTATTTTATGGATCACGCTTTTGATGTCATATCTGAGAACTCATTTCCTAGTCCTAGGTCCCTAGAGTTTCTCCTGTAGAAAAGCTTTATAGTTTTATATTTTACATTTTAATCTATAAGTAATTTTGTGTTAATTTTTGCATAAAGTATAAGATTTAAGTCACAATTCATTTTTTGCCTGTGGATATCCAACTGTTCCAGCACAGGTTAAAAAGACAATTCTACCTGTATTGAATTATTTTTGCATTGTCAAACGTCAGTTGGTGTACTTGTGCAGAGTTATTTCTGTGCTATCCATCTATAAGTCTATGCCTCTGACAATAACACAGTCTTGAATACTGTGGCTATGTCTTGAAATCAAGTAGTGATTTCTCTTACACTTTTTCAAAATTTTTTATAGTTCCTTTATTTTTCCATTTTAAAAAATTCTCCATTTCTAAATTTTAGAATCATCTCATTCATATTTATAAAAAATCATGCTCGATTTTTCATAGGAATTACATTAAATTTATATATCAACTAGGAGAGAATTGACGTTTTTACTATGCTGTGTCTTCAAATCCATGAATATGGTATGTCTCTCCAGTTTTTAGGGCTTTTCTTTTCCTTTGTCAGTATTTTATAATTTTCATTTCACATATCCTTATATATTTTGTTAGGTTTATAAATTTTTTCATATATTTTATAAGTATTTTTTATAGATTTACATATTTTACATATATTTACATGCATTTTTGTGTATTTTAATTTTGGGGGGCAATCTAGTTTGGTGTCAGGCTAATACTGACTTCACAGAATGAGTTGGAACATCTTCCCTCCTCTTCTAGTTTTTAAAAGCATGTAAAATTGATGTTCTTTAAATGTTCAGTGGAAACCTTCAGTGTAGCCATCTGGGCCTGGATATTTCTTTTTCATGAGCTTTCCAATCATTAATCAAATATTTTTAGTGGTTATAGGACTATTTTATTACTTATTTCATGTTGGCTGAGTTTGGTTGGTAGTTTGTGGTTTTGGGGAAATTAATCCATTTCTCCTAAGTTGTCAAATTTATGAGCATAAATTTGTTTGTAATATTCCCTCCCTTGTTATCTTTTAACGGCCTTAGGATCAGTAGTGACATCTCATTACATTCCGGATACTGATGATTGCATCTTCTTTTTATCTTTTGATAGTCTTGTTTGAAGTGTATCAATTTTATTGAAATTTTCAAAGAACTGGCTTTTGGCTTCATTGATTTTGTTTGCTTGTTTTCAGTTACACTGATTTCTGTTATTATTTCCTTCTTTCTGCTTGCTTTAAGATCAGTTTGCTTGGCTTTAAAATTGTAAATTCAATTTCTTTAATGGTTATAGGACTATTCAGATTATTTTATTTTGGTTGAGCTGTAGCTTTACGCTACTGATTTAAGAACAATCCTCTTTTCTAATGTAATCATTTAGTGCTATAAATATCCTTATCAATACTTCTTTAACTGCATCCCACAAATTTTGATGTGTTGTATTTTCATTCATTTCTGTGTAATAGGTTTAATTTCTGTCAAGACTTTTTCTTGAACCATAAATTTAAGAATGCTGTGTAATTCCCAAAAATCTGGAAATTTTGTTGTCTTTTATTGGTTTCTAGTTAGATTCATTTATGGTCAGAAAACACACATTGTATTATTTCAATCCTCTTGAATTTGGTCAGATTTGCTTTGTGACTCAAGATATAATCTATCTTTGCAAATCTTCCATAGATGCTTGAAAAAAGTGTATATTCTGCTATTGTTGGTAGAGTTCTCTATAAATGTCAACTCAATCCTGTTGGTTGGTGGTGGCGTTTAGTTACAAAATCATCCAACTACCTCATTTTCAAATAAAATCTCTTAGGCTAAAGAATACTAAACAGTGTGGCAACATGTTTAAGCCAAAACCACACCTAGAGTCCTGAATTCTAGTCTAGAACACCATTTTGACATACTATATCTACTTAAGCAATTAGGAACATAATACTTAGCTATCTCTTAATCAAATATGTACTGCCAAAATAAGGGATTAAGAGACTGGGGATAATAGCTTGTAAACTACAAGTGATTATTATCCTAATATAGTTTTTTAATAATCAGGAATTTGCCTAGACCAAACATAATCTTCAAGGAAAATGTCACAATGACATGCTTAACATACCCAGGCACAAAATAGTACAAATATATAAAAACAACATAAAGATTATAATTCCCACAGCTCCTTTCCATTCATGCAAATCACTTTCTATTCCAACTGTGAACTAATACTTGTGACCCTTCCACAAAATGCCTGGGAAGTGTGCAAAACCTCCAGTTATAGGGACTTCTTTCAAAGTAATCCATTCTACTCTGCAGTTATCCCCTTTAAGTGTATTAATGGTAAAATGTAAAAGTTGCTAAAATTTTCTCTGGAAACAAATTTTAGGCAGTACTCATTGAGACAAATCTGTTTCCTTTCATCTGATTCTTCCACCTACCAAATCGAAACTCGTATGTCTTAAAATAATACTTACCCAACACCAAGAATGCGTTCACCATGCTTGGTGATGTTTTCCTGACACTCGGTCTTATTTCCCACATGGAGATGATTAACTTGACTACATAAATTCTGGAGAAAAGGCAGCAACTCGGAGTTGGGTATATTTGAGTTGTCACTTACTTTCTTTGGTAAGAAAGAGGCCATTGCATTTTTAAGATCATTTTCAAGAAAGGAATGGTTTTGAGGCATAACTTTACACTCATCAAGCTTGGTAGAATTCTCTCCACCAGGCAGTTGTGTACTTTTATCAATGTAAGTTTGTAAGTTTTCAGTCACGTTCCCAGATGTCAATCCAGTTCTAAAAGGAAAAGGTGTGGAGGACGACTTGTTTAAGGTTCCTAAGGTAGATGAGGATTGTAGTCCAATCATATGCTTGTATCCAGAATTGCCCAACACCGACTGAAGCTGCTCTCCAATGGGAATACAATTCTAAACAAGGTAAACAAGTAAATGTTAATATTAATAACACTGACAGCTAACTTTTGGAGTAATTACTATGAGTCAGGCACTGTGCATTGTTTCATCCAATCCTCAAAACATCCTTATAAAGTAGGCCACTAATACTATCCCAATATTAAGCTGAGGAGACCAAGGCTAAAGGTACCTAGCCAAGGTAACCAGCCAGTAAGTGGCAGAACTGGAACATGAACGCAGGTCACTTAACTCCACAGTCATGACTTTCAATCATTTCATTGTAGTTTTTCCCAAAAGAAATTAAATAAATACTAGCATGAATAGTCAAACTGCACTGACACTAATGTTTCCACTACAAATGTCTCTTTATGATAATAAAATGTACTACTCTCAACTGAGTCACAAGAACCGGTAAGTTTCTTAAAATTCAATTATATCATTCCCAACTGTCAAAATACGGTAAGTTACTCACTTTCATCTAGTAATATCTTTTGCAATGAATTTTTCCTGGAAACTACACAGATAGGTATGCTATTTAAAGTTAGATGCTCTATGGGTACATTTGTGACATTTTCAATGACTGAAATTAGCTACTTCTGGCTGTGTTTGCTCTAAGAATTTCCAGGATAATGAGAGTTGTTTTGCAGCCTCAATTCAACTGGTTATGCAGTATTATTTCCTGAGAAGATTCTGGCTTACCTTGAAGGGATGATTACAGTATCTCCCTTTTATGCTCTTTAATTTTTCCATTGGATAAAAGAAAATATCTCTAGCCTAAGTCTTAAGGCATATGGCTCCACTCTAAATTCAAAACATAAAAGTCTACTATAGATTCTTATCAGGGGTTATCATCCCACACTTATTGCTGTTCAACAGCTGGTGAAACAGACTGAAAAAGCAATATGTAAATTAGCTGAAGAAACTCAGTTCATATACTTATAGATATTCTAAAAAGTTATTACTAGACTAAGCCGGAACAACATTAATTTATTCAACAAATATTTACCAGGAATCTACTCTGTGCTAGTATTGTTTCAAGCACTGGAAATACAGCAGCGAACAAAATAAATTAAAATCCCTGACCTCACAGAGCCTATATGACAGGGGAGCAAGGAGACACAAACTACAAAAGAAAAGAAGGAAAAAGGGGAAAGAAAAGAAAAAGAGAAAGTAAGGGAAAGAGAAAAGAAGTGAAGAAGGAAGAAGAGAAAAAAGTCAAGAAAAGAAAAGAAAGGAAAAAATGTATCATGAAATGGAGATGGTGATAAATACTTTAGGGAAAAATAAAGTGAGAAAGGAGAATAATAAGGGCCAGGGAAGCTGGGGGAAGATTTGTAATGTCATGTCCCCATCTAACTTTTTACCAAACTGCACTTTGGAAAAGTGCTCTTTATAGAGAAATGTTAACCTACTGTAAGTTTATCTTGTTTTATAAAATGCAAGTTTTGAATAAACTTGAATATTTAAATATTCCTGGAATAAGATGAATTATGTAAAATTATATTTATAAAATGTTAACATTGGACAACTCCCCATAAGCTCAAAGAAAGTTACTCAGTCATAACAGGAAAGCCCATTTATTTCTCTATGACATTTCAAAACAAAATGTACAGTGGAAAACTACATTAAGAGTAATAATATTTACACTACAGTCAATGTCAAAAGTATGGGTGAACATTAAGTAGGCAGAACATTTAAACAGAAAAATCTAAATGTAAAGGTATTTGCTATGTAAATTTTTCCTTTCTGACATATAATATTCTGTTTATAAGAATTCACTGATTATGAAAATTAGTCATTGGTTAAGAATGTAAAATAGTATAGCAGTGATGAAAAACAGTATGGAGGCTCCTCAAAAAATTAAAAATAGAACTACCATATGATCTAACAATCCCACTTCTGGGCATATATCCAAAATAACTGAAACTGGGATCTCAAAAAGATTATCTGCACTCCCATGTTCACTGCAGCAGTACTCACAACCGCCAAGATACAGAAACAACCTAAATGTCCATTGACTGATGTATTGATAAAGAAAATGAAATGAAATATCATTGAATGAATATCATACAATGAAATACCATTCAGCCTTTGAGAAGAAGGATATTTTGTCATGTGACAATATGATCAATCTGGAAGACATGCTAAGTGAAATAAGCCAGGCACAGAAGAATAAATAATGGATGATTCCATTAACATGACATATCTAAAATAGTTAAACTCAGAAACAGAGAGTAGAATGGTGGTTGCTAGGAGATGGGGGGAAGGAGAAATGAATTGCTATTCAATAGGTATAAAGTTACAGCTTTACAAGATGAATCTGTTTTAGAGATCTTCTGTACAACAGTGTCTATAGTTAACAACACCATATTGTACATTTAAAAATTTGTTAAGAGGGTAGATCTCATGTTAAGTATTCTTACCACAATTTAAAAAAGGTCACATTTTCTGAGATGAGAGCTCTTTAGATGATCTTTTCTCTTTGGAATAAATATCAAGAAATTCAGATATGTCTACATGCCACTATAGGAAATGAAGAAATCTCAGGTGCCTGGTAGCTAATCCTTTATTTCTCTTTATGTGAGCCTCCACTGTTAACATGCTATTAAAAATTTTGAAGAAACTTAAATATCCATGAATAGGTAACTGCATAATATTCATAAAACCATAGAAAGCTGTATTTATTGATATCCTTTCAAGTGAAAAATGTTCCTGAGCAACATATGCAGTATGAAAGCATTTAGAGAGAACTGTGTCCATATACTTACAAAGATATGTGTATGTGTATATGTATAACTACATATATTCTGTATACACACAATAGAGATTTCTGAAAAAATAATAGTTTATCTTTAAATATATTGTAGGATTTAGGAAAGTATGAATTTCCTATACCTTTTTGCTTTTTAATTTTTTTGTATCACCTTTAATAATCAGAAAGAAATTAAATAATAAAGTCATTTTTATTTTGAAGGAGAAAAAAGCAAGAGTATAACTCCTAAATAACTGAATATGTTTTCTTTGAGAAAATGGGTCATATCCTTTCATTCAGATAACATTAAATGACAATCATATGCTACACCCTTTGATATAGAATTCCTATTCAAGAATTCTAAATTGCTAAAGCAAAAGCAAATCAAAGCCAGCAAACTGAACTTCAAATAGAAGGAAATAAAAAATAATCTTAATACTTATTGAGAAATCACAAAGGTTTGGATTGCATTTCAGACTCACAAAACTTGGCGTGTTGAACTTTAATCAAACTTTCGAGAAAACAAGTAATTCCAAGGCACAGGTAAGCCAGAGAGAAGCCAAAACTTCTGAGGTCCTTCCTTTCCCCCAAGAGAAGTCCTGCCCAAACAACATGTGTGATCACACCACTTACACGGAAGGAGTTGATTTGGTCATGAAACATTCCCATTTTATGTGCAGAAAGTTACACAGCTTATATGACATTCTCTATGCCTTAGAATGTATAGATGCCTAGTTTGTCATCAATAAGCAATCCTAGAGAACCAGGTACATCCTGTAAGAATCACTCCATAAATAAGGACTTTTCTTACTAGGAAGGAAGTCTTCCATTAGCATGTTTAAAAGGACACAGAACTGTTTATCACCTTCTTTCTTCCCCAGGGTGTCCCAGAAATGTCCCTGCATTAGTGGTGAGAAGAAAGTAAGTTATTGTACAGTGTACATAGCAGTAACCCATGAGTGTTGGCTGAGGGTGGGGTGGCATGGGGGAGAGCCTTCTGTGTTGCTACATGCATAAAAAAACTCTACAAGGATACACGCCAAACTGTTAGCTGTGTATCCTCTGGGGTATAGAATGACAGCTGGAAAACATTTTTAATTTTTACCTAACACTTCTGTATTGGTTAAAATTCATGGCAAAGAAAAATTATTTATAAATAAAACTATAAAAATTTAAAGACACAGCCAAAATAAAAATATATCTAGTTTCATTTTTTCCTAGTGTCAAGATTTTAAAATAATCAGACAGTAAACTAATTAATATCCTCTAATCGTTACCAAAATTTGTTCACAAACAATTGCTTCCTTTTTAAAATCTTCCATTAAAAGAGTTATTATCATGTAATCCAGCACATAAACAGAACCAAAGACAAAAACCACATGATTATCTCAATAGATGCAGAAAAGGCCTTTGACAAAATTCAACAACCCTTCATGCTAAAAACTCTCAATAAATTAGGTATTGATAGGACATATCTCAAAATAATAAGAGCTATCTATGACAAACCCACAGCCAATATCATACTGAATGGACAAAAACTGGAAGCATTCCCTTTGAAAACTGGCACAAGATAGGGATGCCCTCTCTCACCACTCCTATTCAACATAGTGTTGGAAGTTCTGGCCAGGGCAATTAGGCAGGAGAAGGAAATAAAGGGTATTCAATTAGGAAAAGAGGAAGTCAAATTGTCCCTGTTTGCAGATGACATGATTGTATATCTAGAAAACCCCATCGTCTCAGCCCAAAATCTCCTTAAGCTGATAAGCAACTTCAGCAAAGTCTCAGGATACAAAATCAATGTACAAAAATCACAAGCATTCTTATACACTAACAACAGACAAACAGAGAGCCAAATCATGAGTGAACTCCCATTCACAATTGCTTCAAAGAGAATAAAATACCTAGGAATCCAGCTTACAAGGGATGTGAAGGACCTCTTCAAGGAGAACTACAAACCACTGCTCAAGGAAATAAAAGAGGATACAAACAAATGGAAGAACATTCCATGCTCATGGGTAGGAAGAATCAATATCGTGAAAATGGCCATACTGCCCAAGGTAATTTACAGATTCAATGCCATCCCCATCAAGCTACCAATGACTTTCTTCACAGAATTGGAAAAACTATTTTAAAGTTCATATGGAACCAAAAAAGAGCCCGCATCGCCAAGTCAATCCTAAGCCAAAAGAACAAAGCTGGAGGCATCACACTGCCTGACTTCAAACTATACTACAAGGCTACAGTAACCAAAACAGCATGGTACTGGTACCAAAACAGAGATATAGATCAATGGAACAGAACAGAGCCCTCAGAAATAACGCCGCATATCTACAACTATCTGATCTTTGACAAACCTGAGAAAAACAAGCAATGGGGAAAGGATTCCCTATTTAATAAATGGTGCTGGGAAAACTGGCTAGCCATATGTAGAAAGCTGAAACTGGATCCCTTCCTTACACCTTATACAAAAATCAACTCAAGATGGATTAAAGACTTAAACGTTAGACCTAAAACCATAAAAACCCTAGAAGAAAACCTAGGCATTACCATTCAGGACATAGGCATGGGCAAGGACTTCATGTCTAAAACACCAAAAGCAATGGCAACAAAAGCCAAAATTGACAAATGGGATCTAATTAAACTAAACAGCTTCTGCACAGCAAAAGAAACTACCATCAGAGTGAACAGGCAACCTACAGAATGGGAGAAAATTTTTGCAACCTACTCATCTGACAAAGGGCTAATATCCAGAATCTGCAATGAACTCAAACAAATTTACAAGAAAAAAACAAACAACCCCATCAAAAAGTAGGCAAAGGACATGAACAGACACTTCTCAAAAGAAGACATTTATGCAGCCAAAAAACACATGAAAAAATGCTCACCATCACTGGCCATCAGAGAAACGCAAATCAAAACCACAATGAGATACCATTTCACACCAGTTAGAATGGCAATCATTAAAAAGTCAGGAAACAGCAGGTGCTGGAGAGAATGTGGAGAAATAGGAACACTTTTACACTGTTGGTGGGACTGTAAACTAGTTCAACCATTGTGGAAGTCAGTGTGGCGATTCCTCAGGGATCTAGAACTAGAAATACCATTTGACCCAGCCATCCCATTACTGGGTATATACCCAAAGGATTATAAATCATGCTGCTCTAAAGACACATGCACACATATATTTATTGTGGCATTATTCACAATAGCAAAGACTTGGAACCAACCCAAATGTCCAACAATGATAGACTGGATTAAGAAAATGTGGCACATATACACCATGGAATACTATGCAGCCATAAAAAATGGTGAGTTCATGTCCTTTGTAGGGACATGGATGAAATTGGAAACCATCATTCTCAGTAAACTCTCACAAGAACAAAAAACCAAACACCGCATATTCTCACTCATAGGTGGGAATTGAACAATGAGAACACATGGACACAGGAAGGGGAACATCACACTCTGGGGACTGTTGTGGGGTGGGGGGAGGGGGGAGGGATAGCATTGGGAGATATACCTAATGCTAGATAACGAGTTAGTGGGTGCAGCGCACCAGCATGGCACATGTATACATATGTAACAAACCTGCACATTGTGCACATGTACCCTAAAACTTAAAGTATAATAATAATTAAAAAAAAGAGTTATTATCAAATCACAATGTACATAAAACTCACTTAGACATGACTGTTTAAAACACTGATTCCTGGACCCCACCCTCTGGGATTGAGTAGATAGTGAGGGCCAGGAATCTGCATTTTGAAGACCTTCCAAAGGATTCTGACACAGGTGTTCAATGGAGTGTACTTGAAAAAATACACTGCCCTAAATAAATTCTTAATAAAGCTCAAATCTCACAAGCTTTTCAAATTCCTTATTTATCTTCAATATTCCTTTACACAAGTATCTAATTTCCTCTTTATCTCTAAACTTGAAAAAAAAAAACCTGTGTGCACTTAGTAACTCCACATCCCAAATACCCAGTTACTACCTAATCCCTCACAATTTGGTTTACATCTCATCACTATTCAAACTTACTCCCTGAGGATCTCCAAGAAATAGCTGATCAATCCAATAGGTGTGTGTGTATATATATGTGTATATATATATATGTATATAGATATATGCGTGTATATATGTGTATATATATATGTATATAGATATATGCATGTATATATACGTATATATATATGTATGTATAGATAGATATATGTATGTGTCACATTACAATGTTTTGGTCCACAATGGACCCACATATGACAGTGGTCCCATAAGATTACAATGGAGCTAAAAAATTCCAGTCCCCAAGTGGTATCATAGTAACACATTACTCACATGTTTGTGGCAATGTTGGTGTAAACCAACCGATTGCACACTGCCAGTCATATAAAAGTATAGCATGTACAATTATGTATACTGTATACTACTTAGTAATAATAATCAATGACTATGTTGCTGGTTTATGTATTTACTATACCATATTTTTAGTCTTAAAGTATATTCCTTCTGCTTATATGTTTTAAAAGTTAACTGTAAAACCACCTCAGGCAGGTCCTTCAGGAGGTCTTCCAGAAGAAGGCATTATTATTATACAAGATGACAGCTCCATGGGTATTACTGTCCCTGAAGACCTTCCAGTGGGACAAGATATGGAGGTGGGAGACAGTGATACTTATGATCCTGACCCTCTGTAGGCCTAGGGTAATGTGTATGTTTGTGTCTTTGTTTTAAGCAAAAAAGTTTAAAACTTAAAAAAAAATTAAATACAAAAAAAGCTTAATAGAAAAAGGATATAAAGAAACCAAATATATTTGTACAGCTATACAATGAGTTTGTGTTTTAAGCTCTTTACTACAAAAGAGTCAAAAAGTTTTTTAAAATTTAAGTATATAAAGTTAAAAAGTTACGATAGGCTGGGCATGGTGGTTCACGCCTGTAATCCCACCCAGTACTTTGGGAGGCCAAGGCAGGTGATCACCTGAGAACCTGGAGTTCGAGACCAGCCTGGCCAACATGGTGAAACACCGTATCTACTAAAAATAAAAAAATTAGTCTGGTGTGGTGGCATGCGCCTGTAATCCAGCTACTCAGGGGCCTGAGGTAGGAGAATTGCTTGAACCCAGGAGGCAGAGGTTGCAGTGAGCTGAGATCATACCACTGCACTCCAGCCCAGATGACAGAGGAAGACTCTGTCGCAAAAAATAAAAAAAAAAAAGTTACAATAAGCTAAGCTTAATTTATTATTGAAAAATAAAAAATGTTTAAAGAAATTTAGCATAGCCTAAATGTGCAGTGTTTATAAAGTCTACAGTAGTGTACAGTAATGTTCTAGGCCTTCATATTCAGTTACTGACTTACCTAGAGTAACTTCTAGTCCTGCAAGTTCAGTTCATGGTAAGTGCCCTATACAGGCGTGCCATTTTTCATCTTGTATACTATATTTTTACAGTACCTCTTCTATGTTTAGATACACAAATCCTTACCATTATAACTGCCTAGAGTATTCTGTAAAGTAACATGCTATACAGGTTCGTAACCTAGGTACGTAGTAGGCTATATGATCTAGGATTCTGCAAGTACATACCATGATGGTTTCATAACCATGAAATCCCCTAATCACCTTTGTTCTCAGAACATATCCCCACTGTGAATTGATGCATGACTGTGTATAATACTTGGAGCCATAAACAAGACAGATAAGTCTTGTTTACATGAAGCTTGTCTTTTAGTGAGATAAACATGCAACCAATACAAAAACAACAACAAAGTGGTCAAAAGGGCACTGATGAAACTGATACGGATTTGGAGGTACATGCTACTTTACACTGGTTGGCTAAGAAAGGTGTCATTAAAGATGTAACATTAAAATGAGATCTGAATAAGAAAAATGCAGATACAGAAGTATCACAGGGAGGGAGTTCTGGCCACAGAGAACAGTTATGAGTGCAAAGGTCTGGAGGTGGGAACATATCTAGATATTTACGGAATACACATATCAGAATGTCTGGAGCAAGCTGCCCAAGGAAACATGGCAGGAGATGAGGTTGAGAAGGCAAGCAGGGCCTACATTTTAGAGATTAAGGTAAGGAATCAGGATTAATTCTAAGTACAAAGGGAGGCAAGCAGTCAGGGGGCTTTGCACAGGAGAAGGATGAGATCCAATTATCCTTTGAGGTCATTCTCGGTACATTGTGGAAAACAGATTGTAGCAGGACAGGTGGGCCAGTTAGGAATCTCCTGAGGTATCCAGGTGAGAACATGGTGTGGGAGGAAGAAAAGTATACATTTCCATCTTTTTTGAAATTCTTCTTTCTGTGGTTTCCATAATCTTCAGCTCTCCTGGTTCTCTTAACTCAGCCCATATTATAATACTGGTACTACATTAATATTTGTGAACCACACAACATCTACAAGGAGTTCTTTACTTGCATTACTTATTTTAAATTTTCACATCAATTCTGTGATCCTTACAGTGTTATCATTTAGATTTTGTACATGAGGAATTCATATTGAAAAAAATATTAATTAACTTGCCATAGGATGCAGAACTAAGAAGAGGCAGGACAAGAGTTTGAAGTCACTTTACCTGACATCAAATCGTTTCTCTTGCTACTCTATCACACTGCTGCCTTCTATGTTTCTGGTTCCTTTTTCCTCTCCCTTCACCACCCTCCGTCAGCTACTGTGGGTACACCCCTAAACTTCCCTTCCAGCCACTGAAGGTTCATTCCATTTCTCCTAATCCTCTGTTTCCAGATGTTTGCAACATCCTTCCAGGGAATGTCTTATTCACAGCTAAAAGTCAATGTTCCCAAAATTAAATTCCTTTTTCCTCCAAGCATCCTCCTCCTTTGGGCTGCATTTATATTATTAGTATCACCATCTTCAAAGCCTCAATTTCATGTTTAACTTGATTTTTCTATCATAATACCAATATTAAGTTAGCTGTCAAGTCCCAATGGCTCCATCATTTTAGCATCATTTAGCATCCAGCATTATGTTACTACGTCCAATCTTAGACCTCATTCACTCTCATCTGGACGAGGGGAATGACGTGCAGCTCATCTTCTCCTTGTAGTCTCACTTTCTTCAGATTCACCTTACACTTGACAGTGGCTTAAAATTTCTTGAAACATAAGTCAAAAACATCTACAAATTTAAACCAGCATCCCAAGCTGTTTATGATCTAGCTGAAATCTACTTTAAACTTTGCCTATTACTTTTTTGCTTCAGAGAAATGAACTACCATTCATTTCCCAGCTATATCAAATTCTTCTAGCATTGAAGATTTTATTCACCTTATTTTTTGTCTGAAATGGCCTTCTTCCAAATTTACTTGTCTAATCCCACCCTACATTTTAAAGGCCTAGATAAAATACCACTTCTTTTAGTGAGCCTTTCCTTAGTGTTTTCATCATTCCCCACTTACATGCTCCAGAATGTAAAAATTCTTAAAGACTACAGATTAACTGACCATCTTCGCACACTCAAAATTGCTCAAACCAGTGCCTTGTTTACTGCAAGAAAAAAATCTTGCTGAATGAATGAATGCATTCATAAAAAGTGTGAAAATGTGTAGTCAAAACACTTTGTAGAAGGGCAAATCTAACAAATGTTAACTTCTACAAAACTAAAAGATAACAGTTAAATCAGTATGAAAGAAAAATTTTAAGTCACTACATTTCTTTACTAAAAGCAATGGTTTTGAAATCATTAATGTTATCTGGAAAGAAATCCATTTCTACTTACCCGCTGCTGACACCTAACCATATCCATCAACTGCTGAGCTCCAGGAGATAACTTTGACCCCATGGACTCCATTATGGTTTGGACCTTGTCAAGGTCTATCCTTGATCCTAGAGCAGGAGAGCTTGTTGAAGAATTTGCAAAAACTGATCTCATGTGTACCACAACTTTACTGATGAACACACACTGCCTTTCGCCAAAGGAGAGCAACTATTATAAAACAAAAGTTCCAGAAAAGAATGATATTAAAAACAATAATCATTTAATGTAACTTCTTGGTATGACCTAAACAAGAGTGAAGTATTCAAGAATCTAAAAATTAACTTCAAGTATATTTTAAACTTTTCTCTAGAACAGCAATAGTCAGGAAAAATTCCAATTTATCATGAGGCTCAGATGAACTATTTAAATAAGAGTCCTTTCAAAAATTAAGACTTCATGTAAAATAACAAATGAGGTGATTAAATAAATGTTTACCTATTTAAAGAACTAAAAATAAACTATAGTAGTTCCTCTTTATCTGTGGAGAATGTGTTCTAAGACCTCCAGTGGCTCCCTGAAATTGCATATAGTACCAACCCCTATATTTTTTCCTATACATACATACCTATGATAAAGTTTAATTTATAAATTAGGTATAGTAAGAGTTTAACAATAGAGTAATTTTGACAACATAATAAAAGTTATGTGAATATGGTCTCCTCTCTCTAAATCTTACTGTGCAATACTTACCCTTCCTGTAATGACGTGACATGATAAAATGCCTACATAATGAGATGAAGTGAGGTGAATGACACAGGCATTGTAATACAGGATTAGGCTACTACTGACCTTCTGATGATACATTTGGCTAGTAAGTGGCTAATGGGCAGTAACATATACAGCAGGGACATACTAGACAAAAGGATGATTCATGTTCCAGACAGGACTGAGCAGGATGGCAGGAGATTCGATCACACTACGCTGAATGAAGCACAATTTAAAACTTATGAATTGTTTATTTCTGAAATTTTCCATTTAATATTTTTGGACCTCAGTTGACTGTGGGTAATGGAAACTGTGGAAAGTGAAACTGCAGATAAAGGAGAACTGCTATATACCAATCTGAGACCTTAACACACCACAACTTGCTACTTAACACAAAATAAGTCTGTCCAAATGCTCATGTAAAACGTTTACTGAAATAAGTAAAATGCAATCCTTTCAAATTCAGAACTATAAGAGAATATCAAAATGATGTAATATAGCTTGCTGGATTACACATAGAAATGATGACTTCAAGGGTGATTTTTCTAACTTGTTAAAGGACACTCAATTAGTAAAGAACCAGCTTGAAACCTATCTCTTCTGGCTTCTATCCCTGTAGTTTATCCAACATTTTATCCTGTCCATATTTCTGAAACGAGACATTTCATGTATGGTACAGACAACAGAGTAGCAAAATGGAAAGGGAACGGACTTTAGAATCAGACAAACCTAAGTTTAACTTACGACTCTGGTACTTAACAACCTGTGTGACCCTGGGCAAATGCTAAATCTGAGTCAGGATAAAAATGAGAGAAGACAGTAGCAATGATTTCACATAGTTGTTGCGAGGATTATATGTTAAAATTTCCAGTAGCTACCAGTAAGTAAGTGCTCAAAAACCTGTATAAGTAACCATTTTTTTATTTGAACTTCCATATACTATTGCCTCAGAACAAGCTTTCATATCAATCCTAGAGCTTCCCTGAAATAACCCTTTGCACTCCCATGTACCTCCATTGAACAGTTAAAAAAACATTCACCTTCAGAGAGACACACAGGTCCACATGTCAAACAAGGACATAGGTCAATACAGACTCATGATCCAAGAACTCTTAAGTGTTGAACCAAAGATGTGACTGTCTTCAACATTTTAAGGAAACACTCTTATTAACCTCCTACCTCTCAACCTCTCTATTATCCCCCTTTCTCTTTTTAACCCCATAGCCTTTTTCACCATTAAATATAGTATTTATTTTACTCATTGAGTCTCCTTATTGTCTGTCTTGCCCACTAGAATACAAGCAACATAAGTTCAGGCATTTCAGTTTATTTTCTTATTGCTAATTCCTAAATGACTGGTATAGTACCTGACATTAAGAGGCACTCAAATCTTTGTTGAATGAAGAAATTACTTTATTCAAATGGTTTTAGAAGCTATTTAATATATACTATCCAAAACAACATCTTGGGATAATCAGTCCTGTGAGTTTGCTATCTGCCTGTAAAAATCACTTATTTTTTCTTATTGTAAAAATAGGTTTCAATCTTCTATAAGTAATGATAATAAGTACAGAAGTTTAGAGATAAAAAGAATCCAAGAATTTTCTTCAGCTCTCTAATTTTACCCATGAGATAGGTCCAAAATCTGCCCAAGACTAATCCACTAGTCAGGACAGAACTGAATTAGCATTCAGGGCTTAAGACTTCCAATCCATTACCTTATCCCTAGACTCTGAAGACATAACTAACAGTTACCTTAACAATATTTTTCATGCTGAAGACAACAGTCCAATCCCTTTAACTTATTGGTTCTCTTGCTTGAAACTTCTCTAATTTTGTTCTTTTATAAATGGGTTTTTGCCATCACAGTTTATATAGTTTTTAAAAATGTTTTTTGCTCAATTTCCCAACACTTCAAAATACACAGCACTACCATATTAACAATACATTATCCAAGGTTAATAAATAGTCAAATTTTATTTTTATTATTTTTTTAGTGAGATGGGGTTTCACTCTGTTGCCCAGGTTGGTCTTGAACTCCTGGGCTTGAGCAATCCTCCCACCTCAGCCTCCTGAGTAACTGGGATTATAAACATGTACCACTGCACGTGGCTCATGGTTAAATTTTAAGAGAAAAAGTCTACTCACTGGTCACCGGGTGAAAAATTTAAAAAAAAAAAAATTTCTTAATTCAATGTTAAAAAGGGCTGATAATTTTTTAGAAAAGTAATTTCTTTGTACATGTTTACTAAGTATTTCTGAGCCTCATCTCTACTAAAAATTTAAAAAATTTGCCAGGCATGGTGGTGTATGCCTGTAGTCCCAGCTACTTGGGAGGCTGAGGTAGGAAGTTAGCTTGAGCTGGGAGATGACGTTGCAGTGAGCCATGATTGTCCCACTGCACTCCAGCCTGGGCAACAGAGCAAGATACTGTCTTGAAAAGAAAAAAAAAAGCAAGCAAGCAAGTTGGACTAATTGTATTACTAATCCAAAAGAAAACAAGCATACACAGAGTACAAAAACAACTTAGTTGTCAAATTAGTTTACAACTGACAACTTACCTTTATTTTACAAGCATGTGTGGAGGACTCCAATTTTAGATTTTTTTTATACAAAATGATCTTTTCATGTTCACTAAAAATAAAAAAGAATTAATTTTTTTTACTTACATATATTGTCACTTTTAATAGTTACACTTAAAAATAAATGTTTCCAGAACAATATTGAAATCCTAAGATTCAGTTTTCCTGGTGAGGCATGAAGAGTTGGGCTCCATAACTGAAGCACACTGCCTATGATTACATCTACCACTTACTAGGCTCAATGAGAAAATTACATTATATAACATATGTACAACCATGTAGCCAGACTGTATTTTAAAGCTCAATAAACACAGCAATTGTTTCCAACATGCAGGATATAAAACAGTTCATATTTTGTGTTAAAGACAGATTGGAGAAAAATCTTCGTAAGAAAAAAAATCACAAGTTGCGTTACAGGTTAATAAATAGGTTTATGTAGCACAGTCTTAGATCCCTCCACCATTTCTAATAGGCTTCCAAGAAGAAAATGTATTCAAAGTTCCAGACTGACTACCAAATTAACTTTCGGAAGACAGACTGCTGTGAGTTTAAGGAAAGAGACACACTTCTCAAAATTTCATTCTAATAAAACTCTTCCACTAACTAGCTATGACCTCCTACCAATTCACCTTGATTGTTAGTTCTAAATTTCAACATTTATAAAAATAACTAGGCTGATCTACACTGTCTTTTAAGATCTCTAAAGTTGTAAACTTCTATGCCTACTGGCACATTTTTATCTTCTCTCCCATAACATATGGTATCAATATCAGAGAATCAATAATTATTGCAAAAAGTGAGAAAAATCAAAACACTACTTCAGAAGAACACTTTCCCGTGTACAAGTCACACACCTGTCATCCAGGACAGTACAAACATTCTTGCCCCTACTGGTTCCACAGTACTCCTCTCCTAAGTACACTTCCATATTTCTTGCTGAACTTAAAATGCCAATAGAAGCGATTTCTTCACCTCCATCAGGGCCACACCTCAGGTAAAGGAAGCAGGGGTTTTCATCTTTGTTGTTGTGGTTTCTCTTCAAAATCACCAGATCCTGACTGAGAAGAAAATTGGTGAAAACATCACACAGTATAGTTCTCTGAACATGACTCTTCTTTTTTGAGACGGAGTCTGGCTCTGTCGCCCAGGCTGGAATGCAGTGGCTCCATCTCGGCTCACTGCACGCTCCGCCTTCCGGGTTCACGCCATTCTCCTGCCTCAGCCTCCCAAGCAGCTGGGACTACAGGCACCCGCCACCGCGCCCGGCTAATTTTTTGTATTTTTCGTAGAGACGGGGTTTCGCCGTGTTAGCCAGGATGGTCTTGATCTCCTGACGTCGTGATCCGCCCGCCTCGGCCTCCCAAAGTGCTGGGATTACAGGTGTGAGCCACCGTGCCCGGCCGGGGCTTCTTTCTTCTAACTCACTTCCACTTGCCCTTGAGGTCCAAGCACCTTCCCAAGCATCCAAGAAGCGCTCAACACAGAATTCATACGGAAATGAAGGTGTCACACATCAGGGCTTTCCCAAACTCTATTTTTTCCTCAATCAACATTCTACTCAATCCCCTGCAATTGACTCTCGGATAATTACATAAATCACTGGGCACCTACTGGGTGCAGGGCACAATGAAAGACAAAAGTGTATCTTTTTCGAAATTAAGTCGACAGCGATCATCTATAGCTGGACTTTTTACACAGCCTGTTTTGGTGGACAGGAGGTGTCTTGTTTGAGGGTAGAGGGGCGGACTGACTTTGACAGCAGCCCTGAGGGGCTATCACGCCTGATGGGGACGTTATATGAAATTCCGAGTCCGGGTCACCTTCCCCCTCTCACGCCCAGGAGCCTCGGCCCCTTCCCGGCCGGACCCACCCCCCTCCGCCCACCCCGGACGACCTCGCAGCTCCCCTCCCCAACTAGAGACCTGGTACCAACTGCTCTCCCGGATCCCGGGCTCAGACCCTCTCGCCTCCCCTCACAGCTCCCCTAGAAGCGCGGCAGTTGCCGAGCATAGCGACCCCGTCCCCGTCGGCCCGGCGCACCCTGGAGCAGGCGGTGCCAGCAGCTCCTCCCAGTCGAAGTCACCGGGGCCGAGACCGGCCCGGGTGAGGAGGAGGCTGTGGGTCAGGGCCCCGCCTGCAACATCCCAAGAAGAGGCCAGCGTGGGGCGGCGGGTGAGGCCCCCGTCCTCGGTCCGCGTCTCCATTCCGCCGCCTTCAGTCAGGCCAGCCCAGCCCCGGAACCTCTCTTCCAGTGCTTGAATTTCCGCCGGTACAGCGTGGAAATGGGCAGGCAAAGCGACTTCCGGCTCACTCCGCTTCAAGTACCCGCCGCTTCTTGCTTTGGTGGGGAGAGCAGGCACCAGAGACACGCATGCGCATGTGCCAGCTGGCCTCAGGCGCGGCGTTCAAAGTGTGCGGGGAGGAGGTCGAGAGCGGAGCATGCGCACTGGCAGACCCTTGCTCTTTCGCTGGAGACTATGCGCAGGCGCGGTGCACTGCGCGCCGGCACGAGGGTGTTTTCGACGTTGGCTGTGGGGAAACAGCAAGCGGCGTGGACGACCGTTGCTGAGCTGGTGTGGAACGTCTGTGATCAGGTAGGTGTAGTCTCGTCGCTCTACGCTGCGTGCAAGACCGACTCCTGACCTCGTTCTTTCCCAAGGGGACGCCAGGGCCTTTTCTGCTTCCATTCCGTCGGATCTGCAGCATTTGTGGCAGCTAGCGCGGCGGACGCGCTGCCGATTCGGGTTATTTTTACTTCGAATTCTCCTAGCCTCCCTCACACATATTCTCGCTTTAGAGGGGGGCTGAAGCGGATGATGGGGTTTTGGGGTTGAAGGGCATCTGTGATGGGCATTGAGCCACGCTGGCCTTCGCCGGGTGCTGTCTCAGCTGACGCCCCCTGACCCCATGTGCAACCCTCAGGCCGCAGGAACCCGGGCATCCAGGGCTGGACGCTCTAGGTGACAGAAATTTGAAATGCAAGAAAGACCCAGACACCGAAGGCAGGGGCTGCCCCATGAGATCGCTCCTCATGGCACTGGAAACAGCGAGTGGAAAGGGGGGGTCTCAGAACTCTGTTGAAGTAGAATATGAACTCAGTCTTGAAGGAACTTAAGGCTACGGATGCAGAACAGTGGGAGCAGATGGAACTTTCTAGATGCCCCACGGGATGGGACTGTATATAGTGTGCCCCCTCATCCTCCTCCTGTAGAGGCTTGTGCAGATTATTTTTCTGTCTTTTGAAAAAAGCAAACTCTGAAATTCCACTTGTCTATAATCTAGAGTTCCAAAGTTGTGTTTAAGGTGGTATCCTCTCTAGGAAATAACGTTTTTGCTCACCCATACTCTAATTTTCTTTCAGAGCTGTCTATTCTGGGTTCATGACTCAGTGCGCATTACTTTAATCTTTTTGCTTATGTTTTCGTTTGAGTTTATGTACTAGGACTTGTGCCCTCTAGCTAAAAATGAGAATAAACTTTGCATTCTGTTTACCTGTGTCAAAGCAAGAAAAATGATGACCAAATGTATTTTTCTATAAGTAATCACCAGAATGTACGTATGGTAGGTGAATTCACCAAGATTGAAAGAGAGAAATGTCACCAAAGGTCTATCATAGCAGAATTGTAAAGTCCTCGTTTGCAAAGATTTTTTTAATATTTCAGACTCATTCTAAGTTGTCCTTGTCATTATTTTTGTCCTGTATGTCCTGCTTCCTGTGGTTGTAAGTTAACTTTGATCCACATTAATACATGTGGACAATCCGAAGGAAAATAGGCTCTTCAGAAACTAATCTGCAATTTCATGAGCAATAGCAATATTATAAACTGGATTTTGACTTCCTTAAATAAAGCTGAATGTCCAGGAATCAGAAAACAAAAGATTCCTATGGTCTATCCTTTCCTTTATTTCCATACAGCCAATAAACCACCAAGTCTTCATTTTCTTAAAGAAAAATTTTCCTATCTCTGCTTCTTCTGTTTCCAAGCACTAGCTTTATCTGAACAATTCCAGGAGTTTGTCAGTAGCTTTCATTTTGATTCCTTCCATTTCAGTCTTTGCACTGCCCTCTTCTCCTTCTGGTGATCAATGTTCCTGACTGAATCAACACCTTCACTCCTTAGCATAGCATGCAGAGTCCTTTGTACTTTGAACCCTGCCTACCTTCCAGTTTCCTCTACCTAGAATGCCATTTTTTTCAATAGTAGGAAAAATCCTATTTATCATGCGAAACCAAGCTTACTTCATCCTGCTACAGAATTAAACAAATTCCTCTGTGCTACAATTACCACTTTTTTAGGTAGTATAATTCTCCTTTGATGTCAGACTTTGCCTGTTTATATATCTGTGTTCCCTACTATCTGCATGCTTGCTGAGATAGACATTATGTTGAGTACAGGTTTGTTGTATGGAATTGATAGGTTGGTGACAGCTTTTATCACATAAACTAAGAGCAGCAGAAAAAGGAAAATTAGTACATTCAATCTTAAGCTTTTTTCCAAAGCCAGGATGGTTATGGTTCAAAGCTGACTTCAATCTTAATATGATACATTATTCTTGTCATGAATTACAAGTGAGTTTTTTGCTTTACTTTTCTCTTTGAAGTAAATCAGAAAATATAGTTGGTGATATGGTTGGCTGTGTCCCCACCCAAATGTCATCTTGAATTGTGGCTCCCATAATTCCCACTTGTTGTGGGAGGGACCCCGTGGGAGATAACTGAATGGTGGGGGCAGTTTCCCCCATACTGTTCTCGTGGTAGTGAATAAGTCTTGGGAGATCTGATGGTTTTATAAGGGGAAGCGCCTTTCGCTTCGCTCTCATTCTCTCTTTCCTCTGCCTTGCTCTTCTGCCATGATTGTGAGGCCTCCCCAACCAACCACATGGAACTGTGAGTCCATTAAACCTTGTCTTTATAAATTACCCAGTATCAGGTATGTCTTTATCAGCAGCGTGAAGATGGCTAATACAGTTGGAAATTTCCCACCAGTAATGATATGCAAGAACTCAATATTTAGGAGCATATTTCAAATCTGTTTTCAGAATATGAGCCAACGCACATTTGAAAGGTACATTTTAGAAAAAAGTAACTTAGGATACTAATTTTCTTGAGCACATTCATTTAGTAATGCCACAGTTTAGATGTTTTGACTATCTTAAGTAGATTGAGTTCTTACTATATATGCCCTGCCTTTTACACAGGAGTATACTTCCCAGCAAGGTGGTTATAGGAACTTAACTTCCTTCTCAGGACCACTTGAGTTGTACCTTCTCTCCTCCTTTCCCTCTCTTCTGGTCCTTGCAGGTCCCACAGTTGCCAGGAATTCCTTCTCACCCTGCCTCAATACAGGGCCTGCAATTTTAACAGAGTGGAAAAGAACAACCTTCCTATCTTTTTCTCCCAACTTCATTTATAGCTGCTTTCTACCTCATTTTAACTAGAACCTCTGTTCTAGTTAGAAACATTGTTAGACTGTATATCATTTTCAATACAACCTTTCTGAGGAAATGTAGAAATGCTGCAGAAGCTCTCGAACTAGAGCTGAATCTGTGCCCGCATCCATGATTATCACCTGTATGACGCTTTCTTATCCTAAAACTCTTATGCAATAGTCGATGGCCATACCACCCTGAACATGCCCAATCTTGTCTAAAACTGTTATGCAATAAAGGGTTAACTCAGGAAGTCTGGGAGGTTCAAACCCTGCAGCTTCCAAAGAAGTTGGCTCTTGACCAGCTCTGGGAAGATGACCGCTAACCTATTGGAATGTCCTGCCTGATAAGAGTGTCTTTGTATACCTAGCTAGCTTATATCAACAGTGTGATTTATATAGTAAGGCCACACTTGAGACACACTCTGTCAGTTTGATCTCTGGAGCTCAATTTTAAATAATTATTTAAAATTAAATAAATAATACTCTATACCTATCTAGATACAAAGAAAGGTTTTTCAGGGTGAGGTAGGTGGGAATCACATAACCATATCTTGCTGCTAACTGTGGGCTTTATAACAGAGTTCCTTAACACTTCGGTTTCAGAACCCTTTTACACCTTTATAGCTTTCTAATTAAAAAATCAACAACATTGTTCTTGAGTCTGTAGTAACGTACACTAATAGGAATGAGTACTTAAAGAATGGATTGAAAAGATAACCACTGGGTCCCTCCCACAACAAGTGGGAATTATGGGAGCTACAATTCAAGATGACATTTGGGTGGGGACATAGCCAAACCATATCACCAACTATATTTTATGGTTTATTTAAAAGGGAAAAAGGAAAAATCCACTCCAGCTTCAGGACACCTGGCTTAAAATAAACTTTCTTAATGGACCCATTTCGTAAAAATGGTTTTATCCTGTTTCCTTGGGAACTTGGCAATAACTTAGAGGGTTTTAGAGTCTTAAAGGAAGGTCTGGGTGAATAAACTCTTTTTTTATGTTAACAAAGGAAAATAGCATCCAAGCTAAATCAGCTGTAGGATTTGTTATGTTTCGTTATGCATTCATGGCACTTGCACCTTCAGAAGAAGTAACTCATCAAAAATTCTGCATAATATGCTGTCAACTCATTTGTAATATTGCACGTTTCCTACAGAAATAATCCATCTTTGTGCAGAATGATAGAATTTTGAGGTAAGTTTATTAACATCCCTTCAGGAATATGTTGTACTGTTGGGTTGCAGGTTAAGGGGAAGCCACAGAATCCTTTTTACCAGTTTTACTTTTGATAGCCGTGCTTTTGTATACAACATACTATGATGTAGTGTAAATACACCTGACAGCAATAACTTAAGCATACCCTTAGAATGACCCTCTATGGCAGATGTACCTGAATGTGTGTTCTGAGCTAGGGAATCCAGGGCATGGCCATCTTGGGGATTCGTTTCTTATCTATGATAAACATCTGATGCCCCAGACTTTCCCGTAGAACTTGGGCAGCACAGGAGATTGAGGCCCTGAGTTTTGAGTTAGATGAAGGTTGCCAGGTAGAGGTCATTATGGGGAGATTGTTAAGTGAAAATGCTATATAAACTGCATGCTCTTTGCAGGCAGTTGTAGTTTTCATGCCCAGCCCCTGCCACTGGGCTGTGCAATTATGTTGTCTAGTCTGCCGCCACTGGACTCTCCCATTTGTAAGCCCCTAATAAAACCCATGTCTCGTTTGCTGGCTCTCGGTTTCTTCTTTAGCTTCTTGAACCTGATGCCTTCTCTAGTGAGGTTAATGGGGCTTCTGCACAACATATGAACAGCCAAATGTAAGTTTTATTAATTTTTAATTATATTTTTCTTTACTTATTGTGGACATTTTACTTTCCTCACTTTCTCTCTTCAAATCAAGTATGAGCTTTTTAAATAGCAGCAGCTGTCTTTAGTTACATGTGAATCCCCAGCATTTAATGCATTGTCTGGTACACAAATATAAAGTGAATATTGAATAAGTAACAGCCTTAAAATACAAGGCCCTCTTATTAAACTGTTAAATTGTTTATAATTACTTTATAAATTATAATAATTTATAATTATACATTTATCTTTATAATTACTTTAAACATATAACAGTGGTAGGAAGTAAGAACACAGTGAGGAAGACCAGTGGAAATCTGTGGGAACTGCTTTTTTCCAAAGTTGTGTTGAAAGCTTCAGAAACCAAGGAATTGAAACCTATTTCATCATTGTTTCTAAATAGCAGGGATTGATAATATGCAGATCCTCCATTAGCAGAGATGGATCTTGTAGCTTTGTTCTTTCCTCAGACATTTTGGTGGTTCTTAGGGTTACTGAGATTGATGATTCTTCTAGGTCTACCCGCTTTCAGCGGATTTCATAATTGCTTTTAACCTCACAATACCAGGAACAGAGTAATCTTGGGGAAATAAACACTAGATATTGTCAGATTAGTTAAAGATATAGTAATGTTTGAGTATCTGGCTCACATTTTAGGATACCTTTATTACGTTTTTATAAAAATTCAATAAGAAGATCAGACTGGTGACTTGAAAATGACATTGATGTTGAGTTTTAAAAAAAAGGAGCCAATTGGCTTATAAATTTTATATGGACCTGTATTTTGTAGGAGGAGTTGTTGAAATGGGTGTAAACAATACCTCACTGGAGAGTAAAATAGGAAAGTTCATTTTCACAGGCCCGTGAATTTTTGGCGGCCAAGGGGACAAACATTTATTAAATGTCTACTAAGGTATAAATAACATGTTTTAGACCATCTCAGCAACTAGAAGTGAGATTTTTGCAGAGGTTGTGAATAAGTCGTGCTGGCAAAGCAAAGGTGAAACAGTTCGAGGTAATTTTTTTTTTTTTTTAAACAGAGTCTAGCTCTGTCGCCCAGGCTAGAGTGCAGTGGCGCGATCTTGGTTCATTGCAACCTCTGCCTGCTGGGTTCCAGTGATTCTCGTGCCTCAGCCTCCCGAGTAGCTGGGGCTACAGGCATGCACTACCATTCCTGGCTAATTTTTGTATTTTTAGTAGAGATGGGGTTTTGCCATGTTGCCCAGGCTGGTCTCAAACTCCTGGCCTCAAGTGATCCACCCACCTGGGCCTTCCACAGTGCCTGGATTACAGGCGTGAGCCACTGTGCCTGGCCATCCAAGGTATCTTTAAAGGTGAAATTCTTTTTGTAACTAGAGTTTCAGAAAGCTTAGCTCTATAAATTAGTAAAGAAGGGAAAAGATGGGCAAAAGTAGTGAGGGGTGGAGTTTTACTTGCCATTGCTGTGATTAAGAAAATCTGGGCTTCGGCAGCTAGACTGTTAGCAATTTCTGTTACCAATTACAGAACCCAATTGCTGAGTTGGTAGAATACTATGAAAGAAACTAGAGGAGAAAGCCTTCTTCTAAAGATACTGGGGATGGCAGAGGTGGAATCTCAGATTTTCTAAGATGTCTGAGTGTCCTTTTGAGGATGTCATTCATTATAGATATCAGGGTATTTAGACTCAGAGTTGTCTGTCACCTTGCTGTTTCTGCTCACTTATTCCCGGATGAATACAATTCCCCTTAAGGACAATTAACATGTTTGGAACAGGAATCTGGATCAAAGTGAATTGAAAGCTGTCTTAGGAACAGCATGGGAAAATTTAGCTGAGGCTGAAATTGGAAGTAGGTGCTGGGTACTTCCTGCAGCGTATGCGGTAGTCAGAAGACCTAATAGGTAAGGCAAGAACCTCATGCATTGCCCAGGGCTCTAAGTGACAGCACTGAAAGAACAGCCAGTAAGGTGAGGTGGGTCAAGTAGCCCTACCCTGAGTTCAAAGCAGAATGACTATTCCAGCATGAAGCATTACTACCAACATCATTGCTTCTCTGAGGATCAGAAGGGACAGAGTGATGACAACTGAAGCTGAACTTATTCAGTGACAATGCCTATGTGACTTAACCAATCTAATATAATTGTGATTTAAATCAACTTTAACAACAAATCTTTAATAGGAGTGATCTGTGCCCCTTCAGGTTATATGTTTGTATGTGAGGAAAGTTGGCCTCATCTCCACTGGGGATGAGGATTGCTTTTTGGCTCATTTATTGCCCCCTATAATTAATGGCAATGACACCAAAGACCAGGTTAGTCCAAACATGAGTACTTGTACCCAACAGAGTGATAAAAGTTTGAATCCCTTTTCTCTGCAAAGTTCCTTAGCATACTCAATTTTTTCCTTAAAGCAGCTGAGGTTTAGGTAAAGGGAGAGGCAAAAGGCTGCACAAAGGGGCAGAGTCACTCAGTGCCAGGAAGCAAGATTTACTTTAAGATTCAGGCTGGGCATGGTGGCTCATACCTGTAGTTCCATCACTTTGGGAGGCTGAGCCAGGCAGATTGCTTGAACCCAGGAGTTGGAGACCAGCCTGTGCAACATGGTGAAACCTCATCTCTCCAAAAATACAAAAATTAGCCGGCATGGTGGTGTGTGCCTGTGGTCCCAGCTAGGAGGATCTCTTAAGCCCAGGTGGAGGTTGTGGTAAGCCAAGATCGTTCCACAGCACTTCAGCCTGAGTGACACAGTGAAACCGTGTCTGAAAAAAAAAAAAAAAAAAAAAAAAAAAGCAGCAAGCAACTGCCTGCTCAGGCACACAAAATGAACTGCTTTACCTCTGCCCAAGCTGTATATCTTCATTGATAACACCACTTATTTGAGCTTTGGGCACTCCATGGCACAGTAGCCACAACCACATTGCCTATCAGCTGGGGTAAATAGGGATTGCTGTCCCTTTGTCCTGATAACATTCCTTCCTCTTCCCACTCAAAGAAGCAACAACCAAGTTGCCATTTAGGCACCTTGTTTCAATCCTGCCTCTTACCACTCAGCCAATATAAATTTAACAGATAGCATGCTGGTGGACTTTTACCCTTCACCTACCTACGACTTGGACAAAAGCATTTGCTTCTAGGTCTTGGGTAGTTTTGAATCTTCTAGCTTGGCCCTCAGGACCTTTTGTTCTTTCTTTTCTAGAAAGCAACTGCATTCTGTCTTCATCATCATCATCACCAAAACTGTCATGAACTATATAAGCTCTGAGATTTTACCCTATATACTTAGCTTACTCACAAGCTAATCAGCTAGAAGCTGTTACTCTTTCATGATTAGTGGCAGAAGATAAAAGACTCCTGGGTCAGAGACTAAGGACTTTATTACTCACAGCAAAGCAATAACCACAGCTTCATGTCGGCTTTTTCTATTTCCCATTCCTTTACTCCCACAGTGATGACACACGGGGCCAGTGATGGGTACCTATACACTCAGGGAGTTGTACTGCAAAACAGGAACACTGTTTTTTTGCAAGATCCACTGCGTTTGTAGCAAACAGAAGCAAGCTTGCTTTCTGTCTGGAGGAAGACATGATTTCATTTCTGAAAATTGCTCACTGCACTTCATCTTTCAAGATTGCTGATTGAAACATAATCCTAAGAAATAACTTAGGTAAAGAGCAGTCAGCATTTTATTATTGCCATACTATGGGCAAAGGGACACTAAGGGCAAAGGGACACCAAGGGCACATGGAAAATTGCTTCAATCAGCAGGTATAATCTTTAATGGAGGGGAATTTGGCAATATCTAACAAAACTACATATGCATTGGCCTTTTGACTCTGCTCCTATTTCTTAAGATTTTAACCTGAAGATATGGGTTAAGTAATACAGAAATATAAACACTCAATATTTTTTATTTCAGAATCATTTTAAAATGTTGGAAACCTAAATGTCCAGACATAGGAGAGTGGTTGAATTAAATATTGTACGTCCACACAATAGAGTACTATGCTGCCACAAAAAAGAATGAAGATTTCTATGAAGTGATACAGAGTGATTTTCAGGATATACTTTATGAAGGGGAAAAAAAAGTAAAGTGAAAAAAATTTATGTAATGCTACCTTTGTATAAAAAGGAAAGGGAAGGTTAAATACACATGCCTATTTTGTTTTGTTTTTGAGATAGGATCTCGCTCTGTTGCCAAGGCTGGAGTGCAGTGGCACAATCACAGCTCATTGCAGCCTTGACTTTCAGGCTCAAGTGATCCTCCCACTTTAGCCTCCCAAGTTGCTGGGACTACAGGGATGTACCGTCATGTCTATATATTTAAAAAAAAAATTGTAGAGACAGGGGTCTTGCTGTGATTTCAGAGTTGGTCTCAAACTCTTGGGCTCAACCAGTCCTCCTGCTTTGACCTCCCAAAGTGCTGTGATTATAGGTGTGAGTCACCACACCTGGCCTCACATGCCTATATTTGCAAAAAGAAATACAGGAAAGAAATGAAAATCAAATGTGATTGGTTACCTACAAGAATTGGGTAGGAATGGCACAGATAAGATGGAAGGTAACCATGTTAATGTTTTGTGTACTCAAATATAATAAAAATCAACAAATATAAGGAGAAAAAATAGCCCAGGGAACTTCTGAAGGCACTGTTTTGAGCATCAAGCCATGCATGCATGGGGGAGACATTTCAGCCAAAATAAATTAACTGAAATTTGAACAACTGCTCATTGCAGGTAAGACAGAGTGAGTTTTTAGTTTTATTTCTGCCAGGTTAACTGTTATCTTTAAAAAAAAAAATCAATTTAAAAAGTCCAGAATCTCTACAGCATATCATCCACAATGTTGAGAACATAATCCAAAATTACTTGGTACACAAAATGCAAGAAAATGTGGCCCATTCTTAAGCAAAAAGACAATCAATGGAGAAAAGTGAGAAGACAAGGGCTGTGGTTTGAATGTGTTCCCCAAAGTTCATGTGTTGAAAACATGATCCCCAATGTGACACTATTAAGAGATGGGGTCTTTAAGATATGATTCGTGAGGCAGATCCCTCATGAATGAATTAATGTTATTATTGCAAGAGTGAGCTATCACAGGAATGGGCTCCTACTGAAAGAATGTTTGGCCCACTATTCTCTGTCTCACATGTTTGCTTCCTCCTTCTGCCATAGGATTACCCTCTCCAGATGCTGGTGCCATGCTCTTGGACTTCCCAGCCTCCTAGAACTGTGAGAAAAAAAATTTAAAGAATTAACAGGAGGTGGCCAAGATGGTCAACTAGAAGTAGCTAGTGTTTGTGGCTCTCACAGAAACAAATGGAAGGAGAGAGTAAATAACAGCACCTTCAACTGAAACATGCCGGTAGTCACTTTGGGAATAATCAAGGAAACAACCCACAAAGAACAGAGAAAAGCAAGGCAGGAAAATGGCCCATCTGGAAGCAGCACAGAGCCAAGGGAGCCTCCCCTGCCCAGGGAAGTGGTGAATGAGTGTGTCACCCCGGGAACCCACACTTCTCTCACAGATCTTTGCAACCCTTGGGTTGGGAGATCCTGTCGTGAACCCATTTCACCAGGGCTTTCAGTCTGACTGACACACAGAGCTACAGGGAGTCTCAGCAGAGGCCCCACAAAGGGACACATGGAGACTTGGGAGCCTTAGATACTAGATGGCTTTCTGGGCATCCCAGCAAAAGCAGATGCAACTCCAGCAAACTGGGAGATGAGACACCCCACCCCGTACATACCCCTAGGAAAGAGGCTGAATCCAGAGGGCTGAGCAGCAACAGTCTACAGGCCCCACTTCCAAGGCACCTCACAGGATAAGACCCACTGGCTTGGAATTCCAGCCAGCCACCGGTAGCCAAGTTGGAGCTCCTGGGGGAGGGGAAGGGCACCATCTTTGCTGTTTGGGCAACTTAACCATACCAGCCTTTGGGCTTTGGAAAGTCCAAGCCAACCAGGGGTGGAAGGGATTCCCCAGCATAGCACAGCTGCTCTACAAAAACATGGCCAGACTTTTTGCAAAGATCTGTGAGAGAAGTGTGGGTTTCCAATCCTGTTTCTCCTTTCTGGGTGGGACCTCCCAGCTGGGGTCTCCAGCCACCCCTGCCAGTCAGAGTTTTGAAACCTCCCTGGGACTAAGCTTCCAGAAGGAAGGGCAAGCTGCCATCTTTGCTGTTTAGGTGACTTAGCCATTCCAGCCTTCATGCCAACCACAGGGTAGAAGCGGTACCCAAGCAGAGCACAGCTGCTGTATGAAAATGTGGCCAGACTGCTTCTTTAAGTAGGTCTCTGATTCTGTTCTTCCTCATGGGGCAGGACCTCCCAACTGGGGCCTCCAGCCACCCCTGCTGGCGTTCTCTGGCCATGAACACCTGCAGGGAGACAGGCACCCCCATATCCACTAGCACTCTGCTGCAGCTGCCACGCCACAGCACTTCCCAGCACAGTGGACCGTAAACCACGAGGAGCCACGGGACAATGGCAGGGTTCAATATGAGTCCCCCAGAGTTAGAGAACGCAGTCCAGGAGTTGGAATCTGAGCTTTGGCCCCCTAAAATCTCTCAAAAATGAAGCCAGTTGACAGAATTCACCTTATACCACAATCAAACCCTCAAGGTCATCAAATAGGATAAAACAAACAAACAAAAAAACCAAAGGTCAGCAACCTCAAAGATTGAAGATCAGCGCAAGAATGATGAAAACTCAAAAAGCCAGAGTGCCTTCTTCCCTCCAAAGGACTGCATCACCTCCAGTAAAGGTTCAGAACTGGGCTGAAGCTGAGAAGGCTGAAATGACAGAAGTAGAATTCAGAGTATGGATAGGTACAGAGTTCATTGAACTACAGGTATATGTTGTAACCCAATACAAGGAAGCTAAAAATCATAATAAAACATTGTAGGAGCTGACAGACAAAATAGCCAGTATAGAGAAGAACATAACTTAGCTGATAGAGCTGAAAAACACATTACAAGAATTTCATAATGCAGTCACAAATATTAATAGTAGAATAGACCAAGCAGAGGAAAGAATCTCAGAGCTTAGGGACTAGCTTTATGAAATAAGGCAGACAAGAATAGAGAAAAAAGAATAAAAAGGAAATGACAAAACCTTCAAAAAATATGGGATTATGGAAAGAGACCAAATCTATAACCAATTGGTGCACCTGAAAGAGATATGAATAAAACCAACTTGGAAAACATATTTCAGGATGGCATTCATGAGGACTTCCTTAACCTAGCTAGAGAGGCCAACATTCAAATTCAGGAAATGCAGAGAAGCCCCAGTAAGATACTTCACAAGAAGATCATCCCAAGGACATATAATCATCAGATTCTCCAAGGTCAAGATGAAAGAAAAAATGTTAAAGGCAGAGAAGAAAGGCCAGGTCACATATGAAGGGAAGCCCATCTTACTAATGGTGGACTTCTCAACTGAAACCCTACAACCCAGAAGATATTGGGGGCCAATATTCAACATTCTTAAATGCCAACCCAGAATTTCATATCTGGCCAAACTAAGTTTCATAAGCAAAGGAGAAATAAGATCCTTTTCAGACAAGCAAATGCTCAGGGAATTTGTTACCACCAGACCTGCCTTACAAGAGCTCCTAAAGGAAGCACTAAATATTGAAAGGAAAGACTATTTACCAGCCACTTCAAAAACATGCTGAAGTACACAGACCAGTGACACTATAAAGGAGCCACATGTAAAAAGTCTGCAAAATATCCAGCTAACATCATGATGACAAGATGAAGTCCACACATATCAACACTAACCTTAAATGTAAATTGACTAAATGCCCCCAATTAAAGGACACAGAGTGGCAAGCTGGATAAAGAGCCAAGACCCACTGGTATGCTGACTTCAAGATACCCATCTCACATGCAGTGACACACACAGGCTCAAAATAAAGGGATGAAGAAAAATCTACCAGGCAAATGCAAAACAGGAAAAAGCAGGGGTTTCAATCCTAGTTTCTGACAAAACAGACTTTAAACCAACAAAGATTAAAAAAAAAGAGAAGGGCATTATATAATGTTAAAGGGTTCAATATAACAAGGAGACCTAACTATCTGAAATACATATGCACCCAACACAGAAGCACCCAGATTCATAAAGCAAGTTCTTGGAGGCCTTCAAAGAGACATAGACTCCCACACAATAATAGTGGGAGACTTTAACACCCTACTGACAATATTAGATCGAGACAGAAAATTAACAAAGATATTCAGGACCTGAACTCAGCACTAGATCAAGTGCTCCTGATGGATATCTACAGAACTCTCCGCACCAAAACAGTAGAATATACATTCTTCTCATCGATGCATGGCACATACTCTAAAATTGATCACATAAACGTTAGCAAAACACTCCTCAGCAAATGCAAAGAACTGAAATCATAACAGTCTCTTGGACCACAGTGCAATTAAATGAGAAATCAGGACTAGGAAATTCACTCAAAACCATACAATTATGTGGAAATTGAATAACCTGCACTTGAATGACCTTTGGGTGAATAATGAAATTGTATTGGAATTCCTAGCCAGGGCAGTCAGGTAAAAGAAAGAAAGAAAAGGCAGGAAGAGAGGAAGTCAAACTATCCCTATTTGCCGACAACTTGGTCCTGTATCTAGAAACCCCCATAGTCTCAGCCCAAAAGCTTCTTAAACTGATAACTCAAGCTCAGTCTCAGGATGCAAAACCGATGTGTAAAAATAACTAGCATTTCTATGCACCAACAGCAGGCAAGCCTAGAGCCAAATCAGAAATGAACTCCCATTCACAACTGCCACAAAAAGAATAAAATACATAGGAATACAGCCAACCAGGGAGGTGAAAGAGCTCTACAAGAACTGCAAACCGCTGCTCAAAGAAATCAGAGATGACACAAACATGAAAAAACATTCCATGTTTATGTATACAAAGAATCAGTGTCATGAAAATGGCCATACTGCCAAAAGCAATTTATACATTCAATGCTATTCCTTTTAAATTACCATTGAAATTCTTCACAGAACTGGACAAAAACTATTTTAAAATTCATATGGAACCAAAAAGCTCGAATAGCCAATGCAATTCTAAGCAAAAAGAACAAAGCTGGAGGCATCACACTACCTTACTTTAAAATATACTACAGGTCTACAGTAACCAAAACAGAATGGTTCTGGTACAAAAACAGACATGCAGACCAATGGAACAGAATAGAGAACCCAGCAATAAGACTGCACACCTACAACTATCTGATCCTCAACAAACCTGACAAAAACAAGCAATGGGAAAAGGTTCCCCTATTCAATAAATGGTGCTGGGATAACTGGCTGGCCATATGCAGAAGATCAATACTGGACCCCTTTCTTATACCATATACAAAAATTAATATGGAGTAAAGATTTAAATGTAAAACCCAAAGCTATAAAGATTCTGGAAGACAACCTAGGCAATACCATTCAGGACATAGGCATGACAAAGATTTTTGACAGACACCAAAGGCAATTGCAACAAAGGCAAAAATGGACAAATGGGATCTAATTAAACTAAAAGAGCTTCTTCACAGCAAAAGAAACTATCAACGGAGTAAACAGACAATCTACAGAATGGGAGAAAAGGGAAGTGCTACACACTTTAAAACAACCAGATCTCGTGAGAAGTCACTGTCATGAGTACAGCAAGGGGAAGTCCACCTGCATGATCCAGTCACCTCTCATCAGGCCCCTCCTCCAACAATGAGGATTACAACGACATGAGATTTGGGTTGGGACATAGAGCTAAACCATATCAGACATGAACACTTTTCAAAAAAAGATATACATGCAGCCAACAATCATATGAAAACAAGGTCAACATCACTCATCATTAGAGAAATGCAAATCAAAACCATAGTGAAATACCATCTCACACCAGTCAGAATGGCTGCTACTAGAAATAACATGCTGGTGAGGCTGCAGAGAGAAAGGAATGTTTATACACTGTTAATGGGAGTGTAATTAGTTCAACCATTGTGGTAGACAGTGTGAAAATTCCTCAAAGACCTAGAGACAGAAATACCATTTGACTGAGCAATCTCATTACTGGGTATATAGCCAAAGGAATATAAATTGTTCTACTGTAGAGAAACATGCATGCATGTTTGTTGCAGCACTATTCACAAGAGCAAACACATGGAATCAACTTAAAGGCCCTTTAATTATAGACTGAATAAAGAAAATGTACATATACACCATGGAATACTATGCAGCCATAAAAAAGAACAAGATCATTCTTTTTCTTGCAGGACATGGATGGAGCTGGAAGCCATTATCCTTAGCAAACTAATGCATGAATAGAAAACCAATTACTGCTTGTTCTCACTTGTAAGTGGGAGCTAAATGAGAACACATGGACACATAGAGAAGAACAACACACACTATCAGAAGGGTCCTATCAGAAGGTGGAAGGTGGGAGGAGGAAGAGGATCAGGAAAAATAACTAATGGGTAGTAGGCTTAATAACTAGCTGATTAAATAATCTGTACAACAAACCTCCATGACACAAGTTTATCTATGTACAAACCTGCACACATACCTCTGAACTTAAAAGTTTTTTTAAAAAAATATAAAAGGTTGGCCGGGTGCGAGTGGCTCACGCCTGTAATCCCAGCACTTTGGGAGTCCAAGGCAGGTGGATCACAAGGTCAGGAGTTCAAGACCAGCCTGGCCAATATGGTCTCTACTAAAAATACAAAAAAAAAAAAAAAATTAGCCCGGTGTGGTGGCAGGCGCCTGTAATCCCAGCTTCTCAGGAGGCTGAGGCAGGAGAATCACTTGAACCTGGGGGGTGGAGGTTGCAGTGAGCTGAGATCGCGTCACTGTACTCCAGCCTGGGCAACAGAGTGAAACTCCTTCTCAAAAAAATAAATAATAAAATAAAAAGTTACCAAGTCTGTGGTTTTCTGTTATAGCAGCAGAAAATAGACTAAGACAGAAAATTGGCACAAAGAACTGGGCATCATTGGTCAAGCCTGTAGTCCCAGCTACTTGGGAGGCTCAGTAGGCTTGAGGCCCTGGAGTTCGAGGCTCTAGTGTGTCATGTTCTTGCTTATGAATAACCACTGCACTTCAGCCTAGGCAATGTAGCAAGATCTCTTCTCCATTTAAGTAAATAATTTTTTTGTGACAAAAAAATGGTACCTAGAAATGGGGCTCTTGCTGTAACAAATACCTGAATATGTGGAAGTGGCTTTGAAACTAAAGTAATAGGCAGAGGCTGGAAGAGTTTGGAAGAGCAGCCTAGAAAAATGACCGTATTGCCATGAATGGAGCATTAGGGGCAATTGTAATGATTGTTTAAAAGAGGCAAGCTATAGGGGAAGTCTGAATCTTCTTTTAGATTACTTACATGGTTGTGACTGGCATGTTGGTAGAAATGTGGACTGTAGAGGCCATTCTGATGAGGTCTCAGACAGAAATGAGAAGGTATTGAAAACTGGAGTAAAGGCCATCCTGTTACAAAGTTGCAAAGACCTTGACTAGGTTATGTCCATACCCTAGGGCTTTATGAAATGGAGAATTTAAAAGCAATGAATTAGGATATCTGGCAGAAGAAACATCTAAGCAGCAAAGCACTCAGCCTGCTGTGTGGCTACTTTTAACTGCATTCAGTGAGATGTGAGAGCAAAGCCATGATTAAAGACAGAATTTACAATTAAAAGGAAAGTAAAGCAGAAAGATTTGGAAAACTCAGAGTCCAGCTATTACAGAGTGAACTTCACAGACTGGAAAACTTTGGGAGAGATTACTAAGCGTGTGGGCCAAGTGCTGTTTGCTAAAGAGATGACTGCTATAAGGGAGCCAGATATTCATCAAGATCATGGGGGAAAAGACTCAAAGGTATTTCAGAGATCTTTGAGGCTTCCCCTTCTACCACAGTCCCAGAGCTCTAGGAGGGAAGGATGTTTCTGGAGGCAGACCTGGGACATCTTCCACAGGCTCACTCTTCAGAGCTGCCTTGGGCCCCTGCTCCCCACATTTCATTGCAGCACCTCTTGGCCACCCCAGCTGTGGCTCAAGCAGGCCCAGGTGTGGCTCATGATACCATTCTGGAGGTTACAAACTGTAAACTTTGGTGGCATCTACATGGTACTAATTCTGCAGGTACACAGAATGTAAGAACTGTGGAGACATGTCTTCCTTCACCAAGACCTCAAAGGAAGGCATGGACAGCCTGGGTGCCCAGGCAGAGATGTATCACCAGGGTGGAGCCACTCAGAGGCTCACCAGGGCAGTGCCTAGTGGAGCTGTGGAAGTGGGGCCACCCCTAAGATCCTGGAACTTTAGGGACACCAGTCTGCAACTCCAGCCCAAGAGAACTGAAGCATGGACTGAGCCCTGCAAAGCCATAGGAACAGACCTGCCCAAGGTTTTGGGGGCCCAACCCCTCACCCCCAACAAGTTATAAGCTGTGTCCAGCATACAGGACATGGAGTCAAAGGAGATTATTCTCTGGTTTTAAGATTTAATGCTGTTTTTACTGTTGAGTTTTGAACTTAGGACCAGTTACCCCTTTCTTTTTGCTTATATCTCTATTTTGGAATGGGAATGTCTATCCTGTGTCTGTCCCACTATTGTGTTTTGGAAGTAGATAACTTGTTTTGATTTCACAAACTTAGAGCTGGAGGGAGTTTGCCCCAGGTGAATCAGGCCTTGAGTCTCAACCATATCTGATTTAGATGAGACTTCAGACTTTTGAGTTGATGCTGGAACAAGTTAAGACTCTGAGGCTATTGGGATGTAATCACTGTATTTTACATTGTGAAGACATAAATTTTGGGGGTTGGGGAAAAATGCTACAGTTTGTATGTATGCCCCAGAAGTTCATATGTTGAAAACAATTAATCTTCGATGTAACAGTATTAGGAATGGGGCTTTTAAGAGGTGATTAAGACATGAGGGCTCTTCCCTTATGAATGGATGAATGCTTTTATCATGGAAGTGGGTTAGTTACAGTGAGAGTGTGCAAAATACATTGAAATACATTGAGCATTTCACAGGAGAGTAAATATACACAGCCAAAAAACTGAAGGAACAAGTGAAGAGGTGTTCAACATTGTTAGTGATTAGGGAAATGCAAAGCAAGACCACAATGATACTTTATGTCCATTAGATTGGTAAAAATAAAAATCAAATGTTAAAGAAGATGTAGGTCTACTGGATTTTTAAAATGTTAATAGGAATGTAGATTGATGGAATCATTTTGAAAAATAGTTTGATATTATCTCCAAAACTTCAAGTCTAGCAGTTTTACACCTAAACATATACACAATAGTAATTGATGCATACATACAACTGGGGACATACACAAGAATGTTTATTGTAGCACCATTCACAATAGCAAAATCTTGAAACAACCATAATGCCCACCAACAAGATGAATAAATTATGATATATTTACATAATGAAATATTCAGCAGTCAAAATTAATGAACTACATCAATATACAGTACTATGGGTGACTCCCATTAATAAAAGTGAAAAAAGTTACATCCTAAAAGGTTACAAATAGCATACCATTTTTGTAATTTGTTTTAAACATAAAATTTTTCAGGACTATAAGTACAAAAAGAGGATGAACATGGGATTTCAAATGATGGTTATTTGGGGTGGATGAAAATGCATAAATTTCATTGCAGAAATATTAATTTATTTGATTACTAATATATGTATTATGTATTAATGTATTTTTATTAGACACCCACTGAGCATGTAATGTATTATATGTATTGCCTACTAAACTCCAAAATATTACTAATTTCAAACTACATCTGGATACAGTGGTTTCAGTTAAGAGCTTGTGAATCTGTAGAGGCCTGGAATGAAAGGCAGAAATGGAGATATATTTTGAAGATAAAATGGAGGAGACTTGCAGATAAACTTGATTTGGGGGTGAAGAAGAGGGAAGGATCGAGGATGACTGCTAGGTTAGCTGGGCTAAAGGTAGTGTCCTTTCTTGAAATGGGGAATGGGAATGTGGACTACATAGGTTTGGGAGGGTAATCACATTGATCTGGTATTAATAAATGCTTAAATCCGTAACAGTTGCAGTTTGACTGACCTTGATGTAATTTTCAAATACTATTTCCCTGTACATTCCTTCTCAGCTGCCCTGACTCTGGGAGATGGCTGTCAATCTCTGGTCCATTTTCCCTCTGTGGATAAATAGAGTTTCTAATTCCTGGCTCAGTTGATTCTTTTGTTCCACACAGGCTCTCTTGGTAGGGAGTAGGTTGTCACTAGCCTCTTCCACAGTCACTCAATTTCTGTTGTTTTCACTTAATTTTCCCACCAGGCTTTCTTCTGACATAAAGGTTTTTTGGAAGTGTCAGTCCACCAAACATATACTGAGCTCAGAGGGAACAATGGAAGCTACGACAGTTGCTGGCCTGGGAAAAAGACCTCTGCCAACAAGGGGTGATGGAGATGTCTTGACCCATTTAATTTTGCTATAGACAATACCTGAGGCTGGTTAGTTTACAAAGAGGCTTATATGGCTCATGATTCTGTGGATTGTGCAAGAAGCATAGAGCCAGCATTTGCTCCTGTTAATGGCCTCAGGCTGCTTCTACTTGTCATGGAAAGTGGAGAGCCTGCATGTGCAGAGATCATATGGTGAGAGAGGAAGCAAGAGGGGAGACACCAGGCCCCTAACAACCAGGTCTCATGGGAACTAATAGAGCAAGAACTCACTTCTCCCTCCCCAGGAAGGGAATTACTCTATTCCTGAAGGATTCATCCTTGATGTAGTTTGAATATATGTCCCCACTAAATCTCATGTTGAATTGTAATCCTCAATGTTGGATGTGGGGCCTGGTGGGAGGTGTTTGGGTCATGGGTGCAGATCACTCATGACTTGGTGCTGTCCTCATGATAATGAGTTCTCACAAGATCTAGTTGTTTAAGTGTGTTTCACTTCCCGCTCAACTCTCTCATGCTCCTGCTTTCACCATGTGACATGCCTGCTCCTGCTTGGCTGTCTGCCATGAGTAAAAGCTCCCAGAAGCTGAACACATGCCGGTGCCATGCTTCCCGTACAGCCTGCAGAACTGTGAGCCAATTAAACCTCTTTTCTTTATAAATTACCCATTCTCTGGTATTTCTTTGTAGCAATGAAAGAATGGCCTAACAACGCCCGACTCAGATACCTCTCACTAGGCCACATCTCCAACATTGGGGATCAAATTTCAACATGAGATTTGGAGAGAACAAATATCCAAACAATAATGGGGATGACCATTTTTACATGATAAAGAAGAATTTTTCCCATATAACTCTTCTCATCCTAAACTACACAGAACACCCAGCCTTGACCCCAGTGCATGCAGGGACAAGTGAGTAGACTACAGAAGGCAGCCACGCTGAATATGCAGAAGGATGATTTCTGGGGCATCCCAAGCTAGAGTGAAAGGAGCTTGAAATGCAGCCAAGAGTAGCTCCCCTTCCAGAAGGGGGAAGTGGGCAACCCTGGGGCTAAGAGAAGGAGGGAGTATGCAAAATGGGACCTAAGTTCACATCCCCAATTGCTCTGGGCCCCATTGTTGGTCCCACATCCACCCACCTAGACCCTGTATCAATCTCCAGTAGTAATGTGATGATGTCATGTTGCTAATTATTTTTGTAGAGGTGGGGTCTCGCTTTGTTGCCCAAGCTGTTCTAGAGCTCCTGGCCTGAAGTGATCCTCACACCTCGGCCTCCCAAAGTGCTAGGATTACAGGCATGAGCCACCATGCCTGGCTACACCCTGCTGATTTAAGAGAATCATATATCCAGTAAATATGTAATCACACTATTGTCCTTTTCTGAGCCTCAGGTGAGATTGAGGTCTGTAAAGGAAAGCTTTACAAATTTAAGAGCAAACTATAATTAAGGCTATATGTCAATGTCACATGCTTATATTTGAACCTATTATTGGGAAGCATGTCTTTTTAGATAGTAGACACCTAACTTTGAAGTTACAATAGTTCATTTTGGAATTCTGAAATACAAAGCATTATGTTTTTACAAAAAACTTTAAAAATGGTTTTTCCAAAATAGATTATTGGAAAGTTAATTGAGGTTAGATTGATAACCTGGCAAATTCTACAAAACATTTGAGGAAATTATACCAATTCTCTACAATCTCTTCCAGATGGTAGAAGCAAAAGGAATACTTTCTAACTTGTTTTATGAGTCCAACATGACCCAGATGTCAAAAACAAAGACATTACAAGAAAAGAACACTACAGACCAATACTTCTCTTGGACCTAGAACTATCTGTTTTGTATCTATATAGATGCCAAAATCCTTAACAAAATATTAGCAAATTGAATTTTAAAATGTATAAAAATTATACACAACAACCAAGTGGGTTTTATTCCAAGCATGCAAAGCTGGTTCAATGTTTGAAAACCAGTTAATGTAATCCATCATATCAAGACATTAATTAAATCACATAATCATATCAATCGATGCAAAAAAAGCATTTGACAAAATTCCACAGACATTCATGATACAAACCCTCAGCAAAGTAGGAATAGAGGAGTGCTTCCTCAACCTGATAACTATCTACAAAACACCTATAGCTTACATTATACTTAATGGTGACCAACTAGAGACTTTTCCATTAAGATCAGTAACAAGGCAAGAATGTCCTCTCTCACCACTTTTTCCACATTATACTGGAAGTCCTAGCTAATATAATAAGACACAGAAAATAAAAGGTATACATGTTGGGAAGGAAGAAATAAGACTGTCTGCAGATGACATGATTGTCTATGTAGAAATCCAAAAGAATCCATAACAAAAAATCTGGAACTAATACATGATTATTGCAAAGTTTTAGGATACAAGGTCAAGACATAAAAATCAACCACTTTCTTAATTCCAGCAATGAACAAGTGAAATTTCAAATTAGAAACACAATACCATTACATGAACACCCCCCAAAATGAAATACTTAAATTTAAAGCTTCTTTTTATTGGGTATAAAATTTTTAAAATATGCATGAAATCTACATGATGATAACTACAAAACTCTGTTGAAAGAAATAAACTAAAATATTTCGTGTTCATGAATAGAAATAATATTGTCAAGATGTCATTTCTTCCCAACTTGATCTATAGATTCAACACAGTCTCAACCCCAGCAAGCTGTTTTGTGGATATCAACAAAGTGATTCTAAAGTTTATGTGGCAAGGCAAAGGATCTAGGCTAGCCAGCACAATATTAAAGAAGGAGCAAAACTAGAAGACTGACAGTAGCCAACTGCAAGACTTACTATAAAGCTATAATAATAAAGATAGTGTCATATTGGCAAAAGAATAGACAAATAGATCAATGAACAGAATAGAGAGCCCACATAAATACAGTCAACTGATCTTTGACAAAGGAGCAAAGGCAATGCTATGGACAAAAAAATAGTCTTTTCAACAACTGGTGCTGAAACTAGATATCTACACACAGACTTTACCTCCTTCACAAGAATTAACTCAAAATGGATCATAGAACAAAATGTAAATCCCAAAACTATAAGACTAAAGGATAACAGAGAATCTAGAAGACTGGGCTTGGTGACGATATTTTTGATAAAACACCAAAGGTATGATGCATGAAAGAAGTCATTGGTAAACTGGGCTTCATTAAAATTAAAAACTTCTCTCCAAAAGACACTGTGACAAGAATGAAAAGATAAACCACAGACTGGGAGAAAATGTTTGCCAAAGGGATCTTGTAAAAAGGACTGTTGTCCAATATATACAAACAACGCTTAAAACTGAACAACAAGAAAACAACCCAATTTAAATATGGGCAAAAAGAAGCTAGGCATAATGGTGCATGCCTGTAACCCCAGCTACTCAGGTGGGGGACTGCTCAAGCCCAGGAGTTTGGGACCAGCATGGGCAATGTAGTGAGACCCCATCTCAAAAATGGTAAATAAAATAGGCAAAAAGATCTGAACAGGCACCTCACCAAAGAAGATGTACAGATGGCAAATAAGCATATGAAAAGATGTTTGGCTGTGCATAGTGGCTCACGCCTGTAATCCTAGCACTTTGGAAGGCTGAGGCATGAGGTTTGAGCCCAGGAGTTTGAGACCAGCCTGGGCAACATAGGGAGACCTCATCTCTACAAAAATGAAAATTAGCCAGGCATGGTGGTGCAGAGGTTTGTTTGAGCCCAGCAGTTTGAGACCAGCCTGGGCAACATAGGGAGACCTCATCTCTACAAAAATAAAAATAAAAATTAGCCAGGCATGGTGGTGCATGCCTGTAGTCCCAGCTGCTCACGAGGCTGAAGCAGCAGGATTGCTTTGAGCCTGGGAGGTTGAGGCTGTAGTGAACCATGATCTGCCTCCAGCCTGAGTGACAGAGCAAGATTCTGTCTCACAAAAAAAAAAAAAAAAGAAAAAAGATGTTTAACATCATATGTCAGTAAGGAAATGCAAACTAAAAGAACAGTGAGATACCACTACACACTTACTAGAATGACGAAAATCCAAAACATTGACAACACCAAATATGAGGGAGGATGTGGAGCAGTAAGAAGTCTCATTCATTGCTGACTGGAATGCAAAATGGTACAGCCACTTTGGAAGACAGTTTGGCAGTTTCTTACAAAACTAAACACTCTTACTGTATGATATAGCAGTCACGCTTCTTGGTATGATATTTACCCAAATGAGTTGAAAATTTACGTCCACACAAAAACCTGCACATGGATGTTTATAGCAGCTTTATTCATAATTGCCAAATCTTGGAAGCAACCAAGATGTCCTTCAGTAGGTGAGTGGAAAACTAAACTGTGGTACCTCTAGACATTGGAATATTATTCATGGCTAAAAAGAAATGCACTGTCAAGCCATAAAAAGACATAGAGGAGCCTTAAATGCATATTACTAAGTAAAAGAAGCAAATTAAAATTGTGTGATTACAATTATATAATTGTATGTTATTCCGGACAAGGCAAAACTACAGAGACACACACACAAAAATCAATGGTGTCAGGGGTTAGAGGAGAGGGAGGATAAACAGATGGAGCACAGAGGATGTTTGTGCTCTGTGCTCTGAGGATGTTTGGGCTGTGAAACTATTCTGTACTGATGGATATGTGTCATTATACATAGCCAAAACCTACAGAATGTACACCAAGAGTAAACCCCAATACCAATAGTAAACTATTTTACACCAATAGTAAACTATGGCCTTTAGGTGATAATGATGTGTCAATGTAGGTTCATTGATTATTGATTGTAACAAATGTATCACTCTGGTGAAGGATGTTGATAGTGGGGGAGGTTATGAATGAGGAGGGGAAGGAGTATATGAGAACTCTACTTTCTGCTCAGTTTAGCTGTGAACCTAAAACTGCTTTAAAAAATAAAGCCTATTTAAAAAAAATACATAACCAAAACAAAAATAACTATGATAAAAAGAAAAAAAAAACCGGTTGCCTGCAGGGGTTAAATGGGTGTGGATGTGGAGGATGGGAGATAAAAGACAGTGGAGCCAGGCTCAATGGCACATGCCTATAGTCCCAGCTACTCAGGAGGCTGAGATAGGAGGATTGCTTGAGCCTAGAAATTCGAGGTTACAATGAGCTATGGTTCCACTCCAGCTTGGGTGACAAAGCAAAACCCTGTCTCTTAAAAAAGTGGGGGAGGGGCAAATTAAGGAGAGGGACCTTATACTGGACCAATAATGATAAAATGTCATGAAATAAAGAGTTTAACTCATTGCTCTTCACTTTCAGTCCAAAGGAAAATGAGATTATTTGTAAGTGCTTCATACAAATTATATCAGCTTTAGCAGGTTACTCGTCATATTTTGACACAGTATACACTGATTTTGTCCTTACGTCTTCACATTTTGAACATACCCTTTACAGGTAAGAAGGAATTATCCCCTAAAATATAAGGATAAAAGAATCTGGAATCTAGGCCCGACGCGGTGGCTCACGCCTGTAATACCAGCACTTTGGGAAGCCGAGGCGGGTGGATCATTTGCGGTCAGTTCAAGACCAGCCTGTCCAACATGAGGAAACCCCGTTCTTACTGAAAATACAAAAATTAATTGGGCAGTAGTGGTGTTCGCCTGTAATCCCAGCTACTCGGGAGGCTGAGGCAGGAGAATCCCTCGAGCCTGAGAGGCGGAGGTTGCGGTGAGCCGAGATCGGACCACTGCACTCCAGTCCGGGCGAGAGAGTGAGACGCTGTCTCAAAAAACAAAAAACTGTAATCTGAATTCAATTTTTCTACAACACACCCCCAGACAAAAAAAACTTGGCCAGCCGCGGTGGCTTGCGCCTGTAATCTTTGGGAGGCCGAGGCGGGCGGATCACAAGGTCAGGAAATCGAGACCATCCTGGCTAACATGGTGAAACCCCGTCTCCACTAAAAATACAAAAAGTTAGCTGGGCCTGGTGGCAAGCGCCTGTATTCCCAGCTACTCGGAGGCTGAGGCAGGAGAATGGCGTGAACCCAGGAGGCGGAGGTTGCAGAGGTTGCAGTGAGCCGAGATTGCGCCACTGCACTCCAGCCTGGGCGACAGAGCGAGACTCCGTCTTAAAAACAAACAAAAAACAAAAACTTGTTTTGTACCTCTCCATAGCTTAGTATTACTTTTTAACACAAACACCTATTGTTCTCTGTCTGCATGCACTGGAATTGAGGTCTGTGGATGTGCCTTTCCTGACAATATTTCTTCACGCTTGCTGCCCACTGGTGCTGTGAGGGCACAATAACGAATGTTTACTTTGCCCTTGCACTCTTCACATCTGGGAACCGCAAAGGAGCGCGGTGGTCGGACTGTCAGCCTCGCCTTCTATTCTTTGATTTCCAGTAACTTATTTTCGAAAGATTGCTGGAGGGAAAGGCTCAACGTCTCTTTTGGGATTTTCCTAAGCAGAAAGACCTCATCCTAACAAAACTGAGGCGCCAATCCTACTGGCTGGCAACTTTCGGCAGGGAGGGTGATTCTATTTGAAGATCAATCCTAACTCTGGGACCCCTTGGGAATGTCCAGGAGCTAGGAACGCAGCGCCGCGGTCTCTCCAGCCTCTGGTCCCTGGGAGCAAGCAGGGCACCGGTGGAGCAGGTGCCTCTGGGGCCGCACGGAAACCCAGCTAGGCCAGTTCCTCCACTGCGCCGGTAGGCGGCGGAGACGCTGCGCGTGCGCGCAGGGCAGACGGTAGAGCGGAGACGACGCTCCCAGACTCCTCCGGTCTCCCCGGGCAGCATGAAGACCGCCGAGAACATCAGAGGAACCGGCAGCGACGGGCCGCGGAAACGAGGCCTCTGCGTCCTCTGTGGCCTCCCCGCGGCAGGAAAATCGACTTTCGCGCGCGCCCTCGCCCACCGGCTGCAGCAGGAGCAGGGTTGGGCCATCGGTGTTGTCGCGTATGATGACGTCATGCCCGACGCGTTTCTCGCCGGGGCAAGAGCGCGACCGGCGGTCAGCACGGAGGGGCGGGGCCTGGGCCGCGGGGCGGGGCGGGGCGGGGCGGGGCGGGGCGGGGACACTCGCGTCCACGCGGTCCTGGGTGATTTGCCATGAGCGCCCATTGCTTGGTGTGGGAGGTGAAGTTCGAGAAAAGTGGAGCTGGGTTAACATAGTTACTGCAGAGGGTGAATGCGTTGGCTGTAGAAAGTGGTTACAAAGCCAACTGTTAGAACGATGCATTTTAGATGCTTATCTGTATATTTGATGCATGTATATGTTGTATATTCTATACAGTTGAGTCTTCAGACAGGGTCAGGTTCTCAAGTCAGCGTGCAAGGTGGAAAGCCCCTATAGTCAAATGCACTGTCGAAAATCCCTTAGGAAGTTTCTCCTTAGGAGAGGGAAAGAAGTTCTAAAACTTGAACGTCTAGCTACGGGTGGATTCAGGTTTTGTAATTTGAGGAATCCTCTTTAAGAAAAGGAATAAAAACTATAAGTAACAAAATTTCTGGGGTCCCTCAGAACGATAGAAAGAGGCTGTACAAATGCATTATCAGACCTATGAAGCTTAATCTTTGTTCATCTCAAAGTAAATCTGCCTCTGCCAGCTTTGGGAAGGATGGCTGTTTCTTAGTTGACCACCAGAGGAAGTAATGGGTTTGTATTTACGGAAAAACTTGTATGTTCCAAATACATCTCTTTAAGCCCTCCTCATCTCACACTCAGCACAGTGAGATACATCCTCTTGGAGAAGCATGTGGAAACTGAGACCACTGGGGGAAGAGTAGATTACATTCGTGTTTCTCATGCTCACTCTTGAGTAAATACTCTTTGAAATATTCTGAAATGTTAACATTATTATTTTTGTTGTTTAATGCCTAATGTAGATGAATTTACAGAAATCAAATGCAAATGTTATGTGACTCTACTTTCTAAGTATATATACAAAAATACAGTACATTTGGTGCATGGGCTCTCCAGCAAGGTGTATCTACTTTCTCATTCTTGGTTAATTGTGAAGTAAGTGCAGTGTCAGGATAGCGCAGGATTGACCTGGATGATAGTATTTTCAACACTTCGGAGAAAGCTGAAAGTTGTCGATAGGGATTGTTGTATTTGCTGGCTTTCCCTTCACTTGTATTATGTTGTTTTTTCCACGCTTTTCCTATGGACAAAGACTGTGGGACTCATCTGCTCACTTAGGAAGTGATATGTGTTTCCAATTTAGTGGGTTTAGCTGATGTGTTTGTTGTATGTAGTGTAATCTCAGTGGTGGTAAGGCATGGGCAGGCAAGTGAGAGTTCTCACTCCCCTGTCCTCGTGTTTTCCCTCCAGCTTAGATTTCTTAACTATGTCAGGATTCTCCACAGCCCTTGACCAGCACAAGATTACTTGTATTCTCAAGCTGTTTATTCCCCTCAGTTTGTTTCCTCCATCTTTCCCCATCCCATATCAACTCATTTGTTAGCCTGAGGTCTTTTCTTCTTGACCCAGAGACTTTTCACCTGATCTTTTTGCTGTCTACTACCTTTCCCATTTCAGGGGAAAACCTGCATTATTATATCTTAGCCAGACTATTTTGACTCCACCTTTCTCTTGGATGATAAATAAGTTCTTTCATTTATTCACTTATTCAGTCAGTCATCCATTTAATATACATTTCTGGAGCACCGACCCTCTGCTGGAGGCTGAGTATGCAATGGACAGTGATCTAGCAGAGAGAGAAGTGTAAACAAATGCTTAAACTGTGTAAGCACTGCTAGAGTGGAGATATATGTATAGAATGGGGTTTCATGATGGGCAAGGGAGAGGCTGAGCTGCCTTCTGCATGGTTGAGTCTGAGAAAGCTTTACACAGCACTAGTAACATTAGTTTTCCAGGCAGAAGGAATGGTATATATGGAGTCATGTGAAACCAGGTGTGTTAGAGAACTACAGATGGTTCCGTATTGTGAGCTGAAATTTTCATATGGGGCAGGGTGGCAGTGAGGCCAGATGACTGACCACCCTAGTGGCCTAATATGAATTGCAATTCTTTGGTCTCTTGTAGCCATCCCAATGGAAATTGCTTCGACAGGAACTGTTGAAGTACCTGGAATACTTCTTGATGGCTGTCATTAATGGGTGTCAGATGTCTGTCCCACCCAACAGGACTGAAGCCATGTGGGAAGATTTTATAACCTGCTTAAAGGATCAAGATCTGATATTTTCTGCAGCATTTGAGGCCCAGTCTTGCTACCTCTTAACAAAAACTGCTGTTTCTAGACCTTTGTTTTTGGTTTTGGATGACAATTTTTATTATCAGAGTATGAGATATGAAGTCTACCAGCTGGCTCGGAAATGTAATTAAAACTTTTTTTTTCTTACACATGGAGATACTTATTCACGTATCAAAAACACTATTGTCTTCAATGAGAATTTAACTTGATTAGGAGGTTATGTAGATTTACTTAATTTTAAAAGCTAGATGTTCAGTATTGCAAACGGAGTTTTTCCTACTATAATTGTCATAATTTGTCTAATATATGTTTATTTCATATTTTGGAAAAAGAGTATACCAGTAATTCTATCATTTTAAACTGTTTTCAGATTCGTTGGGCTTTTGCCAGCTCTTTTTAGATTGTCCTCTTGAGACCTGTTTACAGAGGAATGGCCAGAGGCCACAGGCACTGCCTCCTGAGACCATCCACCTGATGGGAAGAAAGCTAGAAAAGCCCAACCCTGAGAAAAATGCTTGGGAACACAACAGCCTCACAATTCCGAGTCCAGCATGTGCTTCGGAGGCCAGGTATTCCACTCAATCATCCCTCCCTGGATGCTCCCCTGTGCCAGGTATCATGGTCAGTGCTTTGTCTATGTTGGTTTAGTTAGTCCTCACACAGGCATTGGAGAGACATTATTCCCCACTTTGTGTGGAAGCTAAAAGTGAAATGGGAAAATTTAGTTTGTCCAGAAAGATTTGAACCCAAGTTTATTTGCAAATGTCTGCTCATAACTGTTACGATTATACTGTCTTCCAGTAGTTGGAGCAGGGAATTCAGAGAACACATCTTTGATTCTCTTGCTAAAATAGATAGTCTAAATAGGTTGCCTGGTAGTTTTCTTATAGAAAGAGATCTGTGAAAGAGTGCAACAGGTACTGGGTCCTATTTGCCTTAGAGCTCACCATAGTTACACTGCTTTTGCATATGTGAGGCTTGTAGGCTATGCTGTCTAATGCATTTCATTCATTACGTATGTCTTGAGAGTTCTAGAGCAGCATATTTCTAGCAGAAACTTCGCTGGCGATGGAAATGTTCTATATTTGCACTAATATGGTAGCTGCTAGCCACATTTGACTATTGAGCCCTTAAAAGTAGCTAGTGTAACTGATGACCTGAATTTTTTTGTTTAACTTATTGATTTAAACTTAAGTAGCCTCATGTGGCCAGTGGCTATTTATTGGACAGCGCAGTTCCAGAGGTATATTGCCCACACTTCCTTAGTTCCTGCATATTGTCCACGAGGGATCGGTATCAGCTCACTGCAGGCTTGACCTCCTGGGCTCAAGCAGTTCTCCTGTCTCAGTCCCCTAAGTAACTGGAACTACAGGCCCACACTGCCAAGCCCAGCTAATTTTTTAATTTGTTGTAGTGACAGGGTCTCACTATGTTGCCCAGGCTGGTCTGAAACTCGTGGCCTCAAGCAATTCTTCCAACTTGACCTCCCAAATTGCTGGGATTACGAGCATGAGCTATCACCCCCGGCTAATATTTTCTTAAATTTTGGGTTACATTGGGAACAGTGTCTATAATTCCTTTTGAAATTCTTTTTAGGAATCTTATCTTAAGGTTATAGTTCCCTTAAAAAAATATTTGCTATGCTTTACCTCTTTTAAGACTGTAAACAAACTGGGTGCAGTGGCTCACACCTGTGATCCCAGCACTTGGGAGGCCAAGAAGGGAGGATCACTTGAACCCAAGAGTTTGAGGTTGCAGTTGAGCTATGATAATGCCACTGCACTCCAGCCTGGGTGACAGTGAAACCCTGTCTCTAAACAAACAGACTAAATAGAACAAAAGGGCATGGGTATGAAAATTAGCTAGTGATCACTGGCTGAATAGTCACTAAAACTCAAATTCTCTCCCAGTTCTGAACACTTTATATATATGGTCTCATTCAGTCCTCACAACCACCCTTTAAGGGTAGAAACTACTATCCCCATTTTATAGATGGGATAACTGAGGCCCAGATAAGTAAAGTAATATACCCAGGTAGGAAGTGGCAGAGCCAAGATCTGGACCCAGTGAGATCGCACTCACTCCAGAACCTGGGCTCTTTTCAGTGTGAGGAAGATCATCTTGAGGTTGAGCTTTAACTTGATGAGCTCACTCGCTTAAAACTTTTTAGTGCCACTCCCATAATCTGAGTAAAATTCAAACTCCTTACCCTAACTTAGGTGATCTAACCCAGATTAATTCTCCAACTTCATATTCTGCCACTCTCCTCCTGGCTTCTTTTCAGCCTTTCTCTTGCACGAACACAAGGAGCATGTTCTTGCCCTGGGGCCCTTGTACTTGCTGCCCCTCTGCCCTTCCCACATTCTTATACTTGACTGCCTTCACTGACCATCCTAACTAAAGCAAAGAACATTAGTTGGGCTACCCTGTCACTCTTATCATTGTCACTTTATTGTCTTTGCTCACTTATCTACTTACCACCATCTGAAATTATTTTTTGCTTTATTTAACTGTTTATCTGTCTCTATTACATTATCAGCCTTGGCAAACGCAAGGATCTTGCTACACCCCCAGCTCAGCATGTGGTTGTACAGTATTTTTCATATAAGACGTTCAATACATATTTGTTAAATCAATGAATGAATTCTACCTGAAACCTTCATGGACCTTTGCTCAGTGAGAAACTTTGCTCATCCATATCCAGTAAATAAGCGGGAGCCAGAAAGTAAAGACCAGGCATCTTTCCATAGAGAATAAAGTTGAGCTCTTGTGGCCCCCGGTTCAGCCTTAAGAGGGGAAAAGAGAATGACTTTTCAAAGCTTATTGACATGAGTCTTAGGAAATTGGTATTTTTTAATGAGGGGTCCTTAGCTTATCATTTGTTTTGAGCTACTGCATTTGGATTGTCTACATGGAAGCTAGCTTCTAAATCATTTAGTTTTTTTCCTTTTGTTAAGAATCTTGGGTTATAGCAGTTTCATTCCTCTAGAATTCAGTTTAATATTCATAAATACAAGTTCCTTAAAAGTCAGATGTTGGCTGGGCATGGTGGCTCACGCCTGTAATCCCAGCACTTTGGGAGGCTGAGGCAGGTGGATCACGAGGTCAGGAGATCTAGACCATCCTGGCTAACACGGTGAAACCCCATCTCTACTAAAAAATACAAAAAATTAGCTGGGCGTGGTGGTGGGCGCCTGTAGTCCCAGCTACTCGGGAGGCTGAGGCAGGAGAATGGCGCAAATCCGGGAAGCAGAGCTTGCAGTGAGCAGAGATCACGCCGCTGCACTCCAGCCTGGGTGACAGAGCAAGACTCCAGGACTCCATCTCAAAAAAAAAAAAAAAAAAAGTCAGATGTTGGATATAAGGATCTATTGTATTTTATCCCATTTTCTCTGTAGCCTGGAAGTGACTGATTTATTGCTCACTGCTTTGGAAAATCCAGTAAAATATGCTGAGGACAATATGGAACAAAAGGTAAACTTCCAGTGTAAATTTAATGTAAATGAGAAGGAACAACTTTTTGTAGGAAGATCTTTTGAGCCGAATATAAAATGTGAGTGAAACGGGAGATGCGTTGTCATTGGCTTGGCCTCTCACCAGCACTCACTGCTGACAGCTCATGCCGGCTGGGCAAAGCCGATTGTTAAACTTTCAAAAGTGTTGGAGCCTGTTGATGGTTTGTTGGTAGGAATGTTTACATCACAGAAATTGGCAAACACTACAGATAGGTCTGGGGTTTTTTTCTGGGAGAGTCAATTATTAGACATTCACCAGCATATCACCGCCTAGCTGGAACCCAGTTTACCACTGGATCTGATTTGGTTGGACTCTCTTGTAGGGAAGAATAACAAACAGAAAAGCCGCTTAAACTTTTCTTTTAGTCCTTTCAAATACATGTGACCTATTCTTTAGCCATTTATTTTATAAAACTATGTGACTTCTAATAACAATGTCTGTATTAACATAGGACACAGACAGAATTATTTGTTCAACTAACATTCTTCATAAAACTGATCAGACACTCCGAAGGATTGTATCTCAGACAATGAAGGAAGCAAAAGGTATGATGTGTCAGTTATGTGTTGAGTTGGTATGATTGTGACTTTCTACTGCTACTGTTATTCCCGACACTCAGAGTTTATTAGTTTTCAGTCATAAAAGTTCACATCATGTTTTCAATTTAATTATGCAATTTGACTAAATGTAACTAAAAATTCTACCTCTGGAACTGAGTGTTCATCCATCCAACAAATTTTTACTGAGTTGCCTTACTGTACTAGGCCTTACTCTAGATGCTGGGGAATCGGCAGGGAGCAGAACATTCTAATGAGGAGACAGACAAAACATGATTACATGAGTATATGCCCATGCTCTGAAGAAAATTTAAGTAAGGTAAGGCAGTGTAGTGATGGGAGGATTTATTTTTAAAAAGGTAATCAGGAAGCCTTCTCAGAGATGACATTTAAGCAAAGATGGGTAAGAGCGAACCATGCAGCTATCTGGAGGATCATTCTAGGCAATGAACACATCAAGTGCAGAAGCGCAAAGGTTGGCTGGTTGCAGTGTTGCAGAATCGAGAAGAGGCCATTGAGCACGGGGTGAGGTAAGAAGGGGGGAAAGGTAGTCAGGGGCCAGGTGTAAGATCAGCATGGAATTTGAGTAAAGTCAATGTATTATAAATCTGAATTTATATAATAGATGAAATATGTGGTAACTAGAGTTTTACACAGTAATTCCATTAGGTTTTGAATACTGTATTGCTATATTTAAAATTGTACCTTTAAAAACCAGCAATGAACATTTTTTGAGCACCTTTCTATACGTTAAGCGCTTTACAAATACTGTTTCTAATCTTCACAGTCCTATAAGGTAGGTGTAATTTTACAAATGGGGAAATGGAAGTTCATAGAGGAACAAGTAACTTGTCCAAGACTGAACAGCTACTAAATATTTGGGTAACCTGGGGTCCAGAATTACATCCAGTTCCAGTCTGTGCTTCCCATTCTGCTCCCCTGCATCACCATCATTTATTACCTTTACAAAAGCTTAGAACACTGGAAAAGGAAACAATATACCAGCCATACTGTTTTTGAATTTGTATAAAACTATGATCTACCAGTTGATTTTATATTGTAACCCAGGGTATAACCCAGTACACGAACTCATGTGTGGAAACAAGTTTCACAAAACACCTTCACATGTTTAATGAACTCTGTGTTCTACTTGATTTCATTTTAGAAAAATACCGATTGCCACTTATTAATGGGTAACATTAATAAGTTTGAGAAACAGAGGACCGGAACAGAAATGGCATCATAAATAAAATAAGACAAAAAATAGTTCCAGGAGTTCTCACTCAACCATTTGCCTTTCTTCTTTTCTGTCTATAAAATGAAGCAAGGTCCTGGGGGATTGTGGGGGGTAGGGTTATGCCCAAATCACTCTTATATCCCACCTATTTAAAAACATACAGATAGAGAGAGAGCCATATATATATACATATATTATATATATTTTTTGGGGTCAGGGGAGGTAGTAGTAGTTTTTAATTTGTGCTTAATTAAAAATTCAGTTCCTCTACCATCAGGAAAGTGAAAAGACAACCCATAGATGGGAAAAAGTATTTGCAGACATATATCTCATAAGGGACTTGTATCCAAAATATATAAAGAACTCTTACCACTCAATAATAAACACAACCCAATTTTTAAAAGGGCAAAGGATCTGAGTAGACATGCTCAACATGATTAGTCATTGGGGAAATACAAATCAAAACCATAAGATAGCACTTCACACCCACTAGGAGGTCTAGAATTAAAACGTCCAAGTGTTGAGGATGTGTAGAAATGTTAGGAATGTCAGATGGTACAGCTGCTTTGGAAAACAGCTAGCAGTCCCTCAAACATACCGTTAGCACATGACCCAACAATTCCATTCTCAGGTGTATACCCAAGAGAGATGAAAACATGTTCACATAAAAACTTGTACATGTATGTTAATGGCAGCATTATTCCTAATAGCCAAAATATGAAAATAACCCACATGTCCGTCAGCTGACCAACAAAATTTGGTGTATCCATACAACAAAATATTATTCAGCCATAAAAAGGAATGAAATGCTGATATGTGCTATACAATGTGGAATAACCTTGAAAACATGATGCAAAGTGCAAGAAGTCAGTCCCAAAGACCAAGTGTATGTATACTTCCAGTCATACGAAATGTCCTGAACAGGGAAATCTTGAGATAGACAGTGGATGTGTGGTTGCTTAGAGATGGGGGGCGGGGGGTGGGCGGGGTGGGCAGAAGGGAAGGTGGTAAGGAGGATGATAGCTAAAGGATATGGGTTTTTGTTTTGCTTTGTTTTTGAGATGGAGTCTTGCTCTGTTGCCCAGGCTGGAGTACAATGGCACGATCTTGGCTCACTGCAACCTCCACCTCCCGGGTTCAAGTGATTCTCCTGCCTCAGCCTCCCGAGTAGCTGGGATTACAGGGATGTGCCACCATGCCCCGCTAATTTTTGTATTTTTAGTAGAGGAGGGGTTTCACCATGTTGGCCAGTCTGGTCTCGAACGCCCGACCTCAGGTGATCCGCCCACCTCGGCCACCCACAGTGCTGGGATTACAGGCTTGAGCCACCAGGATATGGGTTTTTGAGATGATGAAAATGTTCTAAAATTAACTGGTGATGGTTGCACATATCTGTGAGTATATAAAAAAAACACTGTATCATACAGATTAAATGGGTAAACTGTATGTGAATTATGTCCTAATAAAGCTAACAGAAAAATAAAGTTCAGCTTCTCAGTAACACTGCCCACGTGTGGCTATTGGCTGCTGTATTGAATAAAGCAGATATAGAACAGGTCCATCACTGCAGAAAGTTATGTTGGACAACTACTGTTCTAGATATTATTTATCAGGTTCAAAACTAAATTGTCATCTATTTCTGCTTTTTTGCCTTTCTGCTTAATTCAGTAAGGTAGTAAGTCAGCTGTCTTGAGTTTTCTTGGCAACAACAACAAAAAGTCCCTTTCAGGTTAGTCTTTTCTGCTCACACGTTTCCTAACAAGTTATTTAAATTCTTTGACGTGTTTCAGATGATTTTTGAGTATCACATTGAGACCTTTTTTCTATATATTACACTAACTCAATTGTGATTGTTTATAGAATCTAACTGGTTTGTTTAATCAAATTAATTTCCTAATGTCATTAGACACCCCGGATTACTTTAATTTACACCAGTAATTTGAGAATATCTTTTTATTTTAGATGAACAAGTGCTTCCTCACAACTTGAAGCTTCTAGCAGAAGAACTTAACAAGCTCAAAGCAGAGTTTTTGGAAGACCTAAAACAAGGAAACAAAAAATATCTGTGCTTTCAGCAAACCATTGACATACCAGATGTCATTTCTTTTTTTCATTATGAGAAAGATAATATTGTACAGAAGTATTTTTCAAAGCAGCATTAAAATTTCTGAACTGCCAATCAAATGTCTCATTTTGGTAAGCTTTTACAAATTTGTTAAAACAACGGTGTTGTATTACGATGTTTTCTAGGCTAGTAATGCCAGAGTGAGTCAGTCACTTGTCAGATGTGATGTGGATAATTAAGCACAGAGGCAGCCTTCCTCATGTGCCAGGGCACTTAGGGTAGGGCTTGGGGGACGGGAGTCAAGTTAAATGGATCTTGAATAAAGAGAAGAAACTAGGAGGGGGACAAGTTGCGGATGTATGGAGCTGTTTTGTTTTTTAACTCGTGATAAATCTTCTCAGGTAAGGTATTTTAGAAATTCAAAGCAGTGTAGTCATAAAATCTATTTCTTTCATTAACTTAACATTTCACTAGTGGAAAATTACTAAAACACTAATTTGATCTTATTTTCCAAAAAAGAAAAACCAAGGTCATTAGAAAGTCTTATTTATTTATTACAAAAGCAAAGCTTCATTCACAATATGAACTGCATACTAGATATAGTTATTTCTGCATTAAACTGCTTTCCGGAATCCCTAAACAATATAGTGTATTGTACAACCATAATGCAAGTTATGTTTTGCATACAAAATATGTTCTTTACATCAAAGCACATGTTAACAAAAACAAGTTCTAGAAAGCATATACCCTCTAAGACTAATGAAAACGTCTTTAGCAGGGAATTAAAAAAAAATTAACATTCATTTGATAAATATTTTGTAGAACTTGAAATGAGGATTTTATCTCTGAGTATTTTTTGTAGTATTCCCCTTGTCCAGTTTTTGCAGAAGAATGGCAAACACTTATTTCTAAAATGAAATAGCCCTGGAAACACCCAGTGGAATTTTTTCAAAGTAAATGTCTAGCCTTAACTTGAAGTTCAAGAAGTTGTAGCTACATACTACATTAGTAAAATCTGAAATAAAATTATTCCCAGTTAATCTCTTCACAGTTTCTTAAAAAAATATTAGTGGAGATAAATTATCTACCAACTTTAAAAATCTAAACTTATGTTCACTGAACAAAAATAAATTTAGTTTCAGAACATTGCCTGTTAACGGCAAAGTACTATAAATAGTGCATGTTAAACTCTTCCCAACAACTCATTTCTATAAAATATTTGATTAAAAATAAAATGAGTGAAACATTCAATACAGAGGGGAAGACACGAACATCTTTTCAAATACAGAATAACTCACAGGAAATTTAAATAAAATCTAAATATTTTAAAAAATACCATACCAAAAAAGCCTCTAAGGTAGATTTGCCTCAAACATTTTAGTGCATTTAGAATAACTGTAGCTTCTTAGCATCAAAACCTTTGGGATATCAACTGTGCTCTTTAAGTCATGGCAAAATTATAATTTTACATTCTAGTATGTAATTATGAAAAAAATCTTTTCCATGTTTAAATTAAAATGCACCTTCACAACATCCATGGTCAGTTGTTAGAAAAAAATGCATTTGACAGAATACAGAGTTAATAAGCTGGTTTTAACAAGGGAGTTCTCTTTGTTTCATGAAAATTTTCATTTTCTATTTTGGGGTACTGCTTTTATCTGAAGAATAAAAATGGGAAAAAATAACCACAAAAACTTCCAAATGACAACCTGTTTCTTTCTGGCAACTGATAAATACTAAAGCCAAGTTACACACTTGGAAACTACTGCAGTAAAATGGATCTGAGCAGTCTGTGATTTAAACAACAATGTAACAGAATTGTAGAATTTTAAAGTACAAGATTTGACAAAGAAGAGAGTTCCAGTTTGGAGAAAGTGTCCTTGATGCTGCTCTTTAAACAATGCAGTAGCTTAGACTGGATGCTAAACTGCAAGAACTCATTACAGTGGCTTTCTAGCATCTGAAAGGGAAAGCAGAGATTCCATTAACTTGGCACTTGGGGGTTTTGTGGGTACATACCACCAATATTTCCCTTTCCTTTACTATTAGAGTTCTTTTTTGGTTAATAGATGCTTACTATTCTCTTTAAGATGCCAATTAGGGGCACATTCAACATATGAACAAAATTAAAAATAGAATTTTTGCAAAGTACACAGAAAAGAAACCAAGTTAGTAACAATGTATTTTATTGTTTGACCAAGCTCTCTTCAGAGTACGTGAGTTATTACACAATATAAAAACAATAGCCTCCTATTCAAAATGAATTACTCTATATTTAGTAAGTCTTATTTTTATAAACAAATTAAATGTCATGTTTAGATGCATTTTATATTCACTTCCACACCTTTTTATCCTTTCTTACTAAAGCGATGATTTAGTTTCTACACAGTTTCGTCACTGTACATGAAGACTGGTAAAACTGCAAATAAGAATTACAATTTGAAGTCACAGAAAATATTTTAAATGGCTAATTCTGAAGAGGAGACAAGAATCCATTTTGGACATGTTCTCAGTTTTGTAAATATGACTTCACTATCACATTCTCTCATGTGTTTCCATACCCACCTTTTCTTGGAAATTATGGGCAGAAAATGGATAGAAGGAAGGAAAAGGAATCTTGAGAAATTTGTTTGGAGGCTGCATTTTAATAATAAGGATGACTTCACTTTATCTCTTTGGTCATCAAAGGAATAGGAAGAATAAGAGATTCTCATTATAGTTATCCACCTCACCTAACAGTAATGATATCAGAATGAAGGATTTAAATGAAAGTCAAACTGACAGGGGAAAAAGGCATCTAGCACTCTAGTGTATTTACCTGTGAAAATAAAAATCCAGTGGAAAACTGACATGTGTTTAGACATTGAATAAACAAGTTATTTTAAATATTAAAAGAATTTTCAATTTCAAGTCTTAACTGTTTTACATTTCCTCTTGTGGAAAAAAGAAAATTTTTACTAAACTGAAATAGCTTTACTATTATCAGTTGAAATGAAACTACCGATTCAACTTAAGGAATGTGAACTAAATGATATTTCAATTAATAGCAATTTTTAAGGCAATTTCTGTACTAAACACTGAAATGAGTAGTAATAAATTCTGTAATTTATTCTACCATTTTGAAATATGGCAGAAATAACATCCAGTTCAATGCATATTGAAACATCAAAAGTATGGATAAGCCTTGAAGTTTTTATGGACCATAAATGTGAGAAATTCAAATGAACATCTTGTAAGATTATGACTGCACTCCAATTCTCCAATGTCGAAAGGAAAGGAAAAAAGAGACACCAATGTGTCTAACTGTTCTAATATATAAATGACCCTGACCAGATTTTTATGAAAAAAAGGGGAAATTTTATTCCACTGACAAATTTATATTCTATAAATATAATGTATAAGCCTTGAATTAGCAGACACTTTATTAGGGATGACCAAAACAAAAAACAAAAAAAACCAAACCACAAAAACAGCAAAACTAAGTAAAATATGACTATTTTCAATCAATGTTGGTTATGTTGCCCTCTTGCAAAATGACAGGCAAAATCATACTTGTTTTTACATTTGCATCCACATATATTACACTGAAAAGGATTTTCATACCCATGACATCCCATATGAATAGTGTAAAGGATGTTGTCTGCAAAGTACATATCACAGTGCTGGCAGTGGTGCAGAAGCTGAGGGTCCTGGACCGGCAGGGCTGGGGCTGGGGTGCTTGGCTGGCTGTTTCCTATGCTGGGAGTGCTCGTGTGGGCACTTGGCTCACTGCTTGGACCTGCCACTGGACTATAGTTCCTTTGACTATGGGATGGCCGAGGTTCTGGGCTTGTGGGAGAGGAGCTCTGAGGAATACTTGCTGATACGGCAGAAACTACTGCTTGGGTAGAGGGCTGCTGAATCATGAAAGGCTTTTCATCAGGGCAGGGAACTACATCAGGGGATGCAGGGTTTTGGTTTTCGGGTGGCAGACTGGACAACTGCCCTGCTAGAGTCGAGAGCTGATTCAAAGGGTTATCAACCATGAGTTCTTGGGGGTCCCTTGGAAGGCCACCAGTTGGTGTGGTTTTTGCCATACTTTCATAGGAGTCAGTCTGGATATTTGGGATTTCGTGGGTAAAATCGTTAAGGTAGTCTGGTTTCTGAACCACCATGGAAGGTGGACTTAAGTTGATTAGTGCTCTTCTGCTATAGCCCAGATTGCTTGTTTTCTTCTGTAAAACCCCCCACATTTTCTTGCTGCTTAAGGAAGACCTAGTACCTTTAATTGGTACCATTTTATGCTTGCGCCTTCGATGATGGGACAAGTTACTTCGATCACTGCAGCGGAAGGAACATAATTCACATTTGTATGGTTTTTCTCCAGTATGAGAACGCATATGGGCTTCCAGATGACGCTCATAAGCAGATGCAAATGGACAAAGATGACATCGATGAGGTTTTTCACCTGTTTCAAAAGAAAAATGATGGAGAAACTACAAGAGTAGTTCATTTATGGAAAGTTTTGCTTGTCCATTCATTGGACAACTGGAAATTGATCAAAAAGAAAATGCTTTCAGAAAGTCATATTTGCATAGCATATGAGATTGTTAAAATTTGTAAATAAACCCACAAATTGAAATAAAGCTTAAGAACTCATCAGCAACAACCTGAAATATGCATTGATGTTGTATTAGTCAATACAGTATAAAAACTGTTATGGCTTCGAATGCATTTAGAGAGAAGAAACAGTACAATTGAAATATTCTAGTAATAGTCTTACATAATAATGAGTTTATCAAAAGTATGTCTCAGTTATATATTCATGTATACATTTATATACATTCATATTCACACACACACATATGCATACCCTTTGCTCACAGAAAAAAAAATACAAAAAAAGCTTTTTTTAAAGTCCTTATATGAAATAGAAAGCTCAGAATTGAAATGGGCTTGCTAGTCTGAGTTATGCAAAGCATCCCTTCAAAATTGCTAGTGCTTCTCCTCCATCTTCCTACTCTTCAGCTGCCAGAAGGAACAACTATAGTTAATGTTGTTAACTGAAGACTGCCCAATTATGTGAAATAAACATTTGGAATATGAGATTTAGAGTCATTCATCTAGTAAGTATGTGTCACATGCCCTCCTAGGCTCTGGGGGTACAAAGATGGTCTTGTCACAATTGCCCTGTCCTCAAGAGGCTCTCAGGCTACAATGATGTGATGAATGAGCACAGGATGCATGAAGCACACAGGAAGGACGTCTGACCTGGTCTTGGGCAGAGGGCAGATGTAGTTGGGAAAGTTTCTCAGAAGGGACAGCTAAAGTGAGATCTGGGATTAGCAGTACCATCTGCAACTGTATACTTTCTGAAACCTTTCCCCCTTTCGGCAAATGAAACGTAATAGGATAAAGATTAAAACATTTTATCACATCGCAGTGCTTTAGCATTATTCCTTCCCAATCTGAGAGGCAGGCAGATGTTGAGAGATTATTTGGATCAAGAGGGAAACACGGCTAAGGAAGGAGAGGATCTACAAAGGGCATCACTTCTGACCTGTTTGTATGTTGTTATGTTGTTGCTTTGAAAAATGGAGTAACTTTCCCATTTATTCGAACTTTACATAAACCTTCATTTTTGAATATTAAAACTATTTCTATGACAAACCAACCTGCCCCCCTTGGCCCCTCTCCTGCCCTCACAGAAATGCTTTTTCCAGCTGTCTTTCCATTACCTGTGTGGATTCTGATGTGTTCAATAAGCCGGGCTGTTCCTTTGCTGGCATAGTTGCAGTACCGACACTTAAGCTTCCCATCAAAGGTCCTTTCAAACCCGTCTACTAACATTCCTGAGTTTTCATCCAAGGAAACTTCAACAGATGGGTGATCAAGTCCATTTTGATCACCATCTGTTCCAGCTATAAACAAAGTACCGCAAAAGAAATTATGCATCTCAGAATCAACTCAATTTAGCATTTCAGTTTTAAGTGGTTGAAAAATCTTATAAATTGACAGTTCACTTCTCACAAAAGTTAAGTCCATTTTATAACAGACTTTCTGAACTGAGGCTAATTTTATACAAAAGCAGTAATACATTCTGTATTATATTCTGAGAACCTTTTATTGGGGGATCTCAAATTATTTACACAAGGCCAGTGCAGTGGCTCATACCTGTAATCCCAGAACTTTGGGAGGCAGAGGTGGGGGGATAGCTTGAGGCCAGGAGTTAGAGACCAGCCTAGCCAACATGGCAAAACCCTGTCTCTACTTAAAAAAAAAAAAAAAAATTACAAAAATTAGCTGGGCATGGTGGTGCACACCTGTAGTCCCAGCTACTCAGGAGGCTGAGGCATGAGAATCGCTGGAATCCAGGAGGCAGAGGTTGCAGTGAGCCAAGATTGTGCCACTGTACTCCAGCCTGGGCGACAGAGCAAGACTGTGTCTCAAAAACAAAGAAAACAAAATTACTTACACACACATTGTACTGGTCCTTAACATGTTTTTGAAGAAGTGAACAGGTGAGGAGGGAGGGGAATAAAGAGATTCACTGGAGAGTGATGGCACAGTTACACACAGGTGTTTAGCACCCTCGCTATTTCTACAACTGAAACTGGCAGTCAAAGAATCTCCAAAACCCTAACTCTATTTATTTTAGTCTGAAGCAGTGAATAAGTTTTCCACATCCCAGTGTTTATATGTACGTTCTAGATCTCTGTTCCATTTAGGATCTTAAAATTCTAATTAAGCCCATAAAGGAAAGTATCGTCCCTGATACCTCTGAAGGTTAAGGTTTTAAGAATCTCAGAGATAAAACATGTTTGGCTGTTTGCTTTTAATCTAATCTGACTACTTTTTTGTAGAAAGAAACTGAAGAGACCTGATGCTCATAATCAGGAAAATCGGCAAATGGCTGGGACTACAACCCTGGTCTCTTGAATCCTGTTTGGAAATCTGTGCGTTAGGAGGGAAATTTCCATTCCTACAGCTTCATGGGAAAAGGTCTACTCCATTTCAGGAGGTAACAGTCCTGGCATGCACAATTCAAGCCCCCTGCTTCACCGGTTCCTCACTCCTCACTAGGAGAAGTGATTCTGCTGGTTGAGACAAGACCAATATCCAAGAGGGCTACACTGCATTCGAGGGACAAGGCTCAGTGTCTTCCTCTCTCCCACTGCTTTCCCAAGCCAGTCACTATCACATTTTAATGTGTATGTGAATTACTTGGGGGATCTTATTAAAACACAGATTATAATTCAGTAGATCTGGGGTGGTGTCTGGTGTTTTGTATTTTTAACAAGCTCCCGGGTGATGCCTGGTCCCTGCTGCTAGTCCCTGCATTATAAGGCCGTACCCAGACTATCTAGGTCAGGGGTCAGCAAACTTTTTCTATAGGCATGAAATAGTAAATACTTCAGGCTTTGTGGGCCATATGGTCTCTACCACAACTGCTCAACTCTGCTGTTTTAGCAAAACAAACAAAAACAGCTACAGAAAATATGTAAACAAATGAGCATATCTGTGTTCCAATTAAATTTTACTTATGTGGACTCAAGTTTGAACTTCACAGAATTTTCATGTATCATTACATTATTCTCCTTTTGACACTTTTAAAACCATCTTTAAATGTAAAAACCATTCTTAGCTTGCAGGCCATACAAAAACAGCAGTCCAGATGGGGCCCACGGGCTATAGTTTGCTGACCTCCGAGCTAGGTTAGGAATAAATTCCAGTTTTTTGTGGCAAGCAAATTAGACAAAATTTACCTCTAGCAGGCTCAAGGAGGTCACCACTTTCTCTATTTTCATTTCTCTTCTTGGATAGGTAAACATGGTCAGCCCTTTCTTCATTTTAAGAGAGAAGAAACTGAAACCCCTATTTTTATCTCAGGTCGAATCCAGATTTCCTGATGGCCTAATGGTTTGTATAGTGAAGCTGATATTCCAATCCCCTTTGGGTTCTTTGTGTCTAATGGTAGCTCATAAAAACTGGAGGACAGGAAGGGTATTTGGAGCCCCTAACCTTCCAACAAGACCATAATGCATCTCCAGACCATGTTAAGTACTCTCCAGCAGAAGTCTGATATGTTTAAAAAAGGGGGAAAAAATGCCCTGTATCTTTCTAGAAAAAACAGAATGATTCACATTAATGCGCAGTGGTCTTCACAGTAACAGCTACACGCAATCATAGTACGTGTATAAAAAGTGAATTACTTAGTAGTATTAAAATGAGTCTACCTCCCTGAAGAGCCTCTGCTTCTTTGTCCCCACTAACTGATCCAGAAATCATGTTCACGTGATGGGTCTGCTGAGTCAGGTATTCCTGAAAATCTTTCACGAAGTCCAAAGGCTCTGGTTTTTTTTCACCCATCTTTGCTTTTTTAACATTTACAGTTTGTTAGACCTAGAAAACAAAACTGAAACAATTTTACACTATTTAGGGAGATCTAGTACATAGCAAACAAATGACAAAAGCTATTTTGTGCAAGACACTATATAAAGCAAGAGAAAACACAGTGCCTGCCTTTCAGCATCTTATAATCTTACTGGTGAACTAAAGACATACACAAAATGGTAAAAAATCAATATATTTAATAATTAAATATAAATACGGATTCAAACTTAGTCACAGAGGATGGGAAGAAATTTCAAAGGCAGAAAAAAAGAGAAAACAAGTTCAGATTAAATAAATAAGAACACAAGCAGAGATTATTGATGAAGAAGACAAGAAACCAAGGAGACCGGAGACCAACATAGGGAGAACTTGTCCCTACAAAAAAAAGTGTTTTTAATTAGCTGAGTGGTGGCACATGCTGATGGTCCCAGCTACTCAGGAGGCTGAGGCAGGAGAATTGCTTGGGTCTGAGTGGTCAAGGCTGCAGTGAGCCGTGATTGCACCACTGGACTCCAACCTGGTTGACAAAAGGAGACTATTTTCTGGATGATGGACATGTTTCTTATCTGTGCTATTCCTACGCAGTTGCTACTAGCCACATATAGCTACTGAGGCACTTGAAATTTGGCTAATACATATGACCTGAGTTTTTAATGTTATTAATTTAAATAGAAATAGCTGCATGCAGCTAGTAACTACCAGCAAAGGCTCTTAAGACATAGTGTTCACATGAATGAGTAGTCTGCAAATAAGTGGTCTAGAACTAGGGGTTGCAAAGTTTTTATGAAGGGCCAGTTAGTAAATATTTTAGGCTTTGCAAGCCATGCTCATCTTTGCTGCAATTACTCAACTGTGTCACGGTAAGAAGCCACAGACAATAGGCAGCCACAGACAGTATGTAAACAAATGGGTGGGGCTATGTTCCAATTAGACTTTATAACAACAGGCGTTGAGCCAGATTTGGCCTACAGGCCTTAGCTTCCCAACCCCTGCTCTAGAAATATCCAAATCACCACCTCTACTACCTATCATCCTATCCACTCCAAGACTAGGGAAAAATAAAAAAGTAAAAGAAAATCCCTGACCGTAGTGTAGAAAGGGAAAGTCTCTTGTGTGTTCTGCAATCACAAGCTGGTCTTCACATAGGTTTATGGCCCAAATTCACAAATAAAATAGCCAAAAAAGTTTTCTAGTAAGAATAAGATGAAGTCTAGCACCTGGGATAAAAAAGGTCTTTTCTTCCAGGAAAAACAATTTTTATGCAAATAAGTACAATTCTCTGGTAAATATACCTTATAAAATCTTCTTTTTCTAAACTCAAACTATTTAATGAATAATTTTCCATCTAAACAAGCTTCCATCTTTAGTAGCCAGTGGTAGACAAAAAATTACTCACTTTCAGCATATATGCTTAACTTTTTGTTGAAGTCTTGTACATATATAGAAAAGCACATAAATCATAAGAGCAGAGCTCAATGAATTGTCACAAAATGAACACATTCATAAAATCAGCACCACAATCAAGAAACAGAAGGATGCCGGCATCCCAGAAACCCCCCTCGTGTACCCTTCCAATGCTAGGACCCTCTGCCCTGACAAGGGTTACAGCCATCCTGACTTCTGACTCTGTAGATTAGTTTTGTCTGTTCTTCAGCTTTATGTAAATGGAATCACACACTATGAACCTTTGTCTGGCTTCTGTCACTCAACATTGTAATTGTAAGATTCATCCATATTGTTGCATGCAACTGAAGTTTGCTCAAATTTACTGCTGGAGTCTGTTGTATGACCATGCCACAACTCATTTATCTCTTATACTGTTTTTAGATCATTTGGGTAATTTCCAGTAATTGGCTGCTGTGAATAAAGTTTCTATGAACATATTACTACACGTTTTTTGATTACGTACATATTTCTGTTGGTTGTATAGAAGTGAAACTGCTGGATCAAAGGCATGCATATATTCAGTTTTAGATAATGTCAAATAGGTTTTCAAAGTGATTATAGCAATTTACACTCCCACTAGCAGTAAACAAAACTGCTGCTGCTCCACATCCTTGACAATACTTGGGCATGTTTTGCCTTTTTCGTTTTAGCCGTTCTGGTGGGTGTCTAGTGGTATCACATTACTTTTAATTTACATTCCTTGGTGACTAATGAAGATGTAAACTTTTTAATATATACTAATTAACCACTTAGATACCCTCTGTTGTATAATGTCTGCTCATACCTTTTGCTTATTTTTCTATTGTGTTGTCTTTTTCTAATATGGAAGAATGCTTTATAATGAGTCCTTTATTAGGATATGTGCATCTTAAGTATCTCCCACTGTGGTTGCCTTTTCGTTTTCTCTTCTTTTCTTTTCTTTTTTTTTTTTTGAAACAGAATCTCACTCTGTCGCCCAGGCTGGGGTGCAGTGCCGTGATCTCGGCTCACTGCAAGCTCCACCTCCCAGGTTCACGCCACCTGCCTCAGCCTCCCGAGTAGCTGGGACTACAGGTGTCCGCCACCACGCCCAGTTAATTTTTTTGTATTTTTAGTAGAGATGTGGTTTCACCGTGTTAGCCAGGATGGTCTCGATCTCCCGACCTTGTGATCTGCCCACCTCGGCCTCCCAAAGGGCTGGGATTACAGACGTGAGCCACTGCGCCCGGCCTTCACTTTCTTAATGGTAATTTTTGATGAACAGAAGTTCTTAATATAGTACAATTTACCCATTTTTATCCTTTACATTTAGAGTTGTTTGTGTCCTAGTTAAGAAATCCTTGCCTACATCTTACTTGAAGATGTTCTCCTATACTTTCTTCTAAATGCTTTTTATTTTACCTTTCATATTTTTATCTGGACTTGAGTTTTGTGTATGGTGTGAGATAAGAGTCAAAGCATACTTTTTTCCAAAGAGATATCCAACTGTCCCAGCAATGTGTACCTAACAGATCGGCCTTTCTCTACTAAGCTCTGATGTCTTCTTTTTAAATCAAATGGTTATATGCACGTATGTGGCTCTGCTTCTGGATTCTCTGTTCTGTTCCACTAGCCTATCTGTCCTTGCTGCCATACCAGATACTCTTAATAATAAGTCTTGCTATCACAGTAATTTAAGTCCCCCTGCTTTGTTTTTCTTCTTCAAGAATAGGCTGTTCTTGGGCCTTTTCAGCCTAAGTTTTTAAATAGTAGAACTGTAGGGTTGAGGAATGAGGGGGTTCTGCAAAAGCAGATTTTCCAATTTACAAAAATATGACCAACTTTTTAAGAATCAAAACTTCTTCTTTGACTTAACTCGAAATCTACTGGAAATAGACCAACATTTGACATACCATTAATATGAATTATTGTACTTTACAACCACTCAGTAACAGGGCTGTTTTTGTTTTCCCTGTTTCCTGGCTTCAGACTGATCTATCTTATTTTCGTACTTCTTGTCTTCTCTCTTCACATCTAGTCTCTTCTTTGTTCCAAACATATTTAGCCAAATAAGGACTTACAGGTAACTGAATTCTCTTTTCTTAATTCAATACTTGTGAATCGTTCCTTTCCTCCCTTTTTAGAAGCTACGGTAGTTCTAGGGGCTTTTAAAAATTATTAGTGGCCGGGCGCAGTGGCTCACGCTTGTAATCCCAGCACTTTGGGAGGCCGAGGTGGGTGGATCACGAGGTCAAGAGATGGAGACCATGCTGGCCAACATGGTGAAACCCCATCTCTACTAAAAATACCAAAAAAATTAGCCGGGCATGGCAGCAGGCGCCTGTAATCCCTGCTTTTCGGTAGGCTGAGGCAGGAGAATCGCTTGAACCCGGGAGGCAGAGGTTGCAGTGAGCCCAGATCGCACCACTGCACTCCAGCCTGGCGACAGAGCAAAATTCTGTCTCCAAAAAAAAAAAAAAAATTATTAGTGCCAGGCACGGTGGCTCATATCTGTAATTCCAGCACTTTGGGAGGCCGAGGCAGGCAGGTCACGAGGTCAGGAGTTCGAGACCAGCCTGGCCAGCATGGTGAAACCCCGTCTCTACTAAAAATACAAAAAAATTAGCCAGGCGTGGTGGCAGAAGAATTGATTGAACCCAGGAGGTGGAGGCTGCAGTAAGCTGAGATTGTGCCACTGCACTCCAGCCTGGAAGACAGAGCAAGACTCCGTCTAAAAAAAAAAAAAAAAAACCAAAACATTATTAGTATTACTACCCCTTTTCAGGTAGAAAAGCCTATTTTTTAGAAAATTGTCTAGGAAGTTGAGACTACTGAAAGTTTATCCTCTGGACAAGTAGAGTATAGTCAACTCTATATCCACAGGTTCTGTTATCTGTTGATTCAACCAACTGCAAAACAAGATTATTTGGAAAAAATGGATGGTTGCATCTATATTAAACACGTACAGACTTTTTCTTTTCTTTTTTTTTTTTTGAGACGGAGTTTCGTTCTTGTTGCCCAGGCTGGAGTGCAATGGCGTGATCTCGGCTCACTGCAACCTCTGCCTCCCAGGTTCAAGCAATTCTCCTGCCTTAGCCTCCAGAGTAGCTGGGATTACAGGTGCCCGCTACCACACCCGGCTGATATTTTTTGTATTTTTAGTAGAGAGGGGGTTTCACCAGACTTTTGTGGGGGGGGGGGTCATAATTCCCTAAACAATACAGTGTAACTATTTACATAGCATTTACATTGTATTAGGTATTATAAATAATCTAGAGCTTAAAGTATGCAAGAGGATGAGATTGTGAGTTATATGCAAATACTAAGCCATTTTATATAAAGGACTGGAGCACCCGCAAATTTTGCTATCTACAGGGGTCCTGGAACCAGTACCTACCAGATATGGAGGGACAACTTTAAGACTATGAACAGGGACCTCTCTCAGCCTTAGTTTCCTATTTTGTAAAATGGAATCATAATCCAACTTGCAGTGCTATCTTAAGTTTTATAGGTAAGTATACATAAAGCATATTGTGACATGTATCACATATGGTAGGCTATCAGAAAATGGCGGCTATTTTTCTAATAATTATTTTTGTAGCAAATAGAAAAAATGGTTATAACTTAGATTTTAAAATTCTCACCACCCCTGATTCCGTTATTCCCCTTTTTCTATGGGTTCATCAACGTGGTTGAAAAATATACTGAGCATCTGTTTCTTAGTTACAACGAAACAAACATGTTCCACCTTAGTCTCAAGTAATTCCAATTTGCAATTTTTCAAATCACTTTGCAATTTCTCAAACAGATCTTTGCTTATTTTACTTATAGGCCACCTCTTTAAATCACTTGCTTTAGTCTGGCTCAGCTTTCTGAATCTTAAGGATTATTGTTGGCTTTTGAACACATTTGTTTCCGTTGTTTTTTTCCCCATCTTATCATGTTTATTTGAACTAGTTCTCTGTTTCTTTATCATTGTGTTACTATTTGTTTTGTGACTACAGTTGATTGTGCTGATTATCTGTCCTTTAAATTTGCTCTTGGTGGGAAAATGTAAGCTAGTCAGCTCCAGTGAAAAAGACTATCAAGAATAAGATCTGGGAAAATATTTTTTTAATTTGTAAAAGCTGTATAGCCCTACAGATTGTCTGCGTTCTAATTATAAAAGCTATAATTAAGAAAGAAATCCCAGTATTTACATTGTAACTTAGCATCACTTCTTGCCAATCAGTTCACATGAAAACTATACATTTCTCCTGGAAAATGTCTGAATATACTTTGACAGGCTTCTGGAAGCAAGATAATCCTTACCAAATCTTGATTAGAAAGCATAACGTTGCTACAGTACAACGTGACAGTGCAGTAAAAACACACAAGACTGCCAGAAAGCAAGCAGAAGAAAATGATATTTTTATACATGCATCTCAAGTTTAAGAACACAAATGAGCCTAATTACAGAGGATGGCTGGCATATTTTGACAGTCTTGGCTATTATCACATTGTCACATTATAAACTTCACTGTGTTCCTTGCCATAAATTGTGTGCTGCTTTTCAACCACAATGCATGATAAACTTAAAAAAAAAAAAAGCATGTCTATGAAATAGAGAACACTGTAACATTGCAAACATGAAGAAAAACTCTTCTTAAATTAGAATTTTAAATATATTAGTATGCTTTATAACCTTAAACATCCTGTCATGATTTAAAAATTAGGTGTCATTTCGTCCCTAAGCATTTTTGTGCCCACTTGACCTGTATGGCCTCTATCCCATATATCCATATACACAGGGTATGACAGGTGCTTGCAAAGCCCTAGTCTATAGTAGAGACATATATGAATGAAAGGTGCCTAAAGTGAAGTAGAGTCTTCGGCTCAAAACTCAGCTTTCTACATCTCAAGTCAATATTTCTAAGCATAATAAATTGAAAAATAGTAATAATTCTGAAACTGGGCTGGACATGGTGGCTTATGACTACAATCCCAGCACTTTCAGAGGCTAAGGTGGGAGGACTGCCTGAGCTCAGGAGTTCAAGACCAGTCCAGGCAACAGAGCGAGACCTCATCTCTAATTTTTAAAAGAAAAAAAAAATTTCTGGAACTACAAAAGACTTCCTCTTATAGAAAGAAAATAAAGGTTTTCTATCTGAGCCATTTTCCTGTCTTTGATGTAATTATCATCAGTCTCAAGTCTCAAAGTTTAATCTAGGAACTCCACAAATTAACTGATACCCAGAGATGCCTCTAAGGCATTGATAAATTTTAAAACCTTTGCAAACATAACAAAATATACTTTAGAAAATCCACAAGCTATAATTTTTTTAGTGGTATCTTTCCTATACTGGACATGAACTCAATACCTTGGTGTTTGTTAGCCAAAAAATTACTTACTTAACACAAAATTTCAATGTATGATATCATGTCATCTGAACAAGAAATATACTTAAGTATTCTCCAGTATTATTACAGATGTGGGTGGTGTTATTACAACTCAGATGTACTCTTTCTGCTGGTATCGTCATGGACTGAATGTTTATGTCCCCAAAAGCTGATATGTTGAAATTCTAACCCCCAATTTGATGGCATCTGGAGTGGGGCCTTTGAGAAATAATTGGGTTGTAAAGGTGAAGTCCTCTAAATGGGATTAGTGCCTTGTGAAGAGATCCAGAGATCTTGCTTCCTCTCTGCTCTTTGCCATGAGAGGATACAATCAGAAAGCAAGCCCTCCCCAGATACCTGATCTGCTGGCACCTTCATATTAAGATTTCCCAGCCTCCAGAACTGTGAGAAATAAATGTTTGTTTAAACCACTCAGTCTATGGTAATTCGTTACAGCAACCTGAACTAAGATATCTAATCATATCAACCAAAGAGAACAATATCCCCATACTTTATGATGATTGTTCCTTATGATATAGCAAAATTCCCAAATCCTTCCTGTGATTATTCTGATTAAAGTTAAGTTGAATATAGTATGGAATTCCATGGGGTGTAGGTGGATATCTATATAGAAACTGGCTAGGGTATACCTAAAGTATTGTCATGCCAGTAGCGTCCCCCAATTTATTATTCAAGGCTCAAAATCAATGCTTTCAGAAAACAACCAGAGGCTATGCAAGCCGGTAGGGGGAAAAGAGGTATAAGAGAATTAAGCTTTGATATCCCAAAGAACAGGAAAACCTCTACCTCAAGTAGGTAATTTAGGCTAATTTCCGATCTTCCTTGGTTTCTGATAAAGGATTTATTTTGTATGAAGTCGTCTGATCTTTCTTCTTCAGTCTCATAAATGGGAAGCTGTTGATCAATGCAAGCATATATACAAGCACACACACACAATTACATGTGTGTATATATGTGCACCCCCCCCAGCCTCTTAACCAGTAGCTAATAATTTAAAACACAGGCACTGAAATGCAAATTAGAAGGCATTCACAACTATGAAACAACCAGAGAAGAAGCTCTCTAACCTATCTTCCTTCTTCCTTCTATCTTTTTTATAAACTGTGGGAGAATTTTGAGAACATGATTAGGGAACAGCAGGATATGTTTCGTTCACCTAGCATTCATGAGAAGTCTTACTTCTCATAGGTAACCATAAGGAAGAATACAATATTAGCAACTAATTTACTTACATAATAATTTATGGGTAAGGCAGGCCTATACACATAAAGTGATTACAGTTCAATAGATGTGTTTACCCTCCATAGCCTAATAATTATGGTCACTGAGATTTACTCTGCTATAGAACACATATAAACAGACAACGTTGACAAATAAGGATTGGTTTCTATGGAGTAACATGGGCCTTCCAAAATAATTGGAACACAATTCCTGATTTCAGAACTGTCAAAAACTCTTGAAGGCAAAAAAAGAAATTATGAGGCTCTGAGAAATCAGAAATCAAAACATAAAAATAAAACATAAGTAAAACCATGTTGAAAGAAATCCAGAAGAGAAATTATACAATCTAACCTTTTCACCCCAAATCTGTTCCTCCTTTTTCTTGCCACTCCAACATTGATGAAATGTAGAGTAATTGAAATTTACTTCGGAGATACAGCAAGGGACTCCAAAAGGCCATGGAGAGAGAATTTCAACTAAAATTGAAAAGCCATACAGAGGTCTGCATAAAAAACAAACAGCACACCACAAATCAAAACCTTTAAGATAAAAACTTAATTAGCATCTACAGGTTGAATGAGCTAGTAACTTATGCCAATCTTATCATTACATTAGCTGAAAAGAAAACGAACTGACAGATTAATCAAAGAACAAAGCAGTAGCTTCACTTCAGCAAAAGCTCCATAGGATCACCAAAGAATAACTGGTGTGACTACCGTTTTCTCACTGGTGGATTAGTTTTTGGCAAGATTTTTAATGTCTAAATTTAAGTTAAACTTCAGTTTAAAGAAATTAAGATTAACTTCATTTAGTCACAGCACACTTCCAAAACGGTCAAGCTTAGTACTGCTGAACAGCTGTAGTTGCATAAAAACAACGCATAGTCCTAAGTAGGGAAATGGGAAAGGGCTTTAAATACAAAAACAAAAAAAACATGCACACCCGATAAGGGCACATCTGAATCCCATCCTTCTTATCCTATCATAACACAAAACAGCTACGGTTTTCTGGGAAACATCCTGGACCGCTAGGGGAAAATAACACCAGACATTTCAATTCACTGTAACGAACTCTCATCAATAATAATAACCTTTAGCTGTTGTGACAACACGACATAAATCAAAATTAAATTGAATTTTTAAAATTGTTAGTTCCTACGTTTAAAAAAAAGTTGTTTTAAATACATTCTGTTCTTTCAAAACTGAATTTCCTCAGATCACACAATTTAAGACGCCTTTATGTCTTCTTCCGCTTGTCACACGTCTTTCGGGTTCTGACCAGCACATCAAGGGGACTCTAAGCAGGCCACGTGGTTAGTGTTTGCTAGAACTTGTTTAGCTTCAGATCCAGTCATCGAGCATGCTAGGCTTGGCTACTCGCGCTCCACACAGTTTATCCAAAGATCTAAACCCCGAATGAACCTGAATAGTTATTTGCTACAATGTCTTTCTCAAATCTCACATGTTCCTAAAATAAGGGTGCCCATGCAGTAGAGACGGATCCGGGCAGGATCATTAGATAAAATACGAAGGCTTTAAACGTCCTTCTCCCAACAATCAGCCTGGGACCGGCGTCGGGGCAGCAGCCTCACCAAGATTCGGAGCGACATCCTCGCCAGGATTCGAAACACCTAGGAGACCCGCGCCCGGCTGACTCCCAGCCCCTGGGACCCCGTGAAGACGCAAACCTCGGGACGCCTCCCGCAGAACCACCTGTCAGAGCCAAGCAACAGTCCCCGCCCCGGAGCCTCCGAGCTCCTGCTCGAAGGCAATGACAGCAGGAGACCCCGCTCCCTCGGGGTTCTCGCGGCCATAGGCGCCGCAGTCCACTGCCCTCCGGCTAAAGAGGTCCCGGGCCATCACCTGCCCGCCTACCGACCACGCCCGACCCTCCACTGAACTGAGTCTCCGTCCGGATCAGCCGGCCCGCCACGAACCCAGCTCCAGTCTCCGGCCGCTCCTTCTTATCCGCCCTGTCCTGCCGCGTCGCCGCCGTCCGAGCCGGCAGCCTGCTACTTACCTCCTGACAACTGCATGGAGTAAACCACACCGCCTTGTTAAATGCCGTCGCCGCCGCCGCCGTCTTCGTCACCGTCACAGTCGCCGCCGCCATCTTTGTTGTGTCTCCGACTCCCTTCCCGCCCCCCTGCCTTGCTCAAGTCTCGCGTGAGCAGGATGGAGGGCGAAAGCGAGGAGGGGCCTGTTTGTCTCTCTTGGGGTTCCGTAGGCAGCAGGGGGCAGGGATTAAGGGGGGGTGTGTGCGGGGCGGGTACTGAGTGGGCGGGGCCTTGCTCGGGTAACTCCCAGGGGCTGGCTAGAGACCCAGAGGCGCAGAGCGGAGAGGCCTGCGGCGAGGATGGAGGGCCTGGCAGTGCGGTTGCTGCGCGGCAGCAGGCTGGTGAGTGCGTTCGAGGCTGGCGTCCTGGGGGCCCAGGGCGACCTTGGCCCCTGGAATCGCAGCTGGCAGAGCCTTCTAACGGGCCTCGGGGCGCCGGCCTGAGCCCCGCTCCACGTCCTGGGTCCCCAGACTCTTTACCCGCGGGCAGTCTATGACCCCGACCCCCTTCAGGCCTCTGGTGGAGGCAGCTGGTGGCAAGGGGGTCGGGGCTGTCTAGAAGCTGCTTTGGCGGAGCAAGTACCTTGAGTGGAGTCGGAGGGTCGCGTCCGCAAGATGTCCTTTGCAGGCCGTTGCGTCCTGAGAGCCACCGAGTCTGGATCTCTGGATCTCTGGATGCATTTTGCACAGATGTCACCTCCCTGATGCCCTAACGCACCTTTCCCGAGTGATTACATTTCACACCCCCTCCCCCAAAAAAGATAGTTAAAATATAGGCCCAGTCTCATTCTGAGCAGGTGTCTCCCTGTCCTTCCTTCCGCGGCCCCGCTCAAAGGTAGTAAGGGACTTCGGAGTTGTTCGGGCTTCCCGGCCAGGGACAGAGTTCCCTCTGCCCCTTATCTCATGTCTGGAGCCTGGGTATCTTCCGTGGATAGACTCACCGCCGCCCAGGGGAGCCGGAGCCGGTGCCGGTCCCTCTTCCATGAACTTAAGCTGAAACCAGCCTCTTGTTGTGCTTAATTCTTATCTGTGCACCCACACAAACTGTTAACAGCCCCTGTGTTAACATCCTATGCTCTTCACCCCTTGGACCTATTATATAGCATGCTTTTCAGAACATACACATTTGGATACACTTGTATTTGTCAGTACACTTCACTGGGAATTTTCCCACTGCTTACGTGTGCTTTTAATGTTTCCTTTGCATTTGCTTTAATGAGTTAGGCTTTCCAACTGCTGCTTCAGTCTTATGCCCAGAGGCAGAACTCTGACCCTTTTTCTTATTAGAGATAATTAATGTTATTTGACTGTTTTACAGGCCTGAAGTGCAATAAAAAACAGTAAGTGATTATTGTTTAATACTGTTTATAATTGTTGGTTAATAACTTAGCAAAGAAAATTTCTTTGGTTTTACAATTTGACTCTGTTTTAGAGCCAAAATTTATTGACCGCATACTCTGTGGTAGGCACGTTCTCGTTCTACCTGAGTCATCTCAATTCTCACAACCATCTTAACAAGTAGTTTAATCTTGCAGATGCTGAAAAAGAATAATAGCTTGCCCACAGATAGAAAGGGATAGAGCTGGTGGTATTCGAACTCTGGTCTGATTCTAAACTTAACCTTCATATACTACTGTCTCCCCGTCCTTAGAGATATCAAAAACCTATTTTGTTTGAACTTTTGGTTTATTGTGGCTTATAGTCCTTTATAGTTTTTGAAGCTCTTTTACATAAATTAGCTAAATTGATTGAACATCGACTGTAGCATAGTGGTTAAGAACGTAGGTTCTGTAGCTAGGCTGCTTGGATCTGAACCCAGGCCCTCTCACTTCCTAGTGGTATAACCTTGGACAGGTTATGCTTTGGGTCTCAGTTTCCTGGTCTGTAAATGGAGAGAATAATTGTGCGTATTCCAAAATTGTTGTGAAAATTAAATGAGCTCATATGTTCATGTAAGGCACTTAGAATAGTGCTCGGAATGTAGTCAGCTCTCGGTAAATATCAGCTCTTACTGCCATGCACGAAGCATTGTGTGCTATGCCAGATGTAATAATGAATAAAATACTCTACCTCCAAGAAGTTTATCTTTTAGAGGAAAGGTTAGAACTATGTGCAACTAACCCCATGTCATGTAGGTGTGGAACAAATCCTAAGGGGCTACAGTCTGCGTGCAGATTCAGAAGATAGAAATGACTAGGACCATTGGGGAAGTGATAGGCTCTTTGGAAGCTGGGTTAGAGTTTAGGAGGGGAAAGGAGTGGTCAGAAAACTGCAACAAAAGGGGACTGAGGCCACTTTAGGGAATTGGGGGTTGATCCTTTTGGATTGTTAGGAGCCATTGAAGGTCAAGAGCTTTGGAGTTTCCTCATGCCACAGTGTAGGTAGATGGCTGTGGACACAAGTGGCATGGAGTGGGGAGAAATGCAAGGTAGGGCTAATTTTGGTTTCTATCCAGAGGCAAATGGAAAGCTAGCATTTACTCACTTATTGTAGACCAGGGACAGCATTTTACACCCACTACCCTATTTACTCTTCCTGTAAACCTCTGAAGTAGGTATATTAGTGGCTTCATCTTGCAAATGAGGAACTCGGAGGCAATAACCAGTGTTCCCAAGTCACATAACAATCAGATTGCAATGCTGACCTTCAGCCTACCCCTGCCTTCTCAGAAGGTCTCTCCTAGTCCTGCAGATGGATTAGAACTGTCCTGCCCATTTGGTCTAAGCAACCCAATTAGTGGAGAATTGGACCTTGTAGTTAACCTGTGGTTCCAAAGCATTTTAATGTAGCTTGATATCTTTTTTTTTTTTTTTTTGAGACGGAGTCTTACTCTGTCGCCCAGGTTGGAGTGCTGTGGTGCGATCTCAGTTCACTGTAACCTATGCCACCCGGATTCGAGCGATTCTCCTGCCTCAGCCTCCCGAGTAACTGGGATTACAGGCGCCTGCCACCTTGCCTGGCTAATTTTTGTAGTTTTAGTACAGATGGGGTTTCACCATCTTGGTCAGCAAGATGGAAATGGTCTCAAACTCCTAACTTCATGATCCACCCGCCATGGCCTCCCAAAATGCTGGGATTACAGGCGTGAGCCACCACACCAGGCCGCTTGATGTCTTTTAAGAGATGATTTTTTTTTTTTTTAGACAAGTTTTCACTCTCTTGCCCAGGCTGGAGTGTAGTGGCGTGATCATAGCTCACCGTAACCTTGAACTCCTGGCTCAAGTGATTCTCTGACCTCAGCTCCCCGGGAGCTAGGACCACAGGCATGTGTCACTGCACCTGGCTAATTTTTAAAGTGTTTTGTAGAGATGAGGTCTCACTGTGTTGGCCAGGCTGGTCTGGAACTCCTGGCCTCAAGCGATCCTCCCACCTCACCCTCCAAAATGCTGGGATTACAGGCATGAGCCATTGCACCCAGCCAAGAGGTGATTCTTGACAAATATCCTTGACGTGAATTCTTGTTCAGTTAATTCTCTGGACATCTGCCAGACAGCAGCTGCCAAAATACATATAATTCTTGTTGTTTAACTTTTTGCTCTTCAACAAAACCAGAAGTATTTTTTCTGGACATATATTTGGCATCCAGGTAGAGAGAACACAAATGGTTTGAATGTGTCCCCCAAAATTCATGTGTTGGAAGCTTGATCCCCAGTGCGGAGGTTTTGAGTGGTGGGGCCTAATGGGAAGTGTTTGGGTCATAGTGTGTCCAGAATTGGTGGGTTCTTGGTCTCACTGACTTCAAGAATGAAGCCACGGACCCTCGCGGTGAGTGCTACAGTTCTTAAAGGCGGTGTGTCTGGAGTTTGTTCCTTCTGATGTTCGGATGTGTTCGGAGTTTCTTCCTTCTGGTGGGTTTGTGGTGTCACCGGCTCAGGAGTGAAGCTGCAGACCTTCACGGTGAGTGTTACAGCTCTTAAGGCGGCACATCTGGAGTTGTTCGCTCCTCCCGGTGGGCTTGTGGCCTCGCTGGCTTCAGGAGTGAAGCTGCAGACCTTCGCGGTGAGTGTTACAGCTCATAAAGGCAGTGTGGACTCAAAGATTGAGCAGCGGCAAGATTTATTGCAAAGAGCTAAAGAACAAAGCTTCCACAGTGTGGAAGGGGACCCGATTGGATTGCCACTGCTGGCTCGGCAGCCTGATTGGTCTGTTTTACAGACAGCTGATTGGATTGGTCTGTTTTGACAGGGTGCTGATTGGTGCATTTACAATCCCTGAGCTAGACACAAAAGTTCTCCACCTCCCCACTAGATTAGCTAGATACAGAGTGCTGATTGGTGTATTTACAAACCCTGAACTAGACACAGAGTGCGGATTGGTGCATTTACAAACCTTGAGCTTGATACAGAGTGCTGATTGGTGTATTTACAATCACTTAGCTAGACATAAAGATTCTTCAAGTCCCCACCAGATTAGCTAGATACAGAGTACCGATTGGTGCATCCACAAACCCTGAGCTTGATACAGAGTGCTGATTGGTGTATTTACAATCCCTTAGCTAGACATAAAGATTCTTCAAGTCACCACCAGATTAGCTAGATACAGAGTACCGATTGGTGCATCCACAAACCCTGAGCTAGACACAGGGTGCTGATTGGTGTGTTCACAAACCTTGAGCTAGACACTGAGTGCTGATTGGTGCACTCACAATCCCTTAGCTAGACACAAAGGTTCTCCAAGTCCCCACTAGACTCAGGAGCCCAGCTGGCCTCACCCAGTGGATCTTGCACCAGTGCCGCAGGTGGAGCTGCCTGCCAGTCTCGCGCCTCGTGCCTGCACTCCTCAGCCCTTGGGCGGTTGATGGGACTGGGTGCAGTGGAGCAGGGGGTGGCGCTCGTCGGGGAGGCTCAGGCCGTGCAGGAGCCCACTGGCGGTGGCGGGGAGACTCAGGCATGGTGGGCTGCAGGTCCCGGGGCCTGCCCCGCGGAGAGGCAGCTAAGGCCTGGCTAGAAATCGAGCGCGGCGCCGGTGGGCCAGCACTGCTGGGGGACCCGGCGCACCCTCCACAGCTGCTGGCCTGGGTGCTAAGCCCCTCACTGCCCGGGGCCGCAGGGCCTGCCGGCCGCTCCGAGTGCAGGGCCTGCCAAGCCCACGCCCACCCGGAACTCTAGCTGGCCCACAAGCGCCACGCAGCCCTGGTTCCCGCCCATGCCTCTCCCTCCACACCTCCCCGCAAGCCGAGGGAGCTGGCTCCAGCCTTGGCCAGCCTAGAGAAGGGCTCCCACGGTGCAGCGGTGGGCTGAAGGGCTCCTCAAGCGTGGCCAGAATGGGCGCCGAGGCCGAGGAGGCGAGGCACCGAGAGCAAGCGAGGGCTGCCAGCATGCTGTCACCTCTAAATAGGGGAACTGGCCTCGTAAATTATTAATGCTGTTTTTGAGAGAATGAGTTCCTCATTAAAGGACAACTTTGGCCTTCTCTTGCTCTCTCTTTCTCTCCCCTCATTTCTCACTCTCACCTTCTCTCACCCTCTTGCCTTTCTCTTTGGAATGACACATCTCTTAACCTGAGAACTTGGAACAGCTGACTCATAATAAATGTTCTTAAGTACTTAGAGCAGCTGACTCATTATAAATAATCAGTAAACATTAGCTATTTTTAAAATTAATTAATTAAGTTAGTTTTTTAGAGACAGGATCTTGTTCTGTCACCCAGGCTGGAGTGCAGTGATACAGATCATGGCTCACTGAAGCTTCAAAATCCTGGACTCAAGTGATCCTCCCGCCTTGGCCTCCCAAAGTGCTGGGATTGCAGGCATGAGCCACTGTGCCTGGACAACACTAGCTATTAATGTAGGCAGAACACATTACCAATAACTTTGATAGGATGTTTTAGGGTATCATTGCCTTACGCAAAGTACACAGGTAAGTTTTGGGGATCTGTAGGTTTACAACAGGGTTCTTGACATCAAAAAAAATTACATTTTTAATTGGGGAGGTAGGGTATCTGTTTTAAAAATGAATTTTAGAACAGTAGAAGATAGCATGTTGCTAATGCTAAATAAATAATATGGGCAGATATGCTTATAGGAGATGGGGCTTCAAGTGACCATTCAAAGGAGCAGTTTTAGGTAAAGCAGCAGAGGGGTGCGGATTCCAGGGCAAGGAAATGTGCACGCAAAGGTGTAGAGGTAGGAATATGCTCAGCTTGTTTAAGAAATAATATGCCACTATAGGTGATGTAACAGTTTTGCAGAAGGGTGGAATGGGTTCAGATGGTAACTGCCTAAGGGTTAAGTTTATCCTTGATCTCAAAGCAGTGAGGAGCTGATAGCTGCCAAGCAGTTTTGGCTTCTCCAATCTAGGAAGCTAGAAAGAATCACAGAGTGAAGCAAGCCTGGATTTCTTCTGCCAGTTCCTACATGGGTGTTGCCCAGACAGGGTTGCCCACAGTCCTGGAGAAGAGCCCTTTTATTTACCAAAACACAAGAATTTATAATGTTTACTACTCAACACAGAAATGGCAGTTACTTTGCACATGCAAATATATCTTTGTCTTCCGTTGATCTCTCTCTGGTGCTAGGAAGACTAAGTAACCATAAAGACACTCTCCCTGGCAACCATCAAAGAGTCTTTCTCCTTTCTCTCGGGATCCTCACACACTTGCCCTGTCTTGGGCCTACATTGTCGTTTTTGTTGTTGTTGTTCCTCATGCCACCTTGTCTAAGAAGGCCCACATTATCTTGACTCATTCTCTGTAAGGGCTAGACCAGGTTTTCTGTGTTTTGTAGGATGCTAAGCAGTATCCCTGGCCTCTACTCATAAGAGGCCAATAGCTTGCCTGAGCTATGACAACCCAAAATGTCTCCATCCATGGCCAAATGTCCCGTGGGGGCAAAATTACTGGACTGAGAACCACGGATGTAGACCTGTGTAACAGTGTACTCCATGAAGGAGGGGAAAGGTGGCCTTTCTCCTTATAACCTGGTAGGGAACTTTCTCTCTAAAACTATTTGCCATACTCAGTTTGTTGGCTATAGAAATTGATCTACAGTTTCAAAGATTTTTGTTGAAAGATTTCAATAGCAGCCATTGAGATTTTAAGGTGCTGTTTGCAAAGGAGTTTACAAGATAAAACAGTCAGCAGCTCACAAAAGGAACTCATCACGTGAGACTCTGAAGCCACATCCCACTTAGACCATTTCACAAGTCCACTTTTAGAGTAACAAGGCCCTCAATGAGGGTGATAGCACCGATGATCAGAAAGGAAGACATGTTAATAAAAGAAGACTTGAGAAGATGTGGGAATTATCTTGAAATGGAGGAATTAGATGGACTACACATTTTCTAAATGAAATAGCTTAGTGATAGGCAAAGATTGGGACATCTGGAGAAAAAGTAATTTAGGGTGACAGAAGAAAGGTAATTCTGTTTTAGACACGTTTTAGGTATTAATAAAACTTACAACTGAAAGTGTCTTAGAAGCTGGTCAGAAATGGGTCTAGAAAGTGGACCAGTGCTAAAGCTATGGTAAAAGGAAAACTTCATCTGAATTAAATTTAAAGGAGTTTAATTGAGCAGCAAATTGGGCAGCCCCCAGAACCACAGCAGATTTGGAGAGACTCCAGGGATGCCTTGTGGTCATAACAAATTTATAGACAAATGAAGGGAAGTGACAAATCGGAAGTGAGGTACACAGTGGCTGGATTGGTTACAGATTTGCAATTGTCTTATTTGAACACAGTTAGAACACTCAGCAGTCCATGAGTGGTTGAAGGATGGCTGCTGGGATTGCCCAAGACGCAGCTACTGTTACAGGCGCATACTCCTAAGTTAGGCTTTCAATCTTGTCTACCTATTAAGCTAGGTTACAGTTCATCCACAAGGACTCAAATATAGACATACGGAGTCCTTCTCAGGCAATATTTAGTTTGCTTTAAGAGCTATAAATGCTAGCCAAAACCATAAATGGGTATGGGGCATCGGAAGGATAGTGAAGAAACAGGAGTGGACAAGTCAGCCTTTGGGGTACAGTTCAGACCATCCTGGGTAAATGTTGAGAAGCAAAGAAGCAAAAGGAGACTTAGTAGGATATCAGAGGAAATTCTGTGACATATGTGTTTTATTCAGAATTGGAGCAAAAGAAGGAAAAGGATATTTAAAAGCAAACATACAGAATTTGTGTCACATAAAAAAAACAAACCTGTGAGAGCAGAAGCGGTGTGTTTTGAGAAGTGCAAGACATGGCAGGGCCAGCTAATGGAGCTGGTGGAATGCATACTGAGGAGGTTGTGAACGTGGTTCATGCTCCCTTCACTCAATTTGGTAACCCCCTGTCCCCAGCCAGTGTTGAATATGCAACCCCTGATATGGAACTCTGGTCTTTTGGCATCTATTTAAGTGTTTCTTCTGACTATCTTCCCTGAAAAAGAGGGTGAGTTGAAGAAATTCCCAATGCCTGTTAAGTTGTTGGACCCAAGTAATTATGTGATTAAAAAAAAATTTAAACTCCATAATAGTCCTATCTTTTAAAATTTCTTTGAAAATAGAAGTGAGTGTCTTGTTTCATTTTTGTCCACTGGTAATTTGGGAAAGAGAAATTGTTGACTTGGCTAAGGTCACAATAAAGGCAAGCCCAACTCCTTTACCTTATATTTATTTATTTATTTTTTTGAGACAGAGTTTCATTCTTGTTGCCTAGGCTGGAGTGCAATGCGTGATCTCAGCTCACTGCAACCTCCTCTTCCCGGGTTCAAGTGATTCTCCTGCCTCAGCCTCCCAAGCAGCTGGGATTATAGGCACCTACCACCATGCCCGGCTAATTTTTGTATTTTTAGTAGAGACAGGATTTTACCATCTTGGTCAGGCTGGTCTGGAACTCCTGACCTCACGTGATCCATCCACCTAGGCCTCCCTAAGTGCTGGGATTACAGGTGTGAGCCACCTCACCGGGTGGACACAGTTTCTAATGGCCGGCATTTGCATGTCTAAGCTTGCTGTCCCAGCTTGAAGAGCCGGGCTTTCCTGCTAGACAAGAAACGTTCCTGGAGCTGCTTTAAAAGAAACAAAAACTTCCCAAGGACACCTTTTCCTCTCTATAGGCCTAAAATAATTTTTTAATAACTCCCATAATGAAAGTCGGGGGTGGCTTCCAGGCTATAGGTAAATTTAAACATTTTCTGGTTGACAATTGGTTGAGTTGGGCTAAAAACCTGGGGTGAATAGAAAGGAATGTCTGGGTTGTGATAAGAAGTTGTAGAGACCAAAGTTTAATCATGCAGATGAAGCCTCCAGGTAGCCGACTTCAGAGAGAATGGATTGAAATGCTTCTTATTAGGCCTAAAGTTCTGTGTTGATGTTCATGCTGGTGAGGTATAATGAGGTATGTTCGACCCCCACTTCCCATCATGGCCTGAAACAGTCTCTCAGGTGAAATTTTAAGACCCCTGGCTAGGGAGGAAGTCTGTTCAGCTGGTTTGGGGGGCCTTAGAATCTTATTTTTGGTTTACACATGATTAAAAAATACTTTAGCTCCATAATAATCCTATCTTTTAAAATTTCTTTGAAAATAGAAGTGAGTGTCTGGTTTCATTTTTGTCCACTGGTAATTTGGGAAAGAGAAATTGTTGACTTGGCCAAGGTCACACTACAGGCAAACCCATTTCCTTTGTGTTGATTCCCTTGCCTTGTGTCTTGTCTTGGCTTATTTAACCCTCTTTTGAGGGAATCACTATAATTCTTAAAAGGGCAAGGCATTGTTAGGAACTCCTAAAGACTAGAATGAAGAATCAGAGACTGGTAGATGGGAAAGGTTGCGTTTTTAGCAGTTTTGGAGAATACCTAGAACAGAAGCTATTATTTATGGAGAAAGCAAGCAGAGGTTGGACAGATTCTGGTATAGAAGTTTTGGCTTGGGGATATAAAATTGGGATCAACTTAAAATCTAATCCATTGGTACACTGCTAATAAAGGCATACCCAAGACTGGGTAATTTATAAAGAAAAAGAGATTTAATGGATTCGCAGTTCCACGTGGCTGACGAGGCCCCACAATTGTGGTGAGGAAGGTGAGGGAGGAGCAAAGGCACGTCTTACATAGCAGCAGGCAAGAGAGAAGTGCAGGGGAACTGCCCTTTATAAAACGATCAGATCTTGTGAGACTTATTCACTATCACGAGAACAACACAGGAACAACCCGCCCCCATGATTCAGTTACCTCCCACTGGGTCCCTCCCATGACACATGGGGATTATGGGAGCTACAATTCAAGATGAGATTTGGGTGGGGACACAGCCAAACCATATCAAGCAGGTATGAACAATTTGGCTTAGGAAATCAAAATCAAAACTGAATATAGTGTTAAGTATTTTTTCATTAAATTCTAATAAATTGTTGACACAATTCTCATAAGCCGTATCAATTCCTGTAATTTTAAAGCCCATAAAGTAGTTTAATTTTCCTTTGGGGGTGGTGAGAGAATTTGTTTAAACTTCATTTCAGATAATTGTAGATTCTTATGCAGTTATAAAAAGAAATACAGATAGATCCTGCATCTTGTTATCTGATTTGCCCCTGTGTAACACTTTACCAACCTATAGTACAATATCACAACCAGGAAATTGACATTGATACTGTCAACCTAAATAACAGAGAGAGGCTCTCTGAAAGAAAAGATGCTTCTTTGGGAATAGAGCATTGCCATGGAAATACACGTGCCATAGGATTACATAATTGTTTTAAAATAATTATAGTTGGCTACAAGATCAATAACAAGGATGACGCCAGTCCAGGATTGAACAGGCAGTTACTGGGGCAGATAGGCCTTGCAGAAGCATTTTTTCTGTAAGATTGTGATGGCCTTTGTGCAATATTTTGGTGTTTGCAGTCTTTGGTGATAGTTTTTTATCAGGCTTACAAATATGAGAACCCTTTTTTCATGGCCTTGCCTCGCTCTATTTGTCAAGGTTTGTTTGTTTGTTTTACATTACTGACTCCATTTTGATTCTGACAACTTTTACAATATGATACAGCAAGCTTTTTCAGATATTCCCAGTTTTACATGTATATGTGTGTGTAGGACTGTGCAGTTCTATCACATATGTTTGTGTATCCACTGCTATAGTCAAGCTACAAGACAGTTCCAACAGCATAAGGATCCCTTGTGTTGTTTGTCCTCTTATAACCACTCGCTACCCCTAACCTCCTGTCCTGGTCTCTAATCCTCGGTAAACACTAGTCTCTAGCTTTATAAATTTGTCATTTCAAGAATATTAGATAAATAGAATCATCCAGTCTTTTTTTTGTTTTTTTGCTGAATAGAATTTATTGTGAGGGAAGGAAAAAAATTTTCATCCACCCTCTTAGGTTCAGTGACTGGGGCTTGGAAATTAAATAACAAAAGACAGATTAACAGTAGTAAAAGGTTTATTTCCTATGCATAATGAGCAAGTACCTGGCTCATTAAATAGTTAAAGGGTTTTGTTTATATACCTACCTTAGGTATATAAAGGAAGGGGGAGAAAGGGCCTCTATAGGAAAAACAAATAGGTCTCTTTGGGAAAGACAAACAGGTAGTAAGAAATTGTGTAATGATATTTGCCTATTCATCTTCAGGGCCAAAAACTCCCCAGGAGGGGGAATTTCTAATAGCCTCATTTCCCAGAGGTTGCTGCTTTAGTCAGTTAAGGGAAGCTCCTAGAAGGCTTTTCCTCCACTTGTTGAATCTCAGATGTCTTCAGCTTAAAAGAAGCATTATGCCAACTCTGGGATTCCAAATGGGTCGCTGCACCATGATAGGGATGTACCACAGATGTTTAACCATTCACCCACTGAAGGACATCTGGATTGTTTCCAGTTTTTTACTACTGTGGCTAAAGCTGCTGTGGACATTTGTGTGCAGATCTTTGAACTTCTGTTGTTACTTCTCTTGAATAAATATAAAAGAGTACAACTGCTGGGTCATATGATAATTGCATAAGAAACAGCTAAACTGTTTTCCAGAGTGACTGTACCATTTTACATTCTCAAAAACAATGTATGAGAGATCCATTTGCTCATCTCCCTTGCCAGTGCAGCAAATCAAAATATTTTACCCCAAAATGTACTTTGACATATTTTGAAATGGTTGCCATAGTGCCAGCAGACCAGGCTGACCAACATGGTGAAACCCCGTCTCTACTAAAAATACAAAAATTAGCTGGGTGTGATGGCACGCGGCTGTAATCCTAGCTACTCAGGAGGCTGAGGCAGGAGACTCGCTTGAACCCGGGAGGCAGAGGTTGCAGTGAGCCAAGATCGTGCAACTGCACTCCAGCCTGGGTGACAGAGCAAAACTCCGTCTCAATAAATAAATAAATAAATACATACATAAGAAGACTTAGCTTTCCAAACAATCTGTCTCCTGTCTTCTTCTTCTATTTGGTAGTTTATTTGCAAGGCAAACAAGCATCTTTCATTATCCTTTACAATTAAATGAAAATTGTGTTCAAGGGAGAGAAAGCCAAATTTCACCCCTGCATTAGTCCACCATTAATATTAACCCCAGTATTTTATTTTTAAAATGAAACCTTATAGACAAATCCATTCAATCTTAATCAGTTTGACTATAAGATGGGATTCTCATAATCCCTTTACAAATTTTTGTTAAAGAGTACATCAGTGCCTTAAGAAAACCTTGTGCTTTTATTCCAATGCTCAATTTATGGAAAAATCAAATAATACCCTTTTGAATGTAGTCAATATGTTCACACAGAGAATTTCTTTTACAAGATTAATTTTTACAAACCTTCCACAACTTGTTCAAACCTTTAGCTTTATCTTACTTAACTGAAAACAATCCTTTAACCCTCTAAACTAGGCAAATATTTACATTCCCATGGCTTCTTATAATCTTTTACCAAAAACATATTTTACTTTCTTTACACACCTTGCATGTCTTTTTTATATAAACATCACACGCATAACACATATATAACTACACAGATAGACAAAACGTGCAGTAGTTGTAAGATTTTTCATTTGCCAATCTGCTAATTGGATTACTGGCCTCAGGGTGGAGCTCTTCACGCAACAGGGCCAGGAAAACATGCAGTTTCTATGACTTAATAAGCAGATATAGCTGGAAGACAAGAATAGATTTTGAGAGGGATCTATCATAGCACTTTTAATTCTTGGGGTTCTGAGGAAAACAGGGTTTTTCTCCCAAAATAGGGTCCTTGGTGACTTTTCTGTTTTTCCCAAAGAGTCCCATGCTCTCAGAAGTGATCTTAGGGCCTCTCATGTGTGCATTAAGAGTGGCAAGACAAAATGGAGAAAAATAACTCAGTCAACTGTGAAGAGAATTAAAAAAAGCTTCTTTCCAGCAAAACAAGATTCAAGAAGAGAAAAAAAATACATAAAGGCCTTTTAAGTATACATATAGCTTGGATATCCACTTTTAATTAGGCTTTTAACCATAATGCTCTTTAAAAACAAATTCTTTTAAATCTCCTATTACCCAACTCTAGCCATGCCAAGTGGCCAATATTTCTGGCTTTGAACTTTACCAAAGGTAACCTCCCAGGTTCTCAGAGAAAGGAATATTTGAAACAGTTCATGGAGGGGAAGAGAATCAGCAAATGGTAAATGTCACACAGATATCAAACCAGAAAGGACTCATTCCCCAAGCCAAGATTGAACCTATGACACCATTGTAAAATGATGAAGCCACAGCTACTGAGCCACTGCATTGGACAATCTCCACTGCCCCTCCCAGAAGGAGTCTAGAGTAGTTAATTTTGAGCTTGCAAAGACTTCCAACTACTTAAGATTATTTTAGAGCTAACTATGACATGAACCCCAAAATTCCTGGTCTGGGTAGTGGAGACTAAGAGAAAGTACCGCACGTGGTTATAAGGGAACCTTTTCAAATCTGTGATTTGAGCTAACTTTTAGATAACTTCTGAATTACACAAAATTATACTTTTTCTCACTAATAACACAAGCCTTTCTGGCATATTCTGTATTCAGAATTATGTGTTAATTCGAATTCTTATCCTTAGTAACCCAAGGATATCCTTAGTAACCTAAAACTTTAATGAAACCATAAAGAACAAGAAATCCTGAAGTATCAGATATGGGCATTTATACATAAGAACATTTGGACAATTTTAGAAACATATTTCCCCATATCACAACCCTTTCTTAATTGAAAATGAGTCAGATAGTAAATGAGCATCAAAATTAACTTTAAGATTTTAATTTACACAAAAAATTTACCTAAAACATTTATCCCATTTACTGTACTCAATTCCTTCATTTTCAACAGTTTATCTAGATTACTTCTGCAAACTGAGATATTAGACACTATAATTGTTTTTAATAGCCAGTGAACATCCAGTGCTCACCTAAACCTAAGTAAGAGCCTTAAAGTTAAATACACAGATATTTTTACCGATAACTCAGAAGACTTGGCTAACAACATTAAATTACTCTCATTTGTCAAAACAAACAAACAAAAAGGCATGCAAACGAAGATCATTTTGTTTTGGCTGGGTTTATAGTTTTATAACCTTCTATGCCAAACCCTGACACCTCAAAATATCTAGCAGAGACAAATATAAAATCCAGACAAAAATGTATGTTGACAATTCTGAAGGCATTTCTATTTTTGTTTTATCAATAGTTTTAAAACCAGCTTGTTTATACTTAAGTCATGTGAACTTGAAATTTGCTTAGACTTATGTACTTAATTTATGAGCACTCTTTTACTTAAAAGCCAATTTGGTAGAAACAACATATAATAGTAAGTATACATACAAATAAACACATCTAGACAGGTATACACACACACACACAAACAAAGATCCAGTAGCTTTTACCTTGGAACTCTAGCCATGAGATAGCAATACAGGCTCACCAGTTTTACTTTGTATGCCCCAATAGATAATCCAATGAAGGCTGTGAACCAAAACTGCGGGTAAAGCAGTTTCCATGGCAGTTTGGTTTTTAAAGGCCAAACCTCCCCAGGCTCCAAAGAACACTGGGGCCAAACAGCACTAAAGGAGAGCATCCCTCGCTAACCAGGCCCCCTGCTTAGAACAGCAGCACAAAAGCCTGGGTACATGCAATTCCATCCCACTTTCCCATTCAGCAGCAAACTCCAGATTCCAAACAATATTGGGACCAAACAGTATTGCAAAATTTCCCATTGTCATCTGTGAAAGAAAATTCTAAGGAGGGCTTAGTACTGGACCTCAGAACCTCTGCCTAGGGTGTCCCCTTTGGAGAGGTTGAAGTCTGGAGTTCGATCCCCTGAGGTGTCCCCCTTTGGGGTCCAGTCTTAGAGTGTCAGACATCTCTGACCTTAGGTGGGCACCAATCCCACTTTGCATGTTTTCCCTCCAGAGGCAATGGCCTACTATGAGCTTTCCTTTGGTTCCTGGATGTAATCCCCAACTTTTAGCATCCTCATAATTTGATAAGGCCACGCTTTCCCATGCTTCCCATTCCACTAAAGTGATAGCCATGAATGGTAATGATAGGAGCTGGAGGCTGAGTGGGTTTCTTTTGTCCTTAGCCAGTCAAATAGAGGAAGGGAAGAATTTAGTATAAGAAAAGAAGGTTTAAGTTAACTGAAACATGTTCGAGTTCTCTCCAGATTAGCTGCGCCACATGTAGGGATTAGGGACCATAGCCGGAAATGATAGAAGAGTCCTTACCTCTTCCAGGGAGGGCAGCTATCCTCAGTCACTCCTTGGCCTTCAGGCAACACTGGAGAGTGGCCCTGGCCAGAAACCTGCAGTTGCCTCCGTGTTTAGGTGCTGCCCACCAAGGATCCTGAGTTGGAAAGGAAAAGAGAGAGAGATTCCCCTGGATGGAGCAGAAAGGAAAAGGTGAAAAATAAACCCCAAACTTTGGGCTTACCACCTGGCTGGCTAACCAAACTATGCTACCAGTGTAGGGTGTCCAGGTTCTTGGCATTTTGAACAAAGAGTTGGACAAAATGCACAAACAAAGGAAGAAAAGAATGAAGCAACAAAAGCAAAGATGTATTGAAAATGAAAGCACACCTAACAGGGTGGGGCCGGGCCCAAGCAAGCAGCTCGTGGGGCTGGGCCCAAGCAGGCAGCTCAAGGGCCCAGTTACAGAATTTTCTGGGGTTCAAATACACTCTAGAGGTTTCCCATTGGTTACTTGGTATATGATGTTTCCTGCCATAGCTGAAGTATAGTTACAAAATTATTTACTTGGCTTTAGAAGGTTAGAGGCTTTCCATTTAATTTAGTTCTAGGAAACCCTTAGGTTCCCTGCCTCCAGACCCTATTTCCTGCCTCAGTCCCAGCTATCCTGGAGGCTGAGGTGGGAGGATCACCTGACCCTGGGAAGTTGAGGTTCCAGTGAGCAGTGGGCGTGCCACTGCCCTCATGCCTGGGCGACAGAGTGAGACTGTCATGAAAACAAAAAGAAAACAAAACAAATGTTAAACCAGATCACCCTGAAGAAAAAGTAATTAATGAAAATAAAAGGCTTTTAGGCCAGGCACAGTCGCTCATGTCTGCAATCACTGCACTTTGCGGGGGCCTAGCCACAAGGATCGCTTGAATCTAGGAGTTTGACATCAGCCTGGGCAACATAGCGAGACCTCGTCTCTGCAACAACAAGAACAACAACAAAAAATTAGCTGGGAATGGTGTGCACGTATAGTCCCAGCTACTTGGAAGGCTGAGGTGGGAGGATCATCTGAGTCCGGGAGGTCAAGACTGCAGTCAGCTGTGATCACATCACTGCACTCCAGCCTGGGTGACAAAGTGAGACCCTGTCACGAAAAATAAATAAATAAATAAATAAATAAAATAATGTGTTTGCATGGCAAAATACCCAAAACTATAAGCGAAGTCAAAAGACAAATCACAAACTGGCTTTTTTAAAAGTTGTAATTCCTGCCATCAAAGAGCTAATTTCCCTAATTTGTATAAAGCTCCTGGAAATCAATGGGAACAGAAAAAGAAATTGAATAGAAAAATGGGCAAAGAACATGAATAAGCTGTATGCAGAAAAAGAAATACAAATGGTTTGTAGACATATGAAAACATGCTCAAATGCATAGGAAGAGAAGCACAAATATAAGAATGCCTGGCCCAGTGTGGTGGTGGCTCACGCCTGTAATCCCAGCACTTTTGGAGGCAGAGGCGGGCAGATCACCTGAGGTCAGGAGTTGGAGACCAGCCTGGCCAACGTGGTGAAACCCTGTCTCTACTAAAAATACAAAAATTAGCCAGGCGTGGTGGTGTGCACCTGTAATCCCAGCTACGCAGGAGGCTGAATCAGGAGAATTGCTTGAACCCAAGCAGTTCTTGGGGGGAGGTTGCAGTGAGCCAAGATGGCGCCACTGCACTCCAGCCTGGGAGACAGAGTGAGACTCTGTCTCACAACAAAAAAACAAACAAAAAAGAGAATGCCTTGTGATACAATTTTTCACCTATCAGATGGGCACAAAAATTTAAATATTAAAACAGCATACTGTTTTGGCCAAGGCTCTGAAAAACAGAACTAATAATAGTCCACCAAAGTATTATGAAAATTTTAAACTGAAAACATCCAATCAGTAGCCACAGGGAAAAACATTATTTAAACTTAAACCGAGCCTTCTGAAAATACAACTGCCTGTGTAAATAAACCTTGTCTCTACTATTGTTAATCTGTCTATAGTTAGTTCAGAGCCCCTCTATCATCACCATTTAACCTGGTTGGTTAGAGAAGTATGTAAATGTATCATTCTTTGGTATTTTATCACGTGTAGATTTGCATAACCACCACTACCATCTAGATGCTCACAAAGATCTCCCTCATTTCAGTTTACTTACAACAAAAGGAGTTTTGTTGTACCTTCCCCAGCCTACCCTACCCCCAGAGGTAATGACTTTTATTAGATTTCTATGCAGTCTAAGGTGGAGCCTAGTTCTAAAAACAAAAACCTTGGTACTTGTACACAGTGGACTATTTTGCAACTATTTAAATTTTAAAAAGGAGTGAAAAAGCTCTCTAAGTCTTAATATGCAAATATCTCTTGAATATATTGCTAAATGAAAAAAAAAAAGGAAGGCACAGAATAGGATACATAGTATGCTACATTTTTGAAAGGACAGGGAGAAAAATAAGAACGTGTATTCCTATTTGCTTATATTTGTTTTAAGAGAACACTAGAAGGATACGTAAGAAACTAATTTAAAAAAAAAAGAAACAGGTTGCCTATGGGAGAGGTTGAGAAGTGGGCTGGATGAGGATGTGATAACAGAGCTTTTTTGAGCCTTGTTTGTATGTTACCTATTAAAACCAGAAGAAAATATTAAAGCCAACTGGAGAAGGGATGTCATGGGGTAGGGCACGTTCATAGATTATTACTTGAACTCTAATAAGTTCAAGATTATTACTTGAACTCTAATAACCAAGCCATAAGTGAATGGTTTGGTTTTTGAAAATCATAAGATGGGTTGAATTTTCAGTCTCCAAAGTCAGGCATGTAAACCACAAATTCCAGCACAAGCTGCACAACAGAATGACCTGGGGTGCTTTTTAGCAGTAAGGATGCCCAGGGCAGAGTCTACTCTTGAATCACAATCTTAGATGTTGTGGCTATGATAGCTCTTTTTTAAGTTCTCCAAGTGATACAGCTATGCAGCTGATATGATTTGGCTGTGTCGCCACCCAAATCTCAACTTGAATTGTATCTGCTAGAATTCTCGCATGTTGTGGGAGGGACACAGGGAAGTAATTTAATTGTGAGGGCCAGTATTTCCCGTGCTATTCTTGTGATAATGAATAAGTCTCATGAGATCTGATGTGTTTATCAGGGTTTCCACTTTTGCTTCTTTCTCATTTTCTGCTGCTGCTATGTAAGAAGTGCCTTTTGCCTCCTGCCATGGTTCAGAGGCCCTCCCAGCCATATGGAACTGTAAGTCCAGTTAAACCTCTTTTTCTTCCCAGTCGCAGGTATGTCTTTATCCACAGTGTGAAAATGGACTAATACAGCAGCCAACATGGTAACCCCTTGTTCCCATACAACGGGTGTGTATGGCCCCTTGGCAGATATCAATCCAGTGTCCACAACTAGGGAGGATTTAGCAAGGGGATTTTATTACTTGTAACAAGTTAAGGAGAACACTGGGATTATTCCCACAACAGTGTCTTCCCTGAGCTTGGGGCTGGATCAGGTTTTGTAAGCATGGGGTAATGAGGTGTGATCTGATTTGATCCTGCAATGAGTTGATGCCAGGAGGCATGATCTGACCAGATCCTGCCAGGGTGTGACCCAGGAGCTCATCTGATTAGATCCTTGATCCTGCCATAAAGTGTCCACTTCTTATAATAATTAAGTCCTTACTCCTCAGTCCCAGCACTTAGGTTCTCTTTGTGGTTGCATGCTTGATTCATCTGGGTATGCCCAGTTTTATGTAACCTGAGGTCCATGACAACTGAAAAACAACTCACCACTTTGTTACATAAAAATGGAATCAGATTGGCCTGGGGAGGCTACACACTGATTTAAATCTCAGGGACATTCTTTCTCAGACACTAATAGATTAGTTGGTAAATGTTACTGTAATAAACTAGTTTAATTATTGTAACAATATTCAGCAGTTAGGATCTTATCCTTAAAATTGTTCTGTGTCATACTAAACACATTATCTAAAACCTACTCCTAGCTTTTAAAAGCAAGCCTACTTTGAATCCCTTTGAAAACAGGCTGGGCATGGTAGCTCAGGCCTATAATCCCAGCACTTTGGGAAGCCAAGGCAGAAGGATCACTTGAGGCCCAGAGTTTGAAACTAGCCTGGGTAACATAGCAAGACTGTCTCTACAAAAAGTTAAAAAATTATCTGGGTGTGGTGTCGCACACCTGGAGTCATAGCTAGTCAGAAAGCTGAGCCAGGAGGATTGCTTGAACCTAGGAGGTAGAGGCCACAGTGAGCCATGGTCCTGCCATTGCACTCCATCCTTAGTGACAAAGCAAGACCCTATCTCAAAAAAATAAAATAATAAAATGAAAATGAAATCCCAAAGCATACGTGGTTCAGGCAATTGTACATACTTTTAAGTCTTAAAATTTTTGCTGGGCATAATGGCTTACAATTGTAATCTCAGCACTTTGGGAGGCTAAGACAGGAGGATCACTTGAGGCCAGGAGTTCAAGGCCAGCCTGGGCAACATAGCAAGACCCCATCTCTATTTCTAAAACAGAAAGAAAAAACTATGTAAAGTTTCTTAATTAAAGTTTTTTCTTGTTAAATATTTCTAATATACAGAAAAGTCCAAAAACTAATATAACTGATACCCATATACACACAACCCACCTTTGCTACAGATTTGTTTTAAAGGTTAGTCAAGTGAAGCAATATTACATATTTTTTCAAAAGAAATAAAACAGACCAGTCATGGTGGCTCATGCTTGTAATCCCAGCACTTTGGGAGGCCAAGGTGGGCAGATTGCTTGAGGCCAGGAGTTCGAGATCAGCCTGGCTAACATGGTGAAACCCCGTCTCTACTAAAAATACAAAAATTAGCTGGGCATGGTGGCATATACCTGTAGACCCAGCTACTTGGAGACTGAGGCACAAGAATCACTTAAACCCAGGAGGTGCAGTTTGTAGTGAGCTGAAACCACGACACTGCACTCCAGCCTGGGTGATAAAGCAAGATTCTGTCTCAAAAAAAAAGAGAAGAAAAAAAAAAAAGAAAGAAAACAATGCTAACACAGAACTCACACTTCCACCCTCTCCTCAGATACAACCTCCATCCTGAAGCTCATCTGTATGCTTCCTGTTTGTGTTTTTAAACTTTTACTATATCTTTATGTCCTCATAAGAATATGTACTATCATTTGGTGTTTTAAAGTGTACATAAATGCTGTCATCCTGAACAAATCCTCTCGCTAACTGCATCTTTAACTCTATACTATATTTTCAAGATTTGTCCATGTTGATCCACGTAGCTCCCTAGTTCCCTTTAACTGCTATAAGATATTCTGTTGCATCAATATATGACAATTTATGCATGCTTTGTTGACAGGTAATTGGATTTTTAGTGTTTTGCCTTTACAAAAATCACTGCATCTTTTGCACATGTCTACTTGTGCATATGAACTGAGGTAAAATTGCTGGGCCTTACTGTAAATATGTTGTTTTAATTCACTTTGCGCTGCTGTAACAGAATACCATAGACTGGGTGCTTATAAAGAAAAGAAATTTATTTCTCATAGTTCTGGAGAATGGGAATTCCAAGATCCATTCACAGGTTCGGTTGTCTGGGGAAGACTTTCTTCACACATCCTCACTTGGCAGAACGGAAGGGCCTGGGTTGATGCTGTGTGAAACCTCTTTTATAAGGGCCTTAGTCTCATTCCCAAGGAGGAGCTCTCATAACCTAATCACCTCTTAAAGGCCCCCCACTCAATACTATGACATTGAATTTCAACATCTGAATTTTAGAGGGGACACATGCAAACCATGTCATATGTCTTTATCTTTACTATCACTAAATTGTCCAAAGTGATTGCAACAGTGATTTATATACTCAACCCACAGAGTATAAGAATTTCTCCTTTCTAGCTGGGCACGGTGGCTCACGCCAGTAATCCCAGCACTCTGGGAGGCCGAGATGGGCGGATCACTTGAGGCCAGGAGTTCAAGACCAGCCTGGCCAACACAGTGAAACCCCATCTCTACTAAAAATAGAAAAAATTAGCTAGCTATGGTGGCGCACACCTGTAATCCTAGCTATTTGGGAGGCTGAGGCAAGAGAATTGCTTGAACCTGGGAGGCTGAGGTAGCAGTGAACTGAGATCGTACCATTGCACTCCAGCCTGGGTGACAGAGCGAGACTCTGTCTCAAAAAAAAAAAAAAAAAGAAAAGAAAAAAAATTTTCTTCTTTCTCCCCACAACCTTTCCTAACTCTTAAGGGTCAAGTAGTTGGGGAGAAGCTTCAGGAGACAACACAATATCTCTGATATGTCTTCCTTTGCCTTTCATATATTGTGAAAGCTTCTAGGTTTAAAGCACTTTAAGAATGTTTAGAGCAATACTTCATTATGCTGGAGCATAGCGGAGGAAGGGAACTAACTCAATTCTTTTGGGTTTCACAAATGAGCCTTTACCAGAACATTCCACAGTCAGGAGTTCTTAACCTTCTTTGTGTCTTGAATGAAGAGTAAACCACAAGATTAAACAACAATGTAGTAAAGTTTATAGACCTTTTCTCAAGGATTCAAAATGCATAAAATATAGAGGGTTACAAAGGAAATCAATCTATTTTTTTCCCCAAAGACGCTAGATATAAAAATACTTTTTAATTGTGATATAGTAATGTGTGTTTGTTAATTAAATAAGATATAGCAGTAGTTCTATTCACAGATAACTGCTGTGAATTTGAAGTAGTGAAGAGCACAAATAATATTTCAAGATATTTGCACCAAATCAATGTGATATAAAAGTATCTGTAATTTCTTTTGATGACAGAGTCACAGATACTGCTAAAACTACTGTAACTTGTTGCTTACATTCATAATAGAAGGAAATGCTGTATTTTAGTTAGAGGTTAGTGAAATGAGGATGTAATTTTACCCACATCCAAGTTCATGGACTTTATTATTCTGTCCACGAGGCCCAGATTTGATCATCAACACTTCTAAGTGCAACAGAACTCTGGTCAGTTGAGTAAGAAACAGATCAGACTCAAGCTCTGGAAAGTATTTGGCAAGGCATAAATAGCCATTATTCCATTCAAGTAGCAATTGCTGTTCTATACAAAAAAATGTGATGATGTGGTACAATGGGTTATAACTGTGGAAAATCATTTTGATGGAGAGGACACCAAAGCTGCAAAGGCTGAGGTCAACACTGAAGGGCAGGGGACATTAGAAAATCAACATCAAAACATCAGGCTGTGCAGTCAAAGGCCAGGAAAAGAAAAGCTTCTTTTATTAAAGACTGTCATAGTATTAATAAATGGAAAATTTTTTCTGCCGAAAAATGTTAGGTAATATCTCTCAATGCTTTGGTTAAAAATGGATTCCATTCACTTAGCATATGTCACTGTATTTTATGAAGAGCATCTTCAATAATTTTACCCTGTGATCCTATACCATTTCTAACCTTTTTAAGTACAATTGTCTCTGTTATTGTGTCTATGAATCTAAAATCACTGCTATGTTTTGAATGGTCCTATACTTTGTCAGTAGCAATACTGAAATCAAGAGGCTCACAGTTGTGTCCGTGGGAAAAATAGGTATTAATGTAAGATCCACTGGCTTTTAAGTTTCTCAGTAGTGAGCTTTCTTTTCTTTTCTTTTTCTTTTTTTTTTAAGATGGAGTCTCACTTTGTCGCCCAGGCTGGAGTGCAGTGGTGTGATCTTGGCTCACTGCAACCTCTGCCGCTGGGGTTCAAGCAATTCTCCTGCCTCAGCCTCCCGAGTAGCTGGGATTACAGTTGCCTGCCACCGCACCTAGCTAATTTTTGTAGTTTTTAGCAGAGATGGGGTTTCACCATCTTGGCCAGGGTGGTCTTGAACTCCTGACCTATTGATCCACCTGCCTCGGCCTCCCAAAGTGCTCGGACTACAGGTGTGAGCCACTGCACCCGGCCTCGTGAGCTTTCTTTTAAAGATAAACTTAGGTACAAAGGTGATATATTAACTAACAGACACATAGAATTCTGTCACAGGTTTAGTGAAGTAAATAATCTCCCTTAGAAATAAGAAATGTGGGCAATGTATTATAGTTTTTGAAATGTAATAGGTAAGTTTCATGAGCATTTTGTGAAGAAGCCTAGTTGACACATTCTTTCATTCATTCAAATATATATCAAGAACCCCATTCAAGGCTCCACCACCAGCCAGTGAGCGGACTTGGCCCCCATGCTTACTTCTCTTCCTTCTCCAATTTCCATTCTTTTTTTTTTTTTTTTTTTTTTTGAGACGGAGTTTCGCTCTTGTTGCCCAGGCTGGAGTGCAGTCATGTAATCTAGGCTCACCGCAACCTCCGCCTCCTGGGTTCAAGTGATTCTCCTGCCTCCACCTCCCGAGTAGCTGGGATTACAGGCATGTGCCACCATGCCCGGCTAATTTTGTATTTTTAGTAGAGATGGGGTTTCTCCATGTTGGTCAGGCAGGCCTTGAACTCCCGACCTCAGATGATCCGCCCGCCTGGGCCTCCCAAAGTGCTGGGATTACAGGCGTGAGCCACCATGCCTGGCCTCCAATTTCCATTCTTTCCCCCCTTTCTTCCTTCTTTCTTCGTGCCAGCTGCCACTGACCATTCTCTCCTGCTGCTGCTAGCAGCGTTCTTCCCCTTCTTGAGCCCCTTTGCACTTCGATTCTTACCTCACTTCTCCTTTACCCTTCTTTTTAATTCTTCCTGTCCATCTCATCAAGGAGAAAATACCTTATGTCCCCTTTGTCCTCCTTTCTAGCCCAAAGTTTTCCTGTCCCAACTCTGTCTTTAATGAGAAAAAATGTTCCGTGCAACTTTGCCCCAAACTGACTCCTACTTCTGAAAACAAAACAAAACAATTAGCTAGGAAAATTGAGACGCATACCACTTTTCTTCTAACTGGCCAGTGTTTCTTGTTCCCGGGTGAATCCAGAGCAGAGTATGTCTGCTCCTAGGCACATAGTTGCAAAGAGTGACCAACATGCAGCAAAGATTGACAGTGGTTTCAAACGTAGTGACTCGTCCACAGTTTCTCTTTTTCTTGACTTTTCAGCGTGTAATCAAAACTACTCAGAAAACATATTTCAGTATTTTACTGCATTTGTTAAAGGATTTGGGACACTACAACAGGAAGGCACTCTCATGGCAAGCAATGATGGCTGGCAGTTTAACTAGATCGTTACTGCTGCTGTTTCTGTGATGACAACCTCCACTTCTGTGTTCTTAGCAGTTGTGTAGAAATAGTCATTACAGCGTATTGAGCTCTTTACTATATGCTCAGCCCTTTTATGGATGGTCTTACTAATCCTCACAAAACTCCAAGAGGTTGGTACCTGCATTTTACAGGTAAGGAAACTGAGACTCTGAGAGGTTTTAACTGAGAGGTTAAAAATCACTTGCCCAAGACCACATAAATTAAATATCAGAAGCTAGGATTTGAAACTAGTTCTTTCAGACTTCAGAGGTTATTTTCTTAATTTTTATGCTGCCTGTAAGATGCTGAAAAAAAAAATTAGCCACGGAAATTACAAAAGCCCAGCTGCCTGGGCTCTCTCAGCACAGGGCAGGTAGCTCTATGTCCTCCCCAGCTCCCTGGGCCCACTCAGGGCAGGGAAGGGCAGGTAGCTCTGTGCCCTCACAAGAGAAGGCTCTTGATAATGGTGAGTTTTAGACATCAGTGGTGCTATAGTTCCAGTTTCCCCTTCTAAAATGTCAGTGAAATGTGAAATACATTGGAGAATGAAATTTTTTGAGAAAGTTCTGTCTCCTTGATTGGTAAAAGTTAGTTATCTGGGAAATTTGTTTATTTAAAACAGCTCATAGCTGGATAAAGAAGGTATCACATCATGTTAACAACTAATTTGTGTTATGTTTAAAAGACTGAATTTAAAAATGCGCTAGGTTAAGTTTCCTTATTTTGGTGACATGAAATATAAGAATGGGTTATAAAGTCATTCCCAAAGAAAATGATATTCAAGTACCTTTCTTTCATGTGTGTATGTTCCCTACAGCTAAGAAGAAATTTCCTGACTTGTTTGTCTTCTTGGAAGATTCCTCCTCATGTCTCAAAATCTTCCCAGTCAGAAGCTCTACTCAATATAACAAATAATGGAATACACTTTGCTCCCCTGCAAACATTTACAGATGAGGAAATGATGATAAAGAGTTCAGGTAAGTAAATTTATCAGTGTCACCTTTTTCTCCCCAGACAGGATCTCTGGAGCATAGTGGTGCAATCATGGCTCACTGCAGCCCCACCTCTGGGCTCAAGCTATCCTGCTTCAGCCTCCTGAATAGCTGGAAAAATATCACCTTATTATTCCTCTGGTCATGAATTGGGTCTACAATATGAAGTCACATATGACAGGATTGAAAGATATGTTCATCTAAATTTGTGATGAAGAAAAGCAATGCATATCCAATATTAAAACAACAGAATAAAAGGCTATGTAGTTAAAAGTGAAGACTCTCCCACCCATGTTCTCTAGTTCCCCAGTTCTTGCCACCTTGTTACCAGTTTCTTATATAGCCTTGCAGAGTTAGAAGTACATTTATATTCCACTTTTCTTTAGATAGTGGGTTTTCTTTTTCTTTCTTTCTTTCTTTTTTTTCTTTTTTTTTTTGAGATGGAGTCTCACTCTGACACCCAGGCTGGAGTGCAGTGGCGCAATCTCGGCTCACAGCAACCTTTGCCTCCTGGGTTCAAGCAATTCTCCTGCCTCAGCCTCCTGAGTAGCTGGGACTACAGGCACGTGCCACCACGCCTGGCTAGTTTTTTTGTATTTTGTTTTTTAGTACAGACGTGGTTTCACCGTGTTAGTCAGGATGGTCTCGATCTCCTGACCTCATGATCTGCCCTCCTTGGCCTCCCAAAGTGCTGGGATTACAGGCGTGAGCCACCATGCCCAGCCTAGATAGTGGGTTTTCATACTTTACGTGGAATTTCAATTTTACCTTTATCTATGAAACACCTGTGGTTGAAACACGGAGCCCAAATGAAGCAGAAGTTGTATACCACTAAACCTTAAAGCAGTTTGCATTCATTTATTTATGGGTATAGATATAGGTGTAAAATTATGATATATTTAAAAATCCATAGCAGAACATCAGAATGTTGTTCTTAGAGAATATGGATGTTAAGTGTATTCGTTTTCTATTGCTTGGTATTGAATCACTACAAACTTAACAAGTTAAAACAGCACCGGTGTAGTGGCTCACAGTTCTGTAGGCCAGAAGTCCAGCTGGAGCAAGTCCAGGCGCAGGGTCTCAGAAGGTCAACATCAGTGTGTCAGTTGGGCTGTGTTTTCGTCCAGAGCTCAGGGTCCTTCCAAGCTCCCGTGGTTGTGTCAGTACGCAGTTCTTTGCTGTTGCAGGGCTGAGGTCTTGTTGCCCAGCTGGCTGTCAGCCAGAGGTTGTCCCCAACTCCTGGAGGCCTCTGTATTCCTTGCCATGTGGCTCCCTCCATCTTCAAAACCAGTAACTCTCCCTCCCAGCATCGAGTCTCTCTCATCCTTAAAACCTGTTTCACCAGAAAGAGCCCCACCTTTTTTAAGGGCTCACCTGATTAGGTCAGGCCCACCAATCTCCATGTTTTAAGTTCAGCTGATTTGGAAGCTTAATTGTAAAATCCCTTCACAGCAGCACTTAGATTCATGTTTGAATAACTGAGAGAGGACATGTATACACCAGCGGCTGGGAATCTTGGCACTGTCTTAGAACTCTGTCACAATAAGTAAATTTCTTTTCTTTCTTTTTTTTTTGAAAGGGAGTTTTGCTCTTTTTGCCCATGTTGGAATGCAATGGCACTATCTCGGCTCACTGCAACCTCTGCCTCCTGGGTTCAAGCAATTCTCCTGCCTCAGCCTCCCAAGTAGCTGAGATTACAGGCGTGTGCCACCACGCCCAGCTAATTTTGTACTTTTAGTAGACATAGGGTTTCACCATGTTAGCCAGGCTGGTCTCGAACTCCTGACCTCAGGTGATCCACCAACCTCGGCCTCTCAAAGTGTTGGGATTACAGGCATGAGCCACTGCGCCCAGCTAGTAAATTTCTTTTCCTTTGCTCCCTCGCCTTTTAGATATGGTCTCAGGGAAGTGAGTTTGGGATAGCTAAGGAAAAACAAGAGTGAGTGGTTAGTTTACATAAATCAAAGAATTTGCTTAGAGTATCTTGATTCTCTGTCTTCAGTCTTATTTATTTCTTTAGTATCCACCTAGTCTAAGCACAGAAGCAATAAAGATGGGCAAGAAAAAAATCACTGCTTTTAAGGAACTCAGAATCTAGTGGCAAAGACAGTCGAATAAAGGAAATAGTTTCAGAATAACATGGTAAATGTCATGGAGGTATTTGGGGAACAAAGCAGAGAACACCTAGACTTTGCTAGGCGTGGCAGAAGTGGGCTAAGGAAGCAGTCAGGAAAGGCTTCCCAGAGAGTGTGGAGCTTGAGCTGTACCATGAAGGACAAAGTGCAGTTGGCCAGCTGGACAAGGGAAGGGAAGAGATTCTACATAATGAGAGTCGCGTGTGCAGAAACGAAGGAATACTGAAGCAAGCCACATGCACTGAACCCGGTTGCCTTCTCTACCGACTTGGTATTACATTGGTAGTAAACTTAAGAAGGTGTTTTCATCAAAATGATTTATAAATGCATCTAAGTCTTAAAAACATTAAAAAATGAAACAGCGGTTTTCAGTGGGGGCAAGTTTGCCCCCAGCGGACATTTAGCAACATTTAGAGACATTTTTGATTGCCACAACTTAGAAGTAGGGGACGCTCCTGGCAGCTAGTGGGGCCGTGGCCGGGCTGCTGCTCAACATCCTGCAATGCACAGGACAGCCCCACAACAAAGACTCACCTGCCCCAAAATGTCAATAGTGCCAAGGTGGGGAAACCCTGTTCTGTATGACCAAGCAGCTATGAAAACGACCAGGTTAGATGGGATATGCTGACATAGAAAGATCATCAAGATATAGTTGAGGGGAAGCAAGGCACACACCAGTGTGTATCTCATGATTCCTTTGTGTGAACATGTATGTGTACAGTTAAGTATAGATGATTTTCAAAGAAAAGTTTTCAGAAAGAATACATAATAAATTTAAAATTAGTCACCTTTGGGTAGAGTGGAAATGGCTTTCATTTTTCATTTTGTGCTTTCTTTATTGCTTGTGTTTTTGCACCATCTACACATATCATTTATTTTGTGAGGTCATCAAGAGTTACAAAGGGATATGGGAAACTACACCTTTCTATGTTAAAAAGAAAACTTTATAAATTCTATTTTAAAAATATAAGAAGGGTACCTGTGTATATTTTAACTTAGTTAAAATGTAAAATTTTGTCAGCAAACTATTAATGTGACTGTCACTTTAACATAGACTTATCAGTAATTCTTTTTCCTACAGTTAAAAAATTTGCTCAGGAACAAATTGCACCTTTGGTTTCAACCATGGATGAAAATTCGAAAATGGAGAAATCAGTAATACAAGGATTATTTCAACAAGGGGTACATTTCATAATTCTTCCACTTTCAAGCTTCTATAATTAAATTCAGGGACTGTAATGATAGCATAATGAACCCTGCATTTCCCAGTCAAAATTATCTGTTTTCTTTTTTTGGTTGAAATCCTACTTGATATTTATGTACTTAAAAGTTCTTAAAAATGGAATTAACATTTTTTAATTTGAAATACTGTATATTTTAAGGAAAAGTTTGGAAGTAAGATGGTAATTTATTTGTATCTTTAGACCAGCGGTTCTCAAATGGGGGCAGTTTTGCCCTCCAGGGGACATTGGGCAACGTCTAGGGACATCTTTGGTTGCCACAGCTAAGGCGTGCTACTGGCATCTAGTGGGATAGAGACAAGGGATGCCACTCAACATCCTGTAGTGCACAGGACAACTGCCACAACAAAGAATTATCCAACCCAATGCCACCATGAAGAAACCCTACTTTAGATAGTGAAACTTCATAGCATAGTTTATATTCTACCTGAAGCTCTATATAAGTGATAAACTTAGAAGCAGAGGTGATACATGAATTCCACATAAACCGGGCAACAGATTCCCATCTTCTCAAGTCACATAGCTCTTTAATGGAAATACAACGTATGAAATAGATACAAGTAAAACCGCTCTCACTGTGAGTAGGGGGAGGGGCTATTAGCATAGGGGCTTCTAGAAGAACATTTTAAAAATCACTGCACGCATCATTTCTCACTTCCGCAGAGGTATAAAATATATTTTTTTTAATTTTTAATACTAAAGATGTCCCAGAACAAGTGGCTGCTATTCAGAGCCATTGGCCTAAATCTTGTCTGCCATCTGGTTTGAAAAATAACCATTGCCACTTAGCTAGATAGTTTTATTTATTTCTGTTTTAAAGCAACCAGCTTTTTTATACCGTGTGTAGTAGTGATTCTTCCATCTTTCTTTTAGCAGTCAAACTCTTAGGAAACTGGAATCTTATGTGGAACCATAGTGGTCAAACAGGAGGCCGATGTGGAGAACAGATGGACTCTGTGAGTCCATTTCTCAGCCAGGTTTTATTTCTATTGCTTGCAGACCCTCTAGGCTTCTGGGAGCAGTCTCACGGTTTCACAGTGTGAGATCTCCCCCGCGGTGGTCGTTCCTGCAGCGGGGCTGTCTGCAGAGTGATGCATTGCCTGCACCCTGCTACTCATCTCCACAAACCACTCCTGTGCAGATGCAGCCTCACCTGCCTCCTCACTCCCATTGTCCTGGGTTTTTGGCATAATGGCTTGCAAAAACACTATTTCCACGTTGGGAGAGATTAGTGACTTTTTTAGAGAAGCAATGTCTCTGATATCTGTTCGAGTCATTGTAATGAGGTTTCCGGAGTGCCCTCCTCAGTTCTCAGGCAAACCCAGATCCTTCCGTTCTTCCTCGTTTCTGGTTTTCTCACCATTCAGTCGCTCGCATTTCTGGTTCCCTTTTCCTGTTGTAGCCCAAAATGTAACAGCCACAGCCCTGACTGCAGCATAGTGTGACTCCAGGAATGTCTAGAGAGAGACTAAGAGAATTATCCTTCTGTTAGCAGCTGTGGGTTTTGAATTACACATGCACACATTCTCTTTGTGAAATTGAGAGTACTATGTGAGTTTCAGTAACGATGGAACTGGGTCGTTGGAAAGGCTTGGCTGGCACTGGTCGTGTTTACCAGGCCCTCGTGCTTTGGCTAGTGTGGCTCTAGCAAACACCACCACATGTTCTCTGCTAACCATCCTGAACTTATGAAGTGGCGTAAAAGGAATGGTCATTCAATTATTAACTTGGCTGAAAAAGTCAAGGTGAAAGAGCCTGACTAGAAGAAACTTTGCCAAATGAAACTATAGACATCCCATTGAGGAGTAGGTTATTTTCTTCTGTTTCCTTATTACATTGAAATCAGCATAAGGTGGGTAGGGCATGTTGAAAAATCAAAACCCCACCTACCTGCTTTAAGCAGGCAACAACAGTTCTTAGCAAGAAAGGTCATCTAAGTATATAAGATATTTTCTCATTCCATTAAGCTACCCTTTAAAGCATTTTACCTCTCATTATTTTTTGAATCCCAAAAGGAAGCAAATGATAGCATATAATTTTATCCTTTTCAAATATACAGTTTCTGTTACAGATTTTTTTGTTACTTATGGCAAAATTGCTATACCAAATTAAAATAAAATATAAATACAAAATTTTAAAATTAAGAATAATTATGGTGGCTGGGTACAGTCGCTCACGCCTGTAATCCCAACACTTTGAGAGGTTGAGGTGGGTGGATCACCTGAGGTCAGGGGTTCGAGACCAGACTGGCCAACATGGCGAAACCCCATCTCTACTAAAAAAAAAAAAAAAAAATTAGCTGGGTGTGATGGTGGGCACCTGTAATCCCAGTGACTTGGGAGGCTGAGGCAGGAGAATTGCTTGAACCCAGGAGGTGGAGGTTGCAGTGAGCTGAGATTGCGCCATTGCACTCCAGCCTGGGAGACGGAGCAAGACTGTCTCAAAAAAAAAATAATAATAATAAATATGGTTACAGTTTATTTTTTAACTTGTTCATGCAAGAAATTTCCCCATATAAAAATAGCTTTCTTAATCTATGTTGCCTTGTTTTTTCTTTAGTTGATGGGTATTGAAGTTGACCCAGAATATGGAGGCACAGGAGCTTCATTTTTATCCACTGTGCTCGTGATAGAGGAATTAGCCAAAGTTGATGCATCTGTGGCTGTCTTTTGTGAGATCCAGAACACATTAATTAACACACTGATTAGAAAACATGGAACAGAAGAACAAAAGGCCACCTATTTGCCTCAGCTCACTACAGAAAAAGTGAGTTGAGATGAATTGTTGATCTAATGGATCTAATCTTTAGTAAGTTTACAATATTTTCAGGAAAAAAGTAGCTGCAATGTCGACTTTACTATCCAAGACCACAATGCGGTATCATTAATTCAAGCAATGCTTGATAAATTAATGCTGCTGGAAAAGTACACTCTACCTCTTATTTGCCAGTTGGAAATTTAGAAAATAATCATCAGATAATAAAATTATTTCTTTTTGTCCTGATTATATTTTCTAATACGTTTGTTGATGGTTTCATTTACGTTGTGATGTCTTTCTGCTGTAATTATTCAAATCAATTTCAATGAGTATGTGTTCGTGAGTCTTTAAATTTGTCTTGGACAAATAGGGTATATTTTTTGGAAAATAATACTTTCAGAATACCATTGCTATTTTCATAAATATAGGCTTTTTAAAAAAGCAGCTAAAGATTTGATTTACAAATGTCCATTTTTCCATAAGTATTTGTTATACAGAGTATAAATACAGTTATTAATTTGGACATTTTTTTCTCCCATATGTAGGTAGGAAGTTTCTGCCTTTCAGAGGCTGGAGCAGGTAGTGACTCATTTGCTTTGAAGACCAGAGCTGATAAAGAGGGAGATTATTATGTCCTCAATGGATCAAAGATGTGGATCAGCAGTGCTGAGCACGCAGGGCTCTTTCTGGTGATGGCAAATGTAGACCCTACCATTGTAAGTTTGAAAACGAAATTTCTTTCTTTTTCCAAACCCCTTCTTTTCTCTTTCTTTATCTTTTCCTCCTTCTGTTTCCTTTTTAGGACTTCATCTTGAACTCTTTAGTCTTCTCAGTACTGAAAATGTCAGACTTGAGCTGGCATTTTTTCACTTCGTTAATCTCCTAAAGTAAATATTGTTGACAAAATTATTAATTAGAATTGGCCCACCATATCTGTGGATTCAACCAACTCTGGATTGAAAATATTTGATTAAAAAAAAATTCTGCAAAGTTCCAAAAAGTAAAACTTGAATTTGCTTTGTGCCAACTACCATATTGAATTCACGTGAATAAAGTGACATGCATGTATTATGTTAGGTATCAGATAATCTAGAGATGATTTAGAGTCTACCGGAGCATGTGCATAGGTTATATGCAAATATTACACCATTTTATGTAAGGTACTTGAGCACTGTCAGATTTTGGTATCCATGGGGGTCCTGGAACCACTCCGCCACAGATATGGAGGGATGACTGTTTGTGGAGGACCAACTGTTACTTAGCTCCTAATGGGTTATGTAGGAAGCTAATCTTTTTTCTTTTCTTTTTTTTTTTTTTTTTAATATGGAGTCTCGCTGTATCTCCTAGGCTGGAGTGCAGTGGTGTGATCTCACCTCACTGCAACCTCCTCCTCCTGAGTTCAAGCGATTCTCCTGCCTCAGCCTCCCAAGTATATGAGACTACAGGTGTGCACCACCACGCACAGCTAATTTTTGCATTTTTTGTAGAGACAGAGTTTCGCCATGTTGGCCAGGCTGGTCTCAAACTCCTGACGTCGGATGATCTGCCTGCCTCGGCCTCCCAAATTGCTGGGATTATAGGCGTGAACCACTGCACCTGGCCCTAATCTTTAATTTTGTTGAATTTCCAATTTCTGTTTAGTAATGAAGAATTTAAGTACCTATTTAGTACATTTATTTTTAAGAATATTTTATTCAGTTGGAAAATAGACATATAGCAAAATAATAAATACATTTTTTCACCAGTAAATACAGTATTTTCACTAATGTAACAATTGAATTAAATTGTTAAAACTTTTTTTTTTTTTTTTTTTTGAGACGGAGTTTCGCTCTAGTTGCCTAGACTGGAGTGCAAGGCTGTGATCCCAGCTCACTGCAACCTCCGCCTTCTGGGTTCAAGCAATTCTCCTGCTTCAGCCTCCTGACGGGTGCCTGCCACCACACCCAGCTAATTTTTGTATTTTTAGTAGAGACGTTTTTTCACCATGTTGGCCAGGCTGGTTTCAAACCCCTGACCTCAGGTAATCCGCCCGACTCAGCCTCCGAAAGTGCTGGGATTACAGGCATGAGCCACCGCACCTGGCCTAAAACTTTATATAGTAAAATTAAATTGAGAACATGACATTCTCATGATTATATAATAGTGTAATAATAATTTTAATATTTATGATGGTCTCTGAAAAAGTGAAACAAATGGTAAGGTTCTATAGTTTGGATCTAATGTCCTCTAGCTGCTCTCGTTTCATAATGCCCATGTTGCAATTCTGAGTCCATTAGTATTTATTACCAAAGTCCATTTTTAGTTTTCTTTTTACTTAAACTCTTCAGAAACAAGGCGTTTTATAAATCCAAGTGGTAATAGCGTTTTAATTCTTCTTTTTAGGGATATAAGGGAATTACCTCCTTCTTAGTAGATCGTGATACTCCGGGCCTTCATATAGGGAAACCTGAAAACAAATTGGGGCTCAGAGCTTCTTCCACCTGCCCGTTAACATTCGAAAATGTCAAGGTGGGTATCGTAGACTAATCAGTAAAAGACTGATGCGAAATAAGCCTTGCATGGAACCACAGGAGGTGTGCAAGACAGGTGTCAAAATACTAAGTGGCTATAAGCACACGCAGGAGAGTATTTTGTAAAACCCTGAACAGCGCTCTTTAGTCATGACCAGATAAATGTACTTTTCACAAAAGTGGAAACCTTTCTGCCAAGAAGCTGTCCTGGGAAGCAAGTGCCAAGAATTCATCCCATTTATGTTTTATAACTTATGTGCTTCTGACCACGTATACTTTATAAGCTTGAGACTTGTGAACCAAATGGGGCCGCAGAGAAGGAAGTCTGGTGTCAGTGCACTAAAGGCCACAAGATGGGGGTGTTGCTCAGTGAGAGCGGAAACAGCCAGGCTATTAAACGTGAGCAGCAGAAGATCCAGATAGTTAGTGCTGATGCTGGAGAACTCCCTGTAGGTGGGGCAGGTGGTGTCGGCTTTTCCACCACTCATCACAGAGCTTGATCTTTTTTTTGCATGGCTGTGGGGAGTGAGGGGGAGGATGTCTTTACAGATGTCACTGGGGCCTCATTACTTCACCCCAACTGTTTTCCTCATTCTTACTTTCCCATTTCTTTCTCCATTCTTCCCTGCTCTCTCCCCCAACTACCCATATTACAAAACTAAGTATAGTTTTTTATTATTCTTAATTCTTTATTTTTTTAAAGTATGAATAAGCATTTTAGTCTGTTTCTTCTCTCTTCCTCTTTCTTGTGCATACACCTGTGTACACACATGCACACACACATATACCCCACCGTTGATTTTTATGAGGGTGAATGGTCTCAACAGCAGAAAGGCTTACTACACTTGTTTTTGCAAGTATTTGCAGATCTTTGTAGTTCCTAATATGTTATCTCACACTGTAGCCTACAGATAAGAATTGGGGGGGAAAAGTATTAATTTATGTTATTGATGAATTCTATGAGATTCCCTTACTCTAGATTCACTCATCCATTCAATACCTGTGCAAGGCTCTGGAGGATGCAATCATGAACAGCATGGACTTGAGTCCTTTTCCTCAGAGAGCTGTGGAAAAACAGCGTAGAGGGAGACACAGATGCCGGCAAGTTCTGTGAGAGGGCTAGCACACGAATTGAGAGTCTATGTGTACTTACAAATATATAATCAAAATGAATCATGGAAAATGAAACTGAGAAATAAGTGCACATTTGTATTTTCAGGTTCCAGAAGCCAATATCTTGGGACAAATTGGACATGGCTATAAGTATGCCATAGGGAGTCTCAATGAAGGTAGAATAGGAATTGCTGCACAGGTAAGTCAGATTTAAACTCTTCCATGATGTGAGTCAATTAAACTGTGAAAAGAAAAAAATGCAATGAGACCAATGAATATTTGGAAGCTTATGGACACAAGATGGCACCGTTCCCTTACATGAGGGATAGAATGGCTTATTATTTCTTTCAAATTCCCTTTTGGTCAATTATGTAAGTGTCCATAGAACCAAACAATGGCTTGGTGGTAACAGTGTTTCTGCTTTGAGAACATTAAAGTATTATCTAATACCTGAACCGATAGCTTTTCAAATGTATTGTAAATTAAATATGGCACTTTAAAAAAAATCAACTTTTCAAAGCATGAAATTCATTCTGGAAGGAATTTTTTACATTAAGAATAAATAATATTCCTTCCACTGTGTAGTAAAGATATCTATAGTTAATAAAAGATTTGTTGCTTACTGTTTTGCATGTGAAAACTGGGCAAGTTTTTTGGCGGCACATGAAATAAAATAGCCACAGTTAAGTAGATACATAAAATGAGAACTATTCAAAATTTTTTTTTACCAAATTTGGCTTTTATAATGCATATTGCATTTTTCTATTAAGTAATATCAGTTATTTTCCAGATTAACAAAATGAATAAGGTCTTTGGCTTTACTTTAGTGTCAGTTTTGTAGAGTGTATATATATATATATATATATATATATATATATATATATATTTTTTTTTTTTTTTTTTTTTTTTTGAGATGGAGTCTTGCTCTGTTGCCCAGGCCGGAGTGCAGTGGTGCGATCTCGGCTCACTGCAAGCTCCGCCTCCTGGGTTCATGCCATTCTCCTGCCTCAGCCTCCCGAGTAGCTGGGACTACAGGCGCCCGCCACCACGCCCAGCCAATTTTTTTTGTATTTTTAGTAGAGATGAGGTTTCACCATGTTAGCCAGGATGGTCTCAATCTCCTGACCTCGTGATCCACCCGCCTCGGCCTCCCAAAGTGCTGGGATTACAGGCGTGAGCCACCGCGCCCGGCGTTTGTAGAGTATATTTTTAATCAGTGATTATACAAAACTCAAGAACTTAGAGCTTTTCAGTTTTGAAGATGTTACATATAAGCTATTGGAATAAATATTAGATTATTACTCTAGATTTTTTTCTGCTGCTGTTACTTTGCTAACTATTTTTAGACCAAAACTTAGTCTAGTTTTCCTACAATGCTTGACAGTGTGTCACTAAAGAATATTGTTTTATCAGTTCTCTTAAAAGTTTTTCTGTGATTCAACTTAGACATGACATTAGAAACTGCAATACTAGAGCTCATTTTTTTCAGACATATAAATAATATAGATGTTCTGGCAATAAAATACACAGCCTGGGCTTCAGTTTAATTACTCCAAGTTATATAATAACCTAATTAAAAGTTAAGATCAGGTAGTTACTATCTCAGTGGATACCTTTGAGAGGAAGAGGCACACGGAGTATAACAGTGAACTGAAGGCATCTGTCCTCGAAACCTTGCAGGCAGAGAGAATTCAGTTTTTCAGTGTTTGTAGTAGAAACATTTTACTGAGGTAGAAAAGCCCATTTTGATGGATAACTGATTATTTCAGTCTTCGTGTCAATATAGGGTATTATTTATGTACAAATTTTAGCTGTAAGGGTATAGTGACATCATCTTATCTCACAGCCAAGAGTGCAGTGAGTCTGCTGCCTCATTTGAATTTGGGGTTTGTGGTTTTCTTGTGCCTTTAATTTTTAACATATTATTCTGTTCTCTAGAGAGTTCAGAATAAAAGACTAAAAGAAAATGTGAATGAATACTAATGAAATAAATTGATAAGTCTGCTGGGCATTTCCCCCAAAAGCTTTAGCTATTGATTTTCTAAAACCATAATTTGACATAATTACTGATTTAGTGGCTACCTAATGTTGAAATTTAGAAACGATTTCTAAGCTTGAATCATATAATAGATATGAAAGTTGGTTAGCAGTGAGACAGTTCAGCTAAAATTGTCACCACGTCCTGTGTAAATTAATGTTTTTACTAGATGCTTTCTATCCATTGTTCTCAACCCTAGCTGTGTATTAAGTCACTAAGGAGTTTTACAGAGTTGAGGTTTAGGTCACACTCCTTCACCTACTCTACTCCCAAGATTTGGATTCAGTCATTAGGCCTGGGTATCAGTATTGTTTTAAATCAGATTCCCCAAATGATTCTATGGTACAGCTCGGATTCAGAACCACTGCTCTCTTATGTTCTAATGCCCTCCCATTGAAGCTCTCATTAATCCTAATCATATACAAAATAGACGGAAAGGTAGAAAGTTAAGAAGTGACCTTCCATATTTTACTTCTAGAAGAACTGGAGGGCCTTCCTCTATAGCCTTCAAGGCCAGTTCTGAGCAAAACTTCTATGGCTCATTTTATACCTGGAGAATCAAAGCTTAAGGAAGATTCCTAAAGAGTAATCTTAACCTAAAAAGGTTGTGTGAACACAGCCTTGCTGGGAGATTTACCTCTGCTAGAATTAAATGTGCTCATATTCACATGAAATCACTCAAAATTTTCTCCCAATTATTGGAAGTTCAGTTCTACAAATGCGGTGGGTGAGGATGTGTTATTAACACACACCTCACCACCTCAGCATCTCCAGTTCTTCCCCTGCCCCAATCATTCAATTTATGTTTAGAGGGAATTCACAACTTGGATAATTAAACTTATAACAAAATAAGAAATTCTGATCTTATTTTTTTGTTTTAACAGATGCTGGGACTGGCGCAAGGATGTTTTGACTACACTATTCCATATATTAAAGAAAGGATACAATTTGGCAAAAGACTATTTGATTTTCAGGTATGTAATTATTAGGGTCTTTCTGCTGTGTTAGACTTCCCCAGCTTCCTGTTAATGAAGGGCTGTGTTGAAATCCATGGAGGGAATCCCTTCAGGGGGATTTTAATGGGAGATGGGTAGGGGAGGAAAGAATAGGTCTCAGGGAGTGTACTTGTGAATGCCTTGATCTTTGCCAAGGGCAGAGCAGTAGTCCTTGAGGCCCAGCTATGGCATGATTCAGGATATCTCGGTGAGCACCGTGAAGCTGTCTCCTCACTGCTTCAGAAGCTCAGGGCAGGGGGTCTGGAGTCAGACTTCCTGGATTCAAATCCTGGTTCTTTCACTTACCAGCTTTAGGCCTTAGGCAAGTGACCTCATTCTAGTCTTAAACTGCCTCATCTGTAAAATAAAGGTAAAACTACTTACTTACCCCGGTTTAAATGAGGTATGTGTAAAGTGTTTCACACACTGCATTGGTATAGCATGTGCTCAGTAAATGGTAACACTTGTTATGGGTCCCCTATTCAGACCAGAACCATGTGGTAATCCTCAGAGGACTGTACTTTGACACCTACGTCTCATGGAAGATACAGTTTGCTGCATTAAATACAAATGAGGTGCAGTCAGCCAAGCACTTGGGTAATACTGATTTGGTCCAGTGCTGTGGCTTCTCAGAGCTCACCAGGCAATCTGGGGATTCCTTGGTGGCAGTGGTATTCTTCCTGCCCTCCTTGAGATCTTGCCAGGGTGGGGGCAGCCTGGAGTGGCAGCTTACCAAACCTTTTAGGCAACCTGAAGGCATGTCACCTAAAATTCCAGAATAATTACTTTACATGGTTGCAAAACCTCCCCTTAAGCAGCTCTGGGCTCCAAGTACAATTTATGATTGCATTGCCAACTGCATGTTGCATTGTCTTCAGGTTTATAATAATGACTAGGCATCCTACGAGCACACTCAGATTGCACATGTGTAGAGATACGAGGCTGTGGACATGCACAGTCAGTTCAAGACCCAGAAGGACTGAGAGTGGCAGGCCTGGCCAGTGCCTACCACAGCCCATGCTGTCATTCCCATCTTATGCCTAGGAACCTGAAGCACACGGAGGCTGAGTTCCCAAGGTCATAAAGCTAATATGGGGCCAAAAGTAGAGGTTTTTTTTTTGTCTTGGCTTCTAGTCGAATTTTCATTATACTAGAGTACTTTCTCAGCCAGCTACCACAAAGATTGCAGTGAAAGAGACAGAATGTAAAGGTTGTTTTGAAGGGAGGCTTTTGATCTTCTTTATGCACAGGAAACTATGTTCTTGTGCATATAGATAGATAGATCAATAGACAGAAGGGGTCAGGTATACTAACAGGTATAATCATAATGACATCTTTAGAGATGCCTAGTATGGATAGTTAGAAGAACACTTAGATTTTTAAAATTTATGTATTTATTTATTTATTTATTTTTATTTATTTATTTTGAGACAGAGTCTCGCTCTGTCACCCAGGCTGGAGTGCAGGGGCGCTATCTTGGCTCACTGCAAGCTCTGCCTCCCAGGTTCACACCATTCTCCTGCCTCAGGCTCCTGAGTAGCTGGGACTACAGGCACCCGCCACCACGCCCAGCTAATTTTTTGTATTTGTAGTAGAGACGGGGTTTAACCGTGGTCTTGATCTCCTGACCTCGTGATCTGCCCGCTTCGGCCTCCCAAAGTGCTGGGATTACAGGCGTGAGCCACTGCGCCCAGCCTAATTTATTTTTTAAAAATTTTGTGGGTACACAGGTACCCATAAACATTTATGAAGTACATGAGATGTTTTGATAGAGACATGCTATGTGAAATAAGCACATCAAGGAGAAGAAATTTTGATCTTAAAAAGCAACATTATTATAGCTGTATAATGCTTTGATTAAAGTTAGTGGAGTTTTTTCTAACACATTATCTTATGTTTGCTTTGCATGCATTCGTTCATATCTTTCTGACCTCAAGACTACATGGTCCTTGAGGGTAGAGACCAGCCTATTCATCTTTATTAATTTCAATTGTTTATTCAGTATAGATTTATTTAGCATGTTCTCCATGCCAGGCCTTGTGTTCACAATGTAGTTAGGGAACGAGTATTCAGCAATGGTGAGTTCTTGTAGAGGAGGAGACATGCCTCAGTCACTTTCCTGCCTCTCTCAGTACTTAATGTGGCAAAGGGAATAGACAGCATGGATGGTGACTGTAAGTTTAATTGAACTGAATGTAGTTTGCAAAAATAATCAGAATCTCTGAGTTCCACATAAAAAGCCAAATTCCTAGAACAGTGATACTTGTATAGAAACAGACAAATTCACTGATGGAACAAAACAGAAAAGCCAGAAATAGACCCATGCATGCAGCAGATTTGATGTATGATAGAAATGGCATTACAGATCACTGAGTGGGAACATTCTTTCTACGTGAGAAAATAATGAAACTGTATTCCTACCTCACACCATACATACAAAATAGATGTCAGATGTAAAGACGTGATCTTAAAAGCAAAACTTTAAAGATTTTAGGAGAAAACAGAGAATATCTTTATAACCTCATGGTAGGAAAGGTTTTTGTAAACAGACACAAAAAGGACTAATCCTAAAGATAAGATGGGTGGTAAGATTGGTAAGTTTTTTTCCTTGAAATATACCATAAAGTGAAAAGATAAATCACAGGGGAGAAGATATTGACTCTGCACATAGGTTTGTGGGTGTTTAACTTACTATTATGCTTTATAGCCTACATATACGGAACATCGTCTCTTTTTGTACATACGAAATTGTTGTGTGTATCACATATTTCAGAAAGAGAAAGAGAAGAATCTGTAGGGTATTAACAAACAGTGCTGTTTTTCTCCAACTTTTCCCTCCCTTTTGTTTAAGAAAGGCCATTCCTGGGATTCGTGTGTGATTGACTTAATCAAGGTTCACTGTCTTAATATTCATCACACATTATTATAATTATTTAATTGTCTGTTCTTCCTGCTGGACTATGTATTATAAATCATGAGAACAAGGAACTCTGGCTGTAATGTTCAGTGTGCTGCCTCTGTCACTCAGGGCGGTGCCTGCCATCTCAGAGGTGCCCAATAACTATCTGGGTGGATGGATAGGTTAGGCATGAGAAACATTTCAGTTTGTAGTAAACATCTGTGCCTGTTATTTGCAGGAAATTGTTTATAAATGTTAATGTTTGTATTCTGGCTCACTAAGTTAACTGTTGTTTCTTTCATTGGCAAACATTTAGTATGGACCTAATCACCCTCTAAAATTTCAGGGTGGTAGTAATTGGTGCTTCAAATATTCTTCATTACTTTGTAGCTAACATTTTTTAATGCCTGGAAGCCATATGAAAAATCAAAATTTTCTTAACTCAAGCAAATAAAGAATATATTCAAAGTTTTGCTGTGCCAGGATTTCATTTAAGCTCAATTTTGATCAAAAGAGAGTTGAAATAATTATTAAATATAACAGTCAAGTTTTTAAACCTAACTTTGTTATACTTTACTATTTAAATCTTGAAAATCATGAAGACTTACATGAACTTTGAAGTTTTTCTAGGAAAAGAGGATTTAACAATACTTATAGTGTCACATTTCATTTTAGATTACTCATTTTAAAGTATTTAAAAGACGTGAATGTAAATTTCCTTTGGGGTGTATTTTGAGTCTGTCAGTGTTGTGTATCTAGGCAGGACTTTGAGGTTGAGGTGCTTGCTTTTTTGAAATCATAATTCTCTAACTTGGGCCTGACTGTTACAGGGCCTCCAACACCAAGTGGCTCACGTGGCCACCCAGCTGGAAGCTGCAAGATTACTAACATACAATGCTGCTAGGCTTTTAGAAGCTGGAAAGCCATTCATAAAAGAAGCGTCAATGGCCAAATACTATGCATCAGAGGTAAAAAAAAAAAAAAAAAAAAAAAAGGAAAAAGTAATTCAGCCTTTTTTTTTTCAGATATATACTTATTAACATTTTCTCTTGGGAATGTTGATTGTACTTTGGTTGTTTTTCAAGTTAAGATAACATGGACTTTTATTTCTTATAATAGAAAAGCAAAAAAGGAAAACTGCCATAGGAAAACACTTGAATTCTGTGAGGTCTCAATGTTTCGTTGAGTAGCCCAGCTCAGCTAGACCACCCATCTCAAACTGCCATAGGAAAACCTTCAGTTCTGTGAGGTCTCCATGTTTCGTGAGTAGCCCAGCTCAGATAGACCACCCATCTCAAATCCATGGCTGAGCCTCCTCTGAATGAGGGTGTCATGCCTATGGTGTCAAGTTCGGGCAAAGTGAATGCCGTGGAAGATGATGGGTCCATCATGTGAACAAATCAGATTTAAAACACCAAGAAAAGATTGTCTAAAACTTTCTACTCATACATTTGCTTTCTAGAGCTAACACATTAGACTGAGGCTAGAGAATTTAGCCAAATCACTGGGCAGCTGTTTCGTAGCCTCAGCAGTATCTTATTCATTCCATGGCTTTAAATTCTCATTTAACCTCTCCAGCCCATAAATTAAATATCCTACCTCAACTTCTTTCTGAATTCCAGACTAACATGTCCAACTTCTGCTTCACCATCAGAACCTGAGCGTCATCTTGGCACCCTGCTTTCCCTCACCCCCCACATTGAGTCCAGCATCATTTCCTATGATTCTACCCCTAAAAGATTCCTTAAATGGTGTGTTTGTCTCCCTCTCCACTGCCACCTCTGTACTTCAGTCACCTCACTGCCCTCCTGGTCCCTGGTGCTTCCTCCCATCCAGCCTCTCTCCTTTTTCAAAGTGGCAGTGAGGCCATGTCACCTTCCAGCTTTAACCCTTCAGTGGCTTCTCACAACAAATGGAGCTCTATCTGTACTAGATTCCAATTGCTGCTATAACAAATTACCAAAAAGTCGGGGACCTAAAACAACGCAGTTTCATTTTCTGTCACTTCTAGAGGTCAGAAATCTGAAATGGGTCTCACTGGAATACAGGGGCTGCCTTTCTGTGGTTCTGGCAGACAGTTGTTTCCAGCTTCTAGGGGCTGCTCACATTCCTTGACTCGTAGCCCCTTCCTCCATCTTCAAAGCCAACAATGTGGCATGTTCAGATCTCTCTCTGACTCTGCTTCCTGTCTCCATGGTCACGTCACCTTCCATGACTAACTCTCCTGCCTCCTCCTTTTCCTTATAAGGATCCCTGTGATTATATCACAGCCACCCAGATAATTCAGGGTAATCTCTCCATCTCGTGTCCTTACCCACATCTGCAGAGTCCCTATTGCCATGGAAGGCAGCATATTCACAGCTCTGAGGGCTAGGATGTGGACGTCCTTGAGGGGCCATTCTGCAGGGTCTCTCGCTCCTCCATTCTCTTTTCACATTTCACCCCGATCCCAGCCCACTGGCTGTCTCAGGGGCTGGAAGTTGAAGAGCTCATTCTCCCCTTGGAGGATTTCGACGTGTTGGTCCTCAGCTTGAAATGTCCCTTAGCTCGTCCGTTAGGCCCCCAGTAAACATTTCCTGAATAAATGATATCTCTCAGCATGCAGATTCATGTGAACAATGCTCTAATTTCTTAAGAAAATGGGGATTCTGTGAATTAATAGGATGTTTTACAGAAATGGTATGGAGAATGGGACTGAAGAGACAATGCTAGTTTAGAAGATAACTTTAGTCCTTCCAGTGCCACTAACAGTAAATCCATGTTGCTGAAAATGTTACCCAGAAGTGTTTATCATGTATAAGTTATGTGGTTTCAGTGTGTGATTTGCACTTGCTTTTGGTAGATTGCAGGACAAACAACGAGTAAATGTATCGAGTGGATGGGGGGAGTAGGCTACACCAAAGATTACCCTGTGGAGAAATACTTCCGAGATGCAAAGATTGGTAAATAGATTTTTTTTTTTTACATTTTATTTTGTTTTATTTGCCTCTGTAGGTATTTTGGCTGTTTTATTTGTCGTTTTTTTCCTAGGTAAAAGCAATTTTAATTTCTTCAGTATATGTTTGGTGGCTCTATTTATGTGGCTGGATTTTTTTCTTACCTCGTCCTTCAAAAAAAATTGTTCTATATTTTTAAAAAATATCAAATTGCCTTTTTAAATGCCTCAACAGGCTTTTTAGTAAAACTGCCACAAATAACAGTCTGAGCTTATGCATCAATTGTTGAAGAATCAAAATCTTCAACTTTTGTTTACACCTTTAGTCAGTTTAATACTGATCCTGGACATCGAGAAACCAAATGGAAAATTGTCATCTCTTAGTCAAAATTACTGTGAAATAGTACCATATTCAGGGGACATGAAGTGATGTGACTAGTAACTGTTTTATAGCAAGCGCAGAGGTGATGTTTATAGAGCTATTTCTTGTCTTAACCATGCGCCAACTCCTCATTGTTCCTTCTGCTTCCTTTTGCTTAAGGTACGATATATGAAGGAGCTTCCAACATCCAGTTGAACACCATTGCAAAGCATATCGATGCAGAATACTGACGTCTATAGGAGTGGGACCCCTCCCTGGTGTCACTGCTGTAAAATTTTAAACGGTTGTGTCTTGTTGGGAGTAAGTGCCTTGCGTGGGAATAAACTTCCACAGCATTCGAATATTTTAATGAAGCCCTTAGTCAGGGTCCTGGTGTTGGCCTTTTTGGTTTTCTCTTTTCAGGCTGTTTAACTTAGGCACAGGAGATCCACTTTTAAACTTGGGAAATAAGCACCTGTATTTTTTTCCAAAACTGTTTTTAAAGCTGTATACGCATACATATATATATTTTTACTCTGTCTTACTCTGTCACCCAGGCTAGAGTGCAGTGGCGCGATCTCAGCTCACTGCAGCCTTGACCTCCTGGGTTCCAGTGATTCTCATGCCTCATCCTCCCAAGTAGCTGGAACTACAGGTGTGCACCACCATGCCTGGTTCATTTTTGTGTTTTTAGTAGAGATGGGGTTTTACCATATTGCCCAGGCTGGTCTTCTGGCTTCTGGATATCGCCCACCTTGGCCTCCCAAAGTGCTGGGATTACAGGGATGAGCCACCGTGCCTGGCTGGGTATTTATATTATCATTCTAGTTTCAGAGTATACAGAAGTTTCATCCCATCATTTGGAAAAATAAAGGCATCTGAAGTACAATATTACTTATAGAAATAGTTTATATTCCTATTAAATCTTAATCTTGTGGCATCAGGGAAATATTTGTTACATAGTAGGCAATTTTTATCCAGTACTTTATAGATTCAACTCTAAGTTGCAAGCGAAGTCAAAACTGATGAAAATTTATTTAGAAAAATCTAAAAATTCTGGTTTTAAATATGAGAATCAGTGGAAAATAAGGGTATAATTTTGTAGGTCATATGATTGAAGAAAATATTATTTTAACAATGTAAAGCAATATGATTTGTTACTATAATTAACCTGTATAAAAGATACATTTTATGGTGGTTTCAGTAGGTCATTTTAAAAACCAATGTGCATTAGTTTTCAAGTATAAGGTTTAAGTAATTTGGTTTAATAATCAGAAAATATTCAATACAGTGTTGGATATTCTGTCATGCACTATTTTTCAGTTGACAATTTCTGTATTTTAATTGAATACTGTTTCTTCAGTCATGGTTATTGCACTTTATCCTGAATAATAATTCAGAAATTGGGTTTTGGTTCAGTGATTCTCAAGAAAAAGATCTCTTGCCCATTAAGAAGTGTATCAAAATCTCATAAGGAATGAGGGAGAGAAGGGGGCTGTAGAGTTTGAAAAAGCATATTCAATATTAAAATAGTTTTATATTTGGGAAGGCAAAAATGAATCTATTGTTTTGCAATATAGGTTATAAACAGGCAAAATGCAATAAAATATATATCTGGTTGTATTAGTCTGTTTTCACGCTGCTGATAAAGACATACCTGAGACCAGGAAGAAAAAGAGGTTTAATTGGACTTACAGTTCCACATGACTGGGGAGGCCTCAGAATCATGGTGGGAGGCAAAAAGCACTTCTTACATGGCGGCAGCAAGAGAAAATGAGAAAGAAGCAAAAGTGGAAACCCCTAATAAACCTATCAGATCTTGTGAGACTTACTATCACGAGAATAGCACAGGAAAGACTGGCCCCCATGATTCAATTACCTCCCCCGGGTCCCTCCCACAACACATGGGAATTCTGAGAGATACCATTTAAGTTGAGATTTCAGTGGGGACACAGCCAAACCATATCATTCTACCCCTGGCACCTCCAAATCTCATGTCCTCACATTTCAAAACCAATCATGCCTTCCCAACAGTCCCCCAAAGTCTTAACTCATTTCAGCATTAACCCAAAAGTCCGCAGTCCAAAGTTTCATCTGAGACAAGGCAAGTCCCTTCCACTTATGAACCTGTAAAATCAAAAGTAAACTAGTTACTTCCTAGATACAATGGGGGTACAGGTATTGGGTAAATACAGCCATTCCAAATGGGAGAAATTGGCCAACACAAAAGGGTAACAGGGCCCATGCAAGTCCAAAATTCAGCAGGGCAGTCAAATTTTAAACCTCCAAAATGATCACCTTTGACTCCACGTCTCACAATCATCTCTCTCAAGTTCGAAGTTCCACAAATCTCTAAGGCAAGGGAAAGATGCTGCCAGTCTCTTTGCTAAAACACAGCAAGAGTCACCTTTACTCCAGTTCCCAAAAAGTTTTTCATCTCCATCTGAGACCACCTCAGCCTGAATTTTATTGTCAATATTGCTATCAGCATTTTGGGCAAAGCCATTCAGCAAGTATCTAGGAAGTTCCAAACTTTCCCACATTTTCCTGTCTTCTTCTGAGCCCTTCAAACTGTTCCAACCTCTGCCTGTTACCCAGTTCCAAACTTGCTTTCATATTTTTGGCTATCTTTTCAGCAATGCCCCACTCTACTGTTAGCAGTTTACTGTATTAGTCTGTTTTCACACTGCTGATAAAGACATTCCTCAAGATTGTGAAGAAAAAGAGGTTTAATTGGACTTACAGTTCCACATGGCCGGGGAGGCCTCAGAATCATGGCGGGAGGTGAAAAGCACTTCGTACATGGTGGTGGCAAGAGAAAATGAAGAAGAAGCAAAAGTGGAAACCCCTGATAAACCCATCAGATCTCATGAGACTTACTATCATGAGAATAGCACAGGAAAGACTGGCCCCCCTGATTCGATGACCTCCCCCTGGGTCCCTCCCACAACATGTGGGAATTCCAGAAGATAAATTCAAGTTGCAATTTCAGTGGGGACATAGCCAAACCATATCACTGGTGATGCCACTTCTTCAGTATTAGGGATTCTCAGTCAGAAGAGACCCCCTGTGTGGCCTGAGTCCCCTCAGGAGGAAGGTGGACAACAGAGAAATGAGAGTTTTGATATTTTCTGAAAGAGGAACATGTGTTAGAGATGAAGAATCTTCCAAGGCTCATGCAGTTGCTTAGAATAATCATTACTGTTATATGAGAAACATTTTAGTAATTTAATAAAAGGATAATGTTTATTTAAAAAACCTGACTTTTCCAGAGTAATTTTGTTTTGCACATTCATGTTTATTGAAGTGGACTAATTTCTATAATGCAAATCAGAGTTAAATATTAAAAATTGTGTAAATACAATTGACATAGGAATTACATTAAAATATTAGGAAGAAACAAGGACAAATTTAGACCTTGAATCCGAAGAGATAAAGCTTACTTGACTTTCAAATGGAGAGATGATGAAAACCCACTCATTCACTCTTTCAGAACAAAAAGACAGTCATCTGATAAGAGTATGACATGGATGAAATGCCCTACAGGGGCCTTGGACATCTTTAATTTCTGCGATTATGTGAAAGAGGTGGACTTTACAGATAATGGAGCAGAAGCCAACATTAGTAAAAGGAATCCCAACTTCTTCCCATAGAATTAGAAACATGTGAAAGTACAATAAACTTCTTGTTCAAATTACCAGCATCAGAGAGCTTCCCATTTGCATCTAGACCTTGAATTTATATTTATTGATCAAGTTCTAATTTGTATGTATATTTTGTGCATATTCACCAATAACAGTTAAAATTAATTATGTGTTATAGTTAATATATGCACCTACCTTCTTCCGTTAGTGCATCAGTAAATGTGTTATTTTGTCATTTTTCCAAAGAGAGTGTTGTAGGTTTTCCCTGTAGTTCTTCCTTTATAGCTTTTCTTCTGATAACCATGACTTCAGGAGCTTTAAAACTATCTATCTTGCATTTGTGTCTGGCGGAGAACTAGCCATCAGCCTCCTGAAGCCTGCCATCATTGTTAATTTGAGGACTGGGCTGTCTTGGGGCTCAGAAGATAAAGAACTATTTGAGCAGATGTGTGTGGGTGGCACTGGATTCCACCCAACTGCCAAGTTAGTATTGTTAGAGATTTCATTTTACAACACAAAAATAAGCCTGTGTCAAAGATTTTAAAATCATGGAAAGTTAAAATCTAGAAAGACCTTAGAGAACCAGCCAACCAACTCTCTCATTTTAAAAGTGAAGGATTCATAGCACAGATTACTTGCCTAAGATCATCCAGGAACGAAGACAAGAATCCAAATGTACTTGGGGACAAGAATTAGTCCCCAAATTCAGTGTTCTTCCTAGTATTAAACATTGCCCCTTTCGACAAATTTTGGATTTCATTCTTGTTATATTTCAGTACTCTTGCTGATTTATTTTAGGTTTAACTGGTAAAGAATGAACATTTCAGAAGTGTTAGGATTAGTCAGTGTCATCGCTTATGTATATGAATCACTTGCCAAAGACACTGGCTCTCCTCAGCTGTAACCAGCATGTCAAATGTGAAGATTATTGTGTGGGATCCTTTGGTTTCATTGTTATGATGTATTTTATAAATGTACTAGTTATATCCTTGTTTATGTATTTTTGCTGATCTTTCATAAAGCAGAATGGTATGTATCGGATTGTTTTAATGTTATATATTGGATTGTATTCGATGTTACAAAACCAATATTCTATGGAGAATGAAAAAAATAAAGGACTAAATTAACTGGAGATTTTTGGTACTCTTATAAAGCAAAATTGTTTGTTATACATACAGATGAAATAAGAAAATAATGTAATCTTTCTGTAAGATATATACATCTTTGTTTACCAAACCAATAGCTTGCCTCTCACATAAGCCAATTTTGTTTGTTTTCAGAGAAGAGGTCTTATAATGTAGACTGAGTTTAAATTCATGATACTAAAGAAAATGTTGCCAGAGGACCCTTTTTTTTAAATGGCAAAATAAGCAGCTCTTCAGTAGAGAGTTCACCTCTTTTGAGCGTATCCTTGCTGTACAGATATTATCTGGCTGATATGTATGCCTGTGCTTTATAGTGTTACTTTTAGAAAATGTATATTATTGCACTTTTTACTCAGTGGTACACTGTAGCCTAAGGCTATAGGAAATTTCAACTTATCTTCTCCCCATTATCCTCTACATCATTTTAGAAATCTAGGTATTAGTCCCTTTTTTTTTTCCTTTGTCATTCAGCAACATGTAGTGAGTGGTCGCTATGTCCAAAGTGCTGTGGACGCTGAGCCACCATGCAAACATGAATAAGAACAGCTCCTTGTTTAAATGTGCGCCCATTCAGGTGTCTTTTCTATTCATCACAGAAAGATTGAGTAGAAAGCTACCAAGGTCACCCCTATAAAGAAATATTTCTTTACATCCATTAGAATGATAACAGTAAGCGCTGACATCTCTTGAGCTCCTACCATGTGCTAGCCATGATTCTAGACTCTTGACACATATTAACTCACAACAGCCCTATGAGGGAGGTGCTCTTTGTTATCTCATTTCATAGGCAAGGACACTGAGGCATAGAGGTGTTAGATAAGATGCTTATTCATAGATGGCAGAAATGGAACTCAAACTCCAGCAGTCTTGCTGATGAAGGCCCTCCTAGATTTATTCTTTTGGGTCTAAGTCTTGTTTATCTTCAGGAGCCTTCCAGTAAAATACCACCACCAACTAGTCCTTTATTCATTAATAATTCTTCATGAATGAGTTTCAGATACTTTGAGGCAGAGAAACTAGCTGAGAATGGGACCTTCGAGACGAACGGGTGTGGTGGAAACGTGTGTTTGGAGAGAAGACCTGGCAGAGTAGGTAAAGCAATGGGAAGATGCAGTTAGAAGGATGAGAAAAGCACTGAAAAGAAAACTAAGGAAATACCAAATAATCTCACTCTAGAGTTTTGCCTGGGATTTGCTATGTGCCATGTTTGATTCTTGATCTTAAAAAGATAAAAATAAGTAATTTCTTGAGCCCAGGAAATTTGAGACCAGCCTGGGCAATGTGGCAAGACCCCTTTTCTACACAAAAACACAAAAATTAGCCAGGCATGGTAGCACATACCTGTAGCCGCTGCTACTCGGAGGCTGAGGTGAGAGGATCGCCTGAGTCTGGGAAGTCGAGGTTACATTTAGGTGTAATTGCATTCCAGCCTGGGAGACAGAGTGAGATCCTGTCTCAAGAAAAAAAGAAAAAGAAAGGAAAAAAAAAAAAGTAAAGACTCAAAGTTACCCTAGGGTGGGGAGAATGACAAAAAATCATGATAGAAATCTGAGTGGTGGCTACGCAATTATTTATACAGATAGCTCACAATATAAGGAAAAAACCTTATTTTTTTTAAAAGAAATCAAGGTAAGTAGAAAATAAGACGGGAAGATAGGCAAACATAGTATTATTTGTAGTTGCAAATGGGTTAAACTCAGATGTTCAGATGGTGCAAACGAAAAATTTAAATCCCAGCTACATAAAGTTAGAAACACCTAAAACAAAACAGCACAATAAAGTTGAAATAAAGAGATGGAAAAAGGCCATACAAATGCTACAAAAAGGAAAGCATGAATAGCAATGTTGATATCTAACAAAACGGAATTAAAGGCAAAAATAATTTTAAAGGATATGTCATAAAAAGGAAGAGTTCACCAAAAAAGTCCAGCAGTCACAAACTTTATGTCCCTAACAACATAACTGGGAACTACATAGAGCAAAGCGAATAGAAATACAATGAAAAAAATTGACAAAGCCATAATCATAGTTGCTGACTTAGAAATCACCAAGTCAAGTGGAAGGTAAGAACAGATGTAGAGGATTTGGGTGGCGTAATTAACAGGTTTGATAGAACTTTTTTGTTTCTTTTCAAATGCAAATGAATGATCATTAGAATTTTGTCTCAAAATTTCTACAAATTCCAAAAAGATAAATTTTACAGGCGGCACTCACTGTACACAATGATAAGTAAATATATAAACAAAAAAGATAGGATATAAAAAAGCTAACCACGCCGGGCATGGTGGCTCATGCCTGTAATCCCAGCACTTTGGGAGGCTGAGGTGGGCGGATCGCCTGAGGTCAGGAGTTCGAGACCAGTCTGACCAACATGGTGAAACCCCGTCCCTACTAAAAATACAAAAATTAGCTGGGCGTGGTGGCGTGCCCCTGTAATCCCGCTAGCTACTCGGGAGGCTAAGGCAGGAGAACCTGGAGGCGGAGGTTGCAGTGAGCCAAGATTGCACCACTGCATTCCAGCCTGGGCGACCGAACGAGACTCCATCTCAAAAACAAACAAAAAACTAACCCTAGACTTTAAATAACCTGGATTAATTAATAAATAAAAATATAAAATACAAATTGTTGGCCGAGCATGGTGGCTTACGCCTGTAATCCAAGCACTTTGGGAGGCCAATGCGGGTGGATCTTTTGAGATCATGAGTTCGAGACCAGCCTGGGTGGCGAAACCCTGCCTCTACTAAGTAAAATACAAAAATTAGCCAGGCGTGGTGGCTCGTGCCTGTAATCCAAGCTACTCAGGAGGCTGACGCAGGAGGATTGCTTGACCCTGGGAGGCAAAGGTTGCAGTGAGTTGAGATCACAGCACTGCACTCCAGCCTGAGTGAAAGAGCAAGACTCCATCTCAAAAACAAACAAACAAACAAACAAAAAACAAATATTGACAATGATGTGACAAGCCCAGGTCTCTTGAATCTTCAGTGCTTCTGGGAGGGGGTGCAAGAAGGCATGTCAGGGACATCCAGGGCAGCATGGTTTGTAGTAGTGAAAAGTTAGAAATGGCTGAGTAGGAGAATAAATAGGTAAATCATCGAAAACGCACACAAAAGCCGTTTAAAAAAAATAAGGAAGATCCGTGTATGGAGATGAAATCATCAAGTCATATTGTTTAAGGAGATAATAAGTCACGCAGTATTTGTGCAGAACAATACAAAGCTACATATATTTCTGTAAATACAAAGGTGTATAAATTCTTAGAAAAAAAACTTGGAAATTAGCCAGGCACAGTGGTGCACACCTGTAGTCCTAGCTACTCCAGAGGCTAAGGCGGGAGGATCACTTGAGCCAAGGAGTTCAAGGCTGCAGTGAGCTATGATCATGCCACTACACTCTAGCCTGAGCAAGAGAGTGAGACCTCATCTCTTAAAATATAATAAAATAAAATACAGAAAAAAGTGGAAAGTGTACTGCCACACCAATAACTGCATTTAACTCTGGGGGCCTGTGCTGGCACTGGAGGTCATTAGCATCATCTATACTATTTGAATTTTTATATTAGGAATATATTCTTGTATTACTTGTGTAATAGGAAATATAAAATTAAAACAACCTACTAGGCTACTGATATCTTTTACTTTTGTGCATCATTCTCCCTTTAACTGATTTTTCTACTTTTCTCAAATAGCCACAGTGAAATCGGCAGCTCTATTCAGCCTCACGGGAGAGTAGACTCTGACATAGAGAGCACAGAAAAGAGATCTGAAACCTATGAAGGTTTGACCTCCCTAGGTAAATAGCACTGTTCAGGTTTAAATGCTTGTCCTAAGCAAAGCAATGCATGGCTTGCTTTGCCAAGCAGAACTTCACAGAGAGGGCTTTTTGCTTTCAGGTATAAATTGGGCCATTTGCACTGGCTTGGGATTGGGATCTTGTCTTTAGTTGTGATTTGATTTTCTATGATTTGACCCAGAGTATTCAAATGTAATATTTCCTTGAACATGAAGCATTTGCATTAAGGAAAAAGGAAAAATTCAAAACTTCTACTCAAGTCAAAGGACACAGGTCCTTTGTTTAAATTGGATGGACAAAGTATGGCCCATGGGCCAAATCCAAGCCACTGCCTATTTTCGTTATGGCCTACAAGCTAAGAATGTGTTTTTATGTTTTAAATGTTATATAGTTATGTACAGTATCCTCAATTTTGCCACTTTCCCACAAAGCCTAAAATGTTTACTCTCTAGCACCTTTAGGAAAAAGTTTTCCAACCCCTGATTAAATGATTGCCTCTAAATCAAATTTTGACTGAAAAGGTTGGTCAGTCTGTCTTGATGTCATACCGAAAGAAGAGAAAGAGAGAAGACTTCCCCTAGGAACTTGAGCCATTATTCTCTCTTGATTTTCTTTGTAGACTTTCTAGCCCTATGGGCTCCCTGCTACAACCTACAAACATGATTGTCTTCCCTTACCCGCAGTTTCAGTTACCTGCATCAACTGTGATCTGAAAATATTAAACAAAACTCCAGAAACAAACAACATACAAGTTTTAAATTGCACGTCGTTCTGAGTAGCATGATGAAATCTTGCACAATTCTGCTCCGTCCCAATAAGAACGTGAATCATCCCTTTGTCCAGCGTATCCATGTTGTCTGCTCTACCCCCTTCTTGGTCATCAACACTGTCTGCTCTTGACATCCCGCCATCTTCATTGTCATGCTTGGTGATCTAGGATCACACAAAGCAGAGGCTCCATCTTCTGAGACGTTGTCAGAAGGTCGATAGTGGCTGAATCACTAGTAGGCACATCACAGTGCCTACGCCATTCACACAACTTCATCCTATCCCATACACATTTTACCATCTCACACCATCACAAGAAGGGTGAGTATGACAATGAGACAATGAGAAAGAGAGAGACCACGTTCATATAACTTTTCTCTTTCTCTTTAGAACCAAAACAATGTTCTCAAAAGCCATCTTTTTACCTTTAATTGGTGGCCTATTATATTTGTCCCAATTTATATAGTTTCAGACACCCCTCATCTTCCTACAGGCTCTGCTCCTTTGACAAAGCACCTCCTCTTTTTCACTGACTCTTCGTTGGCTTCTTTGGCCTTAAATGGAAATTTTTTTATCAAGACTCTGCTATTGTGCCTCTTCATTCTCTATACAATTGGTTCTAAACCTCACTGTGCTTTTAGAATAACTCCAAGAGACCTCAAAGTGCACACTGTGGAATACTATTCCCAGAGTGTTCCAGTCATTGGCTATAGTGTTTATTTTTAGATCTATCTAGCAGGCTTTGGAAATTTATATTTATTTATTTATTTACTTTTGAGATGGAGTCTCACTCTGTCGCCCAGGCTGGAGTGCAGTGGTGCGATCTCGACTCACTGCAACCCCCACCTCCCAGGTTCAAGCAATTCTCCTGCCTCAGCCTCCTGAGTAGCTGGGATTACAGGTGCCCACCACCACGCCTGGCTAATTTTTGTATTTTTAGTAGAGATGGAGTTTCACCATGTTGGTCAGGCTGGTCTCGAACTCCTGACCTCATGATCCATCCGCCTCAGCCTCCCAAAGTGCTGGGATTACAGGCGTGAGCCACCGCACCTGGCTGGCTTTGGAAATTTATGTCTAAAATGCAGGTGAAGGATGAGAGTAGGAGACAGAGATCAGGAAGTCTTACGTAAGTCTGGTAGTATAAAGGTCAGATGAAGTACTCAGGAAGGACTGGTCATCTCCTGGGCTTTCTGCCCCCAGATCACTTGAGATGTCTGTAGAAAGGCACATTTCCTGACCTATGAGTCTTATCTTTGGGGCTGGGGCCTAGGAATCTGCATGTTTAGTAACCTGCCAAGGGATTTTCATCGCACACTAAGACTTGAGTAGTTGCTCAAAATGATTCCATCCCCAAAGTCCACGTTCCTTTCCAACTTCTCCCCAGCACCCCAGTCCAGCAGGACCAACGAGGTAAACCCCAAGCTCCCTAGAGACCCACCTGCTTAGTGAAGAAGCAGAAGGGGAGCAGGCGAGCCCCTTCCCTCCATCCTCCTGAGGTCAGAGGTCCTTGCGGATCCCCATTCACTCTCCCAGTGTGAGGCAGAGAAGCCAGGCACCAACTGTTCTCCGAGTTCGGTGGAACCAAAAGCAATTTAGGGCAATGTGTTCACAGTTCTCCACCCCAAAATAGGAGCCTCCATGGGGCTTGCTTTAATGAGATTTTACTTTATTAGTTCAAGAGTTAATGAAGAAACTGCTGATAAGATAAATCACCTTAGGTGCGGTGTTTTGAAATCTAACCATTTCTCTTAGAAATTGATTTTTTTTCCTTTTGGATATGCAAACTAATGATGAAGTCATAGTAGGGATGTAAGTTTTGGTGCCTTTGGAGGGTCAGGACGTCTGAAGGGAGAACATCTGGCTGAGTGGACAGCTCTTCGAGCCTTACCTTATTTTACATTCTGTCTATAACAGAAACCCATCGCTGTAAAATGTACATACAGTTCCTTTACGCATTAATACTCCATTGTACCAACCCTATTGATTTTTCCAAGTAGACAAAGGCTAAGGATATGTTTATTGATTGTTGCTCAGTGCATTTTAAGTGTATTTTGTAATAAAGAGCATTTTGAGACTGAAACAAACTTTCCCTTAACCAATGGGCAAGTTGAAATTTTAATTAAATGTTACTAAATATTTTTTGTAAAAAATAAGACTATTCACAATTCTACATTCAATGTCCATCAGCTAATGTAGAGAATTACAATCACGTGCCATGCATGTTACAACTAGACCTATGGAGTTAATATAATGTAGGAGTAATGGGAATTACTAATATTGCAAAATGTTGCTCAGGCACCATGTGAAACTGTTGGAAAGACAAGCCAACTCATGGAACTTCTGGAACTGACCATTGGAACACAAAAAGACAGAAGGAGGGAAGAGAAGCCAAACCCTGAAGAGCTTTGGTGGAATTACCTAATTTGGGGTAAAATAGAAAGAACCTTCTCTTTCCCCAGCCCCTTTCTGGAGCAGCCTCCAAAAAGGCTGAGAGTAGGTGCTGAGAAAACATATCTGTCAGACGGATGGCCAGATAGGAAGCCCTGTTTGGTTAGTGCTTTTTCTTTAAAGAGTAGCTGCATAATAATGATTTCTCTTTTCGTTTACTCATTGTCTTTATTCGAGTGGGGGCAGCTAAGATTTGCTTGGGGACATTAAAACATCATTTGGAAAATCAACCTTTGGTATTTGCCAGCTCATATTAGTGGATTTGCAGTTTGATAAACCACTTGGATAGAGGGGGTGCCATCCTTGTCTCAGGTACCTCACGTGGCTTGAAACGGTGTCCACACTGGAAGAAGACATGTCCTCCATCAAGGGCATCCATGAAAATTAATGAGTGGTCCAAAACAATTCGTAAGGAGGGTGAGTCGGTTTAACTCCAAATGTGGTTTCAGAGTGGAGTGTGGCACCTGGGTCCCAGTCACCAGTGGGCTGCCACCACTGGTTCCACCTCCAAAGTAATTTTTAAATCTGTCCAGTCTTTATTCTCCACTAACACCATAGTCTGATCTAAGATATGACTTCTCACTCAGAACAGCACAATAAGCCTCTCAACTGGCTTCCAGCTTCCACTATTCCCACTGTTCGATCCACTTTCTATCTAACAGCCTGAGACATTCTTTCAAATGTAAGCTGGATTATACTCCTCTTCCATCATTTCTCTAGAAATGTGCTGTTCAATACAATGGCCACCAGCCAGCCATGTGTGTCTATTTAAGTTATTTTTTGGTCTTTTGCTATTTTATTCGGAGGATTATTGCATATATATTCATAATGAGAGTCATCTATTCTTCTTCTTTATGCTTTTAATCAGATGTTGGTTTTGTATTGTATTTCTTTATAAAACAATTTGAGAAATTATCTATATTTTTATGATTTCAAATACCTATCTAAATTTAAATGAGTTAAAATTTTTAAAAATGAACAATCCTTTCCTTGGTTATACTAGCCATGTTTCAAGTGCTCATTAGTCACATGTGGCCAGTGGCGACCATGTTGGGCAGCACAGACATCTAGCATTTTTGTTTTACCTGAAAGTTCTGTCCATCTGTACTGCTCTTGAAGATGCAGCAGTTTCTCCCTCAAAGTAGTAGGTGGTGCCCAGAGCTCCTGACCAAGCAAGCTGTATGGTCTCTAAGAACTTTGGGCTTTGAAGGAGTATGGCAAGCTTAATTTGGGGAGCTACTACTTTTTTTTCCCTTTTCTCTTCTCCCTATTCAAGCGGGCTCCAACGATTCTTGCCTCCATTGAGGTTGGTGGCAGCACCTCCTGACTTTTGTCTAAAAGTCTAAATCCATAGAGAAGGACAAGGTTTGAAAGGAAAGGAGGAAATTAAGTCCCATGTGAAGAATAAGGCCTGAGGAGAGAAGAATTTTCCCCAAATTAAAGAGAAATTTCCCTAGGTTGGGGAAAGAGAGAGAGAGATGATCAGGTCCCATAAGTAGCCTAGACTAGCACCCCAAGGAAGTGCATCAGAGGGCAAGAGGGAATGGCATGGGGGACACCAGGAAGCTGGGTCCTGGGCAGAGCCCTCCAGCCTCGCGAAAGATGTTGGACCTCAGGCACATCCCAAAGAAAGCAGAGAAGCTCGCCTGAAGAAAGCATCTGGGCCAGGAGAAGGGACCTCTCTCTCAAGGAGGTAAGGAGCATAGGAGGTGATGGAGGCTCAAGAGGCTCCTTTACACCATGGCCCTGGGCAAGGCCCCAGAACCCAGATAGAACTCCTGGGGGAAAGAGCCCTCACAGAGTTAGGTATTCCATGGAATTATTGGGTTGAGGGCTCAGAGTTGGTGCCACACTGATTGAGGGTGTAAAAGGATGTAGGGTGTGAATTTTACTCTTTCACAGAACTAGAGCTAGAGTTCAGAGCTGCTTATGGATCAGGCGGCCTTAGTCTTAGTATCCTTGGACAGTCCCCGCCTGTTATTCTTAAGATTTGCTTGCTACCCTCTTATTTTGTGTAGAAGGCATCTGAGCCCAGAGAGGCAAAGGCCCTTGCTCCCAAGTTCCCACAGCAGATGACTAAGAGCTTAGGCATTGACATCAGACTGCTGGAGTTTGGCTGTCTGCGCCACCACCTCTTAAGTGTACAACCTGCAGTGGGTGTCTCATGGCTGCCATGACAAAATACCTTATACTGGGCAACTTACAAGCAATAGAAATGTATTGCTCACAGTTCTGGAGGCTGGGAAGTCCAAGGTGCAGGGAGATAGGAATCTATCTGGTGGGGGCTCACTCCGCTTCATAGATGCTACTTTTTCACTGCTTCCTCCCATGGCAAAGGGGCCCACAAGCTCCCTCAGACTTCTTTTCTAAAGACACCAGTCCCATTGATGAGGGTGGATTCCTCACTGAGGCTCCACCTCTTACTACCACCACATTGGGAATTAGGTTTCAACATAGGGATTTGGGAGGAGGGGGACAAAAACATTCTGACCAAGATTGTGGTTATTTGACCTCTGTAAGGTTTTGTTTTCTTAAGGGTGAATGGGACATGATCATGACACTAATGCCCACTTTGAAAGGCTGCTGTAAGGTATAAGTTACACAGTGTGTATGAGCCTCAGCAGACTACTGAGTCGTTCCATAAATTACCAGCTGGGGCCACAGGCTGGCTCTCCTGGCTCCTCATTCAACATTCCTGCCTCATAATAAAGTCAAAGCAACTGCTAATGAGCAGATCAGAAAGTAAAGTTGTAAAACTTCTGAAGTCCCACTTTTTCTCAAATTACAGCAACTCCTTTAGCCAAGGGTAAAATACCCTGACCCACTTGGTTAGAGGTTTGCCATCAAGGCCACTGCCGCGTCTAGCTGTGCAGCCAGCAGAAAATGCGAAACCGTCCAAGCACTTTGGCTTCCACTCCAAGATGATCTGCATGACATTTGGGTCAATCAATCTAGAGATAATGATTCCTGCTGCAGAGCTGTGTGTGTCCAATCACACACACAAAATAAGGGTTCCCAATTGATTTTTGTGAACTGGTTTCATTTTCTCGGAAAGCATTTCAGGTCAATGGTGAAGCTAGGGTGCTGAGAGGAGGTGGCGTGTCTCCACCTAATTTTGCCCAGGAATGTCTGGCTCTCACTGTGCTCTGTGGAATAAAATTGGAATCATCAAGCCCTTTGAGGAATTACAAGGACATTTTAAAGCAGGACTTTTAATGCGGGGGAATAAGCATAGAGCATCTGCCTGGAGGAGATACACACATACACACACACATACACACACATACACATACATACACACACATACACACACACATACACACACACACACATACACACACATACACACACATACACATACATACACATACACACACGTACACACACACGCATACACACACACATACACACATGCCTACGTATACATATATATTCACATAGGTTTGTCTTTCCAGAATAAGTTTCTCACAGCAGCACAGTGACAGTTAGGAATCTGTGGGTACTCTTTTCCTGGGCTATTTTTCCACTTTAATGTGTGAACTTCATTTATAATATCCTCAAAATTAAAGCACAAGGAAACCTAAATGAATAGTTAAAGGGGTAATTAAAAATAGGCAACTGTCCTTGTTTCTCTCCTAAACTGGTTGATTTATGCCTTGTTGTGGTTTTTTTTTTTTTGAGAACACAAAACTATTAATTTATGTGTGAAAAGAACAGTGAATTAATCCTAAAGAGCCCTGCAGCCTTTAAAGACCTGAATCATATGTTGAGCTCATTTAAAACTTGCATAGGAAATTAAGGTAGAATAAAGCCCTTTAATTTGAAAAGTGCATCTATAGTTGCCATCCCTAGGATATCTGCAGGGTCATTATTCAGAAAGGTTAAGGAGGACTTTATTTTTTTATATTCACTATGTATTTCCCAGTTACAGCTCACCATGGTGCATTTCAACTTATAAAGAGAAGGAGATAAAAGGGGGGAGGGGAGCTTTTTATTCACTTTCCACTTAATTTCCTTGCCGCCACGCCAGTCCCAGCTTAATGAATGTAATTGCTACCTTTGATGAAAATACTATTATCAAGATCACACATTACATTGGAAAACAGTTTTTCTTTAAACACAGCTACTGCAGTCTCTAATTATGCATGTAACAAGTGTCTCCCAAACAAAAGAGCATGTTGTCTACAATTGCTAGGAATTGGAGCAAGGCAAATTCGAACAAAGGACAGATTAGATTTGCTCCCCGCTCCACAAAGCCCGTCCCTCTGATTAATTTCCTGCAAAAACTAAAACAATTCTCTTAAAAGGCGCTCGCCCCCTTCTTCAGAATGATCCATATGCCATTTGGGTCTTTCTATAGGATGATAATGGCCTCTGATTTGAACCCGTGTTAGAAAATAAGAAAGGGCTTTTATGAACTTCCTCTTTCATATGCAAATGGACAGCACAAGATCTTGAGGGATAATAAGCCCCCCAAAAAGTGACTTTTTAGTGGCTATAAAAGAGCTCATGGTAGGGGAAAGTCTGCATTGAGCCTGTTCAACCCAGTTATTTTATCAGCTTCAAGAAATGAGGCATCTCTGAGAAAATACCTCTGTGCCTGTTGAGACAGTGGCAACAGCTTTTCTGGGGTGGCCTTTCCTAAAAGACAGTTTCTTGACTTAGGAATAGAATTTTAAAAATGGATTCTGATTAAACAGCAAGTATGCTTGTTAAAGTCTTGTCTTAGGAGACCCTAGGTTTTAATTGCGCTTTGCTATTCATTTGGGAGACTGCATTGGGCAAGTTATCAGGCAAGTTGGGCATGATGTCCTGGGTCTTCATTTCTTTCACTTACCCAGTGTGAGAGGGGAGCGAGATGATCCTGAATGTGCAACTGCCACAATGTCCCCATTCTACCCCCAGCACTATTCAAACCCAGAAGGAAAAAACCAGCTTAGTCCCCAAAACAATATTAGTTATGAGGATGAGGTCTAGAGTCAGACAGCCTGGGTTCAAATCTCAGTTCATAATTTACCTCCTGTGTGACCTGGAAAACAATCATCTTTCTATGTCTTTATTTCCTTGACTTTATTTATTTATTTTTGGTGTTTCCTTTATTGTTTGTATTTATTTATATGTATCTCAACTTTTTTTTAGATTCATGGAGTACATATGCAGGTTTGTCACATGGGTATGTCGTGTGATGCTGAGGTTTGGGGTACAACTGATCCCATCACACAGGAAGTGAGCAGAGTATCCAAGAGTTAGCTTTTCAACCCTTGCCCCATTGCCCCCATTCCCCTCTAATAGTCCTCAGTTTCTACTATTATCATCTTTTTTTTTTTCTTTTTTTGAGATGGAGTCTTCCTCTGTCACCCAGGCTGGAGTGTGGTGATACAATCTTGGCTCACTGCAACCTCCGCCTTCCAGTTTCAAGCAATTCTTCTGCCTCAGCCTCCCGAGTAGCTGGGACTACAGGTGTAAGCCACCACACCTGGTTAATTTTCAGTAGAGATGGGGTTTCACCATATTGACCAGGCTGGTCTTGAACTCCTGACCTCATGATCCACCCACCTCAGCCTCCCAAAGTGCTGGGATTATAGGTGTGAGCCACTGCACACGGCCTATTGTTATCATCTCTACCTCCATGTTTACCCAATATTTAGCTCCCACTTGTAAGTGAAAACATGTGGTGTTTGCTTTTCTGTTCCCATGTTAATTTGATTATATTTCCTCAACTTTAAAATGAAATTAACACCAAAAGGACAGTGAGAATTAAATAAAAGCATACTTGTAAAATGTTTCCAACAATACCCAGTACCTAGGAAGTATTCAAGGAAGGAAGTATTCAATCAATTTTACTTGTTACTCTTATTATTTAAGACCTGGAAGACCACTGGTGCTTGATGAAATGAATTTCCCAAAGTACTGCCCGCTGTCTCCTTGAGGCCTGGGGAAATGGCAAAAGGGAAGTGTCATCTTGGATTGAACCTTATGTCTATCCAATAATGGGAAGGCTACCAGAACTCAATTTAAGGAGGTCGCAGTTAGGTCTGGAGCTGTTTTGGTAAAGCTCTACTGCATTAGACGTGAGTTGATTCTTTTCAGAGGCTCCTGCCAGATATGGTCCAGAGAGAATCAGCAGAGCAAACGCCAAATGAAGCAGGCTACCTGCACTGCTCTTTCTCATAGGAAAGAGGCTCTGGATGCATAAAAAGAGAAACACCACACTCCTGGCTCCTCATTATCTTAGGATTCATTACCTGCATCCAGATCATTTCCTTAGGGCAGTGAAAGCCATCATAAAGCTATGCTCACTAAAGAACCGAGTACCTATGAAAGTAGCACCCACCGGAATGTCCCCTTCTGCTGAACTCTAGCTGTCTTTGCTCAACCCTGATCATCTTTACTATCTGTCTCACTAATTGTCAGATGTTCCAACAATACTTTGCAAAGCCCATATAAATTGATGGCAAAACGAAACTGCAAATTGTGCCACAGTTGCAGGATTTCTTGGAGTTGTGAAAATGACGCTGGAGAGCCATTAGAATTCTATGAAAAGCCATTGACAAATGAGGATCTGGCCATTCTTGAGTTAAAGAAAAAAATGGGCAAGAGGGATGACACAGTCGACACTCAAAAGAGAATGATTTGAGTGCTGTGGGTGAAGATATGCCCTTGTGAAAATGCATGAAGCCTTTGGATAATTTTGCAAAAATGACACTCTAAGACCATGCTGTGAAAATCAACCACAAAGAATGGCCCACAGAGTGAGCCATCATACAATTTTGTACTGAAAAACGTATGCCCCCCTCCCAATTAACATTCGATTCATTCTTTGTTCAGTCTAAGATTATAGGTGCAATTATAGCCTTAGTCTAAAAATGAGATACATCTTTTTTCATAAATTTTAAGGCAAATTGTAAGTTTCAAGACGAACTCTACATCAAACCTCTTTTGTTTCCACCATTTATTACGAGAGGGTCCATATTTTAAAGAGATTTGTTTAAAGTGGAATTTTTCCTGCACCAATTTGCTAGTTCAGCAAGGACTTCATGTACCGTAGGTGATATCTTGGGAGCCGCAGGAGACAGTGCACACCCTTTTACATTAAGGCCTCAATGCTGCAGAGCTCCATCCCTTACATACTTTGATCAGTGTGAGCAGGACACACACACGCGCGCGCGCACACACACACACACACACACTTCACCTGCAGATTCCACACGAAGTCAGGCTCTCCAGGCCTGTGTTATCCTGGTAGGGAGGGCTTTCCCAGTTCAGGCGGCTTTCCCATAGCACAGGACTCTATGACTAGTGATCAGAAGGAAAGGGGCCAGGAGCACATCACAGAATATGAAGACCAACCTCCGCAAATCCCACCCTCGCCCACTGCCCCATGAGTCATAGAGAGAGTGATGGGGCTGAGAGTCAGCAGAGAGTCCAGAAATGCCCATTTGCATCCACAATTCTGTTCTCTCAGGAGTCTTCTGGCCCTCGAAGCTGTGTACCTGCCACCTGGTCCCGGCCACAGCCCTGGAGGAGGCCCCGGAGCACAGCAATCTCAATTTCTCAGAAGCAGAAGTGGAGGTGCTGGGACCAGCCCAAGGGTACCCAGTGCATGCAGAGAACCAGGGCAGCCTGAGCACAGATGGAGGGCTCCTCAAAGTACTCCCCGGAAAGCCCCACACATCCATCACTCTTCCCATTCCTCATGCTGCCTGGAACTCTGGAAATTGGCTGCTGAGATCGCTCTAAGGAGCCTCAATGGGGACACGGCATTACAGACAAGAGAGCTTTAAGGCGGCATCTCTGAGTCTCGATGGTCTCACAAATGACCGGCCATTTCCTGGTCCACTGGTCAGAGAATTAGCATACTGTGCATGGGAGCTGCCTCCATCTGTCTTCTGTGCTCCTCATTACCAGTGGCAAGGTGGAATCGGCACCTAACCTTTGAATCCATGAAGGGTAATGCCCCAAACACTCCTGAGTAGATGCACTCCCCTGTGACGGCCACATCGAGGGACTCTGGAACGTCCTCCGTGGGCCCATGCAGGCCACATCTGTGTCTGAGGCCCAGGGAGCAGGTGGACTCCACGAAGAGCAAGGGGTTGAGGAAGGAGCCCTGGCCTCTGCTGGTTCCATGCACTGTTTGTGGGGGACTCAGGCTGTTTGCTTGTCTTACCTGGCCTCATCAGTAAATCAGGGGTCTTCCTGGCAGGTCTGAGAGGTCTTCTGAGCTCCAGCTCCAGGGCTGCCTTCCCTAGAAGCCTTTTTTAACCCAGTCCTCACCTTCTCCCAGTCCTGGAAAACCAGCCACGACTCCATCAACTCCCCTCTGGCCTCTCACAGGCTCTGACCCAGCTCCCCCTGCCCTTAGCTGCATTCTCTGGCTCAGTTTCAGCAGCTTCCCCTGTTCACTCAGTGGGAGAAAGTGACCCTGGCTTCTTCCCTGTATTTGCTTCTGGCCACAGCTGCAGTCTGGGTTGGAGGACAGAATCTCCAGGGGAAGGAAAGGAAGATAAGGCTGAGAGAAGGCAGGGTCCCTAGGATGCCCTGTCTGCCAGAGGGCACCTTCTGACATTGGCTGGCTCCTGGAGCTGTGGCCTCTATCCTGCAAGGTGGCTGGTGTTTGTTGACAATGCAAACTGAGCCACCTGCGGCTCCCACCCTGGACAGGACTGGGGTCTGTGCAAAAGGACATTAGACCACTGCTGGGTGCCCCAAACAATTGGTTGCAAGGTGCTCTTTATAAATCTACCGGGTATGGTTTTTTATTGTAGATTGCACAGAAAGGCCCCATGGTGGGCCAGGAAGGCCAGGGCTCAAACAGAGCTGGGCTGGACCACGCTGTGGGATGTCACCTTGGACAAGTTCTTTCTAGAATTCAAAGCTCAGTTCATTCATCGGTTAAATGGGTGGTTGTACCAGATCGTGGCTACGAAACTTCCCAGCCCTGACCGTCCAGAGGACTCCAAAAATGCTGGAAGGGACTGGAGAATGTGCCAACTCAGGGGCTTTCCAGCCTTGTTTTGCAGAGTGGTAAGTTTTGGACTAAAGAAACTGGGCCATGTGATTCAAATGCCCAGCAGCTTGGGGCTGTCACAGTGAGGGTGTGACTGCAGCCTGACCAGAGGCCAGGAAACGCCATCTGGCTCCCAGGCAGCTCTGTCCACCCTGTGGGGATGCTGAAGGCTCCCTACATCTGACCTTCTCTCTATAGGGAGGAGAAGGGGGCCCATGGTTGAGGCAGGCCAAGGAAGGGGCAGCCTCATTGCTTAGTTAATTTCATCTACTTGTCCATCCATCCACGGCTGCATTCACGTCTTGCGCGCTCAGGGAGCTCCTGCTTTTCCCTCAAGACTCCACTCTGTTTTTGCCCTGCTGTCCCCCTGCCCATCCCCAGGAATAATGAGGCCCACCTCCCCCTGCCTGAACCACCATCGTCACACAGGCCATCCCTCTACAGTGGCACTTGGAAGGCTTCACGAATGACAGTGAGTCTGTAGACCCCCGGAGGCAGGGCTTTCCGTCCCCCAGCACTTGGCATAGCAGGTGCTTAATCAAGGTTTGCGGAATGAATTAATGAATGAGGGGAAGAAGTGAGATGAGGAGGCATGGAGATGACATTCCAGGGGGAGGGGCAGTGGAGGCAAAGGCCAGTGGAGGGAAACAACTCAGTGTCCAGGGACCTGGGATTAATCAGCACTGATGAACATGGGGACACCCTAATGCCCCATTTTGTTCCTCATCTCACAGGTACTTGGGTATTTGCCTTAATATCTGTATTATTCATTGGACTGCGAGTCCCATAAGCCCATCTGACTATCCCCAGGGTTTTGCCTGTGACCTAGCACATAGTAGGCACTTAATAAGTGATCCTTAAATGGATTAATTGGATAAGGTAGGAGGGCAAAAAGATGGAAACTACAGGGCCCGTATGGCAGCTCCACAACCATCAGAGACCCCATGGCACGGCAGGTGCTTAACCAAGTTTTGCTGAATGAATTAATGAATGAGAGGAAGAAGTGAGATAAGCATATGTGGTGAGCAGGTGTGATGAGCAGATGGGCCCCTTAAAGGGTTGCTATAAGAAAGGCAGGATGCTCAGTTAAACTAGAATTTCAGATAAGCAATAAAAAGTTGTGTTTCTTTTTTGTTTTTTTTTTTGTTTTGTTTTCATTTTTGTTTTGAGACAGGGTCTTGCTTTGTCACCCAGGCTGGAGTGCAGTGGCGCAATCTTGGCTCACTGCAGCCTCGACCTCCCAGGTTCAAGCGATCCTCCCACCTCAGCCCCCCAAGTAGCTGGGACTATAGGCATGTACCACCACTCCTGGCTAATTTTTGTATTTTTTGTAAAGATGGGGTTTTGCCATGTTGCCCAGGCTGGTCTGGAACTCCTGGGCTCAAGTGATCCACCCACCTCAGCATCCCAAAATGCTGGGATTACAGGCATGAGCCACCGCATCCAACCAATAATGAATAAGTCTTTGATAACTATGTCCCAAATATTGCACAGGACGTATTTATTAAAAAATTATTCATTGTGTTCTGAAACTCAAACTCATGTTTTTGGTGTTTTTATTTATTTGCATATTTGTTTTTTGTATCTTATTTTTAAAGTTTGTTTCTTTGTTTATTTTTTACTAATCTGGCAACCTACCATTCCCTCTTTTCACTTAGCCATAATCATCCCTGGCTTTTATCATCAGTATGACTGTGACCTCAGAGTCACAAGATGGCTGCTGGAGCGCCAGCCTTCATGCTTGCGATTTAGGAAAGCAGAAGGATAAAAGGAGAAGGGACGAAAGGACACCTCTCTCCCATCTGAGTCAGCTCTCTGTAAGAGATTTCCTCCACTAAATATGGGTTTGTGCTAGATTTGTTCTTTGATAATAATAAGAAATTATTGTTTATTTTGTTAGATGTAAAAGGTATTATGGATATATGAGAAAATGTTCTACCTTTTTGGAGATGCATCCTAAAATATTTAAAGATAAGATACGATGTCTGTAATGTATTTTTAATTATTTTCCGGAAAAAAGGAAGCAAATATGGCAAAAAGTTAACAACTATTAAATCTGTATGAGGGGTATATATGATGCCAATTACCCTTGTCTCTGGACCTTTTTTATGCTTGAAAATTTTCTTTGTGGGTTTTTTGTTTTTTGTTTTTTTTTAGATGTAGTCTCACTCTGTTGCCCAGGCTGGAGTGCACTGGTGCGATCTTGGCTCATTGCAACCTCTGCCACCCGGTTCAAGTGATTCTCCTGCCTCAGCCTCCAGAGTAGCTGGGATTACAGATGTCCACCACCACGCCTGGCTAATTTTTGTATCTTTTTAAGTAGAGACGGGGTTTTGCCATGTTAGCCAGGCTGGTCTCGAACTCCTGACCTCAAGCAATCCGCCCACCTCAGCCTCCCAAACATTCTCTAATAGAAAGTTTTGAGCTGGGCACAGTGGCTCACATCTGTAATCCCTGCACTTTGGGAGGACAAGGTGGGAGGATCACTTGAGCCCCGGAACTTCAAGCTACAGTGAGCTATAATCGCACCACTGCACTCCAGCCTGGGAGACAAAAGAAGACTCCAACTCTTAAAAAAACAAAAAACAAAAATAAACAAAAAATAGTTTTCGTTTTGTTCTTTTTAAAAATTATTTTATTTATTTATTTATTTATTTATTTATTTATTTATTTATTTATGTTTTGAGACAGAGTCTTGCTCTGTCACCCAGGCTGGAGTGCAGTGGTGCGATCTTGGCTCACTGCAACCTCCACCTCCTGGGTTCAAGCGATTCTCCCACCTCAGCCCCCTGAGTAGCTGGGATTACAGGCACATGCCACCATGACCAGCTAATTTTTGTATTTTTAGTAGAGACGGGGTTTCGTCCTATTGGTCAGGCTGGTCTTGAACTCCTGTCCTCAGGTGATCCACCCACCTCAGCCTCCCAAAGTGCTGGGATTACAGGGTTGAGCCACCTCGCCCAGCCTGTTCTTGTTTTTTAAAGGACAGATTACCCATAATCTTGCCCAACATTTGATTTCTTCTCATTCCCTTACAGAATGGGAGGCTGGGAAAGGAAGTCTTTGGGCTGGGTATACTGATGCCTGATACAATCAACATTCAGTCAGTGAGGAGGAAGGGCAGAATGGTTGTCAGGCAGGAGCTCACAGCCTCGGCCCAGGGCTCAATTTCTCAACCCCTCTGCACAGAGGAGCAGGGGCCACGGTGCCTGAAGCGCTGCCTTGCCTTCCTTGTTGGAACCAGCCCCTCCTGATCTCACCCAAACTCCTAGAGAATTTCTTCCCTTAGTACGGTGACTAAGGCACAACCAACCCCTCACCCCAGGGAGAGGAGACTTGCTGAGCTCCCAGTCTGTGCATGGTACAGCTTGTATGATCTCTGTGTCATACAGGTACCCTGTATGATCTTTGCCAGGGTAATTTAACCTCCTTGGAGCCCTGTGATCACCTCTCTAAAGAATACACAGCCCAGCCCCTTCCTTCCCTCATTAGATGGAGTTTAATTTCCCAGCTTACTGGCTGGGGCTACTGTCAGGGAGAAAAATCCTTGAACAGAGATCCTGAGCTGCTGTGTCAGGTGAGGCAGCCTATGCCACTTGCTTTCCTTTCTGCCTTGATGCCCTAGTTGTCACCTGCCGGAAACTGATAGTACCTGGCGTAGTGTTCAGTGTATAGAGGAAGACCTTGAAGCCATGGATACATATACGTGTTATTGCACTCTACATATGTGGCACGTAGTAGGCCTGCTATGAAGATATGTGGGGAGAGCAGGTCCACTGGTCTGTCAACTGACTGATGAACGGATAGATGAAATGTGGCACATCCATGCAATGGTATATTACTCGGCCATAAAGAGGAATAAAGTACTGATTCATGCTACACAAAGATGAACCTTGAAAACAGCGTGCTAAGTGATAGGAGTCAGTCACGAAGGAGCACATACTGTTTGATTCCATTTAGATGAAATGTCCAGAAGGGCAAATCTATAGAGACAGAAAGTAGATTAGCGCTTGCCTAGAGTCAGTTGCAGGATGGAGGAGAAATGGGGAGTGATTGCTAATGGGTATGGGGTTTCTTTTTGGCGTGATAAAAATATTCTGAAATTGACTGTGGGGATGGTTGCACATATCTGCAAATATATGAAAACCAATTGAATTGTACACCTTGCATAGGTGAATTGTATGGTATGTGAATTAGAGCTCAATAAAGCTTTTTTTTTTTTTTTTTTTTTTTTTTTTTTTTTGAGACAGAGTCTTGCTCTGTTGCCCAGGCTGGAGTGCAGTGGTACGATCTTGGCTCACTGCAATCTCCACCTTTTGGGTTCAAGCGATTCTCGTGCCTCAGCTTCCTGAGTAGCTGGGACTACAGGTGCACCCAAAACACTGGGCTAATTTTTGTATTTTTAGTAGAGACAGGATTTCGCCATGCTGGCCAGGCTGGTCTCCAACTCCTGGCCTCAAGTGATCCACCCTCCTCGGCCTCCCAAAGTGCTGGGATTACAGGTGTGAGCCACCAGGCCCAGTCAATAAAGCAGTTTTTTAAAATGAAAAAATCCTGGCATGGTGGCTCACAACTCTAATCCCAACACGTTAGGAAGGCCAAGGTGGGCACATTGCTTGAGCCCAGGAGTTTGAGACAGCCTGGGCAACATGGTGAAACCTCGTCTCTATAGAGAATATGAAAATTAGCCTGGTGTGGTGACGCACACCTGTAGTCTCAGGTACTTGGGAGGCTGAGGTAGGAGGATCACCAGAGCCCAGGAGGCGGAGGCTGCATTGAACCATGGTCACACTGCTGCAGTCCAGCCTGGACAACAGAGCAAAAGCCTGTCTCAAATAAATAAATAAATAATAAAAGTTAAAAAATGGGAGATGTTTATATCCATAGCAACAATATGTTGCCCAGGAGGCCCTGTGGCCACTAGCGACCTGGAAAATTCCCAGCGGCAGCCGGAATTCCAGAAGCCAAGTCCAGCTAGAACCATGGGTAGGGAGCTGGGGGAAGAGCCCTGTGTGGCTTCTGCCAGCGGTGAATGACTCGAGCTAATGTGCCTCCACTTACATGTATTGATCGTTTACCTCCCTCTGTTCCCCACGCTAGATCTATGAGCAAGGAGAAAGGAAAAAGGAGTTCAGGTTTAAACTCTTATCACTAAAGTGAGTCTCCTTCTACATTAAAAAACTATCCAGACCCTGTGGCAGGAATGGGCTCTGTTCTTGGGGCATAAATTTGTGTGTGTGGAAAAAAGACTTATTGGTGAACTTAGCAGTATTTTTCGTTGAACTGGCAGTTGCTAACCATTACACCAGTATTTATTTGATTCTTAAAGAGTACAAAACCATGGACCACAAATAAAGAAGATGGAGTAATAGTTTGTGGCTGGGCCACTAGCTTTAAACTTGAAATGAAGTGTCCAGTTTTGAGTTACTGTGTCCAACCACCATTTGTACAGTTTGAAAAGTGGGGGCATTTTTCCAGCCTGTCAGTGTGACTGTAGTTCATTCCCATGAATGATATCGCTGAAGGAGCAGTTGTTCTGCTATGAGCACCTCACTCATGACCAGAATATATTAAGTGTATTAATCTGTGCCTCCCGGCGTAATTTAGGAAGGCCCTCTATTTGACACATTCCTGTACATCCTTGTTTTATTGCCTGCTCCCGCAGGTAACAATGTCTCAAAAGTCTTGCTCCTGAATGAAGTTAAAATTACATGTCACCCAATAGCATATGCAGTTTTGTGGCTTATTTTGCTGTCAAAATTACCACCGTGCAACAACATGAGGCGTTAATGGGGACGTAGCGTGATTTACCTCTCGGGCTCTGGGCTCGGTGGTGAGGGAGGACTCCTTCGTCCACGTGGCCACATGCGAAGGGAAGCCCTGGTCACCTCTGCCCTTCCAATCTGCCTTCAGTACCCAAATTGTGTCTCTGACCATGGCAGGTCTTTCCAGAGATGAAAATAAGAGGTACTTGAGATTCTCTGCCAAATAATTGCTAAGCTTGTTTTAAGTCATGAAGGGAAAACTGCAAATTTCAAGCAGGTTAGTCTTCCACCAACAAACAGCATTCATAACTTGTTTCCCAGTTAGACTGGTGACTACTATCCGTTAAGAATGTGCCCAAGACTTAATGCAGAAATGTCTTAATTTTAAGGCTAATGGGAACAGCTCTGACTTACAATTTGACGCAATGTTTTTCTACCCTGCCAAGCCTATGTCTTTGGAATGTTTATTATTTTAGGTAACAAGAAAGCCACAAAGCCAGGTTGCATCTTTTAGTGAGATTATGGATTCCCCATCCAGGAAGAGTATGGAATGTAGCTTAAGCCAGCCTGCGAGCCTGGACTAGAGGCTGCGCTAGGAGGTTAATGAGTCCTAGGTACTTTTGCTTGTGTGGGTCCCTTCCTCCATAAGAAAAAATATATATATTTTATAACTTCTTGGGTATCAAGACAAATATAATCAATTGGGCATGGTGGCTCATGCCTAAAATCCCAGCACTTTAGGAGGTCAAGGCAGGAGGATCACCTGAGGCCAAGAGTTTGAAACCACTCTGGACAACATAGCGAGACCGTGTCTCTTTAAAAAAATAAAATTATTGTTTAAAAACGATATATTTTCCAAGTGGGAGAACAGAAAAAAATAAAAAATACAAAAATAAAAATAAAACAAAAAGATGGATATAATCTAGGCTGGACTTATTATTATATAGACATTACTATTATATTCATTTTTAATTTCTGATTTTAAAAGAAATGAAAATGAAAACATTTCTGTGGGCCCTAGGCACTGTGCCTGCTGTGCCTGATGGGTATGGCTGCCCTGACCTGTGCTGCAGGATTGAAGTTTCCAATCTTTCCCCGGGAGTTTATTTCAAGGCCAGGACAATCTGGCCAGGGCACCTCATGGAGGGACTCAGCCAAAAGGCATCCCACTTCCCCAACTCGGCACACAGTGTTTGCCAGGCCTCCCCCAGGGGCGACCCCAGGGCCTCTTCTTTCCCTCTCTCGTTGATTTGTCTTTATTTTAAATAAATAGGCCAAGGCCTCTGCTATGGATTTTCCCATGCATTTGAGAGCTGGGGACAATTCATGAATGTGAGAGCAGAACGCTCCACCTGCGGGTGTGGCTGGCCACGATGATGGGAAACGCGTTAGTAATGGGCCACCATGGCTGACCCCCGACCTCATCGACCGCCGCCCCTCTCCCCAGCCAGGTTCTGCTGTCCAGGCAGCTGCAGAGGAGTTTAAAGGGCAGCCATGGTCCCTGGTCAGCCAGCCTGCCATTAATAACGTTTGCATCTGTGACAATGACAAACCTGCAGTACTTGAGGAGAGTTTATTAAGGTCAGTCTATAAATAAGAATTAAAAATTTTAAAAAATCGGTTGACACAGATGAACAGACAGATGAAGAAAGTGATTAGGTGAAACAATAAATATAAAAGTGGATAAGGAGCTCCCAGAGCTGGCCTGGAAATCAGAGCCCAGCCCAGTCTTCCTCCGACCTCGCCTGAAGTTTAGATTTCATGAAGACACTCAGAACTTGTAGGTTTTGTGAATCTAGGCCCTGGCTAATATTTTGTCATTTAATGCCTGTTCTCTCAGCTAATAAAAAGAATTGCAGCCATTTCTCTATGTCAAGCCCATAACTGAGAGCTGGTAAAATTTAAATGTCTCATCTGTCCTCCAGCTTGCATGCAGATGCCCTTCCCCGGGAGCTTGGCTCCAGGCCTGTGGGCTAGTGACAGTCCCCCGGCTTGCCCAGCTGGCTCTTGCTGTCTCGGGATGGACTGCCTGAGCAAACTGGCCAGGGGGATTGGAAGCAAGAAGTGTGTCTTCCTGTAGCTTTGTCCCCCATCTCAGAGAGTGGGATTCTCCCCCGCAGTCCACAGGTCTTTGGGGTTTTGGTGCATACCATCCCAGTCCACTTTCTCAACGAAGTGGCTCCTGCTCTGTAGGCCTTTTCAACGATCGTGGTGATTTTTAATCGTATATTTAAGCAACTCTTTTCAAAGTTATTTTGCCTCCGTTAGCTCATTTGGCCCTCACAAGAAGCCCAGGAGAGACTCAGAGCAAATTTGATTATCTCATTTGGAAGATATACGGGGCACAGAGAGGTCAGGTTAGTCTGAGGTCGCTCCGCGTGTAGGTGCAGAACCAGGTCACTGTCCACTAAATGTACGAAGAGAGGGAAAGAAAGCAGTGGGTAGGAAGTCCAAGTGCTGCAAAGAAATGAAACTTAGCCAGCTTTCCACCCACCAGGAATGCATATTAGCATGAAAGTTAACTTGTCCTCACTTCAGTGACAACCAGGGAGCACTATGGTAGCTCTGCAGGGCTGTCAGGCCAGAAACAACCTTCAGAATCATCATATTATTAGGATGTGGTGCTTTATTCCAAATAAAGGAGTAAATGTCACTGTGTCTCATCCTTCAGAAAAGACAATTAGATGGAAATACTCAACTCATTCTCAGTTAAGCAGAATTATCAACAAGCCAGAATGTCACAATAAGAAAGCAGGCAGTAGACAGGATGGAGAGTTCTCCTAAATGCTCTGCCCTCTGTTAGTCCTTAGATTCCCCATGACTCAATTCAAGCTTGAGGGTCTTAGGGGTGCAACACAGATTGGGAGCTGTACAGAGCTCAGAACCACAGGCAAGAAAGAAGGAAGACTTCAGAGCTGGAGTCTAAAAGAGAGGATTCTGCCATTCAATTCCGCTTATCAAATGTCTGGTATTATGTCCCCCAAGCCAGACCCCAGACCAGGAGCACCAGAGTGGGGACAGAGTGAAGTGACCCCAGTCCCTGAGCTTCAGGTGGAGGACAGGCAAGTATGTGACTAATTGTGAGATGCAATGTGAGAACTGTGTCAGTAGTGTAGACACCATTCTGCCATGAAGATCTCTACCACAGGAAAGGAATTCTAGGAAGGCTTCACAGAGCAGGTGTCCCAAAAGAACTAAGCTTGAAGGAAAAGTGGGAAAATCCCATATGGGAAAGGAAATGGCATGCCAGGTGCTATAGGCTGTGTCCCCTCAAAATTCATATGTTGAAGCCGTTACCCCCAGAACCTCAGAATATGACTGTATTGGGAGGTAGGGTCTTTAAAGAGGTGATAAAATTAAAATGAGGTCATTAGGGTGGGCCCCAAGATAATCTGACTGATGTCCTTATCAAAACAGAAGATTAGAACACAGATGGGTACATAGGAAAGACCTTGTGAAGACCCAGAGAAGACGGCCACCTACAAGCCAAGGAAGGAGGCCTCAGAAGGAACAACCCTGCTGACACCTTGATCTTGGACTTCCAGCCTCCAGAACTGTGAGGGAATAAATTTCTGTCATTTAGGACACCTAGTTGGCAGTTATGTTTTACAGCCACCCTAGCAAACTAATAACACCAGGAAAGCAAAGAGCCGGGCACAGTTCTGGGAGTGGGAATGTGTCTGAGTGTTTAAAGCATGGCGGTGCTTTGAGGAGTCCAGGTGGCCAGAAGGGGACAGAACGTGCTTGCTGGAGGCACCAGGACGCCAGAGTTCTTGACTCATTACCAACCGTTGTCCTCATGGGAGTGCCACGGCAGCCTTTCCTGGCTGTGCCCTGCTCCACTCCTGTCTCCCAGGGGAAGGTGGGCACTCATATCCTTTGCTTTGCTTTAGTGCAAACTTAAAGGCAGCTTCCAGCTCAGAATCTCCAACTCCTTCCCTGGGGTCTCCCCAGTGGCAACCACGTGCCTCCCACATGTTTGTGGAGGACGGAGCCAACAGACACCTGTGTGAGTTCAGGGTTGCCTGCTCTCTTCCAACACCCTTGGCTTGCTAGCTTTCCACCCTAGGAGCTTCCCAGATCTCCCCTAGTAGATGGCTGCTGAGGGAAACCACTCAACTCAAAGCCACGGCCAGCTGGAAGATGTTTTGGAAACTCTCAGCTGACATTGCAGCCTCTGTGGTGTGGGAGAATGTGGTAGGCTGAATAATGGCCCCTCAAAAATATCAGGCCCTAATCCCTGGAACCTATAAAATTTTCATATACAGAGAATCTTTGCAGATGTGATCTTGACATGTGGGATTATCCTGGATTCTCACAGTGGGCCCTAAATGCAATCACATGTATCCTTATAGGAGGGAGGGAGAGGGAGATTTTATACACACAGAGGAGAAGGCACTGGGAAGACAGAGCCAAGAGACTTGAAGATGCTGGCCTTGAAGACAGTGTGATGCAGCCACAAACCGAGGAAAGCCAGCAGCTACGAGAAGCTGGGAGCGGCAAGGAAGACTTCTCCCCAGAGTCTCCGAGGGAACAAGGCCTTACCCACACCTTGATTTGATACTCATTTCAAACTTCTGGCCTTGGTAATGGTGAGAGAATAATCCTGTTTTAAGCCACCACATTCCTGGTCTTCTGTTACAGCAGCACAGGAAGCTCATGCAGAATGGCAGGCCAGGGATCCAGGTGGGGCTCTGACACCTGCTGGTTCCAGGCACTTTATGCTTTCTCCGATCTCAGTTTCCTCCCCTGAGCTCCCATTGTGTAATGCATCATTGCCATTGTGACAGCCAATCCTGGCCTGCCTGCATATGCATCCAGGTCAAGGGGCACCCACAGCACTCTAACCAGGCCTGGCAACTGCAGCGTTGCCCCACACGCAGCAGAATATCATGAACTTCGGCCTTGCTATCTGAGAGTCTGAGCAGCCCAGATCATGGGTGTTCGCCTCGACGTTCCCATTTGTTGCACCCAATCTGATGATAAACGTGGAGACCCCAGGAACACTGGCCTGGAAAGGCCCTGAAAACTGAGAGATGTAGCTGAGGCAAGAGGAAAGAAAGGAAATGGCATTTTCCCTCCAAAAGGCCTAGGCCTTCTTGAATGAGCCATAGCCAGGGAGCCCCAGTGTGTGCCTGGGAGGTGTCCACCAGCAGTAATCCCAGAGGCCATTGCCCCTGGTTTCACCCACAGCAATGGGCAGCAGTGATGGGGGCCAAGTCACTGAAAAAGAAAGGGAAAGTGGAAGTGGGGCTAGGGGTAGGAAACGTGTACATCTGGGTGGGTTTGCCAGGAGATGGGGAGGCTTCATGTTTGAAGGGAACGTCCAGATGCCACCTGCTCAGGGGAGCAGGCTGCTCTGGAGCCCTTACTGCAAGCCTGGGAATGGGTCCTGGCCAGAAAACATGCAGGTGTTGCAACCAGGTGCAGGGAAATCTTCCTACAGACACACCTGTGCTTCCTGGCAGCACATCCTCTTGGGGTCCTCATCTGGCTCGCAGCCACCCTCCTCCTTGATCTCACTAACTGCCAAGTCACCCTCTATGATATCATCCTCACTCTTCTTCACTGCTCCTAACCCAGTCTGAAATCGTGTACTTTGTCGTGATTTATTGTCGATCTCTCCTCATAAGAATTTAAGTGCCTGGGCCAGGCACGGTGGCTCCTGCCTATAATCCCAGCACTTTGGGAGGACGAGGTAGGCAAATCATGAGGTCAAGAGATCGAGACCATCCTGGCCAACATGGTGAAACCCTGTCTCTACTAAAAATACAAAAATTAGCTGAGCATGGTGGTGCATGCCTGTAGTCTCAGCTGCTTGGGAGGCTGAGGCAGGAAAATCACTTGAACCATGGAGGCAGAGGTTGCAGTGTGCCAAGATCATGCCATTGCACTCCAGCCTGGGTGACAGAGCGAGACTCCGTCTCAAAAAAAAAAAAAATTTTAAGTTCCTGGATAGACCAGGCTGTGACTTCAGTGCCTCGTCTCTGCCACAGAGAACTCACTCAGGAAATATTGAACGAACGGGTGAATGAGTGAGTGAATGAGTTGATGAATGAGTGAGTGAATGAATGAATGAGAGAGTGACGCATGAATGAGTGAATGGATGAGTGAGCAAATGGATGAATGAGTGTATGATGGATGAATGAGCAAATGAATGAATGAGTGACTGAGTGATAAATGAATAAGTGAATGGGTGAATAAGTGAGTGAATGGATGAATTAATGAATGGATGGGTGAATGACCGAATGGGTGAATGAGCGAATGGTGAATGAGCGAATGGGTGAATGAGTGAGTGAATGGATGAATTAATGAGTGAGAGAATGGATGAGTGAGTGAGTGAGTGAGTGAATGGATGAATAAATGAGTGGGTGAATGGATGAATGAATGAGTGACTGAATAAATGAATGAGAGAGTGGATGAATGCGTGAATGAATTAATGAGTGATCAATGAATGAGTGAATGGATGAATTAGTGAATGGACGGATGAATGAGTGAATGTGTGAGTGAGTGAGTGAATGGGTGAGTGAGTGAGTGAGTGAGTGAACGGGTGAATGAGTGACTGAGTGAATAAATGAATGAGTGAGCGAATGGATAAATTAGTGCATGAGTGAATGAGAGGGGGCACTCAAGCCCCCACACCGATATTCACAGATATTCCAGAAGCTCCACGGAGCCTCTGGGAGCTCAGAGGAGTGAGGGAGGTTCCTGTCCTCCTCTCTCTGATCTCCACCCTGAGGTCCAGGGCCAGGGAGACTCATCAGCTGCCATCGTACCACAGGCAGGTTATGGTGATGGCCGTGCCTGGGGGCCAGACAGGGTCACGGAGGTGGAGGTGGGAGAGATGGCCCTGGGGGACTGGGGTTCAGTGGTTTCTCACAGTGTTCAAATCAAAGCCCAAAGGCAAGGACTTGGGCTTCTTTCAAAGAATGGGAGCCTTATTTAATCCATAATCCCACCATAGCTGATGATGCCTGCAGACCCCACTCTCAGCTCCACGTGGCTGCCCCCCTCTCTCTCGTGGAGCCAGATGTCCCACGGTCCCACCCACCTCAGGGGCATGAAGGTGCCCCTTTCATTTCTTCTCTACATTCCACTCTCTCAGTGACGTTTTAATCCATTCAAACTGGAAGGAAATCTTTGCTAATCACCCTCTGAAAATCTTTAGTTGTTAAAATTCTTTTTGTTGTTGTTGTTGCTGCTTAAAGTTTCATTATTTTTAAACAATCCAATTTTACGGGCATTGCATCCTTAATGTGCCCTAATTATGGGGGATGTTTTGGTAAAGCAGTGGGATGCTTCATTCTGGAAGTTTCACCTTCTCCAGGAAGGGGCTGCTGAGGGTTTTTGGGGATTCCTACATCGTAATACATCATAATTGTGCATATTTTTACTAGGGGCTGTGAAGATGCTTTGTTACAAATAATTAAATTCAGCACAACCGGAACTGCACCCAGAAAACGCAAACCTTGCATAAAAGCAATAAAATTAGCAGCTTCCGATGAATCTTCAGAACTACCTGTGTTAGAATCCAACCAATCCCTTCTCTTCAGTCAGTCCCCAAGAAGGAGCAGAAGAATGCAACTCCCATGGCTCCATGTGTGTGGGATGGAGTCAGGAAACCTATGTTTGACTTCTGGCTCTGCTTTTTAACCAGAACTGTGGCCTTGGGTGAGTTCTTTTCTCCCTGAGCTTTGGATTTCTTATCTGTAAAACGGAGAAAATAGCAATGCAAGCTGTGAGAGTCCAATGAGATAATAGATCTAAACATGCCTTAGAAACTATGAAGGGCCAGATATACTACTCAGAGACCCAGCCTCTCCTGAAGAATGAATCGGAGGAACTGGAGGCCTTCTTACCCAAAACTGCTGCCTGCCAGCCAAGCCAGATTGTTCCATCCACCACAGGCACTCTGTCCCGCCCTTGGCCCTAAACAAACCTAACATTCCTGCTGCTATTTTGGGGCCCCCACTACCCTCAGGGCCCCAAGGTCAAACAAGCTGGCATCTCTATTTTCACTCCTGTTAGGAATTGGAGAGCCATAAAATGGATATTTCAGAAAGCCCAGTGCATGGGTCATGGGGCCAATACCAGCACTAGCAAGCTTCTTTAATTTTACTTAAAGGTAAAATTCAGTCACATAATGGGTGATTCTTTGAAATCCACCACTAATGTTTTTGGTGAATTCTTTTATGAAATAATCGCATAATTTCAGCAGGTTGCCCAGGGTCTAGAAAATAAATAAATAAATAAATAGTCATATAAGCCTTCGATCCACATTTCTTAAATAAAATGATTGACCGGAGGCATTTAAAAAACACAGTTTGAGAGTATCCATGGAGATTTGGTTGGAAAATCTTAAACTACAAATTCTACAAATGGCTCCTCCTTCCTTAAACCTGAGCCTGGTCTCTGTTCAAGCAAGAAGGCAGGATCTCAGCGTCTGCACTGCAAGCAGTCCGAATACCTGAGTGGGGACTCTGTCAACTGGCCCATTCTCCATGTGTCATGGAATTCTCAGCCCGTGCGGATTTATCCTCAGCCTCAGACAGGGCGTTTTGGGTTTAAATATGCATATGCATATTGACAGGGCCACTTTCCTTAAAGAAGGGGAGGGCACAGAACAGGCCATAGCCATCTTTGCCATCTATGGGTGCCCATGTGCCCGCCATCTGGAGTCATACTGGAGCCATGGTCACCTGGGCATACTGGCAGATTGTAGAAACACATGTTCCACTGCTTTCTTTCGATAGTACCTGCCGCTTGTTTATTCTTTGGTGTGAATAAAGATAACTTTTGTTCAGAGAGTGAGACAACTTACCAGAGCCCCCTTCAGATGCCATGAGACGGGCCTGGGGCCTTCTGGAACAATGAGGGGACACAGGCCATCGTCCTGTTGAACACTCTGGGGAGCCACTCTGGGGAAATGCTGCTGTTGGAATATGACCAGGGCCCACCGAGAGAAGCCTTGATGCTGAAAGCAAGAGTTACTCCTGCCATCAGGAGGGCAGATGGAATGGACAGGGTGGGCTCTGGGGTGGGGGTTCTGCTGAGGGGTTTCCTGCCCTGGCTGCTGTACTCGGCCAGTGGATGCCATTGCCAGATCTCCTGCTCCAGAAGCAGCAGCTTTCCCCCATGGTAGAGTTGGTTCCCAATTCCCTCAAGACAAAAGGCACTATGGCAACTAGACATGATTGTTGCGATTAATCACTCCTGACGTCTAAAGGGTTTTGCTCCTGAGGTCATCTGGCACAGTGGCAAAGCACACAGACCCGAGGGACAGCACTGCCACCTTCTTCTAGCTGGGGGAGATTGGGGACATCACTGTCATCTCTAAAACAGGAACAGCAATAATGATAATTACAATGGTAATTATATCATAGGGTCATCATCAAGATTAAATGGGATCATCTGTGTCAATTACCAAGCAAACACTAAGTGTTCAATATATTTTTTTATAACTTGCACTTATGTTAATCACATTTTATCCTCATGGTAATTTTGTAAGTTTGTAATTATTATGACTATTTTACTGGTAAGGAAATTGGTGCTCTGAGAGGTCCCATGACTTTCTTGTGGTCACTGAGCAGCAGGAAGTGGAGGTGGAGACAGTCCCAACATCCTCACGTGAAGCCCCCATCACTAGCGGAACCACCTTGAATCTTTCATGCATACCAGCACTTCATTTCCCCACCAAACCACCCCCAGAGCCCAGCAAACCAATCAACATGATCATCTAGACCAGTGCTGTCAATATGATGCTGTCAGTATACTGGATCCCAGTCCAATATAAGATTGTTCTTGCAATTAGAGCTCATCAGGGGATGAGCTCTCTGAGGAGGTAATGAGATCCTTGTCCCTGGAAGTGTTTAGGCAGAGGCCAGATGCCATGGGTCAGGTATTTCCCCACTAGTTGAGAAATTGGACAAGATGACGCTAAGGTACTACTATCAGGTTCTATGATACGAAGACATCAAAGCTTATCCTCAAGGAACCATTTCCAGTGGTGAGCTTTCAGACAATTAGTGGGCTAAATAATAATCTAATTATTGTTATGTGTGGCCACTTTTAATTAAAATTAAATCAAATTAAAAATTCCCTCCTCAGTTGCACCAGCTACTTGTGGCTGGGGGCTACCGCATTGGATAATGCCCCATTTGCATCACCTCTGCAGGGTCTCTTGGATGATGCTGATCTCTCCTCTCAGCTCTGCCTTTTTCTCCATGTACAAAAAACTTTATTTGGGTCCAAAGCAGAGCCTGTTTCATCAGCACCAGCCAACTGGGAGATAGGAGTGCTTCTCAAGCTGCATCCAATCTGACAGCAAAGACAGAAATGTTCCAATTTTGACCAGAAGGAAAAAAATCCTGCCAGGGCAAAAGGGAAAATTCACTCATCAAGTATTGTTTAAATTATTTGAAAATATACTGCATCTGTTTAATGTTTAAAGCAAAAGAAAGTGGCAAAGTAACCGAGCATGAGATAGCTTTCAATAAATAATCACGGAATAAATAGGAATATTCGCATGGGAGCCCTGGAAATGCACGAGTAGTTTGGTACCAATAAAATGCAAAGGATAAAAATAAAATACAATACAGCGGCAAAAGTATTTATATAAATCATGAAAATGTAGGAAAGAAAAAGAGCCAGCTGCTCCAGCTCACATTTGGAACAAGGTAATATGAGAAATATAAGTCTGCCACCAAAGACTGTATTAGAAGCTGGGAAATAACGAACATGATTGCATTGTAGTTTTTCCAAGGGTGAAATTTACAAACGATTTACTGTAAATGTTTACCCAGTGTACAATAGAGAAATGTGATCAGAGATAATTTATCTTAAAATTTTCACCACATTCTTATGTATTCCACTTGAGAAAGGGGCATAAGGTTTTTAAATGCGCTATTGTATATTCACCTCCTCCAGCTTCCCACCCTCTTTATTTATTTATTTTTCTTTTTGGCTTACCTTAAGCTACTGGACAAAGTTGTCTCTTTGATCCTCTGCTAAGAAAGTCAAGAATTGTGGCCTGCAGTGAGGTGCTAATTGATGACCAATCAGATCAATGCCTATTTCATTAATCAAGAGTTTCAGAGCAAAATCCACATGAAGGAAAGAAACTTTCCTCTCGTTCCCTCTATGGAAACAGAAGCTTGACTGATGGATTCCCCTCCATGAGTTTGCTTCCACTGAATATGGTCCAAACTCTCATTTGCTGGACAAACTATTCTGCAGCCCAGTTCAAATTAAAGGCAAAGTCTTTGGAGCTGGAAGACAGAGGTTCAAGTTCAGCTTCCCCAAGTTGTACAATGTCTTTGTCAATAAAATGGGGCCAATGAATGCAGTTTTTGGAAGCTCTTTTCTATCATGAAGCACTAGGTGAGGGTCAGGTTATTATTGTGACAGATTTTGCTGGGCATGGACCCCCAATTCCCTTATCTTCATCCTACCCACCGCCTCTCCAACCTTCTCCCCAAATGACCATTGCTGGAGAGGAAATCACATGCTCAACAAATCACTGCGACATGTTGGTGACTCCATATGTCACTCTTTCCAGTCCCACAAAAAAAGAGAAAATTATTGAAGGAATTGTCTAGTTGTCTCGTCTAGAGAAGAGAAGACTTGGGGAGCTTTGTTGATGCCTTCCAACACTGACATGGCTCCTGTGGGGCAGCCTGAGTAGGCCTGTTCTAGGTAGCTCCAGGAAACAGAACCAGGATCTATCGGGTGGAACAGATCCCAGTCCAGTATAAGATTGTTCTTGCAATTGGAACTCCTCAGCGGACGGGCTGTCTTGGAAGGTAATGAGATCCTCATCCCTGGAAGTGTTTAGGCAGAGGCCAGATGCCATGGGTCAGGGATTTCCTCACTAGTTGAGAAGCTGGACAAGATGACGCTAAGGTACGACTATCAGGTTCTATTCTATGAAGGCGTCAAAGCTTATCCTCAGGGATCCATTTCTAGTGGTGAGCTTTCAGACAATGAGTGGGCTGATATTTCTCAGCAAGTCACCTCCAGGAAACACTGAAAGCCTACATGTAGGTGACAGAGGCTCAACCTACACCCCATGTCCCCAACCTCATTAAGCACAGCCTCAACAACAACATGCTTTTCTGCAGGAAGATGTAGGTGGAAGCGTACAGGGAGCCTTTTCCCAGCTTGAAGCACCACTGGGGCAAAGGAGCTGTTCATCTTCCACCAGGGTCTGAGTGGAAGGGTCCCCTGAATACAACAGCCTTTCTTCTCTGAAGGTTATCTGCTAAGCACCAAACTTTGAGAGCTGCCAGCCATGACTGCCCCAGCGAGGGCAGACACAGGCCCAACCGCGATGGAAAGGGAGGCCGAGTTCTATTTTATCTCTGGCTGCGTCAGCCCCTTTAAATGTCCTCAATTCCCCTACTTGGAAAGTCCCTGGATAACACGTTATTTAAATGAACCTATTCCACATCTTCCATGGTTACTTACTTTTCTCAATGACGAATCTTAAAACGGATTGTCTGTAAAAGATCATCTGTACTTTACCAATATCCAGGCTCCCCCTCCCCAAAAAAACTGTCAGAGGTACACCACGTGTGTGAAACTAGTCGATTTCCTTAATTCATCCCTGGAGAATGGATAAGTCTATCAATCTATTAAATTGGAAAGCCATTAGGAGGCCTGGTTTATGCGTTTCAAGCTGTTAACTAGAAGTTGATTGATTGTTGTTCCTCTGATAGGATATGCTGATCTAATCTCACTGTGCTCCAGTTTGCAATAAATTACACAATTCATTTCCTCCATTTAGAGAGAGAAAATCACACCTCCAGGCATGCCTGCTTCAGAGGCAAAGAGCAGGAAGCCTATTTTATGGTGCCATTTAGCCTGCAAGCTTTCAGCAATCCTTGCCTCCAAAAAATCGAAGCATAATCAAGGTGTATGTTTGGAAAATTTATTGTTATAATTTTCCCCAAGTAATCTCCTCCATTTTCCAGGCGCTCCAACGGCATAAGTCATCATCTAAAAGAGAAAATGAATAGCAGTTTAAAATTTATCGGTCTTTGATTCTCAATTATACGTGTTTATGACTTCATCTGTCTTCAGTGACTTCAACCTTTTCCATTATGGTGGAATATTATTTGTACGGGATCCATTAAATTCACAATCCAGCCCTAATGGTAGGCTGTAGCGTTTCCAGAAGAAAATTTTTGAAAGGTGGTTTGCAGAAAGCGAAGCTGTTATGACACTAGAAATTGCTTTATTGATAGCCTCGCCTCTCGCCTGAACATTTTGCAATTTGTAACCTGGCCCATATCTATATTTCAGGCTGACGTTGATAAGAACCCTTCTGCCCCCCACACCAGATTACACTTTGTAATGACATGGAGAATGCAGGGTGGGGAGGGGGACCGAGAAGGGCAGCCACCTTCTTCCTCCTCCCTGTCCCCAGCTGTCCTCCTCCTCCTCTCCATTGAGAAGGAAGATGGTGGAAGGGGATTGTGTCTTGCTGTGCTCCTGGTCTTTGCTGGCCTTGATCCCCATGATGCCTCAGGCTCAGCCTCTCCATGAATGTCGACCAGGGAGTCTCTTGTAATGGAGGTCTCTTGGGCCCGACCCTGTCCAGCACCCGACCCTGTCCAGCACCATGGTCCTGAACCTCTGACACGGGGAGAGCCTGGGCCTTTTCTGGTGGAGTGGAAAGAATTGAGCTAGAGATGTCCAGTAGGCTGGACACTTCTCTCTGGATCTGATCTTTTGGTGACAGAATATACTTTGGGGAGAAGCAAGTTCAAGTTAAATTCAGGCTTAAGCCCCAATCTTGGCCTCTCCTCACACACATGCAGACTCAATGTGCTCCCTGCCTTCCCTGGCAACTTGTTCTTTGAGGGGAAAGATCCAATTCTTAGAAAGAATCTCCCAGCTGAGTCCAAATGCACCATGATTGGCTCTGAGCCAGACCTCAGCAGTTCCCCCCATGGCTTGCATTCAGCAGGGGTGTAACTCTCCTCACATGCCAGCGCCCCAGCTCTGAGCACTCTCCACCGTTCCCACGTCCTTCACAAGCAGCAATCAGAACAACTGCCACGCCATGCTCACGAATCCACCTGCAGCTTTGCAAAGAGTACATCATGCTTTCTGTTAAAGATGAAACACCGAGGCTCGGAAAGGGCACAGCCGTTCCTCGAGATCATGCAGCTACAGCCAGGGCTTAAGTGCAGGTCTGCTGACAACCAAGTTCTTGCCCTCTCTACACTGAACTCCTTGTTCAGTATCTACTTAAAGTCAGTTCTTCTTTCCTTATTTTTCTCCCTCCCTCCTTCCTTCCTTTCCTTCTCCCCTCCCTGTTCTCTTTCTCTTCCTCCCTCCTTCCCTCCCTCTCTTTCTCTTCCTCTCTCCTTCTTATCTTTCTCCCTCCCTCCCATATTTGTTGAGCATTTACCTCAGCCCAGAAAGTCACAAAGGTAAGAAAGGTTACAAAGCCCAGAAGGCTACAAAGCAGCTGCTCTTGAAGACCTTGTAAACAAATGAGACAGACAGACACAAAATTAAGTGCTGGGGGCAGCAAGGCAAGCCCCGTAATCATGGGGCAAACAGAGGGCCTGGAGGACCAGGCCATGGTTCCTTCTGCTGAGGCTGCTATGAAAAGCTTCACAGAGGAGGCCAAGTTTGGGTCGGGCACTGGGGGATGGGCAGCCACTTGCCAAGAGAAGGGTAGAAAGGCAGTCAGGTCAAAGGAAGAGGGGAGCAGAGACGTCAGCTTTCCCTGGGAGGAAACAGTGAGGAAGATTCTCCATGCCCTGCAATTTGACTTTATGTGCTTGGGGGTAGAGTCGTTAGGAAGCAGGAACACAGGCCACAGAGATAGAGCCCTGGGCTCTACAAGCCCATCAGGGAGGGGCTGGGGTCTGGCTCCCAACCCAAACCCAGTGCCGGGCTGGGGAACAGTGTGTGGCTCCTCTTGCCACAAGCACTACTTTGGGGTTTGACCTTTCACCATGCTTCCAAGTCCCCACCGGCTGGAATGCTCAGAATACATTCTGTCAGAGCTTGGTCCCAATTGCTCATGAATGTTTTCCAGGAAACACAGGCCCCACCTCAAACCTGCAGAATCAGGATCTCTGAGGTTGATACCAAGGGGCAAGCCCAACGCTTTCTACCAGCTCTGCCGCTGTTCCATGTTACAAAAGAGAATGACAGTCCTCGGTGTCCCCACACCCCCCTCTGCCAGCAGCCCAATGGTACCTTCTCCCAAGGAGTTGCTATTTCTAGTTAATAGTTCCAAGAAATTTGCATTTTGTTCCATTGAATTACAGAAAAAAAAAGTTTCCAAGAAAATCCAAGTATGAGAATCTGCATAACGCTAATGTTAGAGTGTTAGAACTGAAACAGACCCCACACACCACGTAACTTCAAGCCAGTTACACTCTACAAATATAGAAAAGGAGGCTCAGAAAGGTTGGTTGACTTGCCGAGGGTCACACAGTAAGCAGAAGAGCCAAAGCTAGAAGTCAGAACTTATCCTGAGTTTTGCAGTTATCAAGGACGACGTGCATTGAGGAAAAAAGCCCTAGAAACACAGCAATGTTCTTATTAATGACCCTAGAAAAGGGCCTGGTGCAGTGGTTCACAACTGTAATCCCAGCACTTAGGGAGGCCAAGGCAGGAGGATCACTTGAACCCAGAAATTCGAGATCAGCCTGAGCAACATACTGAGGGTCCATCTTTACAAAAAATTAAAAAATTGTGGCCAGGCGTGGTGGCTCATGCCTGTAATCCCAGCACTTTGGGAGGCCGAGGCGGGCAGATCATCTGAGGTCAGGAGTTCGAGACCAGCCTGGCTAACATGGTGAAACCCCATTTCTACTAAAAATACAAAAAATTAGCCGGGTGTGGTGGAGCCCACCTGTAATCCCAGCTACTCAGGAGACTGAGGCAGGAGAATCGCTTGAACCCAGGAGGTGGAGGTTGCAGTGAGCCGAGATCGCACCATTGCACTCCAGCTTGGGCAACAAGAGCAAAACTCCATCTGAAAAAGAAAAAAAAATTATCTGGGTGTGGTTGCACACCCCTGTAGTCCCCGATACACAAGAGGCTGAAGTGAGAGGATGGCTTGGGCCCAGGAAATCAAGGCTGCAGTGAGCCGTGATTGCACCACTGTACTTCAGCCTCGGCAACAGAGTGAGATCCTGTCTCAGAAAACAAACCAAAATGAAACAAAACAAAGAGCCTAGAAAGGGGCTGCCAGTGATGTAAGCAAAGGAGTTAATTATAGATGGCACCTAAATATTGGACCACAAAGGTCCACTTGGGGTTTCCAGTAACCCATAAAATCTAGTAGAAATGAGACAATTTGTGGGTTAACTGAAACAGTAGGGACGCCCCACATGGATCACGAAGACCAGCCAACCCTCTGCAGGGCTGGCCTGATAGCATCTCTTCACCATTGATGCTATTAGGTGGACTGCTGTGGCATTGCCATTGGCTCTGTGTTTCAGAGACCCGGCAGTCCCAGAGCCACTGGGAGCACAGCCACCATTCCCCAACGTGACCTGTGTGTGAGGTGAGGAAGCTTAGGGCCATTGCCAGCTCCTCCCTCTCTTGGCTCTTTGAGAGTGTTACACTTGGACATGCAGCCAAGGTCCTCAGTCTCTTCCAGCCTAGTGGAGATGAGGGGGAACTGGCTGCCCTCACATATGGGCGAGACTCAAAACTCGTGACAGTGACTTTTAGTTCAGCCTTGCAGATAATCACATGCAGACCGATCTACTGTTTATAACACACCTGCTTCTGCCACAGAAAGTAGTACATCATTGAGAATAAATAGATGGATAGGGAAATAATGTCTACAAACATATACAGAAAGTCAGCCTTCCCATTTTGGATTCATTGTCAAGTAACTGGCTAAAGGCTGGACCTGGCTGTTCTGAGAAAAAGGTGAGACCCACGGAGTTTTGGCGGAAAAAGAAAGGAGCCGCAGGATAGCCCATCACGTGTAAGGTCTCCTCCCTAGGTCTCTGTGTGAGGTGAGGGATCTATTTTAAGGTCCTTGTTGAGGCTCTCTAGGGTGCTCTACTGCTTCATCCCTCTCCAGGAGAACTGCCCATCCATGCCTTCATGGGGACACCCCTGCAGCTGCCTTCGTGCTGTTTACACAGTTAGCAGGTGCTCTTTCGCTGCTGACCGGACTTTGGGTGAATGCCTGACCCAGTGGGCGCCTCTCTATTGGCTGGCGTGGACCAATCAGAATCTCTGTTGTAGGTATCTGGAATTGGGACATTGTCAGCCTAGAGGTGATGTAGGATTTCTTTCCCTCAGATGCATAGAAAGCAGAGACATTCGGGGTGTTGGCAGAGCAAAGAATGACCAAGTTGGGTTTAGAGAGGTGGAAATGAGCGGCCACGGGGCCCCAGGAATGCAGAGAGCCTTGGCTTCCTGGTTTCTGGCCATCATGAGGACAATCAGACTCTTAACCCAGCAGGCTTGGTGGATTTCTCTGTTTAATAAATCCCTCGTTATTGAAGCTAAGTCTGAGTGAGCTTTGCTCCTGGCAATAAAGCCATCCTTAAGAGGGCTCCGATTTGCTACCGATAGTGTTTAAGATGTCAGGAGAATGGCTGTGGGAGGTGGAGGAAGGGGCATGGGAACAAGGAGGAAGTAAGGGAAGTTCTCCTGTTCATTCTCCTTCCTTGGACAGCCACACCTAGGAGGCAGACACTGGGTGTATTCTTAAGGAGGAACACATTGTTTTTCAGAGGACAAGAGTGTCTCTTGGGGCAGTCATTTTTTAAATGGACCTGGAAAAAAAACTGTGAAGCCAGTAAAGCTTTCCTGCACTCCCCAGGACCCTCCACTTCTGTCTTTCTGTGCCCTACTTTGTGATCCCTTCCTCTCCCACCAATGACAGGGATAGTGGGTTGGATAGTGTCCCTCCAAATTTCATGGCCACCAGAACCCCAGAATTGGGCTTTTTTTAAACATTGGGTCTCTGCAGATGTAACTGGTTAAGATGAAGTCATATTGGAGTAGGGCAGGCCCTCAATCTAATCACTGGTGTTCTTGTATGCAGGGGAGAAGATACACAGATACATGGAGGAAAGAAGGCTGTGGAGCCATCCAGTCAGACTGGAGGGATGCAGCTGCAAGCCCAGGGACGCCAAGGATTGCCAGCAATCCCCAGAAACCAGGACAGAGGCAGGGCACAGACTCCCCCTTGGAGCCTCCAGAAGGGACCAACCCTGCTGACACTCTGATTTCAGAATTCTGGCCTCCTGAACTGGAAGAGAATAAATTTCTGTTGTTTAAGTCGCCCCGTTTATGGTAATTTGCTATGGCAGCCTGAGGAAATGAACACAACAGGGAAAAGGACTGAGGGTCTCCCTGTAATGTTGGCATTTTTTTAGGTGACAATAGAGAAGAGGGCAGAGTTTCATACCAACGTATGAATTACTAATATCGACTCTTTATGCTCCACTGAGAAAGCAATTTTGGAATAAGTGTAATCAAAATGCAAACAAGTAAGCCTGCCTGTTCTGTTTACACTTATGTACGCTTTTGACAAAAGGAAACATATATTTATTTGGCACCCAATACGTGCTAGGCAATGCGATAGGTGCTTTCATATCTAACATTTCACTTAATTTTCACAATAATTCCGACCCTGTGAGGGAGGAATTACTATGCCCATTTTGCTGTTCAGGAAACTGAGGCTCAGAGAGCATGAACAACTGACTACCAGGCACAGAGCTATGGGGGCAAAAGTGGCTGCGCAGAGTGTAAGTGCAGGAGTCCCAGGGGTGGAGCTGAAACAGCCAACCTTTCTGTCGGCCTGAGCCCTCTACCTTGGAGTCCTTCACGTCTTCATGCGTCTCCCTGGGCTCGGCAAGGCTGTGCCGGTGAAGGATGCTAAGATCATTGCCACTCTGGAGGAGCAAGACATCTGACCCACTGTCACATGGCAGGGGCCCTGGCAGAGGGGCATGGTAGCCTTTCTCAGGGAGAGGGATGTGGCAAGGCAGCCCCTGGTGGTGAACCTTGCAGGGGTGGTGCCCGGAAATGACCCATTTACCTGTGCCTCTCTTCACAGCATGCCACGCCCTCCCACACATACTTTCTAACGTGACCCTGATACTTCCCTGGATGATGTGAACAGCCCCACTGAACAAATAGCCGAGGACAGAGCAGATCAGAGAGGATGAAGGCCTTGTCCCTGGTTGCACAGCTAAGAGCCTCATGACAAGGCCAGGCACAGTGGCTCACACCTGTAATCCCAAAACTTTGGGAGGCTGAGGCGGGAGGATCACTTGAGGTCAGGAGTTCGAGACCAGCCTGGCCAAAATGGTGAAACCCCGTCTCTACTGAAAATACAAAAATTCACCAGATGTGGTGGCACATGCCTGTAATCCCAGCTACTCAGGAGGCTGAGACAGGAGAATCACTTGAACCGGGGAGGCAGAGGTTGAAGTGAGCCGAGATTGAGCCACTGCACTCCAGCTTCCAGCCTGGGCAACAAGAGCGAAACTCCGTCTCACAAAAAAAAAACAACAAAAAAAACCAAAACAAACAAACAAAACACACACACACACACACAAAGCTTCAGGACAGGCCGGGCGCGGTGGCTCACGCCTGTAATCCCAGCACTTTGGGAGGCCGAGACGGGCGGATCACGAGGTCAGGAGATCGAGACCATCCTGGCTAACACGGTGAAACCCCGTCTCTACTAAAAATACAAAAATTAGCCGGGCATGGTGGCGCGTGCCTGTAGTCCCAGCTACACAGGAGGCTGAGGCAGGAGAATGGCGTGAACCCGGGAGGCGGAGCTTGCAGTGAGTCGAGATCGCGCCACTGCACTCCAGCCTGGGCGACAGAGCGAAACTCCGTCTCAAAAAAAAAAAAAACAAAAAAAAAACAAAACAAAAAAAAAACAAAGCTTCAGGACAGGCCTCCTTCTCACGTGATACTTTACTCCACTGCCAGGGGAAAAGCCAAATGATCTGTTAGCAAAATACTTCCTACCTCAACAAAACTCAAAAAGTTTAGAATAAATCAGTTAAGGGACAACTGCTGTGTGGGGCCATTGATTTTGGCTGCTCAGACCCCTTCTCTTCCCACAGCCAGAGGGGAGTGGCTGGCCAATCAGCGGGCCCCATCTGCTTGGCCACTATGATTGGGTGAGGAAGTGGCTACTTGACCCAAGCTGGGCCAATCACAGGTCATTAGTTTTCGGCTGGTGCTGGGAGTGGGTGGGGATTGGCTCTTGACAACGTAGAGAGAAAAGCTGACCCCAGAGCACGAAACTGGGTGGGCAGTGGGTAGGGGAGACCTTCTTCCTGGATCCACCTGTGGCTGAGACCAACCCATCAGAATCCTACCTATTACCTGGGCAGCAAATTCCTTTTATTCCCGAGCTGGTTTGAGTTGCATTTCTGAAAGAATTGCAATGAATACAGGCATTCTCCCACAGAACTGGACCACATACTTCTGGGTATTAGTTGAGATAAACTAACAGACCCAAAAATGAGTCATGGCCCCAACAAACAAGCTGATTTCACATTCATGTAAATAGTGCAGAGCAGTTCGGGTGGATGGTGGGGTAGCAGTTAAGGGAGGGAAGTCAAGGCTTTGTTCCCCACCATCACTGGGACAGAGGGCAGAGACCCTCACAATCTTGATGTGTGACCTGTCTGGAAAGACTTGACCGCTGAGGCATGTCCTGAGAGTAGGTCTCCAGGGCCTTCTGGGAGTAGTTCTGTGAAAGCCCCTCGAGAGAGAAAGAGCCCTCTCCACTCATTCTCCTGCAGGTCATCTCTGCCCAGCCTGCTCCAGCCCTCTCTCACTGCAGCACCTTGAGGAGTTCACCTAGGTGGTCTGGGACAATGGCAGGCTGGTGGGCATCCCCAGATCACCACCATACAGTCTGAGGCTTTTGTGCTTTTCTTGGTTCAGCATATTGAGTGCAAGGCTGAGCTTTGGGGCTCTGGGATGCCCACTCATCTCCAACAGCCTCCCTGAGCCCCGTGGAAAGTGCCTGGGGACCAGCCTTCCTCCCTTGGGTTGCTTTGAGGGCCTGTGGCTTTGCAGACTCGAAACAGTCAATCTTATGTGCAGAGCCTGCTGTCCCTCTCTACTTCCCACCAGGCCAGGAAGTTTTGACCAGGCCCTTTCTATCCAACAAGGAAGACCGTTTCCCATGATGCCTGTCATTTGCCTCCTGGCCCTGGCATGAGCACCAGACCTCCACCCCCAAAGCCACAAGAAGCAGATGGCTATGATCTCGTGTTGAAACCACCGGGACCCTCACCAGCAAGAACCCTGGATGCCAGAATATTGTGGCTTATCTCTCAGCCTGGCGGCACAGTGCTTTATCAGCATCATCCTCTTGGTTAAATATCTACAACATTAATTATTACAATTTATTAAATCTGGGGAAATAAAGTCTTACTGCAATCCCCTTGCCACTTCCCCATGCCCCCACCAAAATGGAGTATCTTATTTTGCTAACTGCTTAAACATAAAACTCCAGAAGAAAAAAATTGTCCCCACAGCTCATATTTTTCATCATTTGGTCATTAAATAGTGATGGATATAAACCTATAAAGAACCTAAACTGAACCTTTTAACAATCCATGAGCAATACTATCATTTCTTTAATAGAACCTGCTGACGGTGCCGCGCGCAGACACCATTTGTCATTTTCAGCACGCAATAATCAATAAGTTGGCTTGAAAATAAATAATATAACAGTCACAATATATTATCTTTCAGACTGGCCTTATACTAACCATAAAATGGGACTAAAACAAGACAGAAACTTTTACATGAATGTTAAAAAGTTAGAGACATCACAGTGAGGACTAATGCATGAATTAGACCCATGCCAAGGTCCCAAATTTGCTGTGAGTTCTGTTGAGCCAGGCTTCTGCTGCCGCCCACTGCCTGCAGTTAGAGTAAGGACGCAGCAGCCAGGTGGCGAAGTCACAGTCAGCACAGTGCATGGGGGCCAAAGGTGACAGCGTTCTGTCACAGGCTATATTACCCAGGTGCAGACTTCCCGACGTCATTCCAGGTACCCCAGAGCATGGCTTCAAACAGAACCACCTGACGGGTCATGCACCCAGTGCCAGGGCTGGGTAGAGGTTTGCTTAGTTCCAAGAGGAGGCCATAGCCCAGATTCAGCTTCAGAGATTTTCATTCCGTGGGAGAGAAAAACGCCACAAAGAATCCAGGCCAGCAGGTGACATTGGTGGAGAGTGGGTTCCGGAAGCAGCAAGGTAATGGCTGCAGATCACAGTGAGCTTGCCGTTATCTGGGATAGGGTGACCCTTAGCAGCCCTCAGCAACTCAGCTTTGAGTCTGCTGGCCATCTGGTGCTGCTCTTCAAGAGCAACAGAAAACCCCCTAGTTTGTTCATTTGTTCTTTCATCCATTAATTCATTCATGCATCCATTCATTCATTTAACAAAAAAGGTATTGAGAGCTTACGTAAGTTCCAGGCGCTGTGCTAGGTGCCAGGAACACAGCAATGAAGCAGACAAAATTCCCTCTGCTCCCCTCCCAGAGCTTATGTGCTAGTTGGCGCACTACAATAGACAGGATATGTAAATCCATCTCAGGGGGGTGGTCAGTGCTAGGGAGGACTGACCCCCTAGTGTAAAGCAGGGCAAAGGGACAAGGTCAAGTGTGTGCCCTTCAGAGCAGGTCTCTCCTGGTTCCCAGGTGCCCAGGCCTTCACTCAGAGTGCCCCATCCAGCCTCACACCTGCCTTTGGCTCCCTAGCTTCTCTGGTAACCAGTCTCCATGGCGTCCTGGTGACACCCTATGCTGCCACCAGAAACCATTGTATGGGAGGAGCCCCATGCCCTGCTGTGAGGCAGGCAGCGCCATCCCCACTGCACAGCTGGGAGCCCAAGGCTCAGAGGCAGCATGTCTTTGGTAAGCAGGTTGACCAAATGTCCCTGTTTGCCTGGGAATTTCAGTGCTTAAACCAGCACAGTCCCAGGCAAGCTGGGATGGTTGGTCATCCTCAAGCAAGTGGTAGAGCTGGATCTCAATCTCACCTGGGTCAAAGGACTTTCCACCACCCCTTGGGGGCCATCTCCTCACTAAGGCTGATGCACTCCTGGGAAATTCTCATAGCAATTTGGTTTCTTCTCTCATTTTTATTTATTTATTTTTGAGCCTCGCTCTGTCGCCCAGGCTGGAGTGCAGTGGCACGATCTTGGCTTACGGCAACCTCCGTCTTCCAGGTTCAAGCGACTCTCCTGCCTCAGCCTCTGGAGTAGCTGGACTATAGGCATGAACCACCATGTCTGGCTAATTTTTTTTTTTTTTTTTTTTTTTTAGTGGAGATGGGGTTTCACCATGTTGGCCAGGCTGGTCTCAAATTCCTGACCTCAAGTGATCCACCCGCCTCAGCCTCCCAAAGTGCTGGGATTAAAGGTATCAGCCACCGCGCCTGGCCTCTCATAGCAACTTAAAACAGCAACTGTCCCTAAAAGTTCTTAGATGATTTGGGCTTATCTGCACCGAATTTGGAGTCAAAGAGACCTAGGATTCCATCCCAATTTGGGCATTCAATAGCTGGGTGGCCTTAGTCAGGCTACTTAAACTCTGAGCCTCATCTGAAAATGAAGGTAAATATGCATATTTCAGCAGGGTCTTGATGCAAATTTGACATCTTGCAAATGACCTAGCCCATGGTAGGTATTCCATAAGTGGTGGTGTTATTAATACCTAGAGGGTTTTATCCCAGGAACTAAAGGAAAGAACTCCTATTCCTAGGGGAGGTGTGGAGGTAGAAACGAGTGCTGCCACATTTATTATGAATCAGCTAGCTATATGGAGCCAAAAATACTCTCCTTGGGTAGCGTCTCTGTGACTGATATTAAAAATGACTGATTTAAGAGAAAGTGCTTCACCCTTGTTGCAAACTAAGGAGGTAGGTCTGGAGTATTCTCAGCCTTAAATGCTGCCAGTATTTCATCTTTGGGTAGTCATAAAGTTAAAGGTTAATAGGCTGTACAAATGACAGAGTTTAAAGGGAAAGATGGGGAGGGGCCGGGGAGCTCCGGGCAGCTGCGGGCATGTTGGAGACAGGTGGCGACTCACCTGCAGGCAGGAAATACGGAGGTGGGGCTGAGCCAGCCTTCTCAGCCCCTTCTCATTCCTGCTCCCATATGGAAACTCCTTATTCCAAGAGCTCTTTTCCTCTACAGGGATTTCTTTCCTGGTAGGACCGGAGGGCACAAGGCCTTGGAGACGCAGGCTGGGCAGCGTCGTGAAAGCCAGTGCTTGATTTAGTGTCCTGAGAAAGAGTGCCAGGAAGCAAGGGGACTGAGCCCCTTGGAGGCATGAGAAGAAGGCAGAAGGGCTCAAATGGAATTGCAGTGAGCCCCACTTTCATGAGGCTGACCCTGGGGTCAGAGTTTTGGTTCTCAAATTTGGGAGCACATCAGGATCACCAGGAAGCTTGTTCCTCAAATGCAGATTCCTGGACTCCAGCCTGGAGATGGAGTTGGGGCCTGGGCATCTGTATTTTAGTAAATTCTTACCCATCTCCCGGGGTGACTGTAATGTGGCTCTAAGACAGATGGTCCATGGGCATGCCTTGAGAAATCCTGAATCAGTCAATGCACTGGAGTCTAGTTCTAGATCCAGATTCCTGGACCTTCAGTAATGAGGGTCTTTGGGGATTATTGAGCCACAAGCTGCACTCAAATCAGCCAGGCGCTGTTGAATCTGAGTCCCCACTGGGACTTCATTGACCACACAGAATCTCGAAGGTGCGAACAAGCGGCCAGGGGTGGGGACCTCTGCCTCCCACATGTTACCAATGGGGAAGCAGAGGCAATGCCCAGGAATGACCTGTCCAAGGTCAACCACATAACAGGGGAGCCAGCACTTGGACTCCCCAGTCTAGGGCTCTTTCTACTGCGCCACAGGCCTCTTCTTGCCATTGGCAGGGGCTTGCGCTCGCTTCACCAACCACTGCCATGGAGCCTGGTTTCGACCATTCCCGCTTTCTACACATACGGAGCCAGCTTTCTCCTGCACTCTGTCGGGACTGACAAAGGGTGTGTGTGAAAATATCCTGACTGCAAGTGCACACATAGAGCTCCTTAGAATTCACTGTTTACCTCCAGTCTGAGGTTCTAGATGAAGCAGGAACAGAGCTGTCTGTGAACACAAACTAGTTTGAGGAGGGGAAAAATGTTAAATTCAGTGAAGCAGAATCCTTGGCAGAATCCAGACCCTTCCAGAAAAGACCTTTTAACTTCAAATGCACCAAAATTATCTTTTCTTGCTAAGGAAATTAACAGATTACAAAGTGCGTTTATTGCTCCATCTCCTGAGATCCTTATAAAAACACCATGAGGTAGCGGGTACTGCTCCACTTTAAGGATAAAGAAACTGAGGCCCACAAAGGCCAAATGACTTGCCCAAGGTAACTGTGTAAGCAGAATAATGGCTTCTGAAAATGTTCACACACTAATCCTCTAAAGTGGTGAATATGTTACTTCCATGGCAAAAGGGACTTTGCGCACGTGACTAAGTTAGGTATGTTAAGACAGGGAGATTGTCCTGGATAACCCTTGTGATGACAAGAGTTTTTTTTGTTTTTTTGTTTTTTTTGAGACAGAGTCTCTCTGTGTCCCCCAGGCTGGAGTGCAGTGGCGCCATCTCAGCTCACTGCAAGCTCCGCCTCTCCTGGGTTCACACCATTCTCCTGCCTCAGCCTCCCGAGTAGCTGGGACTACAGGCGCCCGTCAACACGCCCGGCTAATTTTTTGTATTTTTAGTAGAAATGGGGTTTCACCGTTTTAGCCAAGATGGTCTCGATCTCCTGACCTCGTGATCCGCCCATCTCGGCCTCCCGAAGTACTGGGATTACAGGCGTGAGCCACCGCGCCCGGCCGACAAGAGTTTTTATAGGAGAAAGAGAGAGGCAGCAGAGTTTGTGATTGATGTGAAAAATACTCGACCCTTCTTGCTGGCTTTGAAGATGCAGGATGGACACTGTGAGGCAAGGAGTGTGAGCAGCCTCTGGTAGCTGGAAAAGGCAAAGACACGGAGTGTTCCCTAGAGCTTCTAGAAGCTCAGCCCTGCCAACACCTTGATCTTAACCCAGTGAGACCCACTTTGGACTTCTAACCTGCTAAACTGTAACATAATGCAATTGTGTTGTTTTAAGCCCCTAAATTTGTGGTACTTTGTTTAGAATAGCAACAGGAAACTGAAAGAAAGAAAACACACAGAAAGAAAACAGCAGAATTGAACCCAATTCTGTAGGCTCAGTCCAAGACCTCTCTATTGCAGGGACCAGTCAGGAGGTGTAGACACAGGGGAGGGGAAATATTTTGTGATGCCCAGTTACTGTTACCCTCTGGGAGCTAGGGATCACAGCAATGGGATGGTAATTATTCAAACGCCAGCTAAAGTCCGAAGCAGGGAGAAGTTACGTCCTCTCTCTTCTCTTCTCAGTCAGTCCTGAGCTCTCTGCTCCACAACCCCAGCCTCCATTGTGTCACTGTCTATAGGACGCAACTTGGAGGCTCAGACTTGCCCAAACCCCACATAGAGACACTGATCCCTTCCTCTTGTCCCAAAGCAGGCCTGATGGGGACCAACGCAGTGTAAAAATCCCGAGCAACCAGTGGCTCTCTGTCCTGTCTCCATCTAGGCCAGGGCAGTGGGTGGCCCCTCCCCTGGTCCGTCCTGGGTCTGGGGCCCTGGTTGATCCCCCAGTCCTGTGTCAGCCTCTCACCTCGAGGCTCCAGGACTGTCCTGGAAAGGAGCTTCTTACGATCAATCTTACCACAGTCTCCATGAATTTTAAATAATAGCGGCTTTGCTCTTTCTTGCTCACTCCCTGGGTGCGTCAGACTGCAGCTTTTACAAGATCATATTTCTTCACATTTTCATACAATTATTTTAAATGGACAAGATAATGTTGAAATTCTTATTTAAAATGTATGCAGGTAGAGAATGAACCTTCCTGCTTTTTATATTTAACACCAGACGGAGCAATAGAAGGGAATTTTAACAACAGAACTGAAGTGGAAGTGTCTTATGCGTTCATGATGGACTATGGTTTTAAGCAGCTGGTTTTCTTTGATGAATAAATAATTACACCCAAAATAGACAGGTTGGCCATTATTAATCTCATTTTAGACTGTGCACATTTTATTGATTCTTAAGTACAAGAATTTTGCCATTTTCACCAAAGGGTGACTTTCCTAATTAAAATGTAAGTTAAAAAAAAAAAAAAGCTTCAGCAGTCTTGTCAGAGCCAGGGTGGCAGAGAGCCTGGTTTCTTCCAGAATGAATCCTTTCCAGACTAATGACCCCCAGAGATACTTCACACAGCCAGCCCATCTCCTGAGCAGCCAATGAGAGCAGCAGAGACCCAGCCAAAATGGGGCACCAAGACACACGACCCAGCCTGGGTCCATTAGCCTTCTGTTTGGTTTCTGTGTAAGTGACCCCAGAAAATAGGGGTGCTTGACCTTCCCCCTTCCCCAGTTCACCTACTCATATGGGTGTCTCTTATACAAACATTGGGGCAATTATCTTTTGTTTTTTAATTTTAGAAAATTGTTTTACTTTCTTACTTCTTAGACATAGGGTCTCACTATATTGGTCAGGGTGGTCTTGAACTCCTGGCCTCAATCCTTCTGCCTCGACCTCCCAAACTGCTGGGATTACAGATGTGAGCCACTGTGCCTGGCCTCTTTTGTTTTTTAAATGCTTATTAGGATTTTATAAATAGAGAACATCATAAGGAAGAAAATTAGATAATCTTATTGCACAGTGATTTGGTTTGGCTCTGTGTCCCCACCCAAATCTCATCTCAAATTGTAACCACTATGCGTCAAGGGAGGGAGGTGATCAGATCATGGGCGCAGTTTCCCTCATGCTGTTCTCATGATAGTGAGTTCTCACAAGATCTGATGATTTTATAAGTGGCTCTTCCCCTCTTTGCTTTCCCCTCCCCCTTCCCGCCATGTAAGAAGTGCTTGCTTCCCTCTCTGCCATGATTGTAAGTTTCCTGAGGCCTCCCCAGCCATGGGGAACTGTGAGTCAATTAAACCTCTTTCCTTTATAAATTACCCAGTCTCAGGTAGTATCTTTATAGCAGTGCGAAAATGGACTAATATACACAGATAATACATATTGACCTTCTTTAAATAAATGGAGGAAGTACACTTAGAAAGTTCAAGAAGAGAGAGAGAAGTAGCTAATATTTATAGAGCACTCACTATGGTTTTAAGTATACAAAAATTGTGTAAGACAGACAAAGTTATTACCCTGGCTTTATGGATAAGAACACGGATGCACAGGGAAACTCAACATGGCCGAGATCACCCAGGTCAGAAGGGGCAGTGCTGGGATTTGAACCCCGCCTCTAGTGGAACAACTATGCCCTACTGCCTCTTACATAAAAGGATATTTTTAAAAATTATTAATTTTTTTATTGAGATGGAGTCTTGCTCTGTCACCCAGACTGGAGTGTAGTGGCTCCATCTTATCTCATTGCAACATCTGCCTCCTAGGTTCAAGTAATTATCCTGCCTCAGCCTCCTGAGTAGTTGGGATTACAGGTTCCCGCCACCACACCTGGCTAATTTTTGTATTTTTAGTAGAGACAGGGGTTTCACCATGTTGGCCAGGCTGGTCTCAAACTCCTGACTTCAGGTGATCTGCCTGTCCTGGCCTCCCAAAGTGCTGGGATTACAGGCTTCAGCCAAGGCCCCACCAGGATTTTTTTTGAAAAGCCACTCACTTCTCCACCCCATCCCACAGAAGGAATCACTGTCAACAGTTTCTGGTAATTTCTTCCAGAAAAAAATAAATGCTTGCAATTGTATCGTGTTCTGCTTACAGGCATCAGAAATGTGAAGCTGCCAGCATGTTTTCTCATCAGCAAAATGGTGAGTTTGTTACAAACTTCACCCACAGCCCAGCTTCCCTGGGGCAGCTCTCTGGTCTGTTTCATGGGTTGTGGTTCTGTGTATCTGTTTGTGAAGACGAGTCTCATTGCTAAGGGAAGCAGCTGAGTAATCATCTGCGAGGGTCATTTCCAGGCCCAATGCCTACTTTCTAGAAACATAACATTACCCAAATACAGAGCTGGGCCCTAGTTGCAGCTAGAGGAGATGGAGGCAAGAAGGGGATCTGTGTCCATTGGGGAGGCTCCAGCCAAGGCCAGATTTGAGCTGGACCTGCAAATTAGTGAGGGCAGAAGAGCGCGGTAACCGCCAGGAATGAGTGTGGTGCAAAGTGACAAAATCACTCTGGAAATTTCTTTAAATCAGCCTCAAGTGCAGATCCCTGCCATGTTTATTTGCCACGTAGAACACTGGCATGTCATCTCCCAGCAGGCCCAGCTCAGGTGTAGAGGATTTCCTTGGGCAGGGGAGCAGAGCACCATCATGAAATAGCTGACATTTAGGGGCCGGGTGGTAGGAAGAAGACAAAACTTGAAATCCGAGAGTCACATTCAACTTCGGTGTGATTCTCACACTCAGAGAGGGCCCCAGAAACAATACTTCGGAGGGAAGAACAGGATCAGGTCCTGGGTCCCACCCTCACCCCAGGGCATACACTCAGACAGAACCAATTTCCCTCACTGTCTGTCTCTTGCGGCATGTACTTATGTTGACCTTATACATGATGCAATTCCTCTGTGATGGAAAATAACCGCAGGTCATCAGGAGGCCGGGCCTCCTTGGGAGCCACCTACTTGTCACAATTCAACTTTTAAGAATTCTAATGGGTCACCAGATTTGCCATTAGTAATGATGACAATCCTTTGGTGAGCCTTCCTAATGCCAAATGTATCTGCCTAACTTATTTGCTATACCAGCAACCAGTGAGAAAATGGAGCACATATTCAGAGTTTTCCTTGATGTGTCAGCCACCTAGAAAGGGGAGTTTTCTTAGTTCTGTAGCCATTTCTACTTAAGGTGCTATCTCCTATGTTTGAGATTTACAACTAATTCTGATACAATTTCAGTGGAATTGGGATGGTTATGGCTGTTTTTCTTTGATGGTGAATCAAAACATGTGACTTGAGTGAGTACTTGCCTTTTATTACCCATCCCTATCTGTAAAATATCTGGTTTATGTGCCAAGGAAAGTATAAACATATGGCACAGTATTGGTTTTTCAGTAACTTGGCTTAAGCCAAAGGGGGGAAAAAAGTCTCATCTTGACACTATTTATGAAACAATTAATGTTGTCAACAGCCTTCCCACCTGCTGAGTTACACATAGCCTTCTAGACTATGAGGACACCAAGAAGTGTCAACAATTCTAATATGAACTGTTGAAGCAAATCCATTTGAAAGGACTTATTTCTACAACTTATAAAACCTGATGATAGATAGCCCTTCAACTGTAGAGCACAAAAGATGCCTTATTCTCCAGCAAAATCCCCTCATCATAAAGCTAATATCCAGGTAGCAAGCAACGACGATATGCCATCCATTTCTGCAAATGGTATCTCACTTAATCCTAACAACAGCCAGGTGAGGTAGGTATTGCTATTGTTATCTTCCATGTTATAGAAGAAGCTAGTTCTCATTGAGATTAAGCAACCTGTTCAACCTCATGAAAGTACTTAGAGGCTGAACAAGGATTTCGGATCTGATCTTTGGGATCTAAGGGAGTATATGGCCCAAAGGCATGTCACCCAGGAGGGCCTAGGGTGAACCTCACCTAAATAAACCAGACATTTCCAGATTTCTTTGTTTAAAACTCAGATTCTCAAATTCAGTTTTTTAAAAGACAAAATACTGTGAAATGCTTTCAAAAACGGTTTGGCAGTTTCTTATAAATTTAAACACAACCGTTGATATGGTTTGGCTGTGTCCCCACCCAATTCTCATCTGAATTGTAGTTGCGGTCATCTCCACATGTGGTGGGAGGGACCCAGTGGGAGGTAATTGAACACGGGGCGGTTTCTCCCATGCGTTCTTTTGATAGTCAGTAAGTTCTCTGATCGTTTTATAAGGGGCTTTCCCTTATAAAACCTTCCCCGTGTTTGCTTCCCCTTCCACCATAATGGTAAGTTTCCTGAGGCCTCCCCAGCCCCACGGAACTGTGAGTCAATTAAACCTCTTTCCTTTATAAATTACCCAGTCTTGGGTGTTTCTTCATAGCAGTGTGAGAATGGACTGATACAACCCTACTCTATGACCCAGCAATTCCACTGCTATGTATTAGTCAAGAGAAATGAAAGCAAATGTCTACACAAAGACTTGCACAAAAATGTGAATAGTCATCCTAAACTGAGAACAAACCAAGGGTGCATCAACAGATGAACAGGTGAACAAATAGTGGCACATCCATACAAAGGCATACTAGACTGCAAAAAAAAGGAGTGAACCACTAATACCAGCAACAATTTAGATCACTCCAAAAACATTCTGCTGAGCTAAAGAAGCCAGACACAACAGAGCAGACATCAAATGAGTCCATTTAAATGAAATTCTAGGACGGGCCAAACTAATCTATAGTGGCAGAAAACGGGTCAGCGGTTGCCTGAGGCTGGGAGAGAGAGGGAGATTGCAATGAAGCAGGAACTTTCTAGGGACCAGGAAATGCTCTTTATCTTGATTGTGGTGGTGGTTACAAGGGTATATGCATTTGACAAAACATTGCACTATGTACTTAAAATTGGTACATTTTATGGCATGGAAATTATACTCAATAATGTTGCTTCTTTAAAATGCAGGATGGGGCGGTTATATTGAAAAGTAGCACGATTCTCAAGGTTAGAGGACCTGACTGCATCAGCCTAGCAATTTCTTGGACTGGCTGCTTCATCCCTCTGAGCCCCAGCTTCACCTTGCATTAAATAGAGATGAAGATACTAAGGTTGTGCTGGGTAGCATGAATTTTGGCTTCACGGAACAGAAATCCTATAGCAGACTTTCCAGAGGCGCTTTCAACACCTCCACTTGTACCTGGTTGGCTAAAATCAAAGAGCTTGACAATCCTAGCTGCAAGGAAGGCTGGGATATATAGTTCTTTATTCCAGGCAGCAATGTGCCCTCCTAAAAATTGGAGTCTGTTACAGGGAAGAGGAAAGAGGGTGCTGGAAGAGGCATCCAACAGCCTCTGCCCCAAAGATCTCTTCTTCCCAATTAATCTGAGGATCCAAACACTTTCACTCACCTATTCTGCGGAGCACAGTGCACATAGTTACTAGGCTGGTTATTGATTAGATATTTATTGATTCGATCTTGTTGGTTATCCCTCCCCCCAATGGAATGTTTTCTATGCAAAAGCTGTCGCTTTAGAATTCCACTAAAATAGCGCCTTCTTCCACTGCTTTTGCACCAAACTTAATCATTCTCCCAGGAGTCAGAGATCCTGGTAAGATTATCCAGTTGGTCAAATCTAGGTCTCATCTACAATAATTATTAAAATAATAACAAATGTTGTAACAATGATCACAGCAGACTTAATGAGCCCCCCCTGTGTGCCAGCCCCCCTGTGTGCCACCTCACACTGTGTGCCAAGCACTTCATATGCATGTTCTCACTTAACTTTCTTCACAACACCCAGGGGTTTCGAGGGGACATTTACCATGTTTGGGCCACCTGACATGAGATACAGGGGAATCACACCATTGCGTGGATCCTGGAGGTGGAGGCAGAGGAAGCTGAAGTGTGGCAAATCCGCTATCTTCCCATCACTGGTGGCTGGGATGAGGCATGTCACCTAGGCTTGACCTATCAGATGCTCCCAGCAGAGACTTTGCACCTTGGGAGAGAGGTGCAGAGATGCGGGACAGTTGGTGTTGTTCCCAGCAGAGGCTGCAGAGGCTGGTGGCCGTGCTGGTGAGGTCCTGTGTTAGTGGCACCCACAGCAGCCATGTCCTAACTGGCAAGCCTGTCTGGTGGCACTCTGTGCCTGCTGCTGTCTGGACAGCCTTGGTTCCTGCTTTTTTCTGAGCCAGTTCTCCAGCTGTCCTCTCTCTTCTTGAATGGCCCCATGTCTTTCCAAAGAATTTATTTTGGCCTAATTCCACTGCCACTGCTGTCGAGACCCACCACGAATATTCTAGAGTCTAAGCCAGGGGGTGCTTGAGTCAACTCTGTAAAGAGGTGCAAGACTGGCCTCCTTCCCCAGTACGCCTGAGTCCCACAGCCATGCTGCCTGGGCCCAGAGTCTCTCAAATTCTGTGTGAAACAGCTCCTCATTCTGGCCTCCGTCTCTCTCCGTATCAGGCTCCAAGCCAGTCCATGGGGTTGGGAAGAATGGGGCAAACACCATGCCATTCTGTGTCTCTTCTCCTCTCATCTCTCCTTCTAGTTGAACAAAAACAAAATAAAGCAAAAAAAATCTTACTCCTCTTTCTATCAAAGCCAAAGCCTCCACCCACATCAACTTACTAAATAAGAGACCACCAGGTTGCCAGCTTAAAAAAGAGCGCTGGGCACAGTGTAATCCAGCATTTTGGGAGGCCAAGGCGGGAGGATTACTTGAGCCCAGAAGTTTGAGACCAGTCTGGGCAATATTGTGAGACCTGGTCTCTACAGAAAATACAAAAATTAGCTGGGTGTGGTGGCTTTGCCTGTAGTCCCAGTAGTCTTGGGAGGCTGAGGTGGGAGGATTGCCTGAGCCAGGGAGGTAGAGACTGCAGTGAGCTGTGATTGCACCACTGCACGCCAGCCTGGGCGACAGAGCGAGACCCTATTTTAAAATAAAATTTAAAAGAGCTACATTCTAAATCGCATTGTGCACCTAGCTAGGGACCACCATAATAATAAATACACTGTACTCATATGAACGCACACTGGTAAGTGTCCTCAGATGGAGTCTTCGGGAATACACATCCACGCTCTTTGACTGAGCTGGCTGATCTTGTCCTCAAACAACCAGTTTAATTTATTCTTTGGCCGGGCGTGGTGGCTCACACCTGTAATCCCAGCACTTTGGGAGGCCAAGGCAGGTGAATCACCTGAGTTCAGGAGTTCGAGACCAGCCTGGCTAACATGGTGAAACCCTGTCTCTACTAAAAATACAAAATTAGCCAGTCATGATGGCGCATGCCTGTAATCCCAGCTACTCGGGAGGCTGAGGCAGGAGAATCACTTGAACCTGGGAGGTGGAGGTTGCAGTGAGCCGAAATCACACCTTTGCACTCCAGCCTGGGCAAGAAGAGCAAAACTCCATCTCAAAAAAAAAAAAAAAAAAAAATTCTTAACCATCAGCTTCACCATTAAGTGACTTTCCAATCTACTGTTATTTGTTCAAACTACCATCATTTTGTCCTTAGATTTCAAAGCAAATTGATGCTTAGCAGAAGCCCACACTAGATCTTCTGTGTTCATTTTGTGATTTTATTACAAATAGCATCCATACTTTATCCTCAAATACTTTCCTTTAAATGCTTTATTTCAAATGTACTTTGCTTTTTTAAAAAAAGAACATTTTTTTCTGATTATAAAAATACTTGCTTATTGCAGAGAATTGGAAAATTATACAAAGTACTAAGACTAAAATAAAATTACCCATTATCTCATTATTAAAAAACAAAACCGAAAGTCTTATTATATTTTTCAGGTTCCCTGTCCCCTCCCGCAACACACACACACACACACACACACACACACACACACACACACACCCCTTCTCTGTCTCTGTCAAACACACATTGACACAGTATTTTTTTTTAAACTGTGTGAGAACTTTTCCTTGTCATTAAGCAGACTTCAAAAACCAGTTTTGTAAGTAAACAAACAAACAAAAAAAAAAAACAATTTTGATGGCTTATGTAACATTCTATTCCACTGTTTGGCTATACCACGATTTATTTAACCATTTGCTTATTTACATTTTATTGTATTACAAGTAATAATAGAATGTATGTCTGTGTATCGGTAGGTATGAGCGTGTGTTAAGAATCCAGCTATTTTTTTTTAGGATATACTGTATTCTAAAGGGAAACTCCTGGCTCAAGATGTTTGAATTTAAGAGCTCTTGATCCATACTGCCAAATTATTTTCTGGAAAACTTACACTGATTTATTCCCAATGGTGAGGTGTAAATATATCATTTACTTTTCATCCTCACCAGCATTAAGCATTAGCTTCTTTTCTTGGCTTCGCTAATTTAATAACAGACAGGTATTTCACTGATGTTTTAATATGCATTTATTAAATTCATAAAGATTATGATCTGCTCATTATTTCTGTGACTTGCTCCTTATATTCTTTGCCTAGACTTCTACACCTGTTAAATATTTTTGTAATGGCTCATAAATGTTTATTTATGTATTTATTTTGGAGACAAAGTCTCACTCTGTCACCCAGCCTGGAGTACAATGGTGCATTCATAGCTTACTGCAGCCTCAAACTCTTGGGCTCAAGCAATCCTCCCACCTCAGCCTTCTAAGTAGCTAGGACTACAGGTGTGCACCCACTCAGCTAAAATGGGGACTCGCTATGTTGTCCAGGCTGGTCTCAAACTCCTGGCCTCAAGCAGTGCTCCCACCTTGGCCTTCCAAAGTGTTGGGATTACAGATGCGAGCCACCATGCCTAGCCCTACATATGCAATATATATGTGTGTGTGTGTGTATATCTATATATCTATATATCTATATATCTATATATATCTTTTAGACAGAGTTTCACTCTTGTTGCCCAGGCTGGAGTGCAATGGTGTGATCTTTGCTCACTGCAACCTCCACCTCCTCGGATCAAGTGATTCTCCTGCTTCAGCCTCCCGAGTAGCTGAGATTACAGACATGTGCCACCATGCCGGCTAATTTTTTATATTTTTAGTAGAGATGGGGTTTCACCATGTTGGCCAGGCTTGTCTCAAACTCCTGACCTCGGGTGATCCCCTTGCCTTGGCCTCCCAAAGTGCTGGGATTATAGGCATGAGCCACTGTGCCTGCCCTTGCTTTTTATATATTAAGGATATTAACTATTTGTCTTATTTGTGGCAAGAAATTTTTCCAATGGTTTTTCTGTATTTGTAGGCATATTTTGGTTGCATATGAAGACCATAATTTTTTCTGAAAAATTCTAAACTTCCAATTTGATAATAGAAATAAATGCAGAATTTCTGGACTTGCTATGCAGACTCTCGATTTACAAAATCTGTTTCTTTCACAAAGTAGGTACAGGCTTAACTGACCATGATTTCTTCTACATAAAGTAACTTCTGAACTGAAGTCAACCTTTGTGAAAGACACAGAAGTCAGCTCTATGTCTACACTGACCTCCCCTTTTTGGAACTTTCTGTGTGCTTCCCTGTGGTTCTCATGCCTTCCCTCTCCACTGCCTTCCATTGGCCTTTGCTCTTACGTAAACTTCTTCCCATCTCACCTTAGTCCCTGCATTGGAGAAATCTTCCCTGCTTTGGGTGAATATTGTCTCTTATTTTCCTCCCTCTCTGTTAAATATCTGCTGTCAGAAAGGAAAGAGATGGCCCTTGTAGTCAGGCTGACCTGGGGTCAACTCCATGATTGCTGTGTGACCTCAGGCAAGGCCTCTGAGCCTCAGTTTCCCTCTTTGTAAAACATGATTATTGCAGGGTTTAGAGTTCAAGGGAGTCAGATCCAGCACAGAGCCTGGCTCAGTTAGCAGCTTCTTTTACGAGTTTGACTTCCTGAGTCCCTTTACATCGAATTTTTTTTTTTTTTTTTTTGAGACGGAGTCTCGTTCTGTCGCCCAGGCTGGAGTGCGGTGGTGCGATCTTGGCTCACTGCAAGCTCCGCCTCCTGGGTTCACACCATTCTCCTGCCTCAGCCTCCCGAGTAGCTGAGACTACAGGCGCCCGCCACCACACCCGGCTAATTTTTTGTATTTTTAGTAGAGACGGGGTTTCACCATGTTAGCCAGGATGGTCTCGATCTCCTGACCTCGTGATCTGCCCACCTCAGCCTCCCAAAGTGCTGGGATTACAGGCGTGAGCCACCGCGCCCAGCCTTCATCGAATTTTAAAGATCAGGAAAAGACATATCTTTTCCCCCAGAATTCTTCCCACTCCTCTGCACTGTAGCTGTTATTTATTAGCTAGGTAACTTGCCAGAGCACTTTCGGGTACAATGCTTATACTATACTATTAAAAGTGAAGTTTTCTTCTATTATTTAATAATGATTTTTTTTTGCTATTTTTAAATAATGAAAAATGTGTGAACTGTGTCTCTTGCCTTATTACCAGGTGCTCCATTACTGTAAATTGAAAAATAACAGTTTAGGGAGTAATATTCCTTCTTCAGGTTATACATCAAATATACGTCATCTTCATTGTTGAATTGATGCTTTAATCCCCCCATTAAGATACAAGCCGAAATAAATTTCATTCCCTTCTCTATAGATGCAATTTCATTTCGATCACGTGTCAGTTGGAGCAATAAAACATCAATTAAACAATGAATTCCTGACAAATACATGGCATTTGATGCATAATTACCTCCCCCACCCAATTTCATTTTCTTCAAGGCAAAGGCATCCTCAGCCCACTTATGTCCCAGGTTTCACCCCCTAAAATAGAGCATGAGCTTTGCACCTTTTTCCCCGCCCCCAGGACAGGAATCTTGGATGCAGCCCACCGAGGAGGAGCTGGGCTGGCAGGGATCTTCTTCTAATCATCATCTTGTTATTGAGATGAGTCTCGGGAGGCAAAAGCGTTGCACGACCCCACCGCCACCCCACCAAGGTGCAAGCCAGGGCTAGAGCTCAAGTGAGCTCACTTTCTGCCTCAGATTCATCCCAAGAAAGGCCAAGAATGCAGGGGGTGGGGTGCATGTCAGAGAAGTGAGGCTCCCTGGGGGTCCCAGCACCTGGCTGGGAGGTGGAGCATAGCAGCCCTTCTCTCCATTCCAAGCTCCCTGATGCATTCCACAAATAGGGTGGAGGGTTCTCTGTGTGCGGGGCTCTGTGCGGGTCCTGGGGACACTGGCTGTGTGTTCGGTGCCATGAGAGATGAATAAACCCAGTGCGGTGAGGGTAGGGGGAGAGGTGGAGCTCTGAGCCTGGGGAGCCTGGGGAGCCAGGGGAGGGACCTATGCGGGAACACCGGAAGCACGCCCCAAACGGAGTGTTGGATGGATCGGGACATTCGAAGTCAGTGACTGCTTCACCACCAGAGCCGCCACCCAGTGCCTGGACTGGGAGCAGCACTGCAGCAAGTCGGCCACCCGCCCGAGCTGGCAGGCAGGCCCCAAGCTGGACGGCCGAAACCATGATCCCAAGAACGCTAAATGTTTGGGGGCCGAGGCTGCCTCCTGGAACCTAACGGAGGCTCCTTTTTCAGGAAAGGCTGTCATTCGACTACAGTGTCTGGTGGAGGGGAGTGGAGGAGGGTGGAGGCGGGGGTGAAATGGGCCGTGCCTGAAGTGTCATTTAAGGGGATGTTTAACTTCCACTCCCTGTTTCTGAAGAGTAATTTTCGCAGAGACAGGAAGAATAATAGGAGGAACTTGGCTCATTTTGGCAAATTGCTCCAATTTTTCCACAATCTCAGCCCCCTGTATCACCTGCCCCCACCTGTCTATTTGGGCCACTTAATGCCCTGGATTCAGACCTAATAGAGGCTGTTTGTTTGGCCCTGGCTCAAAGGCTAGACTTGTTTTCAGGACAGAAGCTGGAAGAAAAACCAATCTGGACATCTAAATCACAGCCAGGACTCATTACATAAATGATATATTTACACAATTGATCCCTTTTCTACTGGGTAATTAATTCGGCATCAGAACCCTTAACGATTTAATTGTCATATGTTTAAACTGAAATGGTTGCCACAAATTTCCAAAGACAAGAAGCAGATTGAAGAGAGGGCCTTCTTTTGTCCTCAGAGTGGGGTGGCCTCCCTTCTTTCAATATTGCCATCAAAAGGAGAAAAACCTGCTGATAGCCCCAAAAGGGCTAACACGTGAGGACTGTGTCTGTTTGTGTGCATGCCTGTCTTGCCGGATTAGGCCATTTAAGGGATGAAGGGGCCAGGTGTGAAGAGAACTTAAATCCAGAAACGGTAGGTGGGGCCCTGCTTTCACACTGAATAGGACAGGCCTGTGCCTACCCAGATCCCCTGAATCCTGCTCATTCCATTCCACCTCTGCACCCCGGCACTGCTTGCTTCAGGCACTTCGGCTTCCCATGGCAAGCAGCTGTGACTGTTTTGGAGGACGACTGAAGCCATTTTCCCCTATGACCAGAGAGCCAGAGGAGCCTGGGAGCTCATGTTCCCCAGGGTGACCTTGACCACAGACTGCCTGGGAGCAGGAACATGAAAGGTCCAGCGCCCTTGCCTCTGAAAGGGACAACCCTGAGGCATGACTCGTCCATCAGGGCTCCCGGGAGGATCACGATGAATCCCCTCAACTGCAAAGCTGTGGTCAGGGGTTAGACAGGTTGGCTTCCCTTCCCTCCCTGCCCCGTGACCCCTGCCCCTTCCCAGTCTTCCTGGGGGCACTTCCTTAATAAACCAATCCTTCCCTCAGGGCCTTCTTTGGGGGAACCCGACTGAGGACAGCTACTCTCTAGCTGAGTGACGCTGGCAAGGCTCTTAACCTTCTCTGTGCCTCTGAGCCATGCTTCCTAATAGGGGGCACTTATGGAGTGTGTGCCAGGAAGCTGGCATGAAGGCACTTGCCACACTTTGTCTCACTTAATCCTCTCAGCAACCCCAAGAGGAAGCTACTTCCATTGTCCCCATTTGACAGATGAGGAGGTGGGGAGCAGAGGAGTTAAGCCCTTTGTCCATATTCACGCAGCCGGTGCAAGGGCTGAGTGTTTTGTGTCCCTCCCAAAATTCACGTGTTGAAATCCTAACCCTCAATGTGATGGTATTAGGAGGTGATGCCTTTGGAAGGTGATTAGGTCATGAAGATGGAACGCTCATGAATGGGATCAGTGCTCTTACAAAAGGGACCTCAGAGAGCTAGCCAGCCCTCTTGCCATCATGTGAGGACACCACAAGAGGATGGCCATCTGTAAGCCAAGAAGAGGGACCTCACCACATACCTGGCACCCTGATCTCAGACTTCCAGGCTCCAGAACTGTGAGAGAGAAAGAAACAAACCACAGGGTCTACGGTACTCAGCAGCCCAAACTGACCAAAACAGCTGGTGAGTGGCAGAGACAGGATTCAACCCCAGGCAATTCGGCTGCAGAGCGTACCGTTGACATCCCTCCCTCATGCATAGCACAGCCCACTCAGCAGAGATATGCTGAGGATCAAGAGAGAAGGTTGTGGAAGCACTGGTGACTCGCAGAGGGCCTGGGATCACCCCAGGACAAAGGAGGCCCACCTGGCACCTTGTCTCACCTTAATCCCTAGAGAATAAAGGGGAGAGTGTCCAGGTCTCAGGCATATTGCCACTGCCACGGTGCACACCTCATAGTTCTTCAGAGAAATGAAGTGACATGCCTTCCCCACTTATGTCCTGCAGCCTCTCCTGCCTCCGGAGGCTCCATGACCCATGGACACCTCTCCTCACACTCTCCTACTCACACACATATACACACATGGCCCCCAGAATGGCCAAGTTGGCCTGCTGTCTTTGTGGATTAAAAACATTTGTGCATACTCAGGAGGCTGAGGTGGGAGGATCACTTGAGTACAGGTGTTCAACACCAGCCTGGGCAACATAGCCAGACCCCTGTCTCCACAAACATTTTTTAAAAATTAGCCAGGTGCAGTGATGTGTGCCTGTAGTTTCAGCTACTCTAGAGGCTGAGGTGGGAGGATTTACTTGAGCCCAGTTTGAAGTTGCAGGGAGTATGATCGCACCACTGCACTCCAGCCTGGGTGACAGAGCAAGACCCTATCTCTAAAACAAAAACAAAAACAAAAAACAATAAGAACAACAAAAAACATCTGTGCAACATAAGGGAGTAGAGGCTTTGTCCTAATGTCATGACCAACATTTGGTGAAAGATAGAACAGGCATGAGGTCAGCCAAGGAGGCAGCGGTGGGGGTTTGATGGACCAGGGGGCCCTTGGCCAGTTCTATCTTCCTAGATTTTTTGTGACTCTGCAAACCCAGTTAACTGCTGAAGTGTAATATCCCAAGCTTTTGGCTTCATACCTATGGGCGTTGTCTACCAGGGATATGGTATAGCACAGGTGTGTCCAATCTTTTGGCTTCTCTGGGCCACAGTGGAAGGAAAAGCATTGTCTTGGGCCACACATAAAATACACTAACACTAGCAATAGCTGGTGAGCTAAAAAAAAAATCTCGTAATGTTTTAAGAAATTTTATGCATTTGTGTTGGGCAGCATTCAAAGCCACCCTGGGCCACGGGTTGGACAAACTTGGTATAGCATAAGTTTAAGAGCATGCGCTTAAAATCAGATAATGTACATGAAATGTTTAGCACCACGACAGGCTCCTGCTGTAAAACACACATGCTACAAATATTCTAAGGGGGTTGTTAGTCATATACACTTTAGTAAGAATCAGTAAAACTCTTCCCAAATTGACAGATAGGTGACATTAAGTTCTTAAGCTACCCTAATCAGAAAATGGAAATTTAGTAATAGAAAGACACACAGAGTCCAAAGACAAAAATGCAGCCAGGCCTCAGGAGGTGAGTAGAACCAAGTTCAAGAAAGTCCTCAGGGGCAGCCAGCCCCTCTACACTGGACGTTTTCTTACTTCTCTTTCTCCAGATCTACTTTTTCTGTTTCATTGTGCATATGGTGAGTAAAAGGTGTCCAAACATTTCCAGCCAGTGGGCATTATCATGTGTTACTGGGGATGAGAGAGAGAGGGAGAAGGAAGATCAATTCCCAGGAAAGGAGATGTCTCAACAAATTGAGAGCCATTCATGCTAGAAGTGAGAGCATAGAGGCCATGGGCATGAGGGAAGGCAGTGTGGCTTGCAAACAGAATGCTGTGCAATACTTGGAGTTCGTATCCCTGTGCCCCACTTCACTTATAGCTTTGGTTCCTTGGGCAGATTGGTCAGCCTCTGCTTTCCCAGATGCAATCCTCCAGAAAGATTAAGATGTGAGAGTACTGAATGAGATAGCATTCATGCAACGTGTGCCTCACACTACGCCTGCCCTCAACAGATGCCCAGGACATTTTGATGAAAGAGTGATGAAGGAAAAGGTCACTTTTTTTGCTTAAGGCTTACCCTGATCACTAGGCTTAATCTCTAGGTTTGGCAATCTGGAAATAAAATCTATAGTTGAAGTCAAATTATGTGGGAGGCTAAACACTAGAATTATTAAGTAAGAGAATTGTTCTACAATAGTATAGTATTTTTACAATTGCCCTTTTAAGAAACAGCATACCATTACCATTATTTTTTCCAAGTCAGAAATCTTGTTTATTTCATTTACTAATTTGTCTTCCCCACCAGAATGCGAATCTCAGGAGATCAGGACCCTCTGTCCTGTCCATCTGTCTCCCAGGGGATATGCTAGAGCCTGGCACTCAGAAACTACTTGATACATTTTCATTTTAGAGTGTGTGCCCAGGGTTGACTCATAGTGACAGTGGAACACCAAGTGGTGATGTGATAGTGACCTGGTTGACAAAATAGGGACCAGGTAGAGCTGGACACAGAAACATCACAAATCACTACAGTTTTAGGACATTTATATGTTTTAACAGAAAATACCTGCATTAGAGTTTTGAAATTATAATTTATATGCACACATATATATATAAACACACCAGCAGGTCATTTGTTCAGCATTATGCTTGAAACTTCAGAAATATTATTAATCTAGAATGGGTCAGGCCAAAAATATTCCAGATAAACTACTGTCCATCCTATACTATTATTTTCTCTTAATCTGATTATTCTCTATTCCACATATTTAAAACCAGATTCATCATGATTACCCTCTGTATCAATCAGCTCGTGCAGTGTAACAAACCATCTCAAACTCAGTGGCTTAAAGTAACAACCATTTATAACTACTCTCGTGAGCTGGCTGATCTAAGCTCAGTTCTGCTTCAGGCTGAGTGTCCAACTGGCCTTGGCTCCTCACCAAGGATTGGGCTTAGTTCTGTTTAGTCTGAGGCCCATCCTAAAATGACAGCAGCTACCCCAGGGAAATTCTCTTCATCACTATGGCACAGAAGGGCAAGGTCCATCATACAAGTACATGTCAAGCCTCTACTTGCAACATGCCTGCCACCATCTCATTGACCTAAGCAGATCAGGTGGCCAAGCCTGAAGTCAGGATTGGTCAGGTACAATTGCCCATTATTAGACCAAAGCAAGTCCAGGGCCAAGCTTCATATCAATGGAGTGGGAGGTGCAATCCTCCCACGGGGCGGGGAGAGGGGGGATGTGTGTGTGGCTGTTTTGAATAGCTATTTAACCTGTCACATATTCAAACCAAGTTTTCCTCTTATGTTCCCCAAACTATTGTGTTTTCTTAGTTCTAAGATATATGTGCTTTTATATTTACCATTTCTAAAAATGGGATATGAACTACACCTAATATATGCATTTATTGTAGTGATTTCTTTTTTTTCTTTTACCTGAAAAGCTGTAATTGAATTGATGGTGCATCTTGAGATTGATATTGTTTTTAGAAGTGTAGACATTATGTATTTATTTATTTTAAATTCTATTTGATTGGGGTAAGAACACTTAGTATGAGACCTACTCTCTTAACAAAATTTTAAGTGCACAATACAGTATTGATAACTATAGGCATGATGTTGTACAGCAGGTCTCTAGAATTGATCTTGCTTAACTGAAATCTTAGGCCCATTGATTAGCAACTTCCCATTAGACCCTAACCCCAGCCCCTGGAAAAATAAAATAGGGAACGCCATTTTACTCTTTTATTTATTTTTATTTTTTGAGATGTAATCTCGCTCTGTCACCCAGGCTAGAATGCAGCAGCGTGATCTCGGCTCACTGCAACCTCTGCCTCCCAGGTTCAAGCAATTCTCCTGCCTCAGCCTCCCCAAGTAGCTGGTACTACAGGCACGCGCCACCACGCCCGGCTAATTTTTGTATTTTTAGTAGAGACAGGGTTTCACCATATTGGCCAGGCTGGTCTCGAACTCCTGACATCAGGTCATCCGCCCACCTTGGCCTCCCAAAGTGCTTAGATTACTCACGGCATGAGCCACCGTGCCTGGCCTCTATTTCACTCTTTGCTTCTGTGCATTTGACTATTCTGGATACCTCATATAAGTGGAACAATGCAGTATTGGCCTTCTGTGACTGGCTTATTTCACTCAGCATAATGTCCTCCGGGTTCATCCATTTTGTAGCATGTGTCAGAATTTCCTTCCTTTTTAAGGCTGAGTAATATTTGCAGTATCTACCATGTTTCGTTTATCCATTCATCTATTAATGGATATTTAGGTTGTTAACGTATCTTGGCTATTGAGAATAGTGCTGCAATGAACATGAAAGTCCTAATATCTCTTCAAAATCCTAATTTCAATTCTTTTGGATAAATACCCAGAAGTGGCATTGTTGGATCGTAGGTAGTTCTACTTTTAGTCTTTTGAGGAGCTTCCATATTGTTTTTCTGTGATGGCTGCACTATTTTTGTGTTCCCACCAACAGTGCATAGGGCTCTCATTTCTCCATATCCTGGCCAGCACTTGTCCTTTGTTTTCCTTGAGAATAGCCATTCTAACAGGTGTGAGGGGCTATCTCGTTGTGGTTTTCATGTGCATTTCCCTGATGATGAATGACATTGAGCTTCTTTTCATACATCCGTTGGCATTTGCACATCTTTCTTTGGAGAAATGTCCATTCAAGTCCAAATTGGCAATTTACGACCCTCCTCCTGAATGTTCTTATCTCAAGCACCTTCAACTCCTCCCTCTCCCTGACTCCCATGGCTAATTAGTCACTAGTCCTGTGACTCTGCCTTCTCAGTGACCCTCCGATCCAGTTTCCTCTTCCATTCTCAGGGCCATTTCCCTGGCTCATATCCTCATGCACTCTGCTCTGAACTGTAGCCATAAACTCCTGCCTGGTCTCCCAGTCACCAGACTCTCCCTGCTCCCATCCAGCCTCACTCCATGGCAGATTTATCTTCATGAACTACAGCTTTGATCCTGCAGTCCCCTTACTTCCACATCTTCTCTGGCTCCCCATTGCCACAAGAATATCCCAGCTCCCTAGCCTGGTATTAGGATTCTCATGACTTGGAGACAACTTCCATTCTCACTGTCCCATCTCTCACACAGACTGTGCTCCAAGTATAGGAGAGGGCCAACCCCATTGTGCATTTGCAAGTCTCTGTGTCTCCAAACATGCTGCCCCCTCTGCCTGCTGCCTGGAATACACTCTCCTCTCTCTCCCATCTGTGCTTATTGAAAGCTCCATCTTAGAGACCTACACCATATCTCTGTGATAGCACTTATCCTGTTCTGACTTGACTTTTTAGCTTTCTGTAGCCTCTGTCTGGATCCTGCCCTAGATAGTAAAGTCCCAGAGAGCAGAGACTATATCTCAATTGAATTCTTGCCCCCTTACAGGGTTTTAACACATGGTGGGTGCCTGTACATGTTTTCCAAATTAGATTCTATTTTTAGCACTCTAGTCACCCCATATTCCAGACAAACAACGCACACCCCTGGTGGGATCAACATGCAAACCACGCAGATCACAGCATCCTGTGCATTTAAAGATAATCAGTTTATCTGATTGGTCATTACAATCCTTTCACAGTTTTAGAAAACATTTATGTCTTTCAGGGACAGATCTGCAGGGCTAGAGTTGCTCTTGGGCCTCCCATTTACGGAGAAAATTGGGGCAAACTCTTGTGTTGAAGTGACATCGTCCGTGCTGCCATTCCTGAGAAGACCAGCCTTATCGAAGGTCAGTTATGAACTGTGAGTATGAGAATGCTGTCCTCTTTCAATTCTGTCCAATCTACAGGAGTTTCTACAGGAAATGAGAAAAGCACACTACAGAATCATAGCACTTTCAGGCTGGATCTATCTACTGCAGCATTTCACTTTATGGATGAGGAAACAAGGAAAATTGAGCTCTTCAGAGGCAAAGGAGTCAGCCAAGCCACACAGGTGGCCAGTGATGAGCAGGACTGACCCATATTCAGCCTTCAAGCACTTCCCCTGTGTTAGGGACTGAATATCTGTGTCCCCTCTCCCAAAATTCATATGTTGAAATGTAATCTCCAATATGATGGTATGAGGAGGTGGGGCCTTTGGGAGGTGACTTGGTCATGAAAGTGGAGCCCTCAGGAATGAGATCTGTGTCCCTCTAAGAAGAGATACTGAGTGATTATATCTCTCTCTTCACCATATCAAGTTGCAACAAGAAGGTGGCCATCTGCAAACCAGGAAGACAGCCCTCACCAAGAACCCAACCATGCAGGCACCCTGATCTCAGACTTCCAGCTTCCAGAACTGGGAGAAATCAATGTTTGCTGTTTAAGTCACTCAGTCTCTGGTATTTTTGTTATAGCAGCCTACACTGGCTGAGACACACTGTCGCTGCCCTCCTGCCCTCTGTCCAGCCTTAACGTTTTGACAGTTGCCATTTACTGAGCATTTATTAGGCGACAGATTCCATGCTGGGCATTCTGCACACACGACCTCATTTCAGCCTCACAACTCCCCCGACAAGTGGCCTGTCATTTAGACAAGGGGCCTGAGACTTAACAGAAGTGAACAGCTTGCTAAAATTCATATAACCTGTAAGTGGCAGAGTTGGAATCTAAAGCAAGCTCTGTCTGATTCTAAAGCATTTATTCAGTAACTGCTTCCCACTTTCCAACCCAATTCCTATTCCCTGGCAAGTCCATTAGAACCCACACCAGGAGGAAAGAATTTTCTTTCATGACATCTCGGAAAAACTGAACCCTGTATGAAGATCTCAGCACAATCTGGCAGCCTCTCCGCAGCTAAGGGCCTGGTACCAATTTCTAATCAATGGATTTGAGCCAAGTTGTCAGGGAGGGTAAAGGCTTGGCAAACTGGATGAAGGAGATGATAGCAAGTTGCTTAGTATCCCTGGGCCTTAGTATTTGTTTTTGTTTTGTTTTCTGAAAGGGAATAATAGAGACCCCTGACCACAGAGTCAGGAGGAAGATGTGGGAGACTGAGTGAGAAAGTGCTTTTCAAAGTATATGCCTGACACTTACATGAGGCACATCAGGGGTGACCTGAGCAGTTCTAGGTACACCAGGATCCCCTGTGGGATGCTCAGCTTTCACCCTACACAGCTCCTTGCTTCCTGTTGTCATATGAATCTCTGTCACCTGGTTTTTCCCCTGTGTGTAGAAGGGAACAGAAATATATCCTATGGTCCATAATTCTACTCCTAGAGATGCTGAACAGAAATGCACACATATGTTTGTTAGAAAATATATATCTATCAGTTGTATGTATAACTGCCCCACACTGGAAACCGCCAATAAGTCTATCAAAAGCAAAATGAGTAAATACATTTTGTTGTATTCACCCAATGCAATACAAAATAGCAATGAAAAAAATTAAATTACCTGAAACAAAATGACTACATCTCACTAACATATTCTTGAGCAAAAGAAGCCAGACACAAAAGATAGAAAACTACATATGATTCTATTTATATAAAGTTCAAATGGACCGGGCATGATGGTTCACACCTGTAATCCCAGCACTTTGGGAGGCCAAGGCGGGGTGGATCACTTGAGACCAGGAGTTTGAGACCAGCCTAGAAAACATAGTGAAACCCTGTCTCTATTAAAAATACACCCACAAAAAAATAGCTGGAAATAGTGGTGCATGCCTGTAATCCCAGCTACTTGGGACACTGAGGCACAAGAATCACTTGAACTTGGGAGGCAGAAGTTGCAGTGAGCTGAGATTGTGCCACTGCACTCCAGCTTAGGTGACAGAGCAAGACTGTATCTAAAAAAAAATAATAAAATCTTTTAAAATAAAGTTCAAATGCAGGCAAAACTAATCCACGAATTGTGATTATTCTTGTTGCAGATGGGGGCAAGGATGATTGGATGGGAACACAAGGAGGCCTTCTCGGATTCTGGTATGTTTGGTTTCTTAATCTGGGTGCTGGTTTTATGGGAGCATTCAATTTGTTAAAAATTGCTGGTAGTTGAGGTCCTCATTAACCACCTCCTAACAAGCCTCCTAGCCTCCTGGTCCTCCCTGCTCTGACAAATCCTTCACTCTATTTAAATGGTCTTCCTAGAACATAATCTGATCGGGTCCTCTTGCCTTCCTGTGGCAAATCTTTCTATGGCTCCCCATTGCTTAGGTCTTCAGACCCTGGTAGGCATAAGAAATACCTAGAGAACTGTTCTATTAGTTATTGACTACTGTTTAACAAATTACTCCAAAACTTAGTGGCTTAAGACATACATATTTATTATCTCACAGTTTCTGTGGGACAGGAGCCTCAGATTCATGGTCTATTGCAAGGCTCCAATCAAAGTGTTGTCCCAGGGGCTGTGTTCTCAACTGAAGGCTTGATTGGAGAAAGATCCACTTTCAAACTCACAAAGCGGTTATTGGCAACACCGAGTTTCTCACAGGCTGTTTAACTTAGGAAGTCAGTTTATCACTGGCTGTTGGTATGAGGCCACCCTTGGTTCATGAAAGCATGCAAACTGAGAAGGGAATAGAGAGAGTCAGCTAATGCACAGAAGTTACAATCTTGTAACCCAGTCATGGAAGTGACATTCCATCACCTTTATTGTATTCTGTTGGTTACAATCAAGTTACTAGGTCCAGCCTGTATTCAGGGGGAGAGAATTACACAAGCACATGAATGCTCAGAGGTGGGGATCACTGTGGGCAGGTGTTGAATTGTGTCCTCCAAAAAGATATGCTGAAGTCCTAACTCCCAGTATCTGTAAACTGACCTTATTTGGACCTTGTCCTACCAGAAGCTAGGAGAGAGGTATCCTTCCCTAGAACAAATTCTTCTTTGGAAACTCAGAGAGAGCATGGCCTTACTGACTCCTTGAGTTTGGACATTTGGCCTCCAGAATTGTGAAACAATAGATTTCCATTGTTTTAAGCCCTCCAGATTGTGGCACTTAGTTAAGGCAACCGTAGGAAAGTGATACAGGGATGGTGCTAGAAATCAGCTTACTACATCTAGCAAAATTGCAGATTCCTGAGCCCATGCTCTCCTTACTGCTGCCACAATATGATATGATGGTCTTTGTGGAAAGACCTATTGATTTTGATGCAGGAATTCAAGGGCCCACAATCGCTGATGCAGGAATTCAAGGGAAGCAGTCTCTTTGGCCCAGCTCTGTTCCCCATCTCCAGCAATCTGTGCACCCTCCCCAGCACAAACTCTATGGCTACATTCTGACATTTCCTCAGCCTCTTTGTTCTTCTCCCTTCCCTACCTGATAACACACTCATCAAGACCCTGGTTGATCACCTCCTCCAGGAAGCCTCCACTGATTACACTAAACCACCAGACTGAATTAGTTGTTTCCTTCTCTGTGATCCCAAATCACTTTGTGCCTAAATGTGCTAGAGGTACTTTGCCTCTCACATTGCATTGCCATTATTCACTCCCTTTTCAGTTTTCATTTCTAGGCTATGAGCACCCCAAGAACAGAAGTTGTGACTGATTTAGTCTTATACCCCCAGAGCCTGGCACAATGTCTGCCCAGGCATGTTGCTAACTAAGTGAATAAATGAGATGACTCTTCAGGGCTGCTCAGGCATTGTTGGGAGGAAGCTTCAGCCACTCCTCTCCCAGTTGTCCTTAGGAGTCATCTTGGCTTATATGACATGACCTTTGATTGTTCTGATTGTGCCACATTCGTGTGGCAGAAGTGATGACTCAGGGAGAATGGGTCATTCCTCAGTCACTGAGGGAAGAAGCACAGAATCAAATTGCATCAGAGCTAGAAGAGAGACATCCTGGATAACAGCCCAATGTGGGCCATGGGGACAGGCTTCGCTATCGAGGTACTCAGCTCTGATGTGGCTTGCATGACCTCACTGAAGGCTACATGGGCTAGGCTTCCCCCTATTCTGTGGGGAGAGAGTTTCTCATACACAGGAGGCTGAGCCAATGATCCTTGCATCCCTCACCCCCTGCCCAGCCACCAGCAGAAAGAGGAACTATGCAGGGAAGGTTGGGGGAGCCCCAGCTGGGTCACTGGACCAGCTCCATCGGGCTCTCAAGACAAGAGGCATTGGAAAGCTTGTACCTATGCATGGTGGCTGGGAGGTGAATATTTTCATAACCACTTGACTGAGACAGCACTAATGTATTATACAACCTACTCACTGAAAGTTTTAGTACAGTCATGGAGTTGGACAACCATCATCACAACCAATTTTAAAACATTTTCATCACCCCCAAAAAGAAACCCCATACACATTTGCAGTCACTCTTCATTCCCCTCATCCCCCTAGCATCTGCTAATCGCTTATTTCCTTTCTGTCTCTATGAAGTAGCCTCCTCTGGACATTTCATTTAAATGGAGTCAAACAATATGTGGTCTTTTACTTTGGCATCTTTCAAAGGCTCATCCACATTGCAGCATGTATCAGTGCTGGATTCCTTTGTATTGATGAACAATTTTCCATTGTATGGATAGACCACATTTTCTTCCTCCATTCATGGGATGTGGAATTTCTTTAGGTTGAGAATCCCATTGGAACTTGATGAATCTAAAGTTGACTTAAATGTAAGGCAGATATGCCACTCTTCTGCTAAAAATACCCTGCACAACAAAACAAATGAATCACACAGATTCATTGACTCAAAGAAGCAGACTCAGAAAGAGTACATACTGGACGTGGTTATTTAATTGAACTTCTAGAACCAGAATAACTCGTCTTAATTCTAAAAGTCAACAGTGGTCTCTTAGGGTGGGGTTTGGGGGAATTGATTGCAAAGGGCCAGGAGAAAACTTTCAGGGTGGGGAAATACAGTTGATAATTACTCAGGGGTATATATTTGTCAAAGTTTATGAGGTTGTATTCTCAAAATTGTGGATTTTATTGCATTGTAAATTATACTTCTTCTCCCCTAATGAGAACTCTGAGGATAGAGAGCAACCTGCAAATAATTACACTTGAAAGATTCTTGGTTTGGGGAGAAAGACTTTTTCAAAAATGTTTTGTAGAGACAGGGTCTCACTGTGTTGTTCAGGTTGGTCTCAAACTCCTAGTCTCAAGTGAGGCCCTCCCACCTCAGCTTCCCAAAGTGCTGGGATTATGGATGTGAGCCACTGTGCCTCACTGTAAGAAGAACTTTCAAAGAAGACAAGGGAACCAGGAAGAGAAACGAGGACGTGGGAGAGAGCTGGCTCATTTCTGGATAGAAGAGTAAGGCCTCCTTGAAGCAAGGAAGCAACTCTTGGGGCATCTCTCCATTGCAGAACTGTGTTAGCTTTCTCAAGGCAACACTGCAAGAACAGACTTTGGCCTGTGGGTTCATCTTGAAGAATGAATGAATGAGGAATAACAGCACAATAGCTAGGACTTACATAGCACTTACTGTAGGCCAGCCCTGTCCTTGTAACAACCCTATGAGGCTAAATGTTTTAGTACTCTCTCCAGCTCTTCCTTGTCATACTTGGGACCTCAGTTTCCTCATCTATCAATCAGAAAGAATAATAGTACCTACCTCACCAAGTTATAGTGCCTGGCTTCTAATAAGGATTCAATGACCGTGAGCCGACATTACCTCCACATAACTGTTACCCTCACTGTCATGAAAGGGTAAGACATTCAGTCACTCTAAGGACATTGTATGTGATGCAGGAAACATATGTGATCAGGCACAGCTTGGCTGTGACCTGTCTCCCAGGGCTGTGTATTTTCTAAGGGTCAGTATTTAGTCAGAGGGAGACATCATTGGCAGCATTCCTGGTGGCATCGAGAAAGATGGGAGAGAACTTTCCAGGAAAGTCCCAGTAAAGAGCTTGTGTAGCATGTGTAGGTAGCACAGTTTCCCCAGGATCACAATTCCAGGCTTTTGTCCATTCTGCCTTCAAAGCAAGGACCTGCAGGTCAGAAGAGGTGGGTGGTAAAATGAGGCCATCAGGACCAGGGCAAACCCTCTATGTTAATTGTGGGGGCCTCCAGCCTGGGAGTTTTGCAGCTTTGGCTAGAAGCCTAAGCAGTCCCCACCCCGTCCATGGATAAGGAGGTGGGCTGTGCCAGGAAGCTGCTCCAAGGAGAAGGACCGTAGTATGGCTATGGAGGGAAGGAAGCAGCCTTCTCTTAGATGAAGTACTGAAAAATATGGAAAGCTCCCCTCCTTTGGGAAGCGCCTTGCTTACTGACTTGTGTGTGTGCACAAACGTGTATGTGCTTTGTGTGTGTGGTGGGCCTGGGGCAGGTGAGAATGCCATGCCAAGCACTCCTGTATCAGGCCTCATGCTTTTGTGTAAAAGTTGGGTGTTAATCACTGGCATTCTCCAGTCCCCTTCTGCCCTCTTGGCTCCTTGTCCCAAGGGTGGGTGGTGTAGAGACCCGCTCTCACAGCCCATCTGCCTGAGATTAGCCTGGGAAAGGTCCCCCAAAGGTCCTATTCCTTGGGCTCCTTTAGGTTTTGTAAAATGCAGCATCAAAAGATCTCAGATTTCATTAAACTCTTTAAAAACAGCTTTTGGGTATGATCAGGCTATCTGAAGGTCCCTAATCAAGTGGGCCAATTCTCTGTAAGGGAACTGTGAATCCATTCATTCATTCATCCATTCATTCATTCGTCTCACTCAGGCATTCAGGCATTAATACAAGCGTTTCCTGAGCACAAGCATTTCCTGAGCACAAGCGTTTCGTCCGCTGATCGGCCGGCGGCGCTGAGTCCTGGGAAGACGAATGAGGCAGGCCCGTTCCCTCCTTCCCTCCCCGAGTCCTTCCTGGAGAACACCTAGCCTGAGGTTAGGACCGGCACCTAAAGGATAGAACGAGACGGGGACCACAGAATGGGCCCTAAAACAGGCAGGAAAAGCGGGAAGGAGGATGACAGGCAGGCGAGACCACTTCCTGTCGTGGCCAGGTAGAGATCAGCAGAGATCTGAAGGCGATTTCACCCACTTCTTCTCCCGGGATCCAGAGAAAAAATGCTTTTGTTTTCTAACTGCGGCGGCGAAGGGCGAGACCTCAATGGCTTTTAAACGTCCTGCGCCGGGACAGCGGTTTCTCCAGCGGAACCTGCAGGCTTGGTTCAGAGGCTGTCCCATAGAGGGCGCTGTCTGCCTGACTTTGAATGGAGTCGTGAGCGCAAGAACGCTGGCAACACCTCTCGCCAGACGGCGAGTAAAGGGCTGAGTCCGCGCCCAGACCCGACTCCCACCAGCTTTCTCGAAGGGGAAGGGAAAGATCTACTCAATACATCCCGCTTTTCAAGCCCAGCAATCCCTAAAACTGAGAGGATGGGCTGAGAGTGCTGACACTGGAGAAGCTCCTCTCCCGGGCCAAACACAAGCACATAACAGCGCCCCTGCGCGCCCCTGGGAGGGGAGTCAACCGGAGAACTTGGGGCGACAACCGGAAAGCCGGGATCCGGTAGCCGCACAGCAGGGATGCGGGCGGCTGTCCCGGACTCTTCTCCCGCCACACTGGGCCTGTCCCCTCCCCATCTGAGTCTAGCGCTGGAGTTGTGATCAGCCACGAGTCCCCCTCCCCAGACTGAACCCTCAGCATTCCCAGTTTAAAGTCGACTTTCGTGCGTCAGAACTCTAGCCAAGTTTGCATGCGTCTGCGCTGAATGGCGAAGCTCCCAAAACACACAGGCATACACGCCGGGGTCTCTCCACGCATACTCGGCCGCGTGGCAGGCTGTGTGCAGGCGGTGCCCACCCAACCCTCATAGACCTACGTGCATCGAGCTATTTCTGCGGTTGGGGGAAAATGACCTCTGGGTATCCAGCAGCGATTGGGCGACCTAGGCCCAGTTTCCTCCTCTCTGGGCGCGGGTTTCCACTTACAAAATCCAAGTATGAGACCCACCCTGCTGGGGTCTCAGGGCAGTGATCCGTTCCAACCCAGATTTTGGATGGCGTAGCGTTTTGCATTCCAGTAAAGCCCTGTGTAAACTCAAGGGAGTAATAACAGTAATTGTTTATGGAAGCGCCATTTACGTTTCCAGATTTCCAAAGCAAAAATGGGGTTCGCTGCTGTAGATGAATGCAGAAAGAAACATTACATATGCCCGTCGAGATTTGGTGGGGGAGGGTCTGACGCCCCAGGACCGAAAAACAAAATCTACCTCTCAAGTGGGGACCCCACACGATCACGTCTGCCAATGCAGGGCGGCCTTGAATTAGGCGAGGCTCAATCTAACGAAAAAGAAAGCGGTGGGGAGGTGAAGGGATCCCAAAAAGCCCTCGTGTGCGGGAGCTTCACCAGGGTGGAAGAGGGTGAGGCCAGTTTGTCACCTTTCTCTGATAAGAAAGCTGTCTCTCGGGAGGGGACCTCACAAACAATTCTGATTTACTTGATGCTTAAATCATGAGTCTTAAATGTCTGCCTCATGGGCTTCTCGTGCGAACCGGGGAGCTGTTTTTAAAGCCAGTGGAGTGGAATGTCCTTTCACTAAGCCGTTCTGCAAAGGTCCAGTGTGGTTCTCTAAGGACTTCGCTGCCGTCGAGACGCGCAGCGGATGCCGCTGCTTGCCGCGGCGGAGGAAGCTACGCCGCTGCGCCTTCGGTTCACCTTGCCCCCATTAAAGCGTTAGTTAGACAGCTCCAAACGCCAGCTGGCCGGAGAGACTTCCTGGGAGAAAGTGCTGTCGTCGGGGTCACAGACTCGGAGTTGATCCGCGAGCCTTGGGCACCGGCGGCCAGAGCAGAGGGGTGCCCTTCCGAGAGCAGCCGTCGGTGCCGAGAAGCTGTTGCCCCAGCAGCCCCACCGAGTGACGCGCGGGTTTTGGCCGGGTCAGCGCGCATACGCACACAGGCACACCCACTCCTGGTCCCGGGGGAAGGCTCACTCTTCGGTTTTCCAGGGCTAAAGGCCAAGGCCACGCGGATTTCTGAGTCCGAAGACGCAGTGCGAGGACTTACACCTGGATTCCCTTACTATCGGCTGGATGGTGGGTGGGGAACCCAAATCCCTCTCTTCTTGGCCTCGCCCTTCCTAGCAGGCTTTAGGAAAAATACCGAGGTCGCCGGACCCCAAAGGGTAGGAAAATGATGAGTTCTCCGAGGGCCGAGGTCACGTCCTGCCTCTTGGGCCGGCGCTGCGTGGCTCTCCAGCTGCGTGGGGGCGGCGGGCCCCTGTCCAGCCCCAGGGGGCGGGGGAGCGGCAGCTGCGAGCGCAGATAACCCCGAGGTGACCCGGGAGGGCCTGGTCCGCCCCTCCCCCCTCCCGCAGGCCTGGCGGCGGGAAGCGGGTCCCTGCGCCGCAGGGGGGAGAGGCAGGCGCGGTCTCCGGGCTCGCGGCCGTTAGTGCGCTTCGGCCAAGGGCGCCGCCTGCTCCGCGTCCCTCGCTCGCCTCCTGCGCTCGCAGGAGCGCTCCGAGTGCCTCTTTAGCGGGAGCCAATATCCTTTTGTGCTAATAGGCTTGTCCTCATTTGCTGCCTAATTGGACTATATAAAGCCAATAACGGGCGGGCTCTTATAGCCCGAAGCCAAAGCGCCAAAATCCGAGGGAAGGCGAGGAGGGGGCGGTGGCGGAGGCGGCTGCGGGGCCGGGGCTCGGCTGAGCCTTCGCCTGCCTAATCCCATTTGCCATTGTACGCGCCCAATCGCCGTATACTCCCCGCATTTAACTTGGATGACATTTTGATTTCATCATTAGCATCCGGCGCCGGATTGACGCAGCCTCGAGCCGGGGACTGCTCTTGCTGCCTCCTCCGCGGGAGCCGCAGCCGCAGCCGAGCCGCCTCGATCCCTCGGTGCCGCGGCAGGGCCGCTCCCCGCCCCTCCGCACCCCTCCCTCATGCGAGCCCGCCCGTCTGGGTCCTCACTCCGCCCTCCCGCCGTTGGATTTGCGCCCGGGGCGGCCCCCGACTTTGCGCCCCGTAGTTGAGTTCCGTTTATGGTCTGATTTCCGGCCTCTCGCCTGCTCGCCCCGCCGCCCGCCTGTCCCGCTCCCTCCCTCCCGGGGACCCGGAGGAGAGGGGACCATGCCGGAACCCGGGCCGGACGCTGCCGGCACCGCCAGCGCACAGCCCCAACCGCCGCCGCCCCCCCCACCCGCTCCCAAGGAGTCCCCGTTCTCCATCAAGAACCTGCTCAACGGAGACCACCACCGGCCGCCCCCTAAGCCTCAGCCGCCCCCACGGACGCTCTTCGCGCCAGCCTCGGCTGCCGCCGCCGCCGCCGCTGCCGCTGCCGCGGCGGCCAAGGGGGCCCTGGAGGGCGCCGCGGGCTTCGCGCTCTCGCAGGTGGGCGACCTGGCTTTCCCTCGCTTTGAGATCCCGGCGCAGAGGTTTGCCCTGCCCGCGCACTACCTGGAGCGCTCCCCAGCCTGGTGGTACCCCTACACCCTGACCCCCGCCGGCGGCCACCTCCCGCGACCTGAAGGTACCGACCTCTCTTTGAACTTTCGTTGTCCCCCTGCGCGCCCGCCCCGTCCCCGCCCCGCGCTGCTTCCCTCCGCAGTTCTGGGACCCCAGCACCCGCAAACCCTCTGCTCGGTCAGTTTTTTTCGGCCCCTAGCCTGCCCTCGCGCTGGGTTGCGCTGCCCGTTAATCCAATCCCACTTGGTGAGAAAAGAAGTGGAATTGGAGCCCCGGGCACGGTGCTTCCCGGGAAAAGTGGCCTCGGGCGTGAATAGGGAGGCTTCGGACGGCCGGGGCTTGGGACACGGCCTGGAAGGAGGGGGTGATTCCAATGCGCCTAAGCCGAAAGGGAACCGTTCTGCCGGCCCCTGGCGAGGAAGCTGAGGGAATGGAAGGAGGTGGCCGCGCTACCACCATCTGCTTGCCTGTCCTCGGGAGGAGGGGGATCCCAGGACTCGGCGTCCCTTCTCTGGCCCAGCCGAGAAGGAGGCAGCCCGCGGGAATGGTGAGGCCTCATGGCCTGGGACCTGGAGGCCGGCGCGGGTTGAGCCTGCCGTCCCCAGGCGCCGGGCCTCGCTCAAGGCTGTGTCGGTGTGCATGTGTGTGCGTCCGTCTGTCTGTCTCCCCAGCCTCGGAGAAGGCCTTGCTGAGAGACTCCTCCCCCGCCTCCGGCACAGACCGCGACTCTCCGGAGCCACTGCTCAAGGCCGACCCCGATCACAAGGAGCTGGACTCCAAGAGCCCGGACGAGATCATTCTGGAGGAGAGCGACTCCGAGGAAAGCAAAAAGGAAGGCGAAGCGGCGCCAGGCGCGGCCGGGGCGAGCGTAGGGGCGGCGGCGGCCACTCCGGGCGCAGAAGACTGGAAGAAGGGCGCTGAAAGTCCAGAGAAGAAGCCGGCGTGCCGCAAGAAGAAGACGCGCACAGTCTTCTCGCGCAGCCAGGTCTTCCAGCTCGAGTCCACCTTCGACATGAAGCGCTATCTGAGCAGCTCGGAGCGAGCCGGCCTGGCCGCGTCCCTGCACCTCACCGAGACGCAGGTCAAGATCTGGTTCCAGAACCGCCGCAACAAGTGGAAGCGGCAGCTGGCGGCGGAGCTGGAGGCGGCCAACCTGAGCCATGCCGCGGCGCAGCGCATCGTGCGGGTGCCCATCCTCTACCACGAGAACTCGGCGGCCGAGGGCGCGGCGGCTGCAGCCGCGGGGGCCCCGGTGCCAGTCAGCCAGCCGCTGCTCACCTTCCCGCACCCCGTCTACTACTCGCACCCGGTGGTCTCTTCCGTGCCGCTGCTACGGCCGGTCTGAGGCCCCAGAGGGGTGGGGGAGGGAGCGCCCGGCCTCCTTGTCCGGACCCCGGAGGAGACTGGGCCGGGCCGAGGGCGCCGAGAAGTCCAGCGGCCTTCAGGAACTGGGGCTTGGGCGCGCAGCCTCTGCTTCCCCTCCCCCAGTCGGTAGCATTTTGTAAGTATTTGCAATGCATTTTCGTGCAATTCATCCCTAATGGATTGGAGGCGCTTCCCCTCTTACTTTTGGTTTTTGGCTTATATTAAGAGAAAGCAGGAACAAGACAAAATTTTCGGGTCAGAGATTTCGGCCGATAGTTTTTGTAAAATGTGCAGCCCTCCCTTCCAAATTTCCATTGCGCGGTGGCTTTTTGGTTTTATTTTTATAGAAGGAAAATAAGCGCAAAACCTAAATCCCTCTAGTTTATTCTTTTCTGCTTTTTTTTTTTTTTCCGAGACGGAATCTTGCTCTATCTATTGCCCAGGCTGGAGTGCAGTGGCGCGATCTCGGCTCACTTCGACCTCCGCCTCCCGGGTTCAAGTGATTCTCCTGTCTCAGCCTCCCGAGTAGCTGGGATTGCAGGTGTGTGCCACCACGTCCGGCTAATTTTTGTATTTTTAGTAGAGACGCGGTTTCACCATGTTGGCCAGGCTGGTCTTGAGCTCCTGACCTCGTGATCCGCCCGCCTCGGCCTCCCAAAGTGCTGGGATTACAGGCGTGAGCCACTGCGCCCGGCCTAGTTTATTCCTTTTCTATAGAACTGTTTTCAGAATCCAGAGAGGGAGAGAATTCATATGATAGTACTTTTATTTCTGGATTTCTGGGTATGTTTCTTCCTCCCAACCCCCAAATCAGTTATCCACCTTAATTTTCAAAATATGAGCAGCCTCTCATAAGAATCCCGACTCAGGCCGCTTTTCTCTTCTGGAGAGGTCTGTTGCAATTAGCCTCTTCATCGGTCTTACTTTGTGATGGAAGAATTCTCTAAGTGTCTAAAGAGAAAAGACAGCCAAAAATCAGAACTCTGACTATTTGAAACAGCTCCATATCTGGCCTGGTCTAAGTGGTCTTATTTATTAGTAGCATTTATTTTGAGAATTTCATTTGTAAATTATTATTAATATTACTATTATTACTTTGTTCCCTGTTTTGAGAGAGTAATTTCAGTATTTTTAATATGATATCTTTTATCCTCTCCTCTTACTTTTCATGTTCTGCAGTAATTATTGTACGTTGACCTGTGCAATATTGTACAAAATCTCCTGAGAAAGCTGTTTCCTCCTCCACCGTGGGAAACAGACCTTTTCACTGTATAATCATGGTCATTCATTTAGAAAGAAAAAAGTAGGCAGGGGAAAGGGGGGAAGAAAGAAACAAGCTTAGGTAGTGATGCTCAAAGGAGTAAGTTAGGCATACTGGAGCGCTTTAAGTGAAGGACAATCAATTTAGCAGAATTTTAACTTATTTGATAAATGTACAGATTTCTTGTAAAGTTCACCCTCTACTCCGCAGGGCTCCTGGCTCTGTCACCCAATCTGTTTTCTTTCTGTCGGTACACCTGTTGTTCTGTGATAGTTTGTTTCCCCTCATCTCCCTCACCTCTGCCTGGGTTGAGTCCCTTTTTAAGAAAAAGAGAAAAAAAAAACCCACAAAATATTGTTACACTAATGTTGTCGTGACATTGAATTAATTAAAAAGAAAAGAAAAGCTTTACGTGTTGCCAGAGTGTGTAAGTTTGGACGATTTTCCCTAGAGCAAATGTCTCCAAAACTCTTTTCTGTCTTGCTCGCTGACTGCCTCTGCGCTCTCTAAGTACAACCTGGACGCACAACCCTGTATTCCGGGAGGCGGTGGAGACAGAGGCGGCTTTGTTCGCGACCAGAGGCACTCTCTCCCCTGTACTTTCCGCGGCCTGAAACGCCCAGCGAGCAGGGAAGAATGCTGGGCGGAAGGGGAGTGGACTTAGGCTTATCTAGTTTGCGAAATTGAGCAAAGCGACAGCGCGCGAGGCGAGATACCAGAGACAGCTGGTATTTCCGAACACTGGTCTGCAGCCTCCCGTTCTGTTCTTAAACCTGGGTTCCTTCGGGAGCCGAGAGCTTTTGGGCAGGGCATCCCTGGGCATTCGTCAGCTGGTTAACTTCGGTGGGCTCTGGTTGGAGGGAAGAAGGGAGTGAGTTCAGAGTTTAGCTGCAGCCGTAGGCCGATTGCCAAGTCAGGCTAGGAAAGGCTGGGCCACAAGAGGACAACCCCAGGGACAGCCAGCTCTTGGGACAGCGGCTCCCACTACCAGGAGAGGGGAACTTCCTCAGGTCTTGCAGAGCTGAGATTCCCGGGGCGACTCGAGCATGGGCGCGGTCCTGATGTGCTAAGTGTGAGGGAACAGAGGCTACCTAGCTGCTGCAGCTGCAACAGAGAAGACCTTGTCTCTTCCGTGCCAGGCTCTTCTCTTTCCCCTGGCGCCCAACACCTCCTGGGCGGCATCTCTAGATCCCCGACCCTGTCCTGGCAGACGCCGAGAAGCGTAGCGCTCACCACACCCGCGCGCTACTGGGTTCCAGGCCGCCGCGCTCTTAGTGAGCAGCCTGCGGAGGCACAGCGCGCCGGAACCGCCTGGAAGGGTGGGTCCGCCCGACAGAAGCAGGTGCCTGGGCGACACTCGCTGGCCGGGTGTGGCCGCCTGCCTTTAAGCTGGGGGTCTGCACGTACAATTCCTGGCGGGGCACCTTTGAAGCTGGGGAGCCGAAAGGGGGAGATGAGGAACCCAGAGGGTGAAAAAGATTCCAGAGAGCAGCCATAGGGCGCGACCGCTGGGGAGCGCCTGCACGCCTCTCTTTCCTCTCGCAGTGCGTTGCTAGGCTCCTCAAATTCAATCGACACAATTGATTCTACTGTGGCTGAAACGTCCAGTATAGTTTTCTGTTAATGGAAAACTGCCCTCCGAATAAACCGACATGCGTATTTATGGCAAAATTTTAGCCTGGACCCCAGTGAAGATAGATCTCTCTTTATTTCCCTCTGGTTTGGAATAAAAACGAGGGCATGTGTCATAAATGAAACATAAACAGAAATTCGGGTCAAAATATGTTGTTCCTTGTGTTACCTACAAACATGGTGATGCCTTTTACTGTTGGCAATACCAACTGCAGGACAGGCCAATAACAGCTCATTAAAAATAATGTTGCAACAGCAAACACGTTCTTAGATTTTTACAGCCAGAACACGATGTTATCAAAGGCCAAGAAAATGCTTCTTTATTTGTGTTTGGATTCTAGAAAACGGTTCTTGACTGATCAGGTCTTTACAAAGTCGGGAAATAACTGGTTCTCCACAAGCACAGTTTATCCTTTGTCCTGCTCCTACAGCCTCCCTTTTCCTCCTGTTGGGGAGCCCCACTGCCCTGGACCCCCGAGCATTCCTCCTCCAAACAGTGATCTGCGCCCTGGGGGAGGGAGGTGGTGCCAACTTCGCCTGGGGACTGGTGGCTGTGTGAGCCTAGAAGCTGGCCCAGGTGGGAAATGTCCCCTTCCCTCCTGTCAGGGGTCACCATATTTATCCCAGGGCAAGCAAAGGGGTTGAGCCAGGGTGCGGGGCTGTGGAGCACAGAAGCCACTCTACACAAAGCATCCTAAGCTCAACTGCAAGTTTTTCTGTGGTTTCAAGCCAGGAGAATCCAAGAAGGCACTTAGTGGGGCTGTCACATCTCCAGAGCTGGCCGTCTTCTTCCCCCACCCAGAATGCCTCCCTCCCTGCTGCCTCTGCAAAGATTACTAGGAGCTGCTGCCACCACTCACAAAAAGGGGCCTTTTTTGGGAAAAGTGAATGTGCCTACACAAAATTCCTCCTGGACATTCCCTAGGGGAAGACAGGGCATCCCATGTCCTCTCTCCTAGGACACTGAACTGGCACTCTCAATTTTGTCTTTTCACCCCTCCTTCAGACTGTGGAGCCCAGCTTCTCTTTGCCAACCCTAGCTTTAGATTCTTCCCATCTGCACCCCAATTAATCTTCAAGTCAACGCAAATGACTTCAGCTTCCAGGCTAAATCCTTTCTGCATCACCCAAAGAGACACACATGGAAACAACACACAGGAGGATACACTCACATTTGATATAAACACTCACCATACACATCCACACACTGTAGACCTCCTAACACCATTTCCTTGGGTTCCTAGCATACCCAATCACAAATGTGTTTGGCATCACCACCATTGCTAAGGCACAGACGTAATTACACACATCTTGTTCGAAGTGACCCTTTACTCCGATGGCCTTAGGCTTAGGCAAGCTGGGGAGAATCCTGGGAAAGGACTGGGCAGAGTGAGGTGGCGCTCCCACCTCTGCTGCAGGAAGCCTTAGTGAACATCCTTTGGACCGGGATGCCTCGAAGTCCCTCCTCACAAGCCACCTGGGATACACTAGCGGAGCCTGCCACCATCCCACCGCAGACCCCCTTGCTCTTGTAGGCTGGGATCCTACTCAGTGTCCGCCTCCTTACAGTGCCAGGCTCTGCCGCTCTGAGCACCCCCGAGGCCTCTGGACCCTGGGAGACCACAGAGCCAGCACGCGAACTGTTTCTGTTGGCAACACAGATGTATTTCTTTTATTTGGTAGTAAATAGAGTGGGTGTGTGTACATCAAACAACAGAAAGACAGATATAAACTGCCCCCCCACCACCGGGCGCTCATTCTGAGCCGCGACGCCCCCTCAACAGGCTCCCGGCACCGCAGAGCCAGAGGCCACGCGGTGAGAACCCCAGTGCGTGCGCTCTTCTTGTGTGAGAGGCCGGAGGTAGAGTTGGGAGAAAGAGGAGCCGGCGAAAAGGTTAGTGGGATCTGCTTTCCCTTCTGCGGCCTTCTGGGCCAGCTAGGGCCTGGGAGATGGGGACCAGGGTCGGAGGCTTGGGGGCGGGAGGGCGGTGCTGCCGGCTGCTTCCTGCAAGCGGTTTGAAGAGGCATCGCGTTGTCCGGCCGCCTGCGCAAGGGCCACGCGCTGCTGCTTTCACCCCCTTGCGCCCGCGGGGCACCTGGACTCCCCTTAAGAGTCCCCGTGGGGCCTGAGCTTCTGCTGGGCGCTACGCTGCCCTCCACGATTCCATTTTGCCCCATTTACTCGGGTCGTCCACTTCCCGCGGCTCAGTGACCCAGCCAGGGGGCGTCTTCCGCTAGCGGTCCAAATGTAGACTCCGCAAAGAGGCTAAGAAGACCTGTCTACCCGGGTGCGCGCGATGGGGTCAGGGTGTAAGAACCAGGAGCCTCATAGAAACCTCTGCTTGGGGTCCAAAGCCCAGCCGGGCACTCCCAGAGGACAACATCCGCCCCCGCATGTACACGTGGCCCCGCAGGACCCAGCCGCAGGGCTCCCACGCTCGGCTCCCCGCCCTCTCGCTGTCCCCCACCCCCTAACCCGGGCTTTGAGGTGTGAGCGATCCCTTGCCTCTGGGCCTAGGACTCTGGAAGTGTGCACGGCCGTTGTGCAGGGTGGATGGTGTTGACCTTTTGACCTGAAAACAGTTGGGGGCTGGGGAGCGGAGGAAGGATGGCGGAAGAGAGGAAAGAGCCACGAGAACAACTAGGCGGGATGTACTTTTGAGCCCTGCCGGGTGTCTCCGATCGGAGTCTGGGGTTGAGATTTGGGCTGCACTTGTCCCCGGTGTGTCTCTCCGGCGGAGTACCCTGAAGGTGCACGAGGTGGGGAGCATAGGCTGAGGTGGGTAATCGGGTCCTGGATAGAAACACAACCCTCGTCCTCACTGGGGCCCATGTATGCGCCTGGGATTCCTCCCCACCCTTCCATTTCCAGGACCCCTAAGGGTATCACTCCAGCGACGGGGCGGTTCTGGAGACCCGAGGGAAGGGATAGCTGGAGACTGCAGCGCGCCTTCTCCGAGAGTCCCCTGGAGGTGCGCATGAGTTGTACTAGCGCAGATCTCTTCCTTGGCTGCTGCTCCTGGCGATGCATCTCCGGGGGAAACTTCCCAAAGTCTGAGTTGCCGGGGTTCCAAAAGGATCCCTTTGGGTTTAGGCCTGGGAGAGGTATAGAGCCAGCGAGAGAGCGCGTTGCGCCTATCACTGAGGCAGGAGCGGTGAGGTGGAGTCACCTGCTGTGCCTCACCCAAGCGCTAATGTCTTAAAGAAATATAAAGAATCCCCTTCTTTCGTGAGCTCCTTCACCGCCCTCGCCCCCGTTGGTGATGGAGTGCACGCATCAGATTTTCATCAAAGTTCTATTAAGTGAAACATAGGTTGCAGGGCACCCTTTGATTGAAACAGTTTAAATTTTAATTGTGTTTTTAATTTGACATATAGTTGCAGAAAGGAATGACACTGCGTCGCCAAGGGGCGGTCGATTTTCTTAATTTCTCCCAGAGGAATTGATGAGTCTATCAGGCCACTAGATTGGAAACCCATTAAAGCTCTCTGGTTAGGCTGTTAATTGGAACTTGATGGATGTGGGGGGGTGGGGAGGGGGGTGGAGAGTGTCGGGACTCGGCTATGCTGATCCAATCTTCATGACTTTCTGTTTTCCAATAAATTACACAATTCATTTTCCAGCAGCAGATTACATAAATTGTACACCTCTGGGGCTCTCTTTTTCAAATAGGGAGCCCTTTTCCCCAAAAGCCTATTGTGAGATGTCATTTGCACCAAAGAACGAACAGCAGAGGCCCTTGAACGAAAATCGAAACATAATCAACGTTTATACTTAGAAAATTTATTGAGATCATTTTCTCTGGTATTTCCTTATTTTAAAGTTTGGACGCGCCATATATCATAATCCACTCGCGTGGGGGCGGGGGGGCAGACTGTGTTTAATATTTATCGAAGCTTGATTCCAAGATCAAACTTGTTTATGACTTCATCTGTCATTTCGGAGGGAGCCTTCTTCTATTACCCGGCTCAGCCAGCCTATTTCCCAACTGCCGCAGAGCAGAGAGGATCAATTTTTATTAGGATCCTCGGCAAGTTTGCTCTGGGCCGCTTTAATATTGAGCAGTGGCATAATCTCGGGACCTAAACTTTAAGCGTTCTTTCAGGCTCAGAAAGTTTATCATTCCTTGGAACCTGGTTATGCCTAATTCCTAGGAGAGGGAGACAGGGGGTCGATCCCAAAGATGCAGAGGGGCCATCCTCCAAGGTGTGGGTATTAAACTGAGTAGGATTGGGCGGAGCTATCCCAAGGCTAGGGAGGTGGGCGGGGTGTGGGATAGTACTGAGTTGAAGGATTGCCACTCGTTAGGGGAGAGACATGAGGTGTCTGTGGGTGGTGGTTCCAGGAACTGAGTGTTCCTGGGAGTGAGTTTTGTAGCTACACTGGGCCCAGGAGAGGGCGTCTGGGCCTCCGTGCTCCCGGTGAAGATCCCCATATGCTAGAAAGGGGCGGCAAGGAAGGTTGTTTCTTGTCCCTCCCGTCCTTGCGGTGTGACGGCTATAGGTGCTGGAGGGGCGGGAGGTCCCTCGGGCTATCAATCGAGGGGAGCTCAGGGGAACTGCAGTCAGTCAGGCTGCAGAGCTGGGTCTCCACCACAGCCTTCCTTGCCCCAGCCCCGTGCCCACCACCATCTCTTCCCTGGTAAAGTGCACGCACTAGTAGGAGCTCAGTGAACGTTTGCTGAATGAATGTGTGAGTGTGCGCAGGCGTTTATGCAAGTGCCTTCATGCGAATTAATGCGTCCTTTGCCGGGTGTGGCAGCAGAGGAAGTGCCTCGGTGAAGATCAGACCCTCGAAGCGATTAGAGGGACGGGACAGAGGAAATACAAGGCAAGATGGATCTTTTTGACTTCCCAAACTATCCCTAGGGGAAGGAGAGATAGGGACGCAAGGCTTCATAACTTCCTTGTTTAGAGTCCGCAAGCCAGGCTTCTTGCAAGGGTCGACTCCCCAGTCTCTCACTGTTTCAGGGCCTGGGAGTTGCTTTTCCGAGGCCCACTTCGAGGTCCCCTGATCTGACAGAGATCACTCCTTGGGCTCTTGCCCCACCCATATACCCGCCCCCGCCATCCCGAGTCAGCAGGATCCTCACAGTCTTCCCCGCAGCCATCCTCCAAGCTCAATGCCTGTGTCTGCTCCTCTCTCCCTCCTCCCAAATGTGATGTATTGGCAGTGGAACAACCTTGAGCACGAGTCTTGCTTTGTCTGCCTGGGCTAGTCTCTTGTTTTCTTGAGCCTCAGTTTCCCGGCCTGTACATTGAGTGAATAGATCTGTGTCACTTGTTTGCCATCAGGATTAAAGCGAAGAATGCTGGGGAGCTTCCAGCATGTTCCCCGCACGACATATTTACAGTTCAGGAAGGTTCGACCAACTTTCCCTGCCTGCCCCCAGCTTTCTTCCCCAGCGGGGTGGCTGGCACTGCTCCCCGAGTTAGCTGGCCAGTTCCCCTCGGGGCTGCCTTGACCCTGGCTCCGGAGGCAGCGCCTAGCTCAGGATGTCTGCGAGAAGCGGATGGTTAGTGAGAATCCGACGATTCTTTCGCTGAACCTCCCGCGTACCCCCCAACAGCGCGGGAGCACGCGGGACCCGCTGCGACGTGGCCCAGGAGCCTGCGCCGCCGCGGCGCAGAGGAGAACGCACAAATTGTATTTCAGCGCCAGGTCCTTCCGGGTTAATGAGCTGACACCATGATTAAAGCTGACCATTTGTAATGTGTCTCGACCCTGCCGCTGAGCCCTGAAGAGGTTAATGCGGTGACGGAGGCCGGCACCTGCCCCTCGCTGGCCTCCCGGGCCGCTGCGCGCACCCCCTGGCCCCCGCCCCCTCGCCTGCCCCTGCCCCGGCTGCGCGGCCGACTCCTAATCAATTAGCCCATTAACGAGCCCCTCGAGGAGTTAAGTAGGGAAGAGTTCTGCCACGGGCAGGGCCGCAGTCGGTAACTCACCGCGGCTAATGATATTATAAGCGCTTTACTTAATAACCCGGGCGCGGTGCAGGCGAGGAAGGAACTGCACAGTCATGCAGTGTCTGGACATTTGTGGGGACTGATTCCAGAGTCTCCACTCACCCTTGGCTGCACTTGGGGGGCACCCTAAAGACAGGGCTTCTGGAATCTCTTGGCCAAGAGGTCTAGAGGTCACAGCTTGAGGGGACGGGGTTGCCTGAGCACTTCGGGCCTTGCCTCACTTCAGTTTCCAGGAAGCTTGTGCAGACGACTGTGGCCCCAAACCGCTTTGCTTGGCTGGGCTAATTCTAGCTCGGGTAACAGCTGATCTAGGAATTAAAGGGGCGAGAGCCAGGGCACAGAAGGGGGCTATGAGAACACAGAGGGAATCACTATTTACTGAGCACCACGGTGTGCCAGGCTCGGTGCTGGGTAGTTTGACCTCACAACAGCCTCTGCGAGGGAGGCACTGCTTCCTCCAATTTTAGGAATAAAGAAACCGAGCCTCAGAATTTCCAAATGTCTTCCCCCAAGATCACCCAGCCGAGAATTGAGTCGAGTCTGCTCAATTCTAAAACCGAGTCCTGTCACCAGTTCCTTATCTTCTTCCTGGGAGTAAGGCGTCTATTTCTGCAGCAGTTCGGAAACCTTCAAAATTTACAAAACAAAAACACAGATTCGCTTAAAACACGGGTGGGCCATGGGCTACCCGGCCAGGTTTATGGAGTACCTACTATGCGCTGCTAGTGCTTCGAGGCTTTTAATCCCTACCTGAGGCAATCCGAGAAGTTATTTTCAACTATGAGGGCAGAGAGGCTTTAATCGGCATGAGTTGTGCAAGTTCATGCAGTGTGTAAATAGTTGTGCCGGAATTTGAACCCAGATCTCTTGACTAGAGGTCTTAGGGCTTCCTCCCTCCCCCTAAAGATTCTGTAGGTCCGTAGAACCTGTGACAGGGATGAGGTCTGCAGACGGGGAAGGGGAATGTCTGCTCCCAAGGCTCCTGGCCATGCTGGAGAGGATGAGCGTCCGCCTGGAGACGCCTGCTCCTAACCCACCTCACCCCCACGCAGGGCGCCACGGTCCCAGGAGTGCCGGCTTTGCCCGCCCACTGGGGCTAGAAGGGGTGGAGGGCTGGGGGAGGATGGTGGAGCAGCCTGTACAAGCCCCTGGGAGGCGCGGAGACCCGTCGCCTGCGGAGGCGTCGAGCCACTCCAGCTCCGAGTCCCGCACCGCCCCTGCCTCTGGAGAGAAGGGTCCAAGGGGTCCAAGGAGTCGGAGTTGCCGCAGCCGCCAGGAACCCGGGCTAGAATCTGCAGCTGCTTTCAGCCCTGGCTGCCCCTGGTTAGACGCCGCTGATGCCCGCCAGGCCCTCGGCGCGCTCTGGGGGCGCACCGGTGCTGTGTGCCTGGCCGGAGCGTTTTGAAATTTTCCGGGGCCGCTCGGCGGCGCTGCGATTGGCCGCGTTCGGGTAACCTCTATGCAAATGAGGCCGCGCCGCCTCCGCGCCGCCGGAGACCCGGCGAGTTGGCGGGCGAGGAAGGGGCATTTGCACCGGGGCTGGGCGGGCGCACCCAGAGCCAGGCGGGCAGGAACCCCTGCGCAGCCATCCGGTGCCTGCATGTCCCTGGCGCGGAAGGGACGCCTCACCAGCCTCGGCGCCCCCTCCCCCTAGATTTCCTCCCCGCCCCTCCCCACTGCCTGCCTGCTGCACCACCTTCCACCCAGATCACCCAGATCGTCTCTAAAGGGAGTTCTTGGTTTCCTTCGATTTCTTATGAACCCAGGATGGGCAGCAAAGAAGATGCGGGCAAGGGGTGTCCGGCGGCCGGTGGCGTCTCCAGCTTCACCATCCAGTCCATCCTGGGCGGGGGCCCCTCGGAGGCACCGCGGGAGCCCGTCGGCTGGCCAGCCAGGAAGCGCAGCCTGTCCGTGTCCTCGGAGGAGGAGGAGCCGGACGACGGCTGGAAGGCGCCCGCCTGCTTCTGCCCAGACCAGCACGGCCCTAAGGAGCAGGGCCCCAAGCACCATCCCCCCATCCCTTTTCCTTGCCTGGGTAAGGATCGCACGTCGCCAGTGTGGCAGCGAGCGAGCGCGAGGGGAGGGAGGCTGAGCGCCCCGCCAAGACTCCCGCGCCGGGCCCCCTCTGGCCAGAGCTGCGGCAGCCGGGGGTTCGGGACCGCGGGGAGAGGGGCGCGCACTGTGGTGCCTCCTCCGCCCGGTGGGCCCCTGGGAGCAGGCGAACACAGACCCGTGCCGGCTTGGGCTTCCTGGGGAAGGTTGAGTTGTTGAGAGAGTGGACCACAGCGAGAGGGACACGCGGCCGGCCTTACACCCGGCTGTCCTCAATCACTGCACATCTGGTACTTTCTTTCCGGACACGAGGTGGAGATCTGCAAGTCGGGTCTGGGCAGTCTGTCTCCACCGTAATCTCTTTCTGAGTCTTCTTCCTCACTCGCTCCGTATCTCTGCCTTTCTCTCTCTCTCCTCCTTGGAATGATTAGCACTCCAAGATGATTGACAATGGTGCATTTCAGAGACGGTTCCTCTTTACAACATTTGACGAAGGGGAGTCCTGCGTTAGTCCTTAGCGTGATTTCCAAACAAACGGCCTGTGAAATGATGCCACCCTATAAAGCTCGAGGAACTCTTCCAGCTCAATTACCACCAAGCAAATTCGCCTTTTAAAACCATGCTAATGTTTCCCCCTCCAGACCTCCTCTCCCTGTTGCCCCTGGCCCATTCATAAAGGTGGGAGCACAGAGACCCCATACTCCAAGTAGCTGGGTCCCTCTCTTGTCGCTTTTAAAGGACGGGGTGCTGGGTTTGGGGGGCCAGTGAGAGGGATAAGAGGAGGGGATTGGTAAGGTGGGACCAAGGCTGCAGGCGCTTGCCAACCGCTTGGTCCCAGGGAGAGCTGGCGGTCTCCGAGGCTCCCCAACCAACTCCATGGCCTTTCTGTCTGTTCTCGCTCCTCAGGTACCCCCAAGGGCAGCGGAGGCTCGGGCCCGGGCGGCTTGGAGCGCACGCCTTTCCTCTCTCCTTCGCACTCGGACTTTAAAGAAGAGAAAGAGAGGCTCCTGCCCGCGGGCTCGCCCTCGCCGGGGTCCGAGCGGCCGCGGGACGGCGGCGCTGAGCGGCAGGCCGGCGCGGCCAAGAAGAAGACGCGCACCGTCTTTTCGCGCAGCCAGGTGTACCAGCTCGAGTCCACCTTCGACATGAAGCGCTACCTGAGCAGCTCGGAGCGCGCCTGCCTCGCCTCCAGCCTGCAGCTCACGGAGACCCAGGTAAAGACTTGGTTCCAGAACCGCCGCAACAAGTGGAAGCGGCAGCTCTCGGCTGAGCTGGAGGCGGCCAACATGGCGCACGCGTCGGCGCAGACTCTGGTGAGCATGCCGCTGGTGTTCCGGGACAGTTCGCTGCTGCGCGTGCCGGTGCCGCGCTCGCTCGCCTTTCCCGCGCCGCTCTACTACCCGGGAAGCAACCTCTCGGCCTTACCTCTCTACAACCTATACAACAAGCTCGACTACTGACCGGCCCGCCGCCCCGCGCCGCCCCCAGCTGCCCGCAGAGCCGGGCGCGTACTGTACTGTAAGCAGGGCTCCGGAGCAAGGCGGCGTGTTTCCAGAAATATGAAGAAATACACCATGTGTATTCATTAGCTCTTATTTATGGTCTCTGCCCTACTTTTTGTTTTGATTGTTTCGGGTATTTATTGGCATTCCCTAAGTCAGAGAGCCTGCTTCCTACCTAGACCGAACCAGTACGCTTTGAAAACCATTCGGAGTGAGATGTTCTCGGGTGGTGGTGGGAAAGGGAGTTTTGGCCAGACAGGCTGTGGTTGGTAGGGAAAAAAATCAGGAAAACACCTACAAAACCAGGTACACTCCTCCCCCATATATACACCTGTATATATGTACATGCATACACGCTCGGCCAAGCCAGGCCCTCAGAGGCTTTGGACAATTACTAAATTGCTTCTTTTCGTTTCCCTCATCCCGAGGATGGTAGGGACGAAAAGGGGAGAGTTCAGATCTGTAAATATTTTTAAAAAGAAAAAAAAATAAAACATTTTAAACATCTTTGCTAACTTTGGTGGGCTTGGTTACCCGGCATGATAACGCACGGAAGGTTTTCAGGTTTTTCGGTGGAAAGACTTGCATGCGTCTGTCTGTGGAAGTTTGGCTCGCTCCACGTGGAGGGTGGGACCGGGGTCAGGGGTTAAAGGTCGGGACCTTGGCGCCGCCCAGACTGCACGTGGCTGGAGCTGCCCGCCCACTCTCCCTCCTAACGCCCAGAATCGTCGCGCGGGCTGGGGCGCACCCCGGCTGGAATCCAGCTCAAGAGTCCGCGCGGAGAAAGACAAAGACTGGGAGGCAGGCCTCGCCATTTAAGCGATTGCCTTCTGGGAACAAGCGAGCTGGGTGCCCAGCGGCATATTCCCGGCACTGGGCTCGCCTTGAGCTTGGCCACAGCAGCTCCCGCTATGACATGCCCTGTGCCGCGCACTTCCTCTCCAGGGGTATAAAGCAGGCGATGGCGCTGCTTGTACCTAGTAAAGCCTCCACTTTGCTCGCCGCGAGCTTGGCGCGACCAGCTTGTCGCTGCGCCCAGCTACCCGGCCGGTGGCAGAGTTATGTGTCTCGCGCGGAGAGGGAACTGGGCGCGGTGAGGCAGTTCTGCGGCTCAGGAGAGATCCGAGGCCCGGGACCAGGCAAAGAAGGTGAGGGAGGCAAAGGCGCTTCCCTACACTCTTTTGTTGTTAATAGTTTGCATTGGTTCAGCGTGTGGCTGGATCACCGGCTAGCACGCGGCCGCTTGCTCTGAATGGAACCTTGACGCGCGGCGGGGGCGCCCACGGACTTCCTCGCCCTGACACCTGCGGCCGCGCAGGGGCTGGGAGGGCGCTGCACCGAGAGAATAGCCGCGGGAGTATCATGCAAATTGCAGATTCTCGCTCCCAATAGATTGCAGCCACCTGTTCTTGGCAAAACCTCGGAAAAGGAAGCCTGAGCTTGGAGGAAGCCGGTGGTTCAGCACCACCTGGGGCGAGCTCCTCCGGCCTCTGGCTGGGCAGAGCGGATGCAAAGGAGCCTGGAGTCCGCAGCGCTGAGGCCCTATCTCATCCGCTAGAAGGAAAACATTTGCGTGTGAGAGTTGACTCTGAGCTGCAAGGCATCGAAATCATCTACATTTTGTGAATATATACAGGATATCTGTAAACATCTATGTGACTCGCAGTATTTTTTGTAAACTGGCCAAACATATTCTATCTCATGTTGTCCATTTTGAGATCATGTTTTTTCTTCTCACATTAGATTTCATAAAAATCACAATCTATTCCAGGGTGATGTCAGAAGGATGTTACCCAAGAACACATCTGCCGACACTAGCTTAGTTCAATTACATTTATTTCAACTGAGCTTACATCAGTAAATATTTACTGGGCCCTAGTACATGCTGAGAAACTATGCTATTGGGTAGTCAGATAAAAGAGACAGTGGATTCGTTTTCTTGTGATTTATCGTATACATATACTTCGTTTCAATGAAATTCTTTTGCTTCAGATGACCCTTTTGAAATTTTTTCTAATGTTCTTGGAATATTCCACGAAAAAACCAAACTGCGTCCAAAGAACTGCTTCTATAGGAATATTCCATCCATATCATTTTTGTTTGCATTTCAATAGATTACAGTTTTTACAAGAGATCATGGTTTTAACAGTATTGGGTCACTGTATCCTCTGTAGGTTTCCCTTATAGGAAGTGGTTTCTTATAGCCATTTCAGTCACTTAATGACAGTGATTTGTGCCCTTAAAATTTTAGGGAATGATCCTTTTCCAGTTTGTCATGATGTGTATATTTCATTCTTTTTACTAATCCAGAAACTAGCTGTCAACCGTGATCCAACAGTATAATTAGTTCTTAGGAATTCCTCTCTCACAGGTAACTAGGTTTTACACACACACACACACACACACACACACACACACACACACACAACTTTGCATTTGGATTTAAATGTTCAGGACTCCATTGTTGCCAGATTTCCTGTCTCAAGACTATCAATTCATTTGAATAATCAGCAAAATCATCAGCCTCCTTTCAGCCTCTAAACTGGATTTAAAAGATTGACGTTTCTTAAAACTCAAATCGAGTCGGGCTGCAACTGCATGCCCAGAGGGACCTGAATCATACACACACTGGATAATGAAATACACTTAGATTTTATTAGTGGGTAATTCATGCTCAGAATCTTGGAACAATAATATAATTAAATAAACAACTGGGAGAAGGAACCAGATAAGTCAGGAGGTAAAATTATTTAGCTAAAGTTAGAATGGAAGTAAGGAACTGCATTTCAAAATTTTGAATTCAGCCATTAACTTGTGGAAAGAGAAGAGATAGAGAACCAAGTACCAGGACTGGCAAGGAAGGAGGGCAAGAGTCTTTCAGCAGTAATGTCATCAATGCAGTAGGCAGAAAGGTTGTTGTTGTATGTGTGTTTCTTGTGTCAGGAATCACAGAAAGAGGTGCATCCAATTCAGGGTGTGTGAATGCATAAAGATCATCAACACTTTCTCATTAATGTCCCTTAAAAGTTAATCACTTTAACCCCACAATTTTCTCTCACTTCACACAAAATCAAATAAAACGATATATATTTTTCTTTTACAAAAGGCAGTGAAAAAGCGGTTAAAGCATGGATTAAATTGAAATTTTTCAGTGAGCCTTTGACATTCAAGAATAACTCAGTCACTTCATTCTACTGATTAAGTATTGCTTTTCTTTCATGGAGATAAAATAATTTCTCATACTCAAGCAACCTTCTTGATCCTCATTTCTAGAGGATTCTAGAAAACAGCAAATGGAGCACACTGAGCCTGCAACTTTGGGGAGTGGCAGGACAGAGTGGAAGGGGAGAGGCTTGTAGCTGTCGTTTCAGGACCCTTCAAAAAAGAGCTCTAAAAGAAGTGGTGGGAGCTTTAACACATTGCAGAGTACTGTCTCCCAGGCTGTTCACCCTTCTGAAGGGGGGTTCCTGAAGGGCAAAGGCTGGTCTGATTACATGCATCTTTCCAGAGCCTCTCACCAGGCCTGGCGCCAGTGGAGGCTCAATAAATGTTTGTGGAAAGATGGGGTGGAGAGATAAAGCATAATATAAATATGAATGGGTTTCTTCAGCAGAACTTGAGACAATGGGAAATGGGAGACCCTGGTTTATAGGTGGAAATTCCCAAGAAATGAGAAAAAAAAAATCAAGGCAAAATAATGCAGTTGATAGAGCAAATATTTCCTCCTCTACATCAACTTTTGGTTAGCTTCACGGGCGTGTGCACGCCCAGGGATAGGGAGACAACTTTAGGACTATATAAGTATTGCCCAAAATGGGATTCTTGTGTTTCAGAGACTAACTTCAAGGGGAGGGCGCCATGGACAGAGCTGTAAAGATCTTTCCCGCTTTCTATGAAGAGGGCGGGCAGAGCGTCAGCCCCTAGAAAACTACATTTCCCAGAATGCCATACGCAGGCGGGAGAGGGCATGAACAGAGCCTTGGCGCGATGCTCCTTGGGAGGTGTAGTTTCCACGCGTCCAGCTCGAACGCTGATGCCCCAGCGCGGTGGTAAAATGAGCCCACGTGATCGGAAAAGCAGCGGTTTCCCTTTGAGCCGGAACAGGATGACTGGGTTGACCGATGCTGGGCAGCTGAGCGGACCAATCGGCCCCCTAGACTGAGACGTTGGCGTTTGAAATCAGCCAATGGCAGGTCTACACTGGAGCTTCCTCTCCGCCTCCTTCGCCTAGCCTGCGAGTGTTCTGAGGGAAGCAAGGAGGCGGCGGCGGCCGCAGCGAGTGGCGAGTAGTGGAAACGTTGCTTCTGAGGGGAGCCCAAGGTAGGGAGGCGAGGCGACGGTGTGCGGGAGCGGGCTCTCCAGGGACTTCCCGGGTCCGCAACTGGCAGGGCCGTTCGATTCGCAGGGGATCCCGTTTCGTTTCTGTTGTTTTCCCTTTATTTTTAGGAGTGCCCGGGGCGACGGGACCCCGGGAGAGGGGAAAGGGAACAGTCTGGGGTCCGGGCATCGCTGTGGGCCGGGCTGGGTTTAGGGGGACGGCGGTGCGGGCTGGGCCGGTTTGGGCGCGGCGGGGGCCGGATGATGGGGCGAGTCCGGACCTTGGCGGGCGAGTGCTCGGCGCAGGCGCAAGCGCAGAGTCTCCTCGCGGTCGTCCTCTCGGCCCCTCCCTCTGGGGGGACCCCCAGTGCCAGGCTGTCAGTGCGCAGCCCCAGCCCGCGGGACCCCTGGGGACTCTGGGCGCCTGTTCTGCAGATGACCGGTTCTAACGAGTTCAAGCTGAACCAGCCACCCGAGGATGGCATCTCCTCCGTGAAGTTCAGCCCCAACACCTCCCAGTTCCTGCTTGTCTCCTCCTGGGACACGTCCGTGCGTCTCTACGATGTGCCGGCCAACTCCATGCGGCTCAAGTACCAGCACACCGGCGCCGTCCTGGACTGCGCCTTCTACGTAGGTGCCCTCCCGCCCTGCTCCTGCCCTCTTACTGTGTTAACGATTCTCCACGTGAGGAGCGTTTCTTTTCCAGTGTTGGGTAGAGGCGTCTGTCGGTGGGGTTATTTGGACAGTTCTTTAGCTTTTCAGGAGCATCTGCCTTGAACCTGTACCGTTTTGGGTTGGAGACATGCAGACATTGGAAACTCCGTCTCCCCTTTTCTGTTACACGCTTGTGGAGTAACTCTAAACTTTCTGAAAATACGATCATTATATTTGCAACAATACTGTTTTGGCTGCCGTATTGAAAGGAACCGTTTAGGGGAAATGTATGTTTACCCTCAGCTAGCGTGTTGGCTAGGATAAAGCAGCCCTCCTTTAATTTCCAGACACAGGAGTTTAGTGACCACTTGCTTTTTTATGCTGTTTTTTGGTTTGTTTACCATGAATAGTTGAGCCCAGTGCATATCCCGAGCATAAACTGAACACTTGCTTGTAGAAATAAGAATGTTGAAACCCTTTCAAAAGTTCTAGTTTTTAAACGGTTCAAAACTATTTTATAGGATCCAACGCATGCCTGGAGTGGAGGACTAGATCATCAATTGAAAATGCATGATTTGAACACTGATCAAGGTAATGTGACCATATCTTTACCAGTTTGTTTTCTTGGCTAGTGTTCTTAAGTATAAATGTTTATGTAGGAAGAGTGGTTCCTAAATTGCTTAGTTACTAAGTTGCTTAAGTACAGGTGGCTTGAATTTAGGATTTTTTTAATTTAAATGATAACCATTAAGTTACTGATTACAGAATATTATGCATGTATTTTTGCAGTAAAGCCAGTTATGGTCGCCATTGTCAGTGTTTACATAAATTGACACTCAAGTATTTGGCCTTTATTTTGTCCTTAGAAGTGGGCTGGATCCCAGACTGGCCAGCGTTTCATTAGGATTTTCCACTACAATGCTGATGTTTTGAGAGTTCAGTTTTTAGAAGCTAATTTAGTTTTCAGAAGCTAAAGGTAGATTTAAAACCTGACAAAAAATAGGCAATCATGTCTATATTAATTGTGTTTGTTTTAGGTATTTAGCAAAATATGTTTCCGTTGCATTTTTTGAATGAGTAACTAGATGATACATTTCCTTTCGGTTAAGTAATTTCTTAGAGATCCAGATATGAAATGACTTACTCAAATTTTTTTGGTGACATTGGCACAGTGTTAGAGATTGGACTGGAGCCCAAATGCATAGAGCTCTCTAGCTGAACATTTGTTTGCATGTGTATTCATCAGACATAGGTATTCTAAGGAGATAGGAGGGTACAGAGATATGACTAGAGAGAAGATGAGTTGAGCAACAGGAGAATGGATGGAGGATGGCCACATTTTGTCAAAAAACTAAGCACCCAATTAGAAGAGGCTTTTGCATGAAAGCTACTTCTTCTGTAACTTATACTGCAGGTATTGGGTTTTGTTTGCCAGTAGCTTACCCTGTGTAATAAGTAAGCTTGTAAGTCTAGGTTCTATTTGTTCAGAAACTTGTAGGGGTAGGGAGAAACACTGAAAAGCAAACGTCTCGATTTTCAGTGTTACATAGAGAATTAGCTGTTTATTCTATGAAAGTCACTGCCAAACTTCATGAAATCCTTTCTTTTTCTTTCTTGTTTTTTTTTTTGAGCTAGAGTCTCACTCTGTTGACCAGGCTGGAGTGCAGTGGTGTGATCTTGGCTCACCACAGCCTCCGCCACCCGCATTCAGGCAATTCTGCCTCAGCCTCCCGAGTAGCTGGGACTACAGGTGTGCGCCACCATGCTCGGCTAATTTTTGTATTTTTTAGTAGAGGCGGGGTTTCACTGTGTTGTCCAGGATGGTCTTGAACTCCTGATCTCGTGATCCGCCCACCTTGGCCTCCCAAAATGCTGGGGCTAATCTTACTGTTTGCAGGTCAGGACCATATATTGTTCATTCCTATATCCTTAGCAGTTGGCACAGATTCTGGTACATAGTAGATGTTAGTTGAAGGAATAAATGAGATATAGTGAGAAGGTTCAAATTGAAAAGAAAATGTCTATTGAAAATTTGAACCACAGTGGAACCAAGTGCAGTAATGAGAGGACTTCACTCCCAGTTCTCATAACCCTTTAGCCATGTAAATAAGTTTCTTAGCAGCATTGGCTTAATGTTCAACATAAATGTTGTTGATCCAGAAGACCAGAGTTCTCCATTCATTTGTTTATTCAACAGATATTTCTTGAGCACCTAGCCTGTACCAGACCTTGCACTAGATACGGGCAGAGATCACAGAGGTAAACGCAGTTCCTGATAGGAAATCTAGAATCAAGTGAGGAAGATAACAGACATGCCACTATGTTAATGTAATCTGAAATTCAAGACAGCCTTTGGTATGTGCAATACTAGTGAGTCATGTGAAGTGTGCACTGTAAGGTGAACAGAGAGGAACGGATAACTTTGTAGTCATGGAGAGATTTTTCTGTCTGTAGTAGACATTTCCATGGGGTTGGATGAGGCAAATTCATTACAGTTGAATGAATGTTTCTTTTAATTGTTTATTTTAGGAATCTTTAGTAAAGGTAGTAAGCTAGATGTTGGGGTTTTTTCCCCTTTTTTTTTCTCTATAGAAAATCTTGTTGGGACCCATGATGCCCCTATCAGATGTGTTGAATACTGTCCAGAAGTGAATGTGATGGTCACTGGAAGTTGGGATCAGACAGTTAAACTGTGGGATCCCAGAACTCCTTGTAATGCTGGGACCTTCTCTCAGCCTGAAAAGGTAGGCTCTTTATATTCATTGCAGGAGTTGATGGTTTTGGGGTGATTTTTGTCTTGGTGCATGATTGTTGACTATGCTTGTTGAATTTAAAGGTGAAAAGTCAACATGGGGGGAAAAAAGGTTGACAGTTGGTTTTATAAATCCAACTACATAGAAATGCTTTAATGCAAAAGAAAATTAACTTTGGGATTTTGGGCCAACTTTTATTTGTCAGTTGTTATATTTGCTTCCATGTATTGTTAATGCTTTAAATCGCAAAATTGAGAAGCAACTCACTGCCTTTTCAGAGAAGTCATTTAGCAGACTGTTCGATTGTCTTAAATTGACGCTCCATCCCAAACCAGAAGATTGGATGGAGCATCACTTATTTTCATTTGTTATCTGAGGTTTCTTTGGGTTGACTGTTGAGAGGGCAAAATGGGTTATCATTTCAAGTTCAGTAAGAAAGGTGTTTTATGTTCCCTGGCTTGTACTGTTCGTATATTTATTTTTTAATACTGACAGATGTAGTTTCAAGGCACCTTAGTGAACAAAGCTTTTTAAAACCAAAACTTTGTGTATTATTCTAACCTTTTGATCTGTATGATAAAAGTGTAATTGAGCTTTCCTTCTGTATCCTCATCAGACTTTATCAGGTGGTAGTTAATTTTAAAGATTGATTGTTTAAGCAGTTTAAAGGTATCCCTCACTTGAGTCTATTTCCTCAGCGTGAATATACTATTCAATTCCTGTTAGCCATCATTATTTACAATAGTGCATCCAAAGAGCCATTATTTTTGTCACATCACAGTCGAATCTACTCCTGGCAAGACCTTTGTTCAGAATAAAATAATTGCATTGTTTCTAGTTTTGATTTATGGTTGTATGTAACATGTTAAGAACTGTGATAAATTGCTGACAGAATATCATATAATGGACAGCCACACTGAATCAAGCTGCTTATTGGTTCAGCAAGGTTCATTATGTCACTTTTTTTAATACTTTCTTTGATAAATGTATATACCTAGTCAGTAGCATGACAGTGGTTTCACTTGATTTATGATCAGTGGGGATAGAAAGCACTATTAGAAGCTTGTGTGTCACCTATATAGTAAAGATTTAAGATAAAATTCCCAGTATGATTGTACCATTATAAATCGATCTCTTTCTGGATTCTTTATTTTTAAAGTTTGGTACTTTATACATCTTAATTTTCATTTTACTGCAAACATTTTGTTTTCTGAGTAAGCTATGATAAATCTTAACATTTCTGACATTTATATCTGCTTATATTAAATCTATTGTTTTGAATCTTAATTTTAATTCCTTATTTTTCCCTTGGTCACATTAATTGTTGAATTTTAAGGCCAGATTCTAGAGAGGGGTGGGACATGGCGTTGTTAAAGCTAACTTGGTTCTTCAGCTGATGGTATGTGGTTAACATACTAGTGATTATTAACATATGGCTTAAGTACTGAATGTTGAAGAGACATCATCTTACCTTGCCATGGGGCCTCTCTGCATTTTTTATGGCAGTTCTTCAGGTTTGAAAATGCTAAGTCAGATTAGAGTTTCTTATTAATTGAAAATAATAGAGCACAGTTGTGAATCGCAAGTCTAGATTTTTAAAAAGTGACTGAACATGATCAGGAGAATATTTTTTTGCCACCTTTTTAATGAGTTGGCTACCTCTGTTTTGTTTCCAAGTAACACTATATTTGCAAATAAACCACTAAATGTTTGCTTGTAGGAAATTCTATGGTTTATTATAAAGGAATTTTTGTGGAAAGTTTAATATTGAAGAAAGACATTATAAGGGGAAAAATAGGGGATACACTACTTTTAAAAATTTTCCCTAATGTTGAACTTCTATCTTGAATGCATAGTATTACATCAGGGCACAAGAATTGCTTTGTCATATGTCAGACCACTATCTTGTCTTTTAATTTTGAGTTTGTATGCCACCAAAGGCTGCTAAACATCTAATTAGTGGTGGCTCCCTCACCCTTCCTGGAAAGGCCTATTTATTCCATGTAACAACTGGGGAAAAAAAATCAAGATTTTTAGAGTTGCAAAATGAAATATTCTAAAAGGTGGTTTTAGAAAAATAGTTTTGAAAATGATTGTTTTATGAAAAGCCAGAAACCCATTAAGCTCTACCTTGAATTATTTTATGGCTCTATTATCTCATTTTTGAATTTTTTTTTACACTTTTATGTTGTCTCTAAATGAAACATGAAGGCTAGGAAAAATAGTTTAATTTGTTTTAGTAATGGAGAGAATTAAGACTTCAAAAGCTCCTTTACAGAATTACTTAGAATGTACATTATATGATGCTTGGTGAAGTATGGAGAGCATCATGGGTTTGCTATTTTATGTGAATTACTTGGTTTGAATAATTGCAGTATCTAAAATTGTTATCTGTGATTGGGGAATTCAGTCAGCTAATTTTTTATGGTCTTATGATCAGATGGACTTTATTTTGGGGCAAAATGCCATTTTCAGGCAAGAAGGTGATTTTTAGCAAGTTTTGATCTTTTTTAAAAGGTATATACCCTCTCAGTGTCTGGAGACCGGCTGATTGTGGGAACAGCAGGCCGCAGAGTGTTGGTGTGGGACTTACGGAACATGGGTTACGTGCAGCAGCGCAGGGAGTCCAGCCTGAAATACCAGACTCGCTGCATACGAGCGTTTCCAAACAAGCAGGTATTGAACTATACCTCCTCTTCTTTCTGGAATTTGAAAATAATATGATCTTATATTATAATGATTTGGCCACTAGCCCCTAAAGCCTTCTTTTTTTTTTTCAGTAGTGATTTAGAATTTGCTGTTAGGTGTATTCTTCCTTGATATTTTTGACAGCCATGTGTTAACAGGAAGTGCGTTAACCCCCATTTTAGAGACGACCTTGATGTTCAGAGAGACCAAGTAATCTGCTCAGGAAGTGGTTTGAATAGAGGAGGTTTTCTGACCTTTTGTTGATCCTGGTCCAGGATGCTTCATAGGTATACAGTAATCAAAGAGCGCTTTGCAGATATTTCAGTTTACAAAATGCTGAATTAAAATTTATATCTGGATTTTAAGCTTATGGAATTTGCTGTTTTCTTTTTGCCTTTTTGTAACCCTAATGCTTATGGAGTTCTTTCCCCAGTTTGACAATAGAACTTTGATAGTTTTTTTTTTTCTTAAACTCAACTGAGATTAGAGAGGCAGGGCCCCTCTTATGACTGACTCTTGATGTACAGGGTGGGTCACCTTCCATCATCGCTAAATGATATTAGCCTGTTTATTAGTGAGCTCCCTCCTCCCTCAAGTCCTTAAAGTTCTAAGAGGAGATGGTGGTGTGGTCAGGTGCAATAGGAATTTTGCAAGAGGAAAAGTCATTAAAAACAGAAGGTGTCTCTGGTATCTTATGGCTGTCCTTTGGTGGTTGTAGAACTTGAAGCAGGTATGTTATTCTCTTTGCTTTTTAACCTGCAAAGGCCAGTACCTCAAATGGTGATCACAGTTCCTTTTTTTTTAGGAAATTGTAAGTTTCCATCGAAGATAAAGAATTGCAGTTATGTGAAACTTCAGAGATTTAGATATGTGATTAAAATATGCTTACATTGTGAACATTATTTTAATGCCATTATATCTAATATTTTATATAGGATTATTTCTACTTTGTAATGGAAGTTAAAAAGTAGGATTTTACTGACTTATATATTTCTTCATAAACAGTTTTCAGGAATAAATCTTTTTCATACCTTGAAGGATTAAAAAATCATAGATTTCATATTTGGTGTGTTAGCTCTTATTTTTTAAGATACTGTCATTTCAACGAAAGATGAAAAAACGTTTAAAATTGTAAACCACTTTTGAATGTCCCTGAAAGTCTTTGTGCAAACCTGACTTGCTGTATTAAATGCAAGAAGTAGTATGACTGAGATGGAAGACTGGTGTTCTAGTTGATTTGGATTATTGATGCCCCCAATGAAGGAAACACAATTCTTAACAGTTGTTCGCGATGAAGAGGCACAGAACATAGAAGAATATATTTTAACTGAGGGAACAAATTTGAGTCTGCTGGGCAGGACAACAAATAAGCGACACTAAAACACTTTAAATTTTTGTTTAGGTTTGATGCAGTAACTAGATATTTTTTATTGTAATGTGCAAGGCCCTGGTACCTGTGAGGAAAGCATGTGATGAGTCTTATTTTCTTTTTAAAGTCGTCATAACCATGTTAGTACAGCCTAAACACTTCATTAAAGCCTGCTGTACTTCTCATTTCTGAAATAATCACTCTTTAGTGTGGGTTGAATTTGGGAATTAGCACCTTGTTTTTGGAAGCTGGAATTTACCATTTTTTTCCTCTGGTTCTCTCTTGGCAGGGTTATGTATTAAGCTCTATTGAAGGCCGAGTGGCAGTTGAGTATTTGGACCCAAGCCCTGAGGTACAGAAGAAGAAGTATGCCTTCAAATGTCACAGACTAAAAGAAAATAATATTGAGCAGATTTACCCAGTCAATGCCATTTCTTTTCACAATATCCACAATACATTTGCCACAGGTAAAGTATGGCATGCTGACCTATATTTAATTATTATACTATTTGGTGCTTGCTTTTTATGGTATTTAGTGAAAAAAAATCTGTACAGTGCTTTAGGGAAATGTAACTTCTATGACCTTAAAAATTAACTGTTAAGAGAATGGTTATTTCTGTATCTGGTGTTAAGAACCATTTTAACTGTTTTGAAATTACTTCCAGGTGGTTCTGATGGCTTTGTAAATATTTGGGATCCATTTAACAAAAAGCGACTGTGCCAATTCCATCGGTACCCCACGAGCATCGCATCACTTGCCTTCAGTAATGATGGGACTACGCTTGCAATAGCGTCATCATATATGTATGAAATGGATGACACAGAACATCCTGAAGATGGTATCTTCATTCGCCAAGTGACAGATGCAGAAACAAAACCCAAGTGAGTATGCTTCACCTGTATTTGAGCCTTTTCTTGCATTCAACCCAGGATTTATTAATTTTTCTAAATTCATGAATAGCATTGTTGATGCCTGCTCGATATTACAGCTGACTGTAGGGTTGGAGTTGATGTTATCATGTTCTCCCAAGCTTTCAATATCCGTAGGTTGATAGACGTCTGATGGATAAAATTGTGCCTAGTTGTTTTGTAGAGAAGAATGTCAAACTCTTATTCTTCTTGAATAGGCTCTATTATTTGAATCTCTGGAGTTATTACCAGCTCATTGCTTCAAAATTAAGTTGAGGAATTCAAGAATAATTTATTTTAGTAAATTCTATTTAAGATGTTTAAGAATTTGAACTGCCAAAAATCTTTCCTCTCCACAGAGGTTGTTTCTTTAATATTAACACAAAGTAAGTGACCTTCAGGTCTTATTGGAAACTCAGAGTAATATGGCCTTGCCTGGAATTGCAAATTTCCTTAGTTTTGAAATTTTCATAGATGTCTTTGGTTCTTGGTTGTAACTGTTGACTGAGAAGAGCCATTTACATTTTTTGATACCAACAGGGCAAAGCTTTTTACTTAATTACCTCTACCAGGCTTTAAGGGAAATCTGATACTTCAGCATGTGTTAAACTATAAAATACCTACTCCAAGTATCTGCCCAGTTCCTTGTCCCCTCTCCCCAGGCCCTTAAAGGAAGTTCTCGATACATATTTGTAGAATAACTGAATGTTTTCAGGATTCCTGTACTTTGCTGAGTTAAAATGGATATGGTACCCTTGCTGATTGGTTGAGCCCCTAAGAGGGGGCAGAATATTAAATATTCCATATCAGATATGCTTTTACAGGTTTGACTTTAGAAAAGTCTTAGCATGTGAAGCCTGTTGGATAAAGGGCTGTGTTTGCATTTAATCTGTCACTTTTGTATCTCCTGTCCTGGCTGGCCATTTTGATCTCATGCTGTTCTTTTTTTCTTTTGAACTTGTAGGTCACCATGTACTTGACAAGATTTCATTTACTTAAGTGCCATGTTGATGATAATAAAACAATTCGTACTCCCCAATGGTGGATTTATTACTATTAAAGAAACCAGGGAAAATATTAATTTTAATATTATAACAACCTGAAAATAATGGAAAAGAGGTTTTTGAATTTTTTTTTTTAAATAAACACCTTCTTAAGTGCATGAGATGGTTTGATGGTTTGCTGCATTAAAGGTATTTGGGCAAACAAAATTGGAGGGCAAGTGACTGCAGTTTTGAGAATCAGTTTTGACCTTGATGATTTTTTGTTTCCACTGTGGAAATAAATGTTTGTAAATAAGTGTAATAAAAATCCCTTTGCATTCTTTCTGGACCTTAAATGGTAGAGGAAAAGGCTCGTGAGCCATTTGTTTCTTTTGCTGGTTATAGTTGCTAATTCTAAAGCTGCTTCAGACTGCTTCATGAGGAGGTTAATCTACAATTAAACAATATTTCCTCTTGGCCGTCCATTATTTTCTGAAGCAGATGGTTCATCATTTCCTGGGCTGTTAAACAAAGCGAGGTTAAGGTTAGACTCTTGGGAATCAGCTAGTTTTCAATCTTATTAGGGTGCAGAAGGAAAACTAATAAGAAAACCTCCTAATATCATTTTGTGACTGTAAACAATTATTTATTAGCAAACAATTGATCCCAGAAGGGCAAATTGTTTGAGTCAGTAATGAGCTGAGAAAAGACAGAGCATATCTGTGTATTTGGAAAAATAATTGTAACGTAATTGCAGTGCATTTAGACAGGCATCTATTTGGACCTGTTTCTATCTCTAAATGAATTTTTGGAAACATTAATGAGGTTTACATATTTCTCTGACATTTATATAGTTCTTATGTCCATTTCAGTTGACCAGCCGCTGGTGATTAAAGTTAAAAAGAAAAAAATTATAGTGAGAATGAGATTCATTTCAATGTAATGCACTAAAGCAGAACACGAACTTAGCTTGGCCTATTCTAGGTAGTTCCAAATAGTATTTTTGTTGTCAAACTTTAAAATTTATATTAATTTGCAAATGTATGTCTCTGAGTAGGACTTGGACCTTTCCTGAGATTTATTTTATCCGTGATGTATTTTTTTTAATTCTTTTGATACAGAGAAGGGTCTTTTTTTTTTTAAGTATTTCAGTGAAAACTTGGTGTAAGTCTGAACCCATCTTTTGAAATGTATTTTCTTCATTGCAGGTCCACCTAATCATCCTGTGAAAGTGGTTTCTCTATGGAAAGCTTTGTTTGCTTCCTACAAATACATGCTTATTCCTTAAGGGATGTGTTAGAGTTACTGTGGATTTCTCTGTTTTCTGTCTTACAAGAAACTTGTCTATGTACCTTAATACTTTGTTTAGGATGAGGAGTCTTTGTGTCCCTGTACAGTAGTCTGACGTATTTCCCCTTCTGTCCCCTAGTAAGCCCAGTTGCTGTATCTGAACAGTTTGAGCTCTTTTTGTAATATACTCTAAACCTGTTATTTCTGTGCTAATAAACGAGATGCAGAACCCTTGAATGTTGGATGTTTTTGAATGTTGGTAATTAATATAATTTACTTAAAAAGGCTTGTGTAAGGCAAAACTCGTCATCACAGGCATGTTGGGGGATGACATTTTACCTTTAAGTCCACTCTCCCTCGTTTAATTGTCTCCTCTGATGTGTGTTGGGGATTCAGTCCTGCATAAAGTGATTTGTTGGAGTTCAGCCATTTCCCTCATGCCCCCTTGTGCCCTCTCGGTGGATCAGCAGGGCCTTTGAGCCAAGTGTGCAGCTTCACTCAGGATGGGCAGAGACTATGTGGCAGCCTCTGGGGACCTTTTGGCTCAGTGCTTTACTAGTGCCAGCGCAGTAGTGCTTAGGTAGCTTGTGCATCCCCGTGTTGATGTAGTCATAGTCCACACAGAGCCAAATAACAGACCCTTCTGTACTTAGCCATCAAATACTAAATCACAGTGAAGCCCTTGGGAAGGTAAATAATGTAATAGCCAGGGACTGATGGTATTAGTTCTTTAGTGTGATTATGTGCTTCTAAAAGTCCCTAACCACTTGGTTGAGGACAGACCATAAGTTTAAAACATTGTATAAGTGAAAGAATTAATATAGTATTGTTATAGGTAACCAAATTATAGTAATGTGGACTTGTTTTTGAGGTGGTGAGGGAGGGCTTATTTTGTGGTTCCATCTGGATGTCCTCTTGTCTCTGGAAATCAAGTGTGCCTCCCTGCCATCTCTACATACCCCTTAACCAGCTCTCCACAATTTACTTGTTTATGGTTATAGCTACCTTTTCCCCAAGTTACCCAGGTGTAGTTACCTTGGCCTTCTCATTGGTTTCCCTCACCCACATTCTTTAAGTGTCTCTTCTGTTTATCTTTTCTTCCTACTGCTACCATCCCAGGGCCTTTTGGGTGAATGTGGCAGCCTCCAATTTCTGCCTTAAGTCCTCCATCTAATAGAGTAGTGACTTTTGAACCTTGTAGTTGTGACCCAAGTAAGAAATACATTTTGAACTACAGTTCAGAACACAGAGGTCAGTATATTATACATGACAGAAGGATCCTGAAATATGACTTGCCCTTCTTGCATGCGATGTATCTGGTGCATGTGTGCATTTTTTTCTTTGCTTTTTAAGAAATCCTGGCTATGTCACCTTGAATTGATTTTACAACAAATGCCTGTCACCTGTAATTTGCAAAAACTGCTTGATCAGATTCTAAAAAATTTCTAAAAGATTTTTAAAAAATGTATTCTGATGTCATACTTGGAATCCTCCACTGCTTCCTGTTGCTCATAGTCACCCTTCAGTGATTTCATAAGGAGGTGTGCTGCTTCCCAAGCTTCTAGATCATCAGGAAGGGGCCGCGGACTGTAAGGTGCTCTCAGAAGATGGGACTAACCTTTGTTGGGAATATAAATAAGTGGATGGGATGGGAAGTGACAGCAATATCTGGTTCTGAGTTCTGTTGTGTAAAAACTTAAAGGTATATTAGCAGGTTAGCCTTTGTTCTGTGGGAGATCCAGGCCTTGTTAGAAGGACCAAGGCCAGAATGCCCAGTTTAGCCTTAGCATTCAAACCCTTCATTGTTTTTCCTCCATTATCTGTTAAACTCCTGCTTTGCCAAAGGTATCTTCTATACCCTAATAACACTAGCTTCCTTCCCTCAGTGGGGACTCAACGCACATTAGCCTACTGAGAGCTTAGATCACTACAACGAATCCTTGTAAATTTGTTTAACTCAGTTTTCCCCAAATTCATTTAAGCCGGTTCTACTTTTTCTGGTCTTGTTCCCACAATCATTTTACCTTTTACCACTCCCCCAGAAAACACTGGGGTTCTTCTCTTACGCTGAGAGCCAGGTTACTTTCTTCACTATCACTCCGACGCTTGTGTTGATTCCCAAATCTCAGTCTGCCCAGGGTCATTCTCTTTCTGAATTGCTCTTTCAGGATTTAATTTGAATCCTGCAAAGTCCTGTTCAAGGCCCCCTTTTCCATGAAGCCCTTCTTCCTTGTTGCAGCTCACAAATAAGTGTGCCCTTTCTCAAAACACGTATGAAACACCTCCTGCTTGTATACCTTTAGCAGTAGTTCCTCATATTGCCTGGCATTTAAACATTTTTGTATGCGTACATCTTGCTTTCCTACTTAAAGCAAGAGCAGGACCACATCTTTTTGTATGCTCTGGCACATGACTGTTGGACCACTTTGATATTGCTGAATTATATAGACTCCTTTTAAAATAATTTGAAATATAATTTTGGAGTATAGACATCTTGTCCAGTGCACTAGACAGGTGACCTTTGGCTTTGTTCATTAAGCATTTAGTGTCTTAGAAGTGATATGTTTACTGCAGAAAAATTTGGATAGCATGCAAAAAATGAAACATACTATCACAATCCTATGATATAACTTAAAAATTTCTTTATAGCTTCATGGAGGTATTTGATGAAAATTGTATATATTTAAGGTATATAATGTTTTGATACATGTATACATTGTGAAATGATTACCACAAGGAGGTTACTAAACATCTCCATCACCTTGTTAAATTGAGTTAAACAAATTTACAAGTTGACAAATTACATTTACAAATTTATGTAATTTTTTACGCTTTTTTTTTTTCTCCTTTTTCTGGAGAACGGGGTCTCGCTATACTGCCCAGGCAGGTCTCGAACTCCTGGGCTCAAGCTATCCTCCCGCCTCTTGCCTCCCTAAGAGCTGGGATTATAGGCGTGAGCCACCCCACCCGGCCTATGTCATTTTTTTATGTGGTGAGAATAAATAATCTCAGCAAATTTCAAGTATACAATTCATTATTACTAAGATAGCCACCACACTGTATGTCAGGGCTCCAGAACTTACTCATCTCATAGGAGGCAGCTACTTTTAACATTCTTGGTGTATATCCATCCTTCAGGATTTTCTGTATATTTCTCTAACAGCAAAAGTTTTTGTTAGCTACATCATGTGAAATGCCTGGGTAGACAAATTTAAAGATGTTATTTGGGATGGTGTGACTTGCACAAGCCACACAGCCTGCATGGTGTCCACTTTGAGGGGGATGCCCATAGCTATACTTAGAAGTCATCCTCTAGAGCAAGCTTGTCCAATTTGTTGTCCATGGGCCACATGCTGCCCAGGATGGCTTTGAAGGTGGCCCAAAACAAATTCATAAACTTTTGTAAAACGTGAGATTTTTTGTGATTTTTTTTTTTTCGAGACACAGTCTCGTTCTGTCGCCCAGGCTGGAGTGCAAGTGGCGCGATCTCCGCTCATTGCAAGCTCCGCCTCTCGGGTTCAAGCAATTCTCCTGCCTCAGCCACCCGAGTAGTTGGGATTACAGGCACCCGCCATCACGCCCGGCTAATTTTTGTATTTCTTTTAGTAGAGACCGGGTTTCATCATGTTGGCCAGGTTGGTCTTGAACTCCTGACTTCAGGTAATCCGCCCTCCTTGGTCTCCCAAAGTGCTGGGATACAGGCATGAGCCACTGCACCCAGCTGTGACTTTTTTTTTTTTAAGCTCATCAGCTATTGTATTAGTGTATTTTATGTGTAGCTCAAGACAATTCTTCCAGTGTGGACCAGGAAAGCCAAAAGATTGGACACCCCTGCCCTAGAGCATCTGACGCCTGGATACAAAAGAGCCTGTGGCTATGACTATCAGGATTCTGGCCATGAGGAATTCCATGACATGGAGGGAAAATGGCAACTTCAAATTTGCACCCCCAGGTATCATGTGGGCAGGTGCTCCATGTGGCTGGTGATAGTTGTGAGTGAGCCTTGCACGGGCTTTCCCCCTATCGGCTGTTCCAGAGCGAGAGGCTGCAGGTGTCCACTTACGTACCTGTGGCTAAGATGCGCCTGAGCAAGTGAGGGCCAGTTAGTATACATAATTTTTACAAAATTTGGATCATATTACATAAATATCTTGCTTCATGCACTTAATATGAAATTTTGCCCATGATTTATTTTTTACCTTATTTTTAAGGGCCACCTAGTTAGAATTTGATTATTTGAGCAACTATTTAGTGCCTGTGATGTGCCAGCCACTGCTAGGTTCTGGGGCTCAAAACACTGTGACAGATGCTGTGATACCACAACGTGGCCACATTTTGTTTTCAAGACCTTGGCCAACCTTTGGTCTTCACAGCCACTGCCCTGGTAGTAAGGGACTTAGTTAAGTTTGGTGACTGCTTGAAGTCTAAGATCACCAAAGTGGCTAATGCAGGCACTGTGACAATCTGGGCACTAGGAAAAGCAATGTGGGCAGAAATTCCTTGTTCGAGAGCCTTCTGGTTATACTTTAAAAAGAAGGGAGCCTAGCATCTTGTCAAATCTTTGAGCCCACTCACTCAGAGGGCCTGTCACTCATCCAGAATTGAATCTGCTGGTTTAACAGGTCAGGCAGTGTGATTTGACAGCGTGAATCTTAGAGTCCAGCCTTTGAACCTGGCGCTGAATCCTGACTTTACTGCTTATTCAGGGGGCCACTAGCTAAGTTAATTTGTGAGCCTGGGCAACATGGCGTGACCCATCTCTACAAAAGATACAAAAATTAACTGGATGTGGTGGTGCATGCCTGTAGTTCATAGCTACTCTGGAGGCTGAGGCGGGAGGATAACCTGAGTGCGGGAGGTTGAGGTTGCAGTGAGCTGAAGTTGCACCACTGCACTCCAGCCTAGGTGACAGAGTGAGACCTTATCTTAATCTAAAAAATAAAATTTCTGAGCCTTATTTTCCTCATCTGTAAAATGAAGAGAATACCTAGCTCATGGAGTTAGGAACAAGTATGTTAAATATTTATCAGAGTGTGCCTGACAGTGAGTTGAAAATATCTACTCTCTTTGGATGAAAAATATTTAACACTTCACTCTCAGATATAATTATTAGCTGACTTTTTAGATTCTTTTTTCTTTTACATGATGTAGTTCTCAGATATATACGGGATTTCTAGTTCTTAAATGCCAGTATTTTTTTTCTGTTAAAATATTTATGAACTATTTCAAACATTCAGAAAAACTCAGGATCATACCCATAAACCCACTGTTTAGATTTTAAAAAGTTCAATGTTTTTCTGTATTTTATCTCTTCATTTTAAAATAAAGTTTTGCACATGTTTGAAGCCTCATTTGTACCCCTCCCTCGCCCCATTTCCATTTTCCACTTTTCTTCAGTGTTGTGCCCATTTATGCTTTTTTTGCTTATATAGTATCCATATAAAATACGGGCTTTGCATTTTTTGCAAGTTTGTATAAATGGTAACTGGTAACCGTTTCTATCCCAGAATAAGCCCACCCCTATTTAACATCAAGTGTGGTTAATAAGATGTAGGAAAGGGAAAGGGACAAAGCTACAATCCATCACTGACCGGGAAACAACTTAGCAGCAGCAAGGTTGGGCAGGGGAGTGGCGGAGCTGAGCGCCCCCTCCTTTGAGGTCAGCCACCATTTTTGTAATGGAATGGCAATTGTCTCTGACTTGGTGAAAACTGCATAATCAAACAGAAATTGTTCTTTTCCTCAGGAAACTATGTGAGCATGTTAGTATTCAATAGATAAGGTGGATTAAAAACAACATCTGTGTTGACATCTGAGGAGCAAACACAGCGCCAGTTTCATGGTTCTTCTCTCCTTTGACTTCCCCACTTCAGTCTTTGAAATGTCTCTGGGTAGCCCATCTTTCACTTGGGAAAGTACTGATTTATGCTATTAAGACTAGTTATAGCAGTTTCCTTTCAGAATGGCACCTGGCTATGTTGCCTTTGGAACTAGCACTGAGAGAAATGAAAGAAAGCTGCTGTACCTGTGGCCGCAAATACCAATTGCGCCATTGAGTACAAAGGCACTTTCCCCTTGATCAGTGGTGTGTTGTAACGGTGCTTTCATTTTCGAAGGATGCCCACAGAACTTGTCCTGGGGTGGTTGTAAGGCACTTAGTTGGGAATCATTTTGTGTCCTGATGAAAAAAAAATCAGAAGATAAAAACTAGACTGTACTGTGATTTATAGAGGGCTGTAATTGGGAGAACATGACGTGAGTTGGCCCACCCATTTAATATAACTCATGATTTGGCAACTGGTCTTCAGACTTATTTATTTATTTATTTATTTTTTAAGTACAATTTCCATTTTATTTTTTCTCCAGAGAATAGTCTGTCTTCAGTCTTTAAGGACTCAGCTCCTTATATGGGCTTTGGTAGGGGAGGTGGGGCAGCACCCGCAGGTCTAAATCGGGGTGGGGGTGTTCGGTCCTTGCGGGCTTCACAAGATTGATTCCTGACTACTTTGTTGTGAATTGCACAACTCACACAGTAATGTAGCTTCACATACAGCTTGGGAAGCACATAGGCATCGAAGATGCCCGCTTCAGAAATGTCCCTGACTGCTGCGGCCTCCACTATGTTTCGAATGACGAATTTCTTAATGGCCTTGTCCTTGGGCACGCATTGGGCACAGTTAGTGCAGCAAATAGGCTGCACGTGGCCATGGCCCTTTTTGGCACGACCGTTGTTCCTTCTTTTGTCATCTTGGAGGCACAGACTGGAGAGACTTCAGACTTATTTTAAATGAAAAGCAATTGGTTTTATTTTGTTGTTTTGCTTTCCTTAAATACACCACTGGTATGACTTTCCAAATCGCCTGACTTGAATAGAAAAAAGGAAAATGAAATGCTTTACTGAGCTTTATTTTAGCAGGTGTCAAATTTCAGTAATTGAAGGTTCATTTCCAATGGTTTACTTCATTAACTAATTTCCCAAGAAATATTCTTTCACCTCTGACCATACTAGCCAACTCTGTGCAGTTAACACAAACCTGAAGAAGCCATACAAATTATACCTACTGGTCTCAGAAGCACCTAAGTTTGCTTTTCCAATGTTGTAACAAAGTACCTTTCATCCCCTTTATAGGACTCTGTTATAGGCTATTGCAGTAATTTAAAACCTATGTACCTAGACTCCTGACCTTGTTATAACATCACTTTATAATTCTCAAAATACTTGGCTCTTGAAGATTTTCTTAGCACCAGCCATGTATTCTTAAAGAGCCCAGACGATTTGTCTTCAGTGTTATATTACCCTCCTCAGCTGCTAAGACCTAACATTCTTATTGAATTGTCTGACAAAAAATCCTTCAGTTCCTTCATCATTTCACAGGCTAACATGGCATTCAGTTATTAGCATTCTCCACGTAAAGAAATACCCTCGCACGGAATAGTAGCACTGTATGCCTTCATCAAGCTTTGGATATAGAAGCAACTCTCTTGATGGGTTCACTGTTAGTTCATCAAAATTGCTGGTCATATGGAGAAACACAGCTTTCCATATGTGACTCTAGCATAAAGGTGATCATGGAAATGGAGGACAAGTATACCAATAAGCTTCTCAACACAATACGTTTTGTTTCTCCTGTTCATCAGGTGAACGTGGACCTCAGTTGCTAGTAGAAGTCTAGAATGGGCATTATTCATTGAGAGCTTGTTACTTGGTAGCTTGGCTTTCTGGTCACTTTAGTTATACTAATGGAATACATATTGTTAATTGTGTACTGTTAGAATGTGGACTTCACCTTTGTTTTGCTTAGCTTTGCAATAGGACATACTATCTCAAAACATCCCGTACTTGTGTTGCCATCCATTACCCAGGGTTTTGCTTTTGTTTATTTATTTATTTTTTTTGAGATGGAGTCTTGCTCTGTCATCCAGGCTGGAGTGCAGTGGCACGATCTTGGCTCACTGCAAGCTCCGCCTCCTGGGTTCATGCCATTCTCCTGCCTCAGCCTCCCGAGTAGCTGGGACTACAGGCGCCTGCCGCCATGCCCGGCTAACTTTTTGCATTTTTAGTAGAGATGGGGTTTCATCATGTTAGCCAGGGTGGTCTCGATCTGACCTTGTGATCCGCCCGCCTCGGCCTCCAAAAGTGCTGGGATTATAGGCGTGAGCCACCACGCCCGGCCCAGGGTTTTGCTTTTGACTCAACTGTAAAGCTATTGAAAAGTTAGATCAGTTGCATTTATTTGGACTCCACTGACACAGAATATGATAAATTGACATGACAGGAAAAAAATCAAATGAGATTACAGAGGATATCCTAACTCCTAAATTGTGAATTCTTTATAGATTTTAACACATTGTTAATAATAATAGTGATATTTGACCTGTATATTGAACAAGACCTCTGTGTGGAAACACTTGACTAGCTGTCTGCATTACTGAGGTTGGACACATTTAATATTTCTAGGAAAACACTTTTTGGCTGAAAACAATAAATCAGTTTGATTCACCCAAGACCTCCAATTCAGGACAACCCTATGGAAACATGCAGGGAAACTAGCCTATGTGGATGAACTGGGAAATAATTGGACTAATGCAAAATTTAAATATGAAATTTTAATTTGGCCACTAGTCAAAACTTTAACAAAGGTTTTCTTATTTACTTTTGACTCCAAAATAAATAGAACTCAGGAAAAAGCTTTCTTTTCTCTTTTGGGCTGTGTTTAGATTTCTTTGGCCAACATTCCTGATCAATTTCATCTTTTTAATCTAAACTGGCTTCTCCCTGATTAGAGCTTAGTAAAATGGATGAGAAGAAAAAATAAGATTAGGGGAAATTGTTTTTAATACCTGTTGATATAAGCATCTAGTTATTGATTTGTAATTATGAGGACAGATATGCTTATAAAAGGTCCTGCTTTTGGGCAATCAGGAGAACCTGGTAAGAGAAGGAAGAGGACTTGTTGGGCAGATTGACAGGTGTGCCAGAGTATGAACCAATAAATTTGTGGGTGGAATTGTCATTACTTTTGTGAGACAGGGATTAATCTTTGTTTTTATTAGCTCTCCAGAAATAGAGATAAAGGTCAGGAATTGGTAACTGAAGGAATCAGTTTGAAACAAGCCTCCTCTGAGCTATTTTGAAACTTGCTGAATGTGGTACTCTCAGCCCTTTGGACGTCCAAGAATTGAGATCTAAAAAGCTTCTTAAGGCCCAGCCTCTTAACTGGATGCTGAGGGCCTCTGAGAAAACATGGAGTCATGGCTGTTCTAATGGAGTCATCCATCACTGCCAACTGCTTGCTGGAAAAAATAGGGGTCTTTCACAAGAGCCTCATAACCTTCAGGGATTAGAAGCCTGTGCCAGGCTGACTGTTACAATGGCATGCCATTGAAGGTCTTCTCTTGACCACTGCTTACAGGTAATCATGAAGGTCTGTAATTCAGGGCATACGGTGTCTTTTTCTTCTCTTTTTGCTGTTTCTGTGTCACTTCTTTCTTTGTGTCTCCCTTCCTTCTTTCCTTCAATCAATAAATAGTAAAAGGCATTTGTGCACAGCTTGACTTAGGAAAATGTGGCTGGTGGGGTTTTGAAATAGTTGTTTGCTACTCCATTATGCCATTTGGTCCAGGTGGTGGTGGGTGGCAATGGATAAATGAGCCTGTTGGCATGCCCATAAGCCCAAGAGTTGGATCTGATCTAGCATGCATATGCCATGAAGGAATTGTGTCTTTTGAAGGCATGGTGACAGGGCCCATTTTACTTATAGTACAGTGAAACCTTGAAACACATGTATTGTGGAGAGAATCTTCCAGGCAGTAGCTTAGGAGACACTCTTATCCTCACTTTTGGGCCCAGCTCAGGTTTAGCTGAACATGGAGTTTCAGAAGATAGGTATTTGGGGACACCACCAGGTGTTAAAATTGCATATTAATCAGGTGGTTATTGGGATACTGTAGAGATTTTTCAAGTCTAGTAATTTTGGAGGGAGGAAGATGGGAAAATATTGTGAGCTTGTTCTTGAAATTTTCATTCTGAAATAAGACTTCATGAGAGAATGTAGGGTAGTGATAATAGGTTTGGGCCAGTTGTCAGGAGACATGTGGCTTGGGAGATCATGTTTGAAGACCTTGAGTTACCTTTTGACCATATCTCAGTCATGATTTTAATCACATCCTCAGCCATTTGAATTATTTAGCATCTTTTTGAAATTACATATTTTACTCCTAATTATATGACAAAGATATATACCATGAAATATTTATCATGTAATTATGATTAAAATGTGCAGTCTCCCCAAAGATGTGAATAATCACTTTAAGTATTCTATATTTAATTAAAGGAGTCTGGTGGACTGTGCTGGGTCAACTTGGTTAAGCTGAGAACTACATTTCCCAGCATCCCCTTCCCTATATGCTTCTGAGTTAGAGCTGGCCAAAAGGGGAACACACACGGACAGGGAAGGCTGAAGAAACATGGTGGCCATTATCTTTTGGGTTTCTTTGCTGTCAGGTGCAGTGATGGATGGTTGCAGAGGTGCCTGATAGAGTTTAGCTTCTCTTTACTCATTGGCTTTGCCCAAGGGCCCGCCACCAGATGCTTGGCTACAGACCCACAGGACATTAACTACACAGCCTTTCCTCAGATCCTTTTGCAGTTCTGTGGTGGCTAAACGTGCCTGGCCTCTCTGACTGCTTGTGTTTGCCGATCCTCCAGCACCCCGTCCAGACCTTCATGCCTCCCCAACAGCTCCTCCCACAACTACAAGGTCAGATTCCTATAATCAAGCCCTATTCCATGAGCCCCTGGGACTCTGCTTCCCTGTCTGAACCCTGACTGGATACAAGGAGTAAGAGAGTTACAGGCAAGTGTGAATGAAGTCTGTTCAAAAGGGCTTTCGTTCTTTCAAAGCCTTTTGCTTTTAAAGTTGTTGTGAAGGGCAAATGTTTAGAGGTGGATGAAGGTGCTAAAACCTTTCAGCTCCTGTGGTCTCTAGAACATAATGGGAGTCTTTTTCATATGAAGATGATCCTTCTGACCCTCCACCATTTCTGAAGGTGGATTTGTGCTGATCAGACAAATTCAGATTTGTGAAACCTAAAACAGAATCAATACTCACCGCGTGTCTATTTCTGTCCTTCATCCCTTCGTCTCTCTTTCCCTCTCATGACCCTTATGCTTCTAGGACTTGTGGTGGGGATTTTTTATTAGAGGTGCAGGTTTTTTATTTTTTATTAGAGGTTCCTAGACAAGGAATACAGCAAATCCATGCCCTTGACCTCACTCAGGAACATGCCTTAATGTGCTTAGCTCACCAGTCACCACAGTACTGTCTTTGTGGATCACGTTTTGTTTTCCTAAAAGATTCATTCATTTGTCCATCCATCCATCCATCCATCCATCATCCATTCACCCATTCACGCATTCATTCATCTCTTGAACCTAACATTTCTGACCTAGCCTTGGACATAGCATTGAGTTTAGGAAGCTGGGCTCTATAGTGGACCTATCAGGCTTGAATGCAGGTGCTGTAACTCCCTAGCTATGGGATTTGGGATCATTATTTAACTTTTGAGCCTTGCGTTCTTACCTTTAAGTGGTGATAATAACAATGCCTATTGCATAGGGTTGTTATATGTATTAGGTGAGATAGCAGATATAAAGTGATTAACACCATGCACAGTGTTAATTGCTGTTATTGTTATTATTCAAAGATGAATCACATGTGACCTTTGCCTTCAAGAAACATATAGTTTACTGGGATGGGACAGGCATATAAATCAGCCAAGTGGCCTGAAGCTGAGAGAAAGGAGACATTAATTAGTGCTACTTAGAAAGAAGCCCTCTTTCCCTGACCTTGAAAGGGATGTGAATAAGCAAACACATTTGAATAAGTTCCAAAGTTACCCAAAGTCATTTCCAGTTCCCTCATATGTCATTTCTTTTGAGTTGTCATACATTTTTGTATTTGCTTCTTCCCTTTTATGTAAGCAGGCATTTTCTCTCTTAAGCCTAGAGATATTAGAGTTGTAGTGGATGAACATTATGTAGATACATATAAAATTTAAATACTTTGCATAATCATTATGAAAATCATTGTTAAGAAAAAGTTTCCCAAGCTATTGCTTTGCCACCATAATCTCTGCATGGGGGCTCTTTCAGTCCTGGACTAAGCCCCTTTTTGAGGATGGTACCCAAAGCCACAGAACTATGTACATGCCCCTCTCCACCCCCAACACCTCCCTAATATATTTAAGTGGACACCAGATGGATACTTGACTCAAGGGCATTTGATTTCCTGGTTGGCCTGAAGACAGTGACCTTGGACTTTAGTTGTCCTTCTCAAGAAAGATGAGCTGGATCAACTGGAATTCATTCCTAGGGCACTAAAGAGACTGAACCCATTGGTGGTGGTCTTTGCAGCTAGTTGGAGGGTCCTGTGGATTTGGGGGCTGGGGAAGCCACTTCTGGTCCACATGCAAGCAGGTGAGAAAGTTGAGAAGGGAGCAGAGGTATGCATTGAGGAGCAGAGATCTTGAGGCCCCTGAGAAATGGAGGTCTTGCCTTCATTGAGACTTGGTCTAGGGATATGTTTTGCAATGGCATCTGGGCTATATTTTCTAACACACATCCTGCATACCTAACTTTGTTGGGTATGCAGAAATGTAACCTTTGTTGGGAAACATACCCTTGGTTGGGTATGCAGATCTTGTAGAACTGGGATACAATTCTACAGGATCACTTGTAGGGCTTTTTTCTGTTCTGCATTGTAGTTAAAAATCAGTTGGCTAAAAATTGACAAATGTGATCTAATTAAACTAAAGAGCTCTGCACAGCAAAAGAAGCTATTATCAGTGAACAGGCAACCTACAGAATGGGAGAAAATTTTTGCAATCTATCCATCTGACAAAGGACTAATATCCGGACTCTACAAAGAACTTAAACAAATTTACAAGAAAAAAACAACCCCATCAAAAAGTAGGCGAAGGATATGAACAGACACTTCTCAAAAGAAGACATTTATCTGGCCAACAAACATGTGAAAAAAAGCTTATAATCACTGGTCATTAGGGAAATGCAAATCAAAACCACAATGTGATACCATCTCATGCCAGTTAGAATGGCTATCATTAAAAAGTCAGGAAACAAGAGATGCTGGAGAGGATGTGGAGAAATAGGAACACTTTTACATTGTTGATGGGAGTGTAAATTAGTTCAACCTTTGTGGAAGATAGTATGGCAATTCAAGGATCTAGAACCAGAAATACCATTTGACCCAGCAATCCTATTACTGGGTATATACCCGAAGGATTATACATAATTCTACTGTAAAGACACATGCACACATATGTTTATTGTTCTGTACTGTTCGCAATAGCAAAGACTTGGAGTCAACCCAGATGCCCATCAATGATAGACTAGATAAAGAAAATGTGGCACATATATACCATGGAATACTATGCAGCCATAAAAAAGGATGAGTTCATGTCCTTTGCAGGGATATGGATGAAGCTGGAAACCATCATTCTCAGCAAACTAACACAGGAACAGAAACCCAAACACCGCATTTTCTCACTCATAAGTGGGAGTTGAACAATGAGAACACATGGACACAGGGAGGGGAACATCACACACCAGGGCCTGTCGAGGGGTGGGGGGCTAGGGGAGGGATAGCATTAGGAGAAATACCTAATGTAGATGACGGGTTGATGGGTGCAGCAAACCACCATGGCACATGTATACCTATGTAACAAATCTACACGTTTTGCACATGTATCCCACAACTTAAAGTATAATAATAATAACAAATCAATTGGCTATTAATCACCAGATATATGCTATTCCATTTACATTTGGGAGCTTTATTTTTGGAGGTACAAACCCTACCCAATTTTCTGGTGAGTTTGTAAGGCAATCCAATCTTGCGCCTTCAGCATTTAATGTGTGCCACAGTTCAAAGAGGACCAGCTGGGTGTGTGCTCTTCATGGTTTCCACTGGGAGAAGAATTTTGTCAATAACTGGGAAGCAACAAGTTCATGTGAGAACTGCAGCATGGCTCATGAAGATCCTTTTCAGGGCAGTTCCCATTTTCTGAAGTGTGCGGGTGCTGTCTTAGTGAGCAAAGTGGAGCTTGCACTGAGGTTTTACTAGAAAGAAAATTGAAGCAGCACAAAAAACATCTTGAAATCGTATGACTTGTAGAATGGAAAATTCCAAATCAGGCAGCCCGTGGCTCGAATCCTAGCTTTGCCAGTGATTAGCTATGTGATCCGGGGCAAATTTTCTACATCCTAGGCTCCAGCTGCCTCATTTGTTAAAGACAACCCAAAATATTGTTAGGAAGATTAAATGAAAATGTATGTAACATATTTAATCCAGTGCCTGGCATATAGTGATAACTCAATACATGCTAATTATTGATATTTTAAAAAATATTATCGCTAGTATTATATATAAATATATTAAATATATGTAAATATATATTAATTTATATATAATACTAGCCATTATTTGTTTTCAAATAATATATATGGCATATATATGCCTTCAAAAAGAATATATATATTTTGTATGTATATATCTTCAAAAGGAGCATATATATTTTATAGAGAGAGATATATATATTCCTTTTGAAGATGGTCTTTGACCAAAGAAGCCAAAAAATAAATAAAAATTTCTATTTTTTTTCTTTTGGGCTATACGAATGTCATGTTATTCTGTAACATTAGATTCTTAGGGCATTCATTAAATCTAATATTCTTTTCCTAATGGGAGAGAACTTTTTATTTCAGGCAGTGCATTATGTAACTACATCTTCCTAATTTCCATTTTATTCTCCAGTCTCTTTCAAAACATAAGTTGAGTTATAAACTCTGAACTGCTAATGTGGGAGTGGGAGTCCACCTCTGAGGATGCCTACAGTGCTCTCTAGTATTAATAAAGTCCCTGCTACTGCAGTGAGATGCCACCTCACCCATTAGGATAGCCGTTATTAAAATTCCAGAAAATAGCAAGTGTAGGTGAGGATGTGGAGAGATTAGAACTCTTGTGTACTGCTAGTAGGAATGTAAAATGGTGCAGTCTCTACGTAAAGCAGTATAGTGGTTTCTCAAAAAAATTAAACAGAATTACCATATGATCCAGCAATTCTGCCTCTGGGTATATACCTAAAGGAAATGAGAGCAGGGACTTGAAGAGATACTTGTACACTCATGTTCATACAGCATTATTCACAACAGCCAAAAGATAGAAACAACTCAAGTGCCCATCGATGGATGAATGAATAAAGAAAATGTGTATACACACAATGGAATATTAGCCTTAAAAGAAGAGAAATTCTGACATATGCTACAACATGGATGAACCCCCTCAGAACAGTATGCTAAGTGAAATAAGCTAGATGTGAAAAGACAACTACTGTATGATTCCACTTACGTGAAGTGTCTAGAGTAATCAAATTCATAGAGACAGAGAGTAAAACGGTGGTTGCCAGAGGCTGGGAAAAGGGTGGATTTGGGGAGTTATTGCTTAATGAGTACAGAATTTCAGTTTGGGAAAATGAAAAAGTTGTGGAGTGGATGGTGAGATGGTTGCACAACTATGTGAATGTACTTAATGCCACTGAAATGTACACTTAAAAATGGTTAAAGTAATAAATTTTATGTACATTTTAACCCACACATCTTAACAAAGTGTTCAGCACACAGTCTGAATAAACACTGGCTGCCTTAAAAAAAAAAAAAAAAGGGCCTCTTGGGTTTGTGTTATTATGCCCTGGAGGTACAGCCTCATGACCAAGGTTTGACTGATTTCATCTCCACCTGAATCACCTAGTCGTACCCCACAGCAAGCAAAATACGGCTTTGCAGAAATGTAGCAGAGGGGAAAAAAGAATGTCCTTTCTGATTCTTGCTAGATTCTTGCTTGTCTTTCCAATTCTTCCACCTTCTTCTTTTTTTTTTTTTTTTGAGATGGAGTCTCGCTCTGTTGTGCAGGCTGGAGGGCAGTGGCGCCATCTCGGCTCACTGCAGCCTCCGTCTCCTGGGTTCAAGCAATTCTCCTACCTCAGCCTCCCGAGTAGCTGGAATTACAGGGGCCCGCCACCATGCCCATCTAATTTTTGCATTTTTAGTAGAGACGGGGTTTCACCATGTTGGCCAGGACAGTCTCGAACTCCTGACCTCAGGTGATCCACCCACCTCAGCCTCCCAAAGTTCTGGGATTACAGGCGTGAGCCACCACATCCAGCCTCAATTTGCCCACCTTCTTTAGGCTTATTCTTCTGTTCTCTTTCTGACTTCTTCTTTTTTTTTTTTTTTTTTTTTTTTTTTGAGGCAGAGTCTCGCTCTGTCGCCCAGGCTGGAGTACAGTGGCACTATCTCGGCTCACTGCAAACTCCACCTCCTGGGTTCATGCCATTCTCCTGCCTCAGCCTCCCAAGTAGCTGGGACTACAGGCGCCCGCCACCATGCCTGGCTAATTTTTTGTAGTTTTAGTAGAGACGAGGTTTCACCATGTTAGCCAGGATGGTCTCGATCTCCTGACCTTGTGATCCGCCCACCTCAGCCTCCCAAAGTGCTGGGATTACAGGCATGAGCCACCATGCCCGGCCTCTTTCTGACTTCTTAAGCTAAATACAATAGTCACAAATTCTCAATCTTTCTCATTTAAAAATAAATTTATATAAAGTTACACATTTACTTTCAAATACGTCCTTTACTACATCTCACACCATTTTTTTTTTTTTTTTTTTTTTTTTTTAAGCAACAGGGTCTTGCTCTGTCACCCAAGTGAGAGTCCAGTGGTGTGATCATTGCTTACTGTAGCCTCCACCTCTTGGGCTCAAGTGATCCTCCCACCTCAGCCTCCTAAGTAGCTGGGATTACAGGTGCACATCACCGTGCCTGACTAATTAAAAAAAAATTTTTTTTTAAATCTGTGGAGACAAGGTCTCACTATGTCGTCGAGGCTGGTCTCAAACTCCTGGACCCAAACAATCCTCCCCTGTTAGCCCTCCCAAAGTGCTGGTATTACACGTGTGAGCTACCATGCCTGGCCCATCTCAAAAGTTTTGATGTGAGATATTTCATAATTGTTTGGTTCTACATACTTATGATTTCCACTGAGATTTCCTCTTTTACCATAAATTACTGAGATGTATATTTTTAAGCTTACAAACATGTGGGCTATTTTTTATTGCTCATTTATAACTTAATGGCAGTGTAGTCAGAGTCATCTGAATGATACCAATTTTTGTGATTTGTTAAGTTTTCCACTGTAACACAATTAATCTTTATAAATGGCTTATAATACACTTGCAAATAACTTTCTCTATTTGTTAGGTACAATGATGAATTTTTATATTCATTAGATTGTTAATTGTGTTATTCAGTTATCTTCTGTTCTTATTAAATTTTGACCTACATTATCTATCAATTTTTCTGATATGTTAAGATCTCTCATTATGTTGATTTGTCAGTTTCTGCTTTAAATTCTGTTTTTGCTTTATGTAATTTGTTACTTGTTTTGCTTTAATATTTTTAATGTATGTAATGAATTATGTAATTTTGAGGCTGTGTTATTAGTTGCATACAAGTTTATGATTATTAATAATTATTATATCCTCTAGGTGAATTTTTTTCCTTTATTATTACAAAGTATGCCTCTTCATCCCTATTAACACCTTTGGCTTTACATATTAACTGATGCAACATTCTGTGAGCTTTATTTTGGTTAATATTTGCATGTGACATATATTTATGTTTTATTATTTTCAGTCTTTCTTGTGGGTTTCAGGTGTGTCTGTTTTTTTTTTTTTTTTTTGAGATGGAATCTTGCTCTGTTGCCCAGGTTGGAGTGCAGTGGCATGATCTTGGCTCACTGCAACCTCCTTCCCCTGTGTTCAAGCGATTCTCCTGCCTCAGCCTCCCTAGTAGCTGGGATTACAGGTGTGTGCCACCACATCTGGCTAGTTTTTGTATTTTTAGTAGAGACGGGGTTTCACCATGTTGGCCAGGCTGGCCTTGAACTCCTGACCTCAAGTGATCTGCCTGTCTTGGCCTCCCAAAATGCTGGGATTACAGGTGTGAGCCACCATGCCCGGCCAGGTGTGTCTATTTTAAGCATCATATAGCTAGATTAAAAATGCAAATGCAGTATAATAATTTCAGTCTTTAAATAGGTAGATTTAATCCATTTAGATTTCTTTGTGATTAGTAATATATATGAGTTTATTTCTTCAGTTCTGCTGCCTTATTTAGGTATTTTTACTTATAATGCTTTTGTTTTCTCTTTCTTCCTCCTCTGCCTTTTGTTGGATTGATAGTTTTTCATATTTCTCCCCTCTTCCCCACCTCACTTCTGGCTTGAAAGCTATAGATTGATAGTTACCTTTAAAGTATTCTATCTATTTTCCATCAAACTCTATAGTTATTCAATAATTCTAGCTTCTTTCCAATAGTAACAGTCATTTCTCACGTTACCTACTCACAGATCACTCCCTTTAACTATCTTATAATTGCTATTTATAGTTTTATTTTTCTTCAATTTTAAAATATCAAAGTTAGTTATTTTATAGTTCAGCAGTTAATTACTTATATTAATATACTATGTATGTATGTGTGTATGTATATATATCTGCCAATAGTTGCTCTTTACCTTTGAGTTACTTTTTTTCTTGCTGAAATGTATCCTTTAGTAATTTTTTGTTTTGTTTGTTTTGTAATGAGAATCTGAGTATGTTTTTGTATTCCAGATAATGTCTTTATTTTGTCCTCACTCTCAAAAGATAGTTTAGCTGGATATGAAATTCTAGGTTGATAGTTAATTTTCTCTCTGCATACTTTTTGTACATCTGTACTTCCTGTTGAGAAGTCCGCTGTGAGCCTAACTATTGTTCCTTTAGAAGCTATCTTTCTTTCCCTCTGTGTATTAGTTAGGTTTTGCCCGAGAAACAGAATCAATAAAATAATGTGTGTGTGTGTGTATGTATACATACATACATTTATATATATAGTTATACATACACATACACACATATATATGTATAAAGATATTTATTGTAAAGAATTAGCTCATGCAACACAGAGGCTTGGCAAGTCTAAAATTTGATAGAGGAGACTGGACAATCAGGGAAGAGTTGCAGTTCAAATCCAAATGCAGTCTGGTGGTAAACAAGGAATAGCCAATGTTGCAAATGAAGTCTGAAGGCAATCTGCTGACAGAATTCTCTCTTGCTTGGGGAAGGTCAGCCCTTTGTTCTGTTCAGGTCTTCAGCAGATTGGATGAACCCCACCCATATTATGGAGAGCAATTTGCTTTACTCAAAGTTGATTTAAATGTAAATCTCATCTAAAAACACCCTCACAGAAAAATCTAGAATAATTTCCAAATGTCTAGGTATCCTGGCCCAGCGAAGTTGACACATAAAAGTAGCCATAGCACTCTGGAAGCTATTAAGATTGTCTTTTTATTCTTTTTATTCTGCAATTTCATTGTGATATGTCTAGTTGTGGATTTATTTTCATATATTCTTGCTTAGTGCTGAAAATGTAATATACATCTTCAGTTCTTAAAGATTTTCAGCATTTGTATTTCTGAATAGTGCTTCCCCACCAGTCCCTACATTCTCTTGTTCTGGTATCCCTGCTTGGTGAATGTTGGAACCTTATAATTCTCTGTCTGTGTCTCTTAATTGCTCTTCCATATTTTAGTTTTGTTTTCTCTCCATGCTATGTTCTGGATGAGTTCCTCAGAACTCTCTGCAATTTACTAATTCTCTCTTTGTGTCTAATCCAGAATTTATTTCACCTAGTAAGTTTTCAAAAAAATTCTTGGATTTCTATTTTATTTCATATCCACCTCTTCTTGTTTTGCATTTGCTTATTTTTGATACATAATTTCTTGAATTTTTTGTTTGTTTTTTTCTTTGAGATGGAGTTTTGCTCTTGGCTGCCCAGCCTGCCCGGTTGCCCAGGCCGGAGTCCAATGGTGTGATCTCAGTTTACCACAACCTCCGCCTCCTGGGTTCAAGCAATTTTCCTGCCTCAGCCTCCCGAGTAGCTGGGATCACAGGCATGCGCCACCACACCTGGATAATTTTGTATTTTTAGTAGAGATGGGGTTTCTCCATATTGGTCAGGCTGGTCTCGAACTCCCAACCTCAGGTGATCTGCCCACCTCAGCATCTCAAAGTACTGGGATTACAGGCGTGAGTCACCATGCCCAGCCTCTTGAATTGTTTTCAATGAAGTTATACATTCATTTACCTCCTTGAATATTTTAAACATAAATGAAGGCTTTGGTACAGGGAGCTATAAAATTTTAATTTCATCTAGGGTAAATATAGATTTCAATTTTGATTTTGAGGGCTGACATACAATTTTGATTTCCAGGCTTTATTTTTTGAGACAGAGTCTTGTTCTGTTGTCCAGGCTGAAATGCAATGGCGTGATCATAGCTCACTGCAGCCTCGACCTCCTGGACTCAGGCAATCCTCCCACGTCTGGAGTAGCTGCAACTGCAGCTGTAGTGGTAAACTCCCTGCCACTGCTTCCTGCTTCCAGCCCCAGAGATCAGCTATTTAAGTCCACAGAAATGTTTATTTTTTACTTTGGAGTCTGACTGTGCCTTTTTTGTTTTCTCTTATGATTTAGCTGTCATTGCTGTGGTGTTTGGAGCAGAGAGTGTTCAATGTGAGCTTATTGTGTCAACTGGTTAACTCATATGATTAAAAATTTTTGCCTTACTAATGTCACAAGATAGATGATCTGGTGGGAAACAATTAGAAAATAAAAATAAAAGAAACAATTAGAAAGTAAAAACTTCTTTTATTGGTAAGCAATTAGTATTGCTTACATTGAGAAAATAAACATTTGTTGTGTTTGCAAATCTTAGTCCAGATGGACCTTCTTTCAGAATTTGTTCTACTCTCACTACCAGTATGATCATCAGTCGGGAGAAAGTATCACTGGTCTTGGCAGCTGGTGGCAGGATGACTTTGCCCTGATCATTTCAAGTTTTGGTATGAAATGGAGATTGTGCCATCCTTATCTACCTCATTGGCGAGAACATGTGTTAAAGCTCTTTGAAATACATTGGGATGCTATAGTATGGTGAGTGCTATTACTAATGCTCCTTGTTTATACTCATTGGAGAGGACAGCATTGTGTGGCCCAGGGAAATAGTTTTGGAAGCAGGTGGATCTGTGTTTTGATTCTGGGTTTCCCTTATTTTTTGTGTGATCTTAGCAGGCAAGTCAGTTAACCTGACTCATCGTGAAATGATATTATACTGTGTGCTTTTTTTTTCTGTTTACCTGGGATAGGACGTTGGCTTCCTCTTTGTTTCCTATCACCCAAACACTTCATTAGTGCCAAATTCCATCTCGGAGTTAAATGAGGGGACCTAAAATGCCCAGGGCACTTTGCCCATTATCAATCTTAAATGTGGTTTCTTTTTCCAGGGCTTTATCTATGTGAAGCTCTTCTCATATTTGCTTTGCCTTTCATTATTTCTTTTTATTTCTTGGGTATAGGGCCCTAGAACTTGAAAGTGTTTCTGAGGGACATGTCCAAGGGCCCAAGGGGACAGAGGAATAGATCAAGCTCAGCTATCTCCTGTCCTAGCTCTGCTGCCTTCTCCGCCTACCATCTCCAACCATCCCAAGGGCAGGTGTTTGTGGTGAGCACACCTATGGTGCTGGCACTTTGTCATCTCTTCTTACTATCATATTTACATGTACTGGACCAGGAAGCAATGTATTTAGACTACGGAACCTCTGTGAGGGGATAGAGAATTCAGATGAGGTATGGTAGGTAGGAATGTCATTCCTGCCCTGCTGAGAGGTGACTGTGCTTGACATATATGAATCTGGACTTGGCCACAAGGGACTGGAAGAGGGAACTCTGAGACCTTGGCTGGTTTTAGCTTCCTCATTGCTGAAAAGGGGTGTTGCTGTTGATGGTGGCTTGAAGTCCATGGCTGAGGGAATGGCACTTTTGGTTGCTCTGGCTTCCCCTGTTCCAGGGAAGGCCCTGGTCCTCATGCAGCGGTGGGGATTGGTGGCTCTTTGTTGGGTCTCAGGGCAGGATATCTCAGGATGATATTGCAATCCCTTCCCTGACTCATTTCTTCTTTAAAATGGCCTCTTGAGAGCCTTCTTTGGCCATCTGCTAGGAATCTGACCAATACCAATTACTTTCTGAATTTTTCTTGCTCTAAAGTCAAGAAACTAAGATGGAGTGACCAGTATCAATATACTTTCCTTTTCTGGTTTCTGGGTGAAGAAAGATTAGCATTGCTGGAAGGTGAGATGGTTATATTAAATTCATTGCTTCTATGCTAAATCTTGACAAATATGAAAAGCAAAGGGAAAAAGGGGAGGGGATCCTAACTCAAGCCTGGAAGCTTTTGAATGGCTGGAAAATCATTGCATTAAGACACAATAAACATCAATCTGCAGGTATGTTATAATTTTATTTTTTTAAGATAACATTGACTGGCTGTAACTGCTTTTGTATCGAAGCAGGGAAGCCGTACCCGAACTTGAAAATCTTTCATCTGTTATCCCTAATACATACTCACAAGCACATCGCAGTCTTGAGGAAGTACAATTAAAAAGGGGGTAATCCTTTTTTCAAGTCCTCAGGTTTAATTTTCCTGATTATGGTAGATTATGAGTCATTCTGGGTCTTGGTCTCCAAGAGAGACAGCGCCTTCCCTTCAGTCCCTTTCAACAGTTGTTTATGGCAGTTTCAGCCTCTTTCTGCCGCTCGGAGGCTCTTTATTTTTAAAGCAAGGCAGACAAGGCCTAAAATTATTCCATTAAAGAGGGGCAATTTTTGTAATGGGACTTAGAGTGCTTTGCAGAAGTGCAGGCAAGTTTCTTCAATATCCTGAGCATTATTCGCTCATTTAGTTAAATGATGTTTCTAATTCCCTGGTAATTACATGTAATGAGGCACTTTTTCTCTTCTTGATGAGACTTTAGCTTAATATGAGATGGCGTATTTTTTTCTTTTTTTCTTTTTCCATGGGGATAATTACCCCTTCCCAGGAAAAGCAGGGTTTGTTGTGCAGAATATAGCAAATTATTTTATTTCCTGCCATCTTGACTGCCAGTAAATTATAAAATTAAGTTTCAGTGGCGCATTAGCACCATTTTGGAAAAGGCTCAAGACTCCATTTTTTCTTTTTCTTTTTCTCTTTCTTTCTTCTTTTTTTTTTTTTTTCAATTCATGTACTGCTTTCCTCTGGGACTGTAGAGGCTATTATTCATAGAACAGATTTTTTTTTCTGCCAATTCCTAGTATTCAGATGTATTGAAGCAGCAACATAGGTTTAATTTTTCTGGATGGTATCCAGCGTAGAATGTTCTTATAAGCGTCTTTGTGTTCAGGTAATTATCATCATAAAGTTAAGTAATATGTCCCCTCTTTTCTCTGGTCTCCTCTCACTCCTCCTTTGGATGTCAAATTACCTATTTTTGTGCAATGCTTTAATTAGGCGCAAAGCAACTAAATTTGAATCACATGAAGGTGGTGACACCAACTATTAAAAGGCAAGAAACTCAGTTAATATAGTCACTCTACTTAGCTCTTTCTGTTGTTAAAAAGCAAATTCGAGGAAAGAAAAATATGGGGAGAGCATCATTTAATTAAGGACAATGTCATGCTGAACTTTGGTTTTCTGGATTTAATTATTTTTACCAATTTTAAGAATTATATGTTTGTGTGTGTGTTTGTGCAAATGCACACTTCTGCCATTTTTTATTTTTGTTTGTGCAGAAGAAACATTTCTTTGGAAGAAGCAGCCAAATGAGATGAAAAGAGGAAAAGAGAGCTTTGGCCGGGGAGCCAGGGGGCTGGAGTTGTAGGGTAGACTCCATTTACTCCCACCTGGCTGTGTGCTTCGGGCAAGACAATCTTTTTGAGCTTCAGTTCCCTCCTGTGTAAAATGTATGAGTCGCAGCAGAGGATCTCCAGTCTTTAGAAACTTGAAAGATCTTCCTATCAGTTAGCAAAAGAACCATGTCGTTGGGGTTATAGCAAAGTAGCCCAGATTTAAAGTTTGAGGTTGGATTGTTGTTGTCATTTTTTGCCCCCCACCACCTGCTCTATCATCCCTTGTAAAGATGCTGGTTCCCAGGGATCCAGGTGCCCCCATCTCCTGTCTTGCTGATGGTCGTATGGTTCCTGTTTGGGTTCTACTAAACTTCTAGGCCTGGAAAGTAGGGAGATGCCACCAGTGCCCTGTCCACGCAGGATCAGTGTTTCAGGTGCGAGTGAACCAGGGTCATTCGCTGCAGAGGGAGATGCCACCCAGTGCCCTGTCCACCCAGGATCAGTTTCAGGTGTGAGTGAACCGGGATGCCCTGTCCACACAGGGTCAGTGTTTCAGGTGCGAGTGAACCAGGGTCATTCGCTGCAGAGGGAGATGCCACCCAGTGCCCTGTCCACCCAGGATCAGTTTCAGGTGTGAGTGAACCGGGATGCCCTGTCCATACAGGGTCAGTGTTTCAGGTGTGAATGAACTGGGGTCCTTCACTGCAGCCCTCAGTTTCCCTTGAGTCATGGGTAGCCTAATATTTTCCTTTTCTTGAGGGCAGCCGGAGAATTTTTTTGTTTGTTTGCATATTTGAAATCAACAGCAGTGTTCTGAAAATAATACCGTCCTTTTCAGATAAATGTCAAAAGACTGATGTGAGCTGATTTCTTCATGTTTGGGGAATGGGGAATGTTTACCAAAATGATAAATCTTTCTCACTTGTATAATTAGCCTGCAATAAAAACCTCCCATCCGGAGTTTTTATTTTAAGAAACTGCTGTTTGGAATAATTCTGTTATAGGATAGTTATGTTGGTCACTTCACTGTTTCACTTGGGATCACCGAGGAGGCTCATGCCGGCTTCCTGATGGGTCCTCCATAGGCATAGCTCCAGGCACGTGCCTTCTCAGCTCAGCACCCTTCAGGAGCTCCATGATGACCACATCACAGTGTAAACTCTGAATCTCAGCGTGGACCAGAGGTGGGCCCAGAGTCAGATGGATTCGGGTCTGAGTCTTAGATCTGCCACTCACAGAGTCTGTGATCTTGGGCAAGTTGCTTACCATTTCTGAGCCTGTTTTCTCATCTTAAAAATGAGCATCGTAATAATACCTCGTCAGGTAAAATAAGATACATGTAAGGCACAGAGCTTGGGACTTAACTGCTGAGTAATGTGAACTGCTGGTATTATTGTTGTTATGATTACTACCTCACCTTTTACTGCTTGCCTAGATGTATGTGTGCCACATCCCAACCACTGGTTCCTAACTCACCCCAGGCTCTCCTGTCCTTGTGCCTCTGTTTATACAGGTTTCTCTGCCCAGCATATTTTCCCTTTCTTACTTCCCCTGCCATTCATTTATTCATCTCCATTCATTTATTCATCTCCATTCATTTATTCATCAAATACTTATGGGGAGCATCCATGATGTGCCAGTCCTATTGGCCTGTTGGGCTCATCTCAGACACAGCTTTGGTGACTGTCCTAGTGGGAAGGGCCCTCTGCATCCCCCACAGGCCTGCAGGCCCATGCTTTGCTGTGGCCACATATAACGCACAGGGCCCTCTCTCAGTCACTCCTGTTCTCCTCTTTTCCACGTTGGTCCTAGTACATCATTTCCCATGGAGGAGCTATGTGAACAGAGACTGAATTGAGGGAAATCACTTTTGGAATCCCAGCCCTCTCCTCAGGCGCCAGTGGAGCATGAGCTGTGCTGTGGATGAAGTCCGTTGGCACAGTGAGTCCCTGGGATGGAACCTGCACTCGCTGCTTGACCCATGGCTGGGTGAGTGGTGAAGCGGTCAGCACAAGCTTCTAGCCCAGGCTTCCCTCTTAGCAGCATGTGGCCTTGGGCATGTCACAGAGTCTCCCTTCCCTCTCCCCCATTTTCTCTTCTGTCAACCGAGCATAACTGACGCTACAATCTCACTGACAGATGGTGAGCGAGGATGGAGTGAGCGGGCATGTGCGGCTCTTAGCTCCATGCATGGCTCACCGACGTTGGCCGCTCTTGTTATCATTACAGTGATGATTATTAGCCTTTCTACATGACAGATTCTCAAACCTGGCTGCTACCCATGAGAATCATGTGGACAGCCCTTAAACAAAGATTCCTGGGCTCCCCCTTGAACTTCTGCACCAGAACTGCCAAGATGGAGTCCGGGAATGTGTTAGCTACGTGCTTTTAAGACGACTCTGGTGCCCAGCCTGGGAACCCACAAGGGGCATACTCCTGGCATGGGCAATGTCTGTGTTTAGTGGGGCCAAATACTGCCCCATTGAATCAAGAAGTGCACTCTATACTGGGCTGAATAGTGTCCCCTCCCAAAATTCCTGTCCACCTGGAATCCATGAATGTAACCTTATTTGGAAATAGGGTTTTTGCAGATATAATCAAGTTAAGATGAGGTCATGCTGGAATAAGATGGGCCATAAATTCAATGTAACTGGGTGTCCTTATAAGAAGAGGGGAACTTTGTACACAGAAACAGACATAGATGGAAGTTGGTCATTTGCCTGTGGAGGCAGAGATTGGAGTGATGCTGCCACAAGCCAAGAAGCGGCTACAGAAGCTGAAATAGGCAAGGACGGATTCTTCTCTAGAGGCTCTGGAAGGGGCAGACTTCTGACTTCCAGAACTGCGAGAGAATACATTCCTATTGTTTGAACCCCTCAAGTTGCGGATGATTTGTTACGGCAGCCCTAGGAAATGTGACAGGCTCCAAGTCACATTTTGAGAATCCTACACTGAGGCAGAAACTCTGCTGATGAGGCCCACTTTGTGAATAGTTGACATGCTTCCAGCTTTATAAACATCAATTCAAATCTTAGAAGAGAATTTCCCCCTCTGGGCAAAATGGGCGTTGACGTATTTTTTTAAAATGGGAGTTAAATGCTGAGGGTATAAGGCACCTCTGGCCCATATGGGACTGGCTGAGTCCCAGGTCTTCTGTCTTCCCGGCCAGGCCTGAGCATGTGCAGGGAGGAGGCCGACGACTGGCTGGGCAGATGCAAACCTCCATTTGTGTATTGCTACCTTTCCAGAGCCTCGGGGATGCTCGGTGGACACCTCACAGGAGGTGAGATTGACAGAGCCGGTTCTAGTCTTAGCTGTCTTCTTCCTTCCTGAAGGTTCCTGGACAAGTCACCTGATCTTGTGGAACCCAAGTTTCTCCACCTCTAAATGGAACACACTAAATTGTTATGAGTGAGCATCAGAGGAAATCAAGAGTGTGTGATTTAGCTCTGCATGCAACGGGCTCTGTAGATAATTTTCATTGCAGTTATTTTGACTTCACTTTGGTGAGTCGACTACCCCAGGTTTTGAAATGAACACAGGGAGGCAGAATACGTGTTGTAATCCCAGGCTACAGTTCTGGAGCCTTTATTGAAGGAGAAGACATTTTTTATTTGTAAGAATGAAAAACGGAAGGCGGGGAGCCTATGTGGCATGGAATTCAAGAAATGGAGCAACTGGCCACTGGCGATGGGAAGGCCCATGGCAGATTCTGCAAATCTCTCTGGAGTTTCTGCTTGAGTTCCTGTTCGCCGCTGTGAGCCCCTCACTCTTTCGTTGCTGAGACACCTTCACCATGGCTCAGGAGGCCACATGCTATTCCTCAGGTGGCGGAGGGCAGAGACCGAGGGAGTCGGTAAAAAGGAGAGGGCTGGAAAATTCCTCTTAGCATAAGAATAAACAGTGATTTGAATATTCAGTTGTGAGGGTTATAAATAACTGTGAGTTTTCATTGACGTGTAAGCGGTGATACATTTTGTACAATAATTAGTTATTTGATTACTTTTGTTTTAGCCTGAAGTAGAGGACAATTGACAAATGTGAATACCTCTGAGACTGATGGGGCGCAGTAAACTAACTTTATTTATTACAAAATGCAATTTTATTAATATGAATTGACAGTAATTAATTTGCTGGTGTTGATGTTGTTAATAATTGCATGTAATTTATGAAATATTCATGCTAGAGCAGAATAAAATAATGCACGGGTCCTCTGGCTTGTTTGTTAAGTCTGTGAATATTTCAACAAAGCCTTTCTAATTCAATGTATTCATAGTACAGTGGTTTAAAATCCCACAAAATTACCAAAAATATTTTAATTTCTTATTTGAGTGTTTCTTAACTCAACTTCCAGGCATGTCCAGGGATACTGTGCTTATACTTCAGGGCACCATGAAACTCCCTGAAATTAAATGGAGGAGGTGTTTTTTTGAGAGCCTCCCCCAGAAGATTAAGTACCAGTGCATTGTCTAACTTAATCTTCTTCAATGCTCCAAAAATACTTTACTCCCATTTCATAGATACAGAAACCAAGGCTGAGAGAGATGTCATTGTTGCTGGTCCCATGTAAGTTGAAGTGTCAGAGGTAAGATTCAACTCTGTCCTCTGGCTTCTAAATCCAGGACCCATGGAGTAAAATCTAATTTTGCCTTTATTCCAGTTTTTTTTTTTTTCTGAATGAAAGTATGGACTGTTTCCCCCTCCTAATTCAGTTTGGCCCTCTTGTTCCTAGAAAAGGATTGTAATTAGAGGGCATCACAATTGAATTCAGCTAATGTGATCAGCAACATGGGGGCCCCGCTGGAGCCTGTGGTCAGGCTCTGTGGAGGCGCTTCAGTCTGCTCCCTTGCTTTGGAGACCCCCTCCCCACTCTGAGGGCTGCAGGCCAGGGGCCAGGAAGTGGCTGTATTTCGGAAGAGGCAGCTGTGGGGTGCTGGCACATGCTCTAAACCCCCTAAGAAGTCAGGGCTCAGTTCCTAACTCCAGGGCTGACTTCCTGGGCCTGCACCGTGTTTGCGGGCTGAGAAGGCCTCCACATTTGGTTCAGTGCTCTAGTGTCACCAATCCTTAGTAACTTTTGAACAAGGACTCTACATTTTCAAGTTCCCTGGCCCCGCAAATTATGTAGCCACTTCTGTATTCCCTCTGGGACTCTAAGACAAGTTATTTCGCTTCTCCGAGCCTCAGCTCTTCATCTGGGAAATGGGGACGAGATGTTTTACTCTCTCAGATTCTAGAGGGCGATAAATGAGTGCATGCCCAAAATGCCTTTTACATTCTGAAGCCCGGGGCCAATGCCAGGGATTTGTATCAGAGTGTTGTCTTCCAGTGTCTGCACCTTCCAACTCTCCTGGGAGGGAGCAAGAGCTGCAGAAGGATGACCACAGGAAGACTGAGTCTCGAGAGCTCTTTGTCAGCCCCCTTGACCCGCATCCCAGGGCAGAGGCATCGAACAAAGACCTAAGTCCATGGATAATCCAAGGCAATAAATGCGCTCCACATTCTTGGCTGGGGGTTAGCACCAAAGCCATCACATGGGAAGGTTTAGGGTTTGAGAAAGCACCACCATTACCTATGTGTTTTCACCACCCAGGCATGTTCCCTATTTGTTTTGAGAAGAAAATGAAAGAAACAAATTTTCTGCACAAAGTTTCCAACTGGCAAACATTTTTCCAGCTGTGAGACCTTGGACACATTTTCATCTCAGAACTGTTTTTTCTTTTGTAAAATGATGTAATAATTGCAGTTATCTCCCTGGGCTGTGGTGGGTATTAGACAAGAAAATGCAAGTAGAACTCACAGAGATTGGCCTGTAGGAAGCACTCAGTAACAGCTTTGCTTTGTCTTCTTGTGATTGTTATTCATTAATAAAATTTATGCTGCTCACAGAGCTCTGTTACTTATTTATTTTTTTGAGACAGGGTCTTGCTCTATCCCTCAGGGTGGAGGGCAGTGGTGTGGTCATGGCTCATTGTAGCCTCTGCTTCCCGGACTCAAGCAGTCCCTCCATCTCAGCCTCCCAAGTAATTGGGGTTACAGTGGCGCACTGTAACATCTGGCTAATTTTTGTATTTTTTGTGGAGACGGGGTTTCACCATGTTGCCCAGGCTGGTCTTGAACTCCTGAGCAATCCCCATGTCTCTACCTTGCAAAATGTTGGGATTACAGGCATGAGCCACCACACCCAGCTAACTCTGTTATCTTTGACAGGGTGGATGAAGGGTTAAGGTTGGAGTGAGAAGGTGGAATTCGTCTTGTCACTCTCGGCCTGCCTAGCTCCTCTTGCTCACTTACCTCCCCCATTTTCTCACTCTGTTTATCCTCCCTGAGTATCTGGGGAGACTTGCACCCTACCACCTCCAACCCCCAACACCTGGGGAGGCAGTTCAGGTGGGAGCTTGGCTACCACACTGCAGGCTGCTTCTTTTCCCCGGAACCTTGATTTTTACTCCTCAGACGTCATCTCAGTGATCTTCCTGCACTGGGATTGTGGTTAAATGTCTGTACTCAGGATCCACATGAGGGTGAGCCGCTCATGGAGGGAGAGCACTTTTCCTCCACCTCATCCCAGGCCTAGCTCGGCATGGGGCCTGCCCTGGCTGATTCCCAGTGAACACCTATCGAATAAACAGGGAAACCGAACCTTGAAAGGAAAGGGGCGTCTGCATATAGACAACACCTCTTTTTCTTTTTTTCTTCTTTCTTATTTTTTTCTTTTTCTTTTTTAACTGTCTTAACCATTTCCAAGTGTAAAATTCAGTGCATTAAGCACATTCGCAGTGTTGTGCAACCATCACCACCATCTGTTTCGAGAACTTTCCTTCATCCCTTACAGAAACTCTGTACCCATTAAGCAGTAACTCCACATTCTCTCCTCCCCCAGCCTTTATTTTACTTTCCATCTTTATGAATTTGCCTATTCTGGATGCCTCACATAGGTGGAATTGTACAATATTTGGCCTTTTAGATCTGGCTTCTTTCATTTAGTATGTTTTCAACATTTATCCATGTTGTAGCAGATAGCAGAATTTCATTTCTTTCTAAGCCCGGATAATATTCCCCTGCATAGATTTTGGTTATCCATTTTGTTTATCCATTTAGTTACTGATGGACACTTGGGCTGTTTCTACCTTTTGGCTATTGTGATGAGTGCTGCTGTGAACATTGGTGTACAAATATCTGTTTGAGTGACTGCTTTCAGTTCTTTTGGGTGAAAATTACCTAGGTGTGTAATTGCTGGGTCATTGGTAATTGTATGTTTAACTTTGTGAGGAGCTACCAAACTGTTTTCCACATGAACCGCACCATTTCACATTCCCACCAGCAATGTCTGAGGATTCCAGTTTCCCCACTTCTTCACTGACACTTGTTATTTTAGACAGCACTTTTAATCATCGGGCAAATAATTGCCTCCTTCTTCACAGGCATCTTTGCTTGAAGCAGACTCTAAATCAGGAAGAGCAGGTGCAGGAAAGGAGAGGGCCTGGGGAGCCACAGTTATTTACTTTTGCTCAGAGACGCTGAGGGTACCCTTGTTCTTTAGAAAATAGCTGGGACAGTCTCTGGTGGAAGTTGCTGAAAGCCCATGTTCCTCTCTGCTCTTCCAGCAACAAGAGCAACAGGGAAACAGAGGACATTATATGAGTGAAGATGGCAGCCACCTTCTGATGCCATTCTTGGCTAATTCTGACTACATAATGTGGAGTAAAAGTTTGTCTCCATATGACGTGCTGCAACAAGTAATGAACCGTTATTCTCCTGGACAGAGGTGTGGTCAGGGTGTGTGGCTGGGACTGTCACTGTGGAGGCAAGATGAATGTACCAAGCACTCTCTATGCTGAGGACCCGGTTGTTTTGGAGTTATAACACCCTAGTCGCTTTAGTCATTCATGAGCTTCATGATGACATTGAGTCATCTGACACTCCCACCCTTTGTATGGGGCTCCACTGGGCGCCAAGCAGGGGCTGCTGTGTGCAGATGGTGTCCTGGGATTCTAAAAGACACAAAGTGCCCTCTGTCTCGTCAGGATCTCTTTCTGCAGCAGGGACCCTCGATAGAGGTTATCCAGCCTGGACAGAGGATGAGGATCCTGGATTCTCTGGTCTGAGAACCTCTCTGGGTCTGCTAGAGATCCCAGCCTGTCCTGCAGTGACCAGGGCACTGGGGTGGAGCTCATCTTCATCAGTGGAACTGGCCCCTCTTCTTGGTGGACGCTGAGGCCTGCAGGAGCATAGTCCCACAGGGTGGCAGGGCAGACCAGGGCAGCCACAGTTTACTGGTAAATGGGCCCTCAGCATTCTTACTTGCAACACTGGGTCAACAAGTGGGGATGGGCGGGGGGGCAAGCCCTTAAATGAAGGTAAATAGGCCGGGTGCGGTGGCTCATGCCTGTAATCCCAGCACTTTGGGAGGCTGAGGCAGGCGGATCACCCGAGGTCAGGAGTTTGAGAACAGCCTGGCCAACATGGTGAAACCCCCTTTCTACTAAAAATACAAAAATTAGCTGGGCATGGTGGCAGTTGCCTGTAATCCCAACTACTTGAGAGGCTGAGGCAGGAGAATTGCTTGAACCCAGGAGGCGTAAGTTGCAGTGAGATGAGATGACGCCACTGCACCCCAGCCTGGGCGACACAGTGAGACTTTGTCTCAAAAAAAAAAAATAGGGAAATGAAGAGAGAGAGAGAGTATATGTGTCAGGTTTCCTGGACACTCCCGGGACCGGTGCCTTGGGAGATGTGGTGGGCATGGAACCACCCTCTTGCCTTTCTGGACTTGGGCAGTCAGTGGCGCTTCATTGAGACCTTACTATATCCCAGGTACTATGCTTTGCACTTGACAGACCCCTCACCACCCACCCTATGGTGGGGATTACCAACTCCCCTTTGCAGTGTGACTGGCACTTGGGTTGTGGCTATGACATTTCCCAGTTGAGTGATCTTGGGCAAGTCAGTTTACCTCTGTGGGCCTCAGTTTCCTAGTTTGGGAAAGGGAGATAAATGTGAAAATACTCTGTGTAAAGTGGAAAACATGTTTTAAATGTTAGAGCTACATGGAGTGAGAAGTTACTGTGTGACAAATTTACGTTGACACAAAGAACTCATGAAGATGTTAGGATTCACATTAACAAATAAGGGAAAGTTGGAGTATCTTATGTGTTCAGGCACAAATATCGATGGTGAAGTGTGCAATTATTAGCAACACCAGCAGAATAACCACTGCACAGCTGGTAGGGTCTGAACAGGTATTCAAACTCTGATCCTTCAGAGATCAAAGTCCATGTCCTTAAGCACCGCACTGCAGGGACCCCATGAGCTTCTGTGAGTCTCACAGTGGTCTTGTTCAGCAGGCCAAGAAGCAAGTAATAATTCCCTTAAAAAATGAGGAGATGGAGGCTGAAAGAGAGGCGTTAAATGTGAGAACTCATAAAAGGGTGTGGAGCCAGAGGAAATTTAGTCTCAGATCCTAAGGTCTGGAGTTTATAATTCATTCATTTATTTAAGAAATGTTTATTGAGCAGCTGTTATGTACCAGGGACCGTTTGGGGAGCTTTGAACGCCATGATGAGCAAATTCAGACCTTATGGACCTTTTGGGATATGGGGGAGGCAGACAAGTAAATAACCCCACAAACGAGACACGTAGTTGCAGCTGGGCTAAGAATTTCTATTTGCTCCTACAAATGACAGATATGATGCAACAAGGGCCTGGGAAAGCCTATCAGGGAGCTTCCCTGAGGAAACACTGCCGGACTGGAGAGGAAGACAGAGGGGAGAGGATGCCTGAGCAAAGGCCCTAGGGAAGGCGCCAGGGACTGTGGGGTTGGAGCTGAGAGCAGGAAGTGAGGGTGGTATGAGGTGTGTGGGTGGTGAGGAGGGTTAGGGCCATGTTTTGAGGTCTTGTCTTCATCCTAAGAGCAGTGGGAAGCTTTCTGAGGGTAGGAGAGAGATCAAATTTGGGCTCCAAAAAGCTTATTCTGGCTTCAGTGTGCAGAGTAAACCAGAGAAAAACCAGTTAAAAATGGCAAAAGATGAAGAGCACGTCATCCAAGTAAAATCTTAAACAGCTTGTGCTTTCCCTAGACTAAAAAAGATACTCAACCTAGGTATCTGCATGTGTGCATGTAACGCACACAGCCTTGTCACATTGCACTTGGGCCAGCCAACAAGCTTCAGGAGGCACCTGATCCTCCCATTTTTGTGGGTCCCCTGAGCCGGGTCAGCACCTGTACTGAGTCCTCAAGAGCCCTCAAGACCTCTTGCTAAATAAATAAACACATTAGTGATAGTGCCATCCTTCCAGCCAGTCTCTGACACCTGAGATGAGAGGAGTTCAGGGTACCATTGCCCACCACCCCTCTAAGCTTGGGGGCCTCCTAGGTTGGTCCTCAGGGACTGGGCAGTGGAGTTGGAGGTCCTGGAAGTAGTACTCTACACAGTACCGAGAAGTCCAAGGGGAAGGCTGCTTAAAACCGTCCAACATTCTAACTCGTTCTCCTGGGAGACACTGAAGGCAGGGGAATGGGAGCTACCGTAGAGCCTGCAAGGTTACAGACTGAGAGCCCCTGAAAGCAGAGGAAACTCGAAGTGGAGTGGATGGGGTTGGGCATTTGTCTTCATAGTTGCCTCTCCATGTCATGTACATCTACCCCATCTCCCTGGAACCTCCAAGGGGCTGTAATGGGGCTATTCCTTACATCTGCTGCATCAGAATACAAGGTGGGCCACAGGAGTGGGTTTAATAGGGAGCCTTGGCTTTTCTGGCAGCAATCTAGGAAAAGACATGAGCAGGAGAGAGTTGAAAGGAAAGACCAGGAGTTTGCTGGAGTGAAGAGTTACTTTCATAAGTTGGAGTCCTGGACAGTGAGATGCACCATTTTCCTCCCATTCAGTGGTGGCCTCTGCGTCTCCACTTGGCCTGTGGTTTGAGATGGGCCAAATCATGATTCCTTGAGGACACTGAAGAAAAGGAATGTGTCATGAAGCAATTTAGTGGCAAATATCTGAGGGAAGAGGTGTCAAATAGAGACAGAGGAGTAGGGGAGGCTCATAGGGTATGTGAGGGCAGCATGACTGGGGTCCTTGGGATCAGGCCCAGATAAAAACTGGGATTTTCCAGTATGGAGTTGGGTTTGCCCACAACTTCAGAATAGCTGGGTGGTTCTGACTCAGGGTCTCTCATAAGGCTACAGTCAAGCTCTCAGCAGGGGCTCCAGTCATCTCAAGGTTTGAATGGGGCTGGAGGATTCACTTCCAAGGGAGCTCACCCATGTGCCTGGCAAGTTGGTGCTGGCTGTGGGCAGGAGGCCTCAGTTCCTCACCAGGGGGACCTCTTCATAGGGTGGCTTGAGTATCCTCACAACATGGCAGCTGGCTTTCTGGAGAGCGAGTGACCCAAGAGAGAACAAGGTGAAAGCAACGGCTTTTCTGACCCAGCCTGAGATGTCACACTCCAACATTTCCACAATGTACTGTTGCTTACACAGGGCAGCCTTATTTGATACAGAGGGGACTATACAAGAATGCAAGTATCCAGAGGCAAGGACCATTGGGGGGCATTTGAAATGCTGGCAACCACCCCTGGCCTCAGTGTCCTCACCAATAAGGGGCAATCGTGCCTGCTCAATTGCCTCACTGTAGGAATAAAAGGAGATCCTTTGTGGGAAGGATGGGAAGTGCCGTAGCAGTTAGGAGCTCAGGGATAAGACAGGTGTGATGGTTAATTTTATATGTCAACTTGATCGCTAAGGGATGCTCAGCTGGCCGGGTGCATCTGTGAGGGTGTTTCCAGAAGAGATTAGCAATTGAATCAGTGAGCTGAGTAAAGAAGATCTGCCCTCACCAAAGTGGGTGGGCAGCAGCCAATCCATTTAGGGCCAGACTAGAACAAAAAGGTAGAGGACAGGCGAATTTGCTCTCTCTATTTGAGCTGGGACATCCGTCTTCTCCTGCCCTCAGACATCAGAGATCCATGTTTTCAGGCCTTCACACTCTAAGGCTTACCCCCAGCAGTCTCTCCGTCCCTGGTCTCAGGCCTTCAGACCCAGGCTGAATCACAACACTGGCTTCACTGGTTCTCCAACTTGCAGACAGCATATTGTGGGGGCTTCTTTCATAATCACGTGAGCCAATTCTCATAATAAATCCCCTGTTATATATCTATATATCCATGGTTCTATTTTTCTTGAGAACTCTAACTAATACGACAGGATAAAACAGGGTGAGATGTCTGAATTGAGATGTATTGTAAATGTAAAATATACCCCCAGATTCCTAAGACTTAATATGAAAAAGAATGTAAATTATCTCATTAACATGTTGAAATGATATTTTGGATAGTGTGTGAAAGACATTTTTTATTAAAATTAATTTTACCTGTTTCTTTTCTTTAGTTAATGGGGCTTCCAGAAAATTTGGAATGATGTATATGGTTGGCATTCTATTTCTATTGGGCAGCTCTGGCCTACACCATGAGCCTGGATGGTGTCCTCATCTGTGTCTCTCCAGAGCTTCCAAAGGGCTCAATGCAGAGTAGATGCTCAATACACGTCTGAGTGAGTGCTCAGAACACAGTGGATGTCCAAGGAATGTCAAACAGACACCCTGGGGGAGAGGGAACTCCATGATCTTTGGAGTCAGACAAATCTGGATTCAAATCCTGGTTCAACTCCTGGTTGGGTGAGTCCCTAACCTTGTGAACCAAAGATTCCACATCTGCAGAATGGGTCTGCTAGTCCCTGCTCAGCTCCCTCTGCCCAATTCAAAGGTGCAAATGAGGTGTAACTGTGCTGATGGGAGGCCTCGTTGGGCAAGCTCTTAATATAAGTGCATACTGGCTCAGGCTAAAAGCAGCTCAGGTGTGGGTGGTAGGATGAGGCTGAGGAATGGCAGCGCATGGGCATGTATGCACATACATGTGGGCCAGCTGCACACTAGCCATATGCTTGCTGTTGGCAGAGCCCCTTTGGTGAAGCCTCAACCTCCTGGGCTCAGGCAGGTGATCCTTTCATCTCAGCCTCCTGAGTAGCTGGGACTATCAGCATGCACCACCATGCCTGGCTATTTTTTTTTTAATTTTATTTTTTTGTAGAGACTAGGTCTTATTATGTTGCCAGGGCTGGTCTTGAACTGCTGGCCTTAAGCAATCCTCCTACCTCAGCCTCCCAATGTGCTGGGATTACAAGCATGCACCACTGTGTGTGGCCAGGATTTGCTCATATTGCTGTTCTGTTTCTGTGCCCTGCTGTGGCCTGGTTTTGAATCCTGTTGGAGGCAGAGACTACGGACAAAGGGGGTGAGAGTACAGCAGCCTTCCCAGCACTCTCCTGTATCCTTAGCCCATCCTGGGCAACCCCAACAGCTTGGGGGACACCCCTCCTGACAGTGGAGACTAGTCCCAAGGCAAGAGCACAGGAGCATGTCAGAGGGGCAGTCTTCCCCGAACCAGGGGTGTCTCTCCAGGGGCCTTCTGACCCCTCCCCTTTGCTAAGAATCAGCTCCAAGCTCCACACCCCCATGTCTGTTCCCAAAGAGACCAGAGGCAAAAGGAAGATGCATTTTCTGTTATCAAGCCACGAAATCCTTATGCTTAATTAAAATGTGCCATGGCAACCAGTGAGGTGTGTGTAGCCTGGCGTAGAGTGGCCATCACCGCCAAAGGCGATGCCCACGTGCCATCCCTTTGTTCTTGGCTCTGGGAGAGGTGACCACACTGTTCCCTTTGTGAGCGTGGCCTTTGTCTGCAGCACAGAGCAGAACCGCAGAGCCTCGGTGGGGCTGATGCCTGGGGCCTTCTTTGGGCCAGTGCCCTTGCCAGGCTGGGAAGCTGGGCAGTCCCAGGGCAGGCATAGCCCAGTGTGTGTCAGCTGAGGGCTGTGCTGAGGACACAGGTGTGGTAAGACATGGTCCCTGCACTCTGGATGCTGCTGAGGGAGACAGACACACAGCCAGATTGCTATGTGACAGGGCTGTAAGACTTTGGTAGGGCATGAGAAGCAAGGTACCATGGAGCCTAGGCAGGGGCCTGAGGGTGGAATCAGAGGGGCTTCCTGGAGGAGGGGTCATTCGAGTAGTTGAGGACTAGTCAGGAGAAGGGAGGTGAATGTGAGTGAGATCAGAAGTGAGGAGGGAAGGGATGCTCCTGGCAGAAGGAGGAGCACAAGCCAAGGTGTGGGGTCATGGTGTGCAGGGGCTGGTGCGCAGGTCCAAGCTCCTGGACCATAAGGATCAGGAGGAAGTTGCAGGGACTGCGGAGGCTGGAGCAGGATCTTGGAGAGCCTGCGTGCCAGACTGAGAGACCTAGATGTGATGTGATCTGGGCAACATGAGCAACAGAAGGTGGCTAAGTGGATCAGAGTCAGATGAGAGGCTGCTGAACCAGTGGCCACCAGTGTGCCCTGGAGAAACTCAGATGGCTCCTCTGTCCCCCTGTGAGGCTGACATGTGCAGGGGCCACAGGGGGTCCTGAGGGACAGAGGGGGCGACCTGGGAGAACACTCACTCCCATTACGGAAGGACAGCACAAACTGCAAGCCCAGTGAGTGGCAGATCAGCAGGGCCCTAGGAAGGAGGTAGCCCAGCATCCAGGGACCAGAGTCGGTCTTGGAATCAGGTATCATTACTGCTGTGTGACCTCAGACAAGTCGCTTAACCCCTCTGGGCTTTGGGTTTCTCTCCCTCTCTCTCTCTCTCTCTCTTTTTTTTTCTTTTGAGGCAGGTTCTTGCTCTGTAACCTAGGCTGGAGTATAGTGGCAGGATCATAGCTCACTGCAGCCTCCACCTCTCAGGCTCAATCGATCCCCCTGCCTCAGCCTCCCGAGCAGCTGAGACTACACACATGCACCACCATGCCTGGCTAGTTATTCTATTTTTCCTAGAGACAGGTTTTCATTATGTTGTCTAGGCTGTGTTTCTCATTTTTAACATGAAGAGGAAATGAAATCACTTGCATGAATGATCTGTTTCATCCACTGACCATGAGTAGAGATCATCAAATATTGACAGAATGAGTAAGGGAAGGTAGTGTTGACCCACAGCACTGGGCACTCACCAGGCCCAGCAGTTTAAATTGTCAGGAGATGCCAGGAGAGTTGTGACAGCATTGGCTGCAGCAAAAGAGTCATTAGACTTGAGTTTAAAAGCTAGGAGTGTGAGGTCACTGCAGCTGTCTTAATATCCTAAATTAAAATCATATTAAGGCTTCATGAATGTTCCAGCTGCTTCTTAGTTGCCTTTGAGCTGCTGCATGAAGAATGGGAGGCCCTTGGGTTGTTTTTCGCAGGCTCCTGGCTTAGACTGGGCAGGAGAAGGCACAGCTGGGTGTGGCATGCACAGGGCCAAGGTAGGGAGACCAGAAACCTCACTTGGGAAACTTCATGGTCCAGAGACAGAATGTATCTCAGTACAAGGGCTGTTGCTTGTGTGGGGTAGATTTCCAAGATCTTTTAAAAGCCATCAATATAGAGGCTCCAGAGTCCCTGGACCATGATTATTTAAGTCATTTATTCGACATGAGGCTCCCTCTCCCGCCTCATCCAATTTACCCTCTGTCTTCTCTAGGTCAGCCTAGAAAGGAGGAACTGATTTTCTTTAAATAAATATGGGTTGCAGCTTATGATGCAGAGGGTCTAAGGACGCTTGTGATTTCTCAGTCCCCTTGTAAGGTTTAGGTTTGGAACCGAATTAAAACACCAAAGGCAAGAAGTCTAAAAGGGAGAGATGATTCCTGCTGATTCCTTCTGGCACCTGCAGTGCCTGTGACAATCTGCCCCACGGGGAGCCCATGCCACTGAGAGGGAAATGGTTCAATTCAGGACTGGTAAGAAATTGGGCTCATATACCAGCCATTAGGGAACTTTACTTGATGAGAAAATGAGAACCTTTTGTAGTTGCTAAAGAGAGCACCATTCTTAATTTGACCTCTTCTTGGTCATGGGAGATGGGCACTTTATCGGAAACTCAAGTGCTCAGAGTAAGAAGAAAAAGGAAGCCGCTGGTGTGAGGAAGGGAGGCCAGCCGCATCTTATTCCCTTGTGTCCATGCTGTGTTCTTGGTGTGCGGTCCCTGGAGCAAGTGCAAGGAATAAGACAAAGACATCAGTGACTGTGTCTCCGATGGACAGTGACGCTAGTCTTTTGTAAGAGCTACGATGGGACAACATGGGGATGCATGAGAGCTCTCTCATGAGCAGCAGACAAAAACTGTTTTCAGAGCAGGGAAATCTATATTGGCATTTGGCACAACATTTGAATTATTTGATGAACTAGATAAGGTCTGACATCCTTTTGGTCAGGTTGTTTGCCCAAGGTTTATACATGGGAACAGTCCAGTTAGACAAGTAGACTGAAGGGAAGTGGGATGAAGTTCAGAAGTGGGGTCTGGGTGGTTTGAGTTCTGCAACTTGATCCATTTTCAGTTGTTTGAGCTTGAACTATGTACTGTAACTTTTTGGACTTTATTTTTCTGAAAGATGAAACATGTTTCATAAATTTGATTTATAATCAGAATTGTTTCCAGGTCCAGGTATTATGAGTCCGTAATGATTTCCACTGCCCTAGACTCCCACCAAGGCACAGATTGGCTTCCAGAAAGTTGTTCTGATGATCTCCTCCCTCTAGGCAGCCAAAGAGCAGCTGCCAATTAATTCAGGGTTAACCGTGTCTATCTGCCTCTCTGGGGAGTGCTGTGGTGTGGTACACAGTTGACTTTATCAGGGCTTGTTACTTGACAATTTTGAAGGTGGAAAATGTGCTTTAGGACACCATGTATATTGGTCTAAACCACTGACTAGTTTAGTACTTGCAACAAATGGCCTTCACAGACAACATTTGAAAGATGCGATTTTGCAGTAGCCAGGGAGAAAGCCCAAGTCTAGAAGGGAAGGAGAGCTTTGAGGGGGCTAGAGTGGTGGGGCGGAATTGTTTAAAAGAAGAATTAGAGGAAAAAGAAACAAGAAACTTGCATGCATGCTACTTCCAATCCTGAGACTTTGTGATACAGAGCAGGGAATCAGCTTTAATCTGAATGCCTACCAAAAAAGTGGGAGGATCACTCATAATACGAGTAAATTTCTCATATCTAAAACAATGCTCTTCTCAGTTACATGGAGACAGTCACTGTCAGAACTGAATGGAGTCAGGGTGGCTCTCTGGCCCCTTCCTTATAATCAAATAAAGGACACTTTTAGCAGCCTTAGCCTGTGTGGTAGATTTGTAGGGTAACTTGTTGGTGACTTTCATTTGAATTTCTTGATTACAAAAGAGGTCAATTACCTTTTTATTAATACATATTTACTGGCATTTAGGTTTCCACTTTGTAAAATGTCTGTTCAAGTCTTGAAAAAAATACTGAATTGTCTGAGTTTCTCATACTGATTTCTGAGGCTTCTTGATATATTCTGGATGTGAGCCCTTTGTTGGTTTTATGTGTTGGAAATAATTTCTGCTCTGTGGCTTCCATTTCCTTTCTCTTACTAGTATGTTTTGATAAACAGAAACTTTTAATTTGAATGTAATGAATGTTACCAATCTTTTGCTTTATAATTAATGTTTTATAATTCTTTCTCACAAAGACAGTCTTCTGTACTATTTTGCCTTTTACATTTAGGTCTATAATCTGCCTGGAGTTGACTTTTGAGTATAGTGTGACGTAGAGGTCCACTTTAATTTTTTTCATATGGATATCAAATTGTCTCAGCTCTATTTGTTATCCTCCCCCATGGATTGGCAGTGCTAGCTTTACAATAAATCAAGTGTCTATACATGCTGGGATTTGTTTCTTGGTTTTATATTCTGTTCCATTGGTCTATTTGTCTCTCTTTGAGCCAGTATACTGTGCTACATTTAATAACAGTTTTATTTTCTGATCTTAACAGCTAGCAGGAAAAGTACTCTATCTTGTTCAAGAGTTTCTTAACTATTCTTGTCCTTTTGCTTTTTCATATAAAATTTAGACTTGCCTTTCAATTTACACAAAATATCTGTTGGGATTTTGCTAATGGTATTGCATTGAATCTATGGATCATTTTAGCGAGAAAATTAGTATCTTTGCAATCATTGAGGCTTCCAATCCATGAACATCATGTATACGTAGCACAGTATACTGGCTCAAAGAGAGACAAATAGACCAATGGAACAGAATATAAAACCAAGAAACAAATCCCAGCATGTATGGACACTTGATTTATTGTAAAGCTAGCACTGCCAATCCATGGGGGAGGATAACAAATAGAGCTGAGACAATTTGATATCCATATGAAAAAAATTAAAGTGGACCTCTACGTCACACTATACTCAAAAGTCAACTCCAGGCAGATTATAGACCTAAATGTAAAAGGCAAAATAGTACAGAAGACTGTCTTTGTGAGAAAGAATTATAAAACATTAATTATAAAGCAAAAGATTGGTAACATTCATTACATTCAAATTAAAAGCTTCCATTTACTTAGGTCTCTTTTTAACTTTTATTTTAGGTTCAAAGGTATATGTGCAGGTTTGTTACATAGGTAATCTGCATGTTATGAAAATTTGGTGTACAGATTATTTTGTCACCCAGGTAAATGCATAGTATACTTAGGTCTTCTTTAATAGTTTCATAATTATGTGGTTTTATCCATGGAGGTCTTGAAGAAGTACTTGCTACTTTTGATGCAACTGAAAATTGTATCATTAAAAATTATTTTTTGTATATAGAAATACAATTATTTTTTATATATTGATTTTTAAAAAAAATGTAGTAGGCTTGCCGAATTCCATTATTAATTATAATAAACTAAGGATTTTAAAGGATTTTAAAATATAAACAATAGTATCATCCACAAATAATGACAGTTTCATGTCTTCCTTTCCAATCCTTACACTATTTATTTATTTGCCTTATTGCACTGGCTAGGACCTCTTGTAAAATGTTCAATAGAAGTAGTGACAGTGGACATCATTGTCTTGTTTGCAATCTTAAAAATAAAACTCTCATAATTTTACCATTAAGCATAATGTTTGGTGAGAGTGTATATCCTTTATCAGTTTAGGGAAACTTCCTTCTATTTCTGGTTTATTACAACTTTTTCCTCCCCCCATCATGAAGGATGATGAATATTATCAAATGCTTCTTCTGTACTATGAAAAAAAGTCACTTAATTTTTTTTCTTTAATCTGTGAATGTGGTAAAATACATGGATTTTTCTAATGTTAAACCAACCTTGAATTCCTGCTCTAAACCCAACTTGATCTATATTGCTGGATTTGGTGTGTTAATATTTGTTTAGGATTTTTATATCCATGTGAATGAGAGATTGGGATATGATTTTCTTTTATTGTACTGTATTTATCAGATTTTCATGATGAAGTTATACTAGCCTAATGAATTGAATATATAGCTACAGTGTTTTAGTTGTAATAGTCTTGCCAGGACACTGCTGTTTCTGCTAGATATTACCACTGCTACCACTGCTTTCGGATTCTAACTTTCTCTTGTTTATTTTCTCATTTGTTCCAGATTCAAAGTCCTGGGTGGAAGTATCTGATTGGTTGAGTAGACTATTGGGAGATGGTGAGAGGGAGGCTCAAGTTCTCTTGTTGTTTATGATTAGGAAGGGTATACTGCTTTCCAACAAGGCTGGTGCGTGTTGTATGCTATACAGATTGTCCTGTCTGCCTCTACCCAAAACCCCACAAATGTCCTGTACAATAACTCTGTATAGTACGGTTACGGTTATTCTTTTCTTTTTTTTTTTTCCCGAGATGGTGTCTCACTCTGTTGCCTAGGCTGGAGTGCAGTGGCACAATCTCTGCTCACTGCAACCTTCATCTGCCAGGTTCAAGCAATTCCCTTGCCACAGCCTCCCGAGTAGCTGGGACTGCAGGCATCCGCCACCATGCCTGGCTGATTTTTATATTTTTAGTAGAGACAGGGTTTCACCATGCTGACCATGCTGGTCTCGAACTTCCAACCTCGTGATCTGCCCACCTCAGCCTCCCAAAGTGCCTGGATTACAGGCGTGAGCCACGGTGCCGGGCCAGTACAGTTATTCTTATGCTCATTAAAGATTAAGAACACTGTGGCCCGGTGCAATGGCTCACGCTTGTAATCCCAACACTTCGGGAGGCTGGGGCAGGCGGATTGCTTGAGCCCAGGAGTTCAAGACCAACCTGGGCACCATGGTGAAACTCCGTCTCTACCGAAAAAAAAAAAAAAAAAAAAATTAGCCAGGCATGGCGGCGTGCCCCTGTAGTCCCAGCTACTTGGGAGGCTGAGGCAGGAGAATTGCTTGAACCCAGGGGGCGGAGGTTGCAGTGAGCCTAGATGGTGCCACTGCACTCCAGCCTGGCGACAGAGCGAGACTCTGTCTCAAAAAAAAAAAAGAAAAAACAAAAACAAAAAAATACAAAAATTTGCGAGGCATGGTGGTGCATGTCTGTAGTCACAGCTACTTGAGGGGCTGAGGTGGGAGGATCCCTTAAGCCCAGGCTGTTGAGGCTGCAGTGAGCCGAGATAGCACCACTGCACTCCAGACTGGGCAATGGGAGTGAGAACCTTTAAAAAAAAAAAAAAAATTAAGAACACTGAGTTGGACCAAAGGAAGGAATAAAAGAAAATGTATATACAGATTGACAGATTTTTGGGTGTTCACCCTGTTCTGCATTTAAGATAATCTGAAGTCCCTGGTAGTGAAGTTTGGAATTTGGGTAACCCAAGGGGTTCTTGCTTGCTTGCAGGATTTACTCTATTTTAACTCAACATCACCCTCCGTAATCATCATCCTTAATACACATTAAAGCATTGGTGAGTTGTGAGGAGTTAGTGAAGTGATAAATGTGAAAGCACCATGCACACTATTCAGCACACAGTACCTGCTCAATAAATGATTGTTTTGAGTATTAAACTTCCTTGATAAATTCCACATACAATGGTGTTTTAAAATGTTATACAGGAGAGCATGGCTGCTTGCATTTTCAAGTTGACTGCGCAGTGGAGCTAAACAGAAAATGCTGTCCCTCTTGCAGCCTTGGCCACTGGGCTTAGGATGCCTGGGACAGGTGAATCTTCTCTAATGGTCAGGTTCTAAGGTAGTTCCTAAGTTAAATTTGCATTTGAGATGCCACTGATTTACTTTTTACCACTAATTATTTTATGGATTTCAAACATGTTTGTCTTTAACTTTCTGTTTTTCAAAAATTATGAGAAGCTTATGTTTCCATTGCTCTTCCCAGGCAGGTGATTGATTTTGGATGTATTTGTGATCTCCCCAGTTTCCATCATGGCTGGTTTGCATAAGTCCAGCCACACACCTGTGTATGATATGCCAGGGCATGCTCGAGGTGGGGGGGTCGGGTTTTTGTCCCCCTCCCTCCCCTACTCCACACCATTGTTAGTGATTCCCAGAAATCTGGTTATTTTTATGGTCTCAACAGAACAGTGTGTTCAGAAAACAGTAGATCCTGGAGTCTACATCTGGTATATAGAATCCTGGTGTAATCAAGAGCTTCAAGTCCTAAGTCTTTTAAGAGGGCTGCATCTTTATTATTTTTTTCTCCAGATTTCTCTTCTAGCTGCCCAGGATCCTCTCAGCCTCTCATGAAGCCCTGGAGATAGAGCTCTTTATCTTCATCTCCATTGAAGAACTGGAAATCACAGCACCCCTTAGGCATGGAGGTGTTAGTGTTCTGCTGTTTTAATTGTTCATGAAGTGATGATTGACCCATCCTGAATGTTCAGGGGGTCTCCCAGTGTGCCCCCTGAACAAAGGAAAATAGTTAATTTAAAGAGTTTTTGTTCATTTGTGAAGATTATTTATTTGGTTATTTTGGGCTCTCTTTTGCTTGTTCCTGTGATTATAAACATAGCATACATAATTATTAAATGAACACTGTCTCTCTTTTTTTTAACTTTTATTTTAAGTTCAGGGGTACATGTGCAGGTTTGCTACATAGGTAAACGTGGGGTTTACTGTACAGATTATTTCATCACCCAAGTATGAAGCCCAGCACCCATTAGTTATTTTTCCTGATCCTGTCCCTCCTCCCACCCCCCACCCTCTGATAGGCCCCAGTGTGTGTTGTTCCCCTCTATGTGTCCATGTGTTCTCATCATTTATCTCCCATTCGTAAGTGAGAACATGTGGTATTTGGTTTTCTGTTCCCATTAGTTTGCTAGGGATAATGGCCTTCAGCTCCATCCACGTCCCTGCAAAGGACATGATCTCATTCCTTTCTATGGCTGCACAGAATTCCATGGTGTATATGTACCACATTTTCTTTATCCAGACTATCAGTGATGGGCATTTAGGTTGATTCCATGTCTTTGCTACTGTGACTAGGGCTGCAATGAACATACATGTGCATGTGTCTTTATAGTAGAACAATTTATATTCCTTTGGGTATATACCCAGTAATTGTATTGCTGGGTCAAATGGTATTTCTGTCTTTAGGTCTTTGAGGAATCACCACACTGTCTTTCACAATGGTTGAACTAATTTACACTCCCACCAACAGTGTATAAGTGGAATGAATACTATCTCTTAAGAAATGTTTTATTTTTCCTATTTGCAAAAGGCCTATGTTCTTTGTAGAAAGTTCAAATAATATACAGATGTTTGAAATAGAGTATAAATATCTCCTTGCCCTCTACTTTAGTATTACTCCCTAAAGGGTTACTATTGACCAAAGTTAGGTGTATATTATTCTAGATTTTAGAAATGTAAATAGAAGCTTCATGCACAGCTACTTGTGAACACAAACACTCATACCCACACATCCACACAATGCATATATTGAGTTTTTTTTTTTTTTTTTTTTTTGAGACAGGGTCTTGTTGTGTTGCCTAGGCTGGAGTGCAGTGGCATGAGCATAGCTCACTGTAGGCTTGATCTCCTGTGCTTAAACAATCCTCCCGCCTCATAGGTGTGAGCCACCATGCCTGGCTAATTTTTGTTTTTTAAATGTTTTTGTAGAGATGGGGTCTCATTATGTTGTTCTGGCTGGTCTCATCCTGGGCTCAAGTGATCTTTCTGCTTTGGCTGTCCAAAGTGGTAGGGTCACAGGCATGAGCCACTGTGCCTGGCCTGAGATTTTTTTTCTCCTTGAAAATTGGATCATCCTATAGTAATATTTTTCAGTTCTCTTTTTTTGATTCCCCAATATATCATGGGTATCTTTCCACTTTAATTAATACTCATTGATCCAGTTCTTTAATGGCTGTATAATAATCTATTTAGTCAATCCCATTGTTTTGCTATACCAAATGATGCTGCAGCCAGCTCCTTGTATAGCTGCCCTTGCACAGCTGCGTGAATATCTCTGTTGCATAGATCCCCAGAATAAGATAGGACCTTTTAATTAAAGCCCCCAGCACAGGCCACAAGCCTTTAGAGGGTTGCTCCATAAATATTGGTTGATGACAATACTATGTTGTCATATTAATTAAAACAGGAAAAGACCCATTAGGGCAACAAATGCACATTCACAGGGCAAACTGCTTCTAAGGAAGGCAGACATAACACTTAATATTCTCATCTGCGAAAAGCCAAACCACATTAAATGTAATAAGTAGCAAGTTGCCTGTGTTCTAGCATGTAAAATATTCCCAAAGGAGTGTTAGCTTGACAGAATGCATAAAGATACTGCATTAAAGATAAAACAGAGGGACTATTTACCCAGCATATTTACGTAGAAAATATACAATTTGATCTAGATAGAGGCTTTTACTGTATAAATTATTGTGGCCCCTACTTCAATCACAAACAGCCTTCAAGTTGGGCAATTGCGTTATAGAAAAAGGAGAAGAGAACAGTTTTCAATTGTCTAGAATGAGCTTCAAAAACAGGCAACTCGGTTCTGATAGAACAATTTAAACTGCCCGTCTCCTTATCTGATGTGGACATCATTTTTCAGAGGGGGCAACCAGCTCGAATTAAATAGTTTTGCTGCAGACAGTCTGTCTGTCTATTCCCGCCCCCCCGCACTTTCCTTCCCCATGCAGGGTGCTGCAGGCCTCTGCTAATTTAGGAAGATTGGTCTGGGCAGTGGTAAAGTGAGATGAATAGAAACAACTTTAACAGAGAAAAAAATGAGTGATATTAAAAAAAAAAGAATAATAATGGATAGTCAGAGACTGATTTGACACTGGAGACTACATTCCTGCCTGTTTGATTGTCTCATAAAGCCTTTAGAAACCCTGAGCTTTATTTGCAAATGATCTTCACTGTGGACCAAGAGTTCAACAGGAAAAATAATGAGTAAAATCTATGAGTTGGCTTGAGCCAAATAGGGCTATCGTGCCTTTGTGAGAAGAGGTGAGAGAGAGCATCTCAGAGACCATTTTGATCAAATTGCCATGATTCAGGCAGGGGCTGCTTATCTTATTGTCTCAGGTGCTTCCCGGGCCTCCTGCATTCCCCTGGCCTCCTCCCTCCATTTTAACTTAGGCCGAGTGAGCTGCAGCTGCAAGGACAGGAGGGGTCTCTTCCTCCAGCCCCAGTGGAGCATTTGAGCAGACAGAATGCTGGGGGGTGCAAAGAGCCGGGTAGGCATTTAGAGAACTTGAAGACATTCAGGGATAGTTTCTTTTCTTTCTTTTTTGTTTTTGATTTGCTACAAGATGCTGCAACTCACAGTCGGCCTAAAGCTGCCTTTCTTCCCGGCATACAAATGTAAATGTGTATGATTTTTAAAAGCCTTTTTATTTTGAAATAATTTAAAATTTACCGAAAATAACTCCTGTGTACCAGTCACCTAGATTCACCAGTCAGTACCATTTTGCCACATTGCTTTGTTTCTACAATTTCTCTTTCACATGTAAATACTTCAGTGTGTATCCCCTGAACACAGGGACATTCTCCTGCACATGGTAGTAAGGTTATTGACACTGGGAAATGTAACAGTGATACCTGCATGTATGCACACATGCTGTTATCCAACCTACAGTCCATATTCAAATTATAGCAAGTGTTCTATTTTTTAATCTTCTTTTATCTGGAATGATTCTTTAGCCTTTCTTTGCGTTTTACGACCGTGATAATATACTTTCTTAAGATAGAGTCTTGCTCTGTCGCCCAGGCTGGAGTGCAGTGGTGTGATCATAGCTCACTGTAGCCTCAAACTCCTGGGCTTAAGTAATCCCTTCACCTCAGCCTCCTGGGTAGCTAGAACTACAGGCATGCAACACCACACCAGGCTAATTTTTAAATTTTCGTAGAGACAGGGTCTTGCTGTATTGTCCAGGCTGGTCTTGAACTCCTGGCCTCAAACTATCCTCCCACCTCACTACTCCTGGCCATAGCTTGATATTTTTGAAGAATAAGGACTAGTTTTGTTTTGTAGAATATCCCTCACTCTGTGTGTGTCCGATGTTTCATGATTAGATTCAGGTTATGTGTTTGGGCAGGAAGCCATAGATTGTTGTTCTCAGTGCATTATGTAAGTGGCACGTGATGCCAATTTGTCTCATTAGAAGTGATGTTAATTTGGATTAGCATCAGGTAAGAAAGCTAGTGTCTGCCACTGTTAAATTACTATTTTCTTTTTTGTAATTAATAAATAATCTGAATCTTGTAAATATCCTGTTTCCCATTAAACTTAATAGTTGTAGCATCCTGGCAATTCTCACATGTATTATTTTTGTAATTAGTGGGACACAACTAGGTTCCTGGAGATGCAGTTGTTTGGCAAAAGACTGTATTTCTGAGCAGCCAGAGTGGATCTAGTCAGATCAGAAAGAAGCCAGCTTATCTGGGTGACTTAAAATTTACACTACTTTTTCTTGTCTTAGGCTGTGACATTCTTCTCCCATGTGGCCCAGGTTGTTCTGTGATAGAACCAGGGTTGCAAGTCATACCCTCACTTAGTCATTCAACAAATATTTACTGAGAAGCTACTGTAACCCAGGCACTGTTTGAAGAGATACAAAAAAGAAAAAGAAGTCCTAGCCCCTGTCCAGAGGCTGGTGGGAGAATAGATATGGGGACAGGGCTGCGGATCAAGGGGCAGCCCCTTTAAGAAGGTGAGGGTCACTTCACAGAAGAAGTAAATTGTTTTTAAACTGATTATTACAAAGGTGATACAGGAGTTGGGGGTGGGTGGTTCCACACACCCTTATCCAGTTTATCCCAGTGGTTATATTTTACATAATTATAGTACAACATAAAAAATGAGAAAATTGACATTAATACAATGTGTGTGTACAGTTCTATGATATTTTATTATATGTGTAGGCTTTTGTATCCACTACTGCAATCAAGATACAGAACTATTCCATTACCACAAATATCTCCCATTTCATAGTTATTTATATCCATTCTCCCACAACCTTCCACCAACTCTAACTTCTGGCAACCATCGATCTCTTTCATTTTGTTTCAAGAATGCTCTATAGATGGAATTTTGCATTATGTGATCTTGAGATTGGCTTTTTTCACTTAACATAATACCCTTGAGATCTGTCCATGTTGTTGCATGAATCAGTATTCCATTCCTTCTTCTTCTTCTTTTTTTTTTTTGCTGAGTAGTATTCCATAGTATGAATGTAGCACAGTTTGTTTAACCACTTACCTACTGAGTGACACTTTGGTTTTAGTTTTTGGCTATTACAGAAAGCTGCAATAAACAATCATGTACAGGCCTTTGTGAGGACATAAACCTTCATTTCTCTGGGATAAGTGCCTAGGATGCAATTGATGGGTTGTATAGTAAGACTGATTTTTTTTTTTAAGATTGTTATGTTTTCACGGTAAATTGACCCTTTTATCATTATGTAATATCCCTCTCTGTCCCTGGCAATTTTCTTTACTTTGAAGTCAACTTTTTTTCTTGTGTTAATATAGCTACTCCTGTTGCTTTCTTTTGATTAATGTCTGGATGGTATGGTCATTTCTTAGTATCCTTGGGGAATTGGTTCTAGGACCTTCTGTGGATGCCAAAATCTGCTGATGCTTAAGTCCCTTATATACAATGGTGTAGTATTTGCACGTAACCTACACACATCCTTCTGTATACTTTAAATTATCTCTAGGTTACATATAATACCTAATACAATGTAAATGTGATGTAAATAGTTGTTATACTGTATTACTTAGGGAATAATGACAAGGAAAAAATCTGTACATGTTCAGTATAGGTGCAGTTTTTCTTTCAGATATTTTCAATTCACAGTTATTATGTTGGTGCAAAAGTAATTGCAGTTTTTGACGTTAAAAATAATGACAAAAACCACAATTACTTTTGTACCAACCTAATAGTTGACTCCACAGATGTGGAAACTACAAATACTTTCAACTTATATATATCACTATATTTGAAGAGAGTTTCTTATAGACAGCATATAGTTAGGTCATTTTTTTGAAGTCAATTCTGACAATCTCTGTTTTTTAATTGGCGTGTTTATATCATTTACATTTAATGTGACTATTGCTGTGATAAGCTTAAGTTTGCCCCTTTTTTTGTTTTATGTTTCTTCTCCTTTTTCATTTTTCTGTTTTTTTTTCTGCCTTTCTGTGAGTTGCTTGAACATTTTTTAGAATGCTAATGTTTTTGGGTATATCTCTTTGTATGACTTTTTTTTAGTGGTTGCTTTAGACATTGCAGTACATGTACATAACTTATCTAAATTGACTAGCGTCCACATTTACCAGTTCAAGTGAAGTGTAGAGACCTTATCATCTTTTATATCCTTTTGTCATTCTTGATTTATCATATTATTGTCTTAAACATTTTCTCTAGGTACATTGAGAACCACATTAGACAATTTTATAATTTTTGCTTCAACTGCCAAACTAATATAGAAAGCTCAAGAGAAAAAGGAAACACTATTGTATTTATCTGTATTTTTGCATTTTCTGTGCTCATTCTTCCCTCCTGAGGTTGCAAGATTTCTTCTTTAATCATTTTCTTTCTGTTGAGGGAACTTCATTTAATTATTCTCTTAGGACAGGTCTGCTGGTGAGAAATCATCTTAGTTTTTTTTTTTTTTAATCTGGGAATGTCTCGACTTCCTCTCCATTCATGAATAATATTTCTTTTTTACTGGATATAAAGTTCTGCATTGACAGGTCTTTTCTTTCAGTACTGAAAAATGTGCCAATTTCTTCTGGCTTTTTTAGTTTCTGATGAGAAATCTATAGTAATTTGGATGGTTTTTCTCTTATAAGCAACAAGTTACTTTTTTTCTGGCTGCTTTCAATATTTTTTTCTTGTCTTTAATTTTTAGAAATTTGACTGTAATGTATGTTGAAGTGGATTTCTTTGGGTTTATCCTGTTTGGGTTTGCTCAGCTTTCTGAATTTGTAGGTTTATGTCTCTTGCCAAATTTTGTTAGTTTTTAGCCATTATTTCTTCAAGTACCTTTTCAGCTGTATCCACTTCCTCCTCTCCTCCTGGGACTCTACTGACACAAATGTTTGATCTTTTGTTATGCAGTAGTCATCTCTTGGTATCCACAGGAGATTAGTTCCAGGACCCCTCTCGAATACCCAAATCCACCGATGTTCAAGTCCCTTAAATAAAATTGCATAGTATTTGCATCTAACCTAGGTGCATCCTTCTATATACTTTAAATCATCCCTAGATTACTTATAATACCTAATACTATGTAAAATGTCATACAATATAATACCTAATACAATATTAATAGCTTTATACTGCATTGTTATTTATTTGTATTATTTTTATTATTGTATCATTTTTTATTTTTTTTCCCCCAAATATTTTCAATCTATGGTTGGTTGAATCCATGGATGAGGAATCCATGGATACAGAGGGCCAACTGTATTTCCCAGGCTCCTGATGTTCTGTTCATTATTTTTAGTTTATTTTCTCTCTAATCAATTTGAGTAGTTTCTATTGTTTTGTCTTCAAGTTCATGGATTCTTTTCTGTGTCTTCTCCATGCTGCTGTTGAGCCCATCCATTGAGGTTTTATTTTGGTTATTGTGTTTTTTGGTTCTAATATTTCCATTTGATTTTTCCTTATAGCTTCCTTATAGCTTTGGTAGTATTTTCTGTTTCTTTGCTGTTATTTTCAATTTTTAAAAATTTGTTGCATGTTCTTAACTGCTTATTGAAATATTTTTGTAATGACTACTTAAAAATCCTTATTAAATAATTCTAACATCTGTGTCATTTTGGTGTTGACATCTGTTAATAGTCTTTTTTCATTTATTTTGAGATCTTCCTGGTTCTTGGTATGAGGAGTGATTTTGAATAAAACCTAGGAATTTTGATATTATGTTATGAGACTCTGGGTCTTACTTAAAATTTGTGTTTTAGCAGGCTTTCTCTGACACTACTCTAGTGGATGAAAGAAACCACCATGGCTAGGAGGGGCATTAGTGCCTCTTTTCTACACCCTACATGGTCTCCACTGCCATTATGTATGTATGTGTGTTGGGTGAAGGGGTGGCCTTGTTCTCTCCAATGATACCACCCCAGTGGGGAGAAGGAGCACCTTTTTATACATGGATTGGGTGAAAATCTAAGCTCCCCATGAGGTCTCCACTGACACCTTGGTGGTGGTGGGGCACCTTGTTTCTCTGGGTGGGATGAAAGTTCAAGCTCTCTCTCAGCCTTCTTTGACACCTCCCTAGCAAGGCTAGGGTGGGGGTTGGGGTGGCTTGTTGCAGCCTGATGAGGGTGGATGTTTAGGTTCCCCACTTGGCCTCTGTGGGTCCACTGGAGGGCTTTGAGGTGTGGCAAGATCGGATTGTAGTTTTAGAAAGTTCACCCTGATTGCCTTATGAAAAATATTAATAGCTCAGGCATGGGGTGGATCAGAGGGTGGAGCAGGAGAGCAGTGAAAAGGCTATGGTAAGATCCAGGGTCAGATATGGTGGCTGGGAGGAGGACAGTGGAAGCCAGAGTGGTGGTAAGAAGTGAGACTCCATATCTACGGCAAAGGTTGAGTTGGCAGCATTTACCAAGGGACTGGATGTGGATGTGTGAGGAAGATAGGAGAGGAAGTGGACTGACTGAGCCAATGTGGGGTGAGAGCAATGGTTGATTTGGAAGTTGCTTTTTTTTTTCTTTTTTTTAAGTAAGAGAAAGTTAAAGCATTTTCATTTGTTTTTAATGGGAGCAAGATGTTCAGGGAGCCATCTTCTCACAGGGAGCAGGAGAGCAGGATAGAGCCCTGGGTGGGGGAACAGGCAAGATGCTTATGAAGTCATTTGTGCAGCTGCGTGATCTTGGACAACTGCTCCGGTTCATTTAGTTACTTAGATCTGTAAGCCTTCGTTTTTATCATCTGGAAAATGGCAATAAAAGGGGAATCAGCCTCATAGGTAATCCTCTGTGAGAATTAAAAGAGGTGAAGGATACACTGAACATAGTGCCTGATGCCTACAAAGAGAGCCATGATGTTCTTTCTCTTCGCAATGGAAGTAGGATGGAGCTGCCGATTCTGCTCCCTGATCCTGGACCACGGCTCCACCCTTGTCCTGGTGTTGACATCCCTTCAGGGGTAGGGGCATGGGCTCTAATCCACATCTTTGCCTCTGATTTTGCAGCCTGCTGAAGGGCCTTCACCTGATCTGGCAGGTGCTGTGAACACCCTGAAAGCTGTTGAGGGTCCAACAAGATCACCCTTGGTGTGGACCGACCTGGGCACTATTGACAGTTTGAATCAGATAATTCTTTGTTGTGGAGGGCTGCTCTACATACAGTAGGGTGTTGAACAGCATCTTTGGCCTTTATCCACTAGTTGCCAGTAGCACCTTTCCCCCATGTGACAATCAAAAAATGCCCCTGGACATTGTCAGATGCCTCCCAAGGAGCAAAATTACACTGATTTGAGAACCACCAGTGCAGACTGATTACTGAGGTGTAGTGACTGGGGGATGGCAGAGGAGAGGGCCCTTTGTGACCTTGGATGGGGCCCAGGGTGGGAGTTTTCTGCCCTTTAGAGGGAGCTTCAGGTTGTTCCTCTTGGCCATCTTCACACAGAAAAGGTCACAGGGCCTTTGTCTCAGGGCTGTGGTGTGCTCTGGAATGGGGAGCAGGATAGGAGTGTGGCTGCTGTTCCCTGCTCTTCCCTCCTTTCCCCAACTACACCTTGACCTCCATCCCATTCTCCTCCTGCCCCTGCTGGTCCCCCATGGCTAGCCATGGGGCAAGTGTTGCAGGATGAAAAGGTCAGAGAAGTTCCAGAGCCATCATCAGAGAGGAGAGGGCCTCTATGCAGTCCTTCCACTGAAGCATCCATTTGTAAATAAGGAATAGCTCAAGAATTGGGCTTTAGAGTCATTGGAACTGCAGGCAGTGCCCGTCACTGCCATTTCCTAGTTGTATGCCCTCAAGGGCAAGTAACTTCTCCTCTGGGCCTCAATTTCCTCATCTGTAAACTGGGATAATTACATCCCTGCCTAATAAGGCTGCAGTGAGGCTAAAATGCCCTGATGGATATAAAGCATTTAACAGAGTGTCTGCTACATAAATATTAGCTATCATCATCATCATCGTCATCAAAAACAATCATATGTGAAAGTACTTGGTGGATTGTGGGGCTCTATACACATGGTAGTTGTAGAAAGGAGGTGTTCTGTTGAGAGACTCAGGGTGTCTTAATGCTGTGCATATTATTTAGTAACCAATCAGATGCATGTTCCCAGCCTTAGAAACTGTCACATGACAGTCTTAGGACTACCAAGGCATAGGACAGGCAGGGAGAAAGGAAAGACAATATCATCTACTTTGCTAACAACATACTTCCTTGGAGGAGAATGGGCTGAAGGGAACATGAAGTGTGTTATTAAATAAATTTTCAGTCATTTCTTCAGAAGGGTAAGGCATTCAGAGAAGGAAGGGCACCCTTGAAGATGGAAAACATTTATCATGAGGATGTCCAAACTTGATACTTGCCCTGCATAGATCTGAGCCCCCATCTCCCCAGTGTCCATCACACCTCAGGAGATACTTCTCAATGTCTAAGCGAGACACGGTGTCACTTTAACCCAATTCCACAGACCCTGTGGCCATAGCTCAGTTGCTTGAGAACAAACTAGGAGAAGCAGCTGCCAGCTGAAAGTTACAGGTTGCTTCCATTAACCCGCCAATGACTACACTTGACACAGAAGAATGGGTCTCAACCTCCCACGTCTGGTGATAGATTGAAGAAGTTCAATTTGCTTGAAGTTACACTTGGTGGGAACTTTATTACCACATCTGTCTTGACAATCTTCTGTTCTGTCTGCTTGCATGTTCCTGGAGAAGCTTTGAACTGCAGAGTCAAGTCTCTGCTTTCTTTGAGCTCCCGAATTCTCAGAGGTGACCAAGAAATGGCTATTCTCAGATTGGGGTGGTCTTATCCTGGCATTGATTGGAGAACTTCACAGGGTAATGTAGTGGGGTAGTCTCCTTAGTCACATGGCCTGTGGATTGGTCCCTCTCTCTGGGTTGACACTCTGAGGCCACATTTACCCTGACAAGCCAATTTAATGCATTCAGCTTGAATAGGGGTTCATTCAAATCAGGAGAACAATTTGTTTGTGAGTGGAGGGGGGCAGGGGGAGGGGTAGATTGAAAAATTGTTATTCCAATAATTTTTTCTTGGTTGCTAGTAAGAAAAACCCAATGCACACTGCAGTAAATAAAAATTTACTGGGATTGTGCATGTCTTTTGCAGCAACATGGATGGAACTGGAGGCCATTATCATTAGTGAATTGACTCAGAACTAGAAAGTCAAAAACCACATGTTCTCACTGATAGGTGGGACTTAATGGCCACACACAGGCATATAGAGGGGGATAGGAGACATGGAGACTCCAAAAGTTAGGAGGGTGGGAAGAGGGTAAGAGATGACATACTACCTATTGGGGACACCATGTGGGTGATGGGTACACTAAAAGCCCAGACTTTATCACTATGCAGTGTTTCCATGTAACACAAGTGCACTTGTACCTCCAAATCCATAAAAATAAAAGATTTTTTAAAACGAGATTATGTTATAACAACACAAAGGAATTGTAAGTAATTCAAAGATACTCAGTTACTGTGGGCCCTCATGTGGGAGAGGAAGCAGGATTGGAAAGGGCCACGTCCAGAGGCTGCCATCTTTTTCACTTTTCTCCCAGTCATACCTCATGGCTGAAGATGGCTCTCCTATAACCTGGAGAGTTTACATGTCTCCCTTCTAGCCAGTCTCAGGGACCAAGACAAATATACTCCAGCTTCAATTCTAACCTCCATCCCAAGGCCAATAATGTGGTCAGGGGTGGAGTTAAGTATGACTAACGAGGCTGCCGGGGTCTTTCCCCTTGGGTTGGGAGAAGTAGCTCTCACAGAAAGGGGCTTTTAGTGAGTTTGGTAGACACCTGTTTCAGTTATGTATTATTGTTTAGGAAACTAACCCAAAACTTAGTAGCTTAAAATGACTGCCAACTTTGTCATTTCTTATGATTCAGTGAGTTAAGAATTTGCACAGAGCATAGTGGGATTGGTTTGTCTCTGTTCCACTTGATGTCCATGGGGGCTGGAACAGCCACAATGTCTTTTTCACTCACTGTCTGTAGCTCAGCTAGAAGGTACCCAGGGCTGCAATAAGTCCTGGGTATGGGGCTTGTTGTCTCAAGGCATCTCTCTTCATAATAACCTCTCCATCTGGAGTCTCTAGCAGGGTAGCTCGACTTCTTATATGGTGGCACTAGGCTCCCAGGAGGTTAAAAGCAGCAGCTTTAAAACGTTCTGGAAGCTGAGGCCAAGAATTGGCATGGTATCACTTTCCCTGCATTTTATTGGTTAAAGCAGGTTGCAGTCTCAGTCCAGATTCAAGAGGAGGGAACTACACAAAGGCCTGAATATGAGGAGGTGTGGTTCATTGGGGATCACTAAGGTAGTAGATTACCCGTATAACTCAAGAGCTTCCACTACAGCAAATGATCAGGTTGACTTTATTTAATTAACTAGCTGAAGGTGAAGATGTACACGTATTAAATACAGCTAACTTCACTGACCATGGAGAAAAGCACTAATCTTCAGCCTTATCCTTAGTCCAGAAGGCAAATCCCCACCTCGAAATAAACTTGTGAAATGATACTGAGTTACTGAACGTTGATTCCTCCCTTATCTCGGTTAAGCCTTCACACCTTGTTGGTGGATTGTTTCCATTACTTCCTAAGTGGCCTGCCCCATTCCAGCATTTCTTTGTTGTAATCTGTCCTCTACCCTGCTTCCAGGCTAATCTTTCTAGAATGGTACTTTTATTGTGTCATTCTCCTGCCCTAAAACTTTCAATGATTTCCTTGTATCTACCAATGAAATCTAAAATTTTTTTTTTTTTTTTTTGAGACTCTCACTCTGTTGCCCAGGCTGGAGTGCAGTGGCATGATCTCAGCTCACTGCAAGCTCCGCCTCCCGGGTTCATGCCATTCTCCTGCCTCAGCCTCCCGAATAGCTGGGACTACAGGCGCCCGCCACCACGCCCGGCTAATTTTTGTATTTTTAGTAGAGACTGGGTTTCACTGTGTTAGCCAGGTCTCAATCTCCTGACCTCATGATCTGCCCACCTCGGCCTCCCAAAGTGCTGGGATTACAGGCGTGAGCCACTGCGCCTGGTCAAAATCTAAAGTCTTAACCTGGCTTTCTATGGTTTCTGTAGTCTGGTTCCGACCAACCATTCCAAAGTTATGGCCCATTGTGCTTAGACTCAAAATCAGTCTTCCAGCCACTGCAATTTTCTCTCTGGTCCTCATTCTGGCGCTACCCCTTTGCTCGCCCTGATCCCCTTACCTGGAATGTCCTTCCTCTCTCAGCTGCACCCTTATTAGCCCCTCTCACAAGGCTTTGCAGGTCCTTGTTTTCCCTGCCACTCCTGGCCACAAGGACCTCACCTTTTACAATCCCCTCAAGAGAACCCTGGATTTTAGCATAATTACAGTCATGCATCAATGACTGACCAGCTTCTCATAAGGTGATTTTAATGGAGCTGAAAAATTCAGCTATGACCTAGTGACATTGTAGTTGTTGTGAATGTCTAGCAGAATGCATTACTAAGGTGTTTATAGTCATGCTGGAATAAACAAACCTACTGCACTGCCAGTTATATGAAAGTCTAACATACACAATTATGTATAGTACATAGTACTTGATAATGATAATAAATGGCATTGTTACTGGTTTATTTACTATATTATACTTTTTATTGTTATTTTAGAGTATATTTCTTCTACTTATAAAAAAGCAGTTAACTGTAAAACTGCCTCAGGCAAGTCTTTCAGAAGGTATTTCAAAAAAAGGCATTGTCGTCATAGAGACGACAGCTCCATGCATGTTATTGCACCTGAATACCTTCAAGTGGGACAAGATGTGGAGGTGGAAGACAGTGATATTGATGATCCTGACCCTGTGCTGGCCTAGGCTGATGTGTGTGTTAGTGTCTTAGTTTTTGTTATTAATGTTTTTTAAGAGATGGTGTATTAGTCCGTTTTCACACAACTGACAAAGACAAACCCAAGACTGGGCAATTTATAAAGAAAAAGAATTTTAGTGGACTCACAGTTCCACGTGGCTGGGGAGGCCTCAAAATCATGGCGGAAGGCAAAAGGTACATCTTACATGGTGGCAGACAAGAGAAAATGAGAGCCAAGTGAAAGGGGTTTCTCCTTATAAAACCATCAGATCTCATGAGACTTGTTTACTACCACAAGAACAGTATGGGGGAAACCACCCCCATGATCCAATTATCTCCCACCAGGTCCCTCTCACAACACATAGGAATTATAGGAGCTACAATTCCAGATAAGATTTGGGTGGGGACACAGCCAAACCATATCATTCCATCCCTGGCCCCTCCCAAATCACATGTCCTCACATTTCAAAACTAATCATACGTTCCCAACAGTTCCCCAAAGTCTTAACTCATTTCAGCATTAACTCAGAAGTCCATAGTTCAAAGTCTCGTTTGAGACAAGGCAAGTCCTTTCTGCCTACGAGCCTGTAAAATCAAAAGCAAGTTAGTTACTTCCTAGATACAATGGGGGTACAGGCATTGGGTAAATACAGCTCCTCCAAATGGGAGAAATTGGCCAAGACAAAGGGGCTACTGGCCCCATGCAAGTCTGAAATCCAGCAGGGCAGTCAAATATTAAAGCTCCAAAATGATCTCCTTTGACTCCATGTCTCATATCCATATCATGCTGATGCAAGAGATGGGCTCCCACAGTCTTGGACAGCTCTGCCTCTGTGGCTTTGCAGGGTACAGCCTCTCTCCCGGCTGCTTTCACAGGCTGCCATTGAGTGTCTGTGGCTTTTCCAGGTGCACAGTGCAAGCTGTTGCTGGATCTACCATTCTGGGGTCTGGAGGACTGTGACCCTCTTCTCACAGCTCCACTAGGTGGTGCCCCAGTAGGGACTCTGTGTGGGGACTCTAACCCCACATTTCCCTTCTGCACTGCCCTAGCAGAGGTTCTCCATGAAAGCCCCGCCCCTGCAGCAAACTTCTGCCTGGACTTCCAGGACATCCGTTTCCATACATCCTCTGAAATCTAGGCAGAGGTTCCCTAACCTCAATTCTTGACTTCTGTGCACCTGCAGGCTCAACACCATGTGGAAGCTGCTAAGGCTTGGGGCTTGCATCCTCTGAAGCTATGGCCTGAGCTGTATCTTGGCCCCTTTTAGCCATGGCTAGAGTGGCTGGGACGCATGACACCAAGTCCCTAGGCTGCACACAACAGGGGGGCCTCGGGCCTGGCCCATGAAACCATATTTTCTTCCTAGGCCTCCAGGCCTGTGATGGGAGGGGCTGCCACAAAGGTCTCTGACATGCCCTGGAGACATTTTCTGCATTATTTTGGTGATTAACATTTGGCTCCTAGTTACTTATGCAAATTTCTGCAGCCAGCTTGAATTTCTCCTCAGAAAATGGTTTTTTCTTTTCTATTTCATCATCAGGCTGCACATTTTTCAAACTTTTATGCTCTGTTTTCCTTTTAAAACTGAATGCTTTTAACAGTACCCAAGTCACTTCTTGAATGCTTTGCTGCTTAGAAATTTCTTCCACCAGATTCCCTAAATCATCTCCCTCAAGTTCAAAGTTCTACAAATCTCCAGGGCAGGGGCAAAATGCCACCAGTCGCTTTGCTAAAACAGCAAGAGTCACCTTTACTCCAGTTCACAAGTTCCTCATCTCCATCTGAGACCACCTCAGCCTGGATTTCATTGTCCGTATCATTATCAGCATTTTGGTCAAAGCCTTTTAAGTCACTAGGAAGTTCCAAAGCTTCCCACATTTTCTTGTCTTCTTCTGAGCCCTCCAAATCATTCCAACCTCTGCCTGTTACCCAGCTCCAAAGTTGCTTCCATGTTTTCGGGTATCTTTACAGCAGCACCCACCTTACCAGTACCAATTTACTGTATTAGTCTGTTTTCACGCTGCTGATAAAGATATACGTGAAAATGGATACTTTATAAAGAAAAAGAAGTTTAATGGACTCACAGTTCCACTTGGCTGGGGAGGCCTCACAATTGTGGTGGAAGGCAAAAGCCACGTCTTACATGGCGGCAGACAAGAGATAATGAGACAGTTCTCTCTGTCACCCAGGCTGGAGTGCAGCAGCGTGATCATAGCTCACTGCAGCTGCAAACTCCTGGGCTCAAGGGATCCTCCTGCCTCCTGAGTAGCTGGGAGTAGAGGCCTATGCCACTAAGCCCAACTAATTAAAACAAAATTTTTTTAGAGACGGGGGTCTTGTTTTCCAGGCTGATCTTGAAATGGCCTCAAGTAATCCTTCCACCTCAGCCTCCCAAGTAACTGGGATTACAGGTGTGAGTCACTGCACCCTGCTCTGTCTTAGTTTTTAACAGCATATTTTTTACAAAGGAAAAAAAAAAGCCAGATGTGGTGGCTCATACCTGTAATCCCAGCACTTTTGGAGACCAAGGCAGGTAGATTGCTTGAGTCCTGGAGTTTGAGACCAGCCTGGGCAACATGATAAAACTCTGTCTCTACCAAAAATACAAAAAATTAGCGAGGCATGGTGGTGCACACCTGTATTCCCAGCTATTCGGGAGGCTGAGCTAGTGAGGATTAACCGAGCCTGTGAGGTTGAAGCTGCAGTGAGCTGTGATTGTGCCACTGAATTCCAGCCTGGGTGACAAAGTGAGATCCTGTCTCAAAACAAAAACAAAAACAAAAACAAGAAAAAAAGAAAAAAAATTAAAGTAGAAAAAAGCTTATAGAGTAATAATATAAAGGAAATATTTTTCTATAGCTGTACAATATGTTTGTATTTAAAGCTATGTTATTACAAAAATATCAAAGTTCTTAAAATAGAATTAAAACGTTTATAAAGTAAAAAGGTTACATAAGCTAAGATTAATTTATTATTGACGAAATAAAATAAAAATAAGTTTTTATAAATTTAGTGTAGCCTAAGTGTATGGTGTTTAAACATCTACAGTAGTGTACCATAATGTCCTAGGCCTTCACATGCACTCTTCACTCACTCACTGACACTCACTCAGAGCAACTTCCAGTCCTGCAAGCTCCAATCTTGGTCAGCGATCTATACATGTGTACCTTTTAAATATCTTTTATATGGTATTTTTACTGCACCTTTTCTATGTTTGAATATATTTATATGCACAAATACTTACCATTGTGCTATAATTGCCCACAGTATTCAGTACGGTAACATGCTGTACAGGTTTGTAGTGTAGGAGCACTAAGCACTAGTCTATCCCATATAGCCTAGGTGTGTAGTAGCACATCTAGGTTTGTGTAAGTTCACTCTGTGATGTTTGCACAGTGACACATTTCTCAGAATGTATCTCCATGGTTAAGCAAATCATGACTATATATTCACTTTGGGAGTTCAAAGGAATTTAGCAGGGATAATTGAGTCTGTAGGAATCCCTTCAGTGACAGAAGTGGATGGGTTATCTAGTTCTTAAACTTGTGAGTTGCAGAGTTGAACTAGCAGGGTTGAGTCTTAGCTTTGTCAGTTATTAGTCATTAGCCTTGGTTTTCCTCTTCTGAAATCGGTGATGATATCAGTACATACTTAGAAGATGAAATGAGTCTACACCTGTCAAGCCGGTACCAAAGAGCTTGGAAAAAAGTAAACACTTGAGGACAGGTCACTGTGTTCATCCCATTGTCACCTACTTCCAGCCTCTGCTTGAGAGATGGCTATCTCAGTTTTCCTGGATGCTCATTCCTTAGTTTGGTAGCCTGAAGTATTAGAAAGTTCTTCATTTATGGAGCTGCAATTTGTCTATTTCTACCTCAAAGTCATTGGTCCTTGTTTTGTCCTCTGATATGACACAAGAATCAGTAAAATCTCTTCTCTGTAAGATGGTTTCTCAAATATTGAAGGTGGTGCTATGGTGTGAATGTTTGTGTCCCCCCTAAAATTTATATGCTGAAGCCTAATACCCATTGTGCTTGTATTAAGAAGAGGGGCCTTTGGGAGGTGAGTAGGTCATGCATGGGCTTAATGCCCTTATAAACGAGACCTAGGGGAGCTTCTTTACCCAGTTCTACCATGTAAGGACACAGTGAGAAGGCGCCATCCGTAAGAAACAGGCCCTCATATAACACAGAATCTCCTAGCTCCTTAATCTTAGATTTCCCATCTTCCAGAACTGTGAGAAATAAATGTGTGTTATTTATAAACCACCAAGTTTATGGTATTTTTGTTATAGCAGCCTGACTAGACTAAGACAGGTGGCTATTATGTCCCCATGAAATCTCTTCTCTAGGTATAACTCTCTGTTTCCTGCCCTCATTCCTCAAATGCATGGTTTTGAGAGCCTTGGTCTTTGGTTTGAGTGAAACATTGGTTGGAACAATACCCTGCCACTCATTCCTTTGGAATTTAAAACTTATTGGTCTATCTTCAGCTGCCGATAGAACACATCAGCACACCAGGTACCCCTTGATGACAAGAATCTCTCCGTACCAAAAAAGGACAAAGTGTCAATTTTAGAATACAATGTAATGGACACACAGCCCATCTAATCCTCCGGGAATTCTAAATTCTACTTTTTCTATCATGTTTTACAGGTCATCAGAGAGCAACATGCCCAAATCACGTGAGCATATGCTCTTACAGGATGTTTTTTCTGAGTTATGTTGAAAATCCATTTCTCATTCTTTTCATATGAAAGCAGTGCTATCAAATCGTGTTTGCTGTTTTTATAAAGTCATTTGTGCCAACTCTGTCTTCTTTTTGTCCCTACAGTTCCCCTGGGAATCTGTCTGTGACTACGGAGACCTCACACCATGAGAAGGGACTATACCCCCTTGGCCCATGCACCTGTTAGGCTCCCTCACCTGACCATTAGAGAGCACCTTGACAGAGAGCTGTTAGGGGCTGCCCATCCTCTGTGTGTCTGATGATCAAAGTAAAGAACTCTAGTTTGTCTTAGTTTTTAAACTCCTTAAAGTTTTTCTAAGGGTAGCTTCAGGCAGAGGGAAAGGAAATGTTTTCATAGATCTGCTGGGCATTTGGGGATTTTGAATTTCTTTGGAATTCAGAGACCTTAGCATTTTGTGGTATCCCATCCCCTTTGGGTATCTTTATGTTATGCGGGTTCCCATTTGCTTTCCTCTGTGTAGCTAATTAAGCACTTCATGCATTAGTTGCATAGAGGCTAATTACGACAGATGATGTTTTAGCTATGGCACCTGTATGTAGAGCTCCCTGTAGACAAGATGGCCTGTTTGTTTTTGCAGAGACCAAACAATCTTAATTTTGAGAATACCAAAATGAAATGGAAGACATTTTTGCACACACAGTGAGGAAATAGTGGAAGACGCTGGCAATCCACAGCCAAGTCCAGTAGCCAAAGGGTTTCCAGAAGGACTCTGACATTTCTTCCTAAGGAACCCATTGGCTGTGGTCCTTTAGGAATTCTAAATGCCTTAACTGAAATATTTGTTAATATTATAGAAAAGAAGTATTAGTCCATTTTCACGCTGTGATAAAGACATACCTGAGACTGGGCAATTTACAAAATAAGGAGGTTTAATGGACTTACAGTTCCACATGGCTGGGGAGGCCTCACAATCATGGCAGAAGGCAAGGAGGAGAAAGTCACGTCTTACATAGATGGAGGCAGACAGAGAGCTTGTGTGGGAAACTTCCATTTTTAAAACCATCAGATCTCGTAAGACTTATTCACTATCACTATAACAGGATGGGAAACACCCACCCCCATAATATAATTACCTCCCACTGGGATGTGGGAATTGTGGGCGTTACAATTCAAGATGACATTTGGGTGGGGACACAGCCAAACCATATCAGAAATCCACAATTATTTTGATAGAGAAAAACTCTTTGATGCAGTGCAAAGGGTAGCCTTGGTAGGTGCCCCCCATCCAGCTCAGTCCCAGCCCCTTGTGAGCCCCCACCCTGCTCACTCTCCCCCTCCTCGAAGACTCATTTGTCACCATTGTGTGGGTGTCATGTTCGGTGATGAAGTGCATTCTCGCTCTTTGCCTTGGCAGCTGTGTGCAGGAACAGGCATGGCCACAGAGGTGAGAGGGAGGCTGGGCTTCTCATTGCTCAAGGCTCATGAATCATGTCAGGCGGGTTGGTAACCTGAACCCATCTCACCCCTTGCCACAGACCTCCATGACATTCCTTCCAACTTAATTTCAGCCTAAGGGATGCTTTTAAGAAGATTTTAGAGCACGAAAAGATCTCTTCAAAAGAATTGTAGTTGCATTAAAAAGTAATTATCAGAGCTTAGGGGTATAGATCTGCTGCCATATTTTACGTAGAGAGTAATTCATCTCCCAGACCCTGAAACATCATTACATAATAGGTTAAGGACACCAACCCAGGTGATACTGGGAAAAAGGTAGTAAAATCACCAAACCCCTGGAAATGATGAGCAATATGATTATGACAAAATAGCTCTGCCCTCCCGCTACAGCAGTTTCCAATATAACACAATTTAAAAATAGCACATCCTCAATGAGCCCATGCATAAAAGTGTGGGCAAATGCAGTTTATCTGGGACCCCCAGGCTAAATGTGATATTTATCTTTGAAAGACTTGGCCTTTTTGGCATAAAGAACCAGATATTATAATGAGAAAAAAGATGACATGTTTCCAAGTGTCCATGTCATATACAGCACTGTGCCAAGTATTCACATGTGTTATTTGAGTCTTACAGTAAACTAATAAAGGTGACTATTGCTATTTATTCCTATTCTACAGTTGAGGAGTCTGTGAGAATCAGAATGTTTTTGGTTGTAGATAACAGGAAACAACTCCAATTGGCTTAAACAAGAATGTATTGTTTCAAGTAACTCAAAGATCCAAAGTGAATGGTAGGCTTGAGTCAGAAAGTCAACAGTGATATCACAGACCCAGTTTCTTTTTGTGTCTCTGCTTTCTAGAAGTGCCACTTCATCCTTTCATGGTTCCAAGATGGCTGCCAGAAGCGCCCAGGACACCATGCTTCCTTGCTTACATCCAGTGAGATGTTTTTGTCCCAACATTTCTTTGAGTCCTTGTGATTGGATTAGCTTAGGTCACATGGTTATGGTGGAATCAGTGACATGGTCTGGGTGATGGAATGAGTTGATTGACTTAATTTAGATCACTTGTGCTACCCCTGGAGCTGATCGTTAGAGTCATTATTTGATATGGTTTGACTCTGTGTTCCCACCTAAATCTCATCTCAAATTGCAAACCCCACGTGTTGAGGGAGAGACCTGATGGTTGGTGATTGGATCATGTTGATGGTTTCCCCCATGCTGTTCTCAAAAGATCTGGTGGTCTTAAAAGTGTGGCACGTCCCGTCTCTCGCTCTTTCCTGCTGCAATGTAAGACACGCCTTGCTTCCCCTTTGCCTTCCTCCATGATTGTAAGTTTCCTGAGGCCTCCCCAGCCATGTGGAACTGTGAGTCAATTACATCTCCTTTCTTTATAAATTACCAAGTCTTGGGTAGTTTATTTAAGCAGTGTGAGAATGTACTAATACAGTGTTCTTCAATCCTTGAGGATCCCAAATGGAAGCCCAGGGAATGGTAGCTGGGGACAACCCCAGATGTTCACCGGGGACAGGGACATTAAGTAACTGGTCCATGATTCACACAGGTAATTAGTGACAGAGCCTGAATTTGAACCCAGATAGTCTTACTCAAGAGCCCTTTCTCTGACCTGTGGTCCTTCTAGATTCTCCGACTCTTAAAGTCTTGTAATAAATATCTTACACGTATATCTTATGGTTTCTTCACTAAGAATGTCACTCTGTACCTAAGTGATACTAACTTTTGGCAAACAATAATTCCAGAAAACCATAGAATGTATCATCTTATGGTGTGAAGTGGTAGTAAGGGCACTGGATTAAGAACTAAGACTTGGTCCCCTGTTAACCTTGGACATGTTTCTTACCTCCCAGAGCCTCTGTTTTCCTCATTGGCAAATGAAGGGTGATGACTCCCCTTACATACCTGGCTGTGTGGTTCTAGGGGTCAAGCAAGACAGTTTGAAGAGCCTGAAAAGCACTAAACGTTTATGAGCACATAAATTATTATCACTATACATAGGATTGTGATCTATTTTGTTCCAAATATGAGAACATAACACTTTTTTTGAATTTGTTAAATTTGTTAAATTTTCTTCATTTTTTTCTCTCTCTCTCTAGACTCTCTCTCTCTATGTATATATGTATATATACTGTCTCTCTCTGTCTATATATATATACTTGTACTGCTGAACTTAAACATATACATATACATACATACATATATATGTGTGTGTGTGTGTGTTTAAATTTAAGTTCAGGGGTACAAGTGCAGGTTAGTTACATAGGTAAACTTGTGTCATGGGGGTTTGTTGTACAGATTATTTCATTACCCAGGTATTAAGTCTAGTACCCATTAGTTATTTTTTCGAATCATCTCCTTCCTCCCACCCTCCACCCTTGGATAGGCCCAGTGTCTGTTGTTCCCCTCTATGTGTCCATGTGTTCTCATTATTTAGCTCCCACTTATAAGTGAGAACATACGGTATTTGGTTTTCTGTTCCTGTGTTAGTTTGTTAAGATTGATGGCCTCCAGCTCTATCCATGTCCCTGCAAAGGATATGATATTGGAGAACCTGACACTTAAAGGGCCTCTTTTAAGCCTCATGCACATACTTTAATTCAATAAAGGTTTTCATTGATAATAGCCTGTCACTATCACCCAAACAGAAAATTAGTGGATCTTCAGCTCCCTTCCCTTCCCTTCCCTTCCCTTCCCTTCCCTTCCCTTCCCTTCCCTTCCCTTCCCTTCCCTTCCCTTCCCTCCCCTCCCCTCCCCTCCCCTCCTTTCTCTCCCTCCCTTTCTTTTCTTTTCTTTCTTTCTTTCCTTTCCTTCTTTCTTTCTTTCTTTCTTTCTTTCTTTCTTTCTTTCTTTCTTTCTTTCTTTCCTTCCTTCCTTCCTTCCTTCCTTCTTTCTTTTTCTTTCTTTCTTTCTTTCTCTTTTTTTCTTTCTTTTCTTCTCCTTCCCTCCCTCCCAAAGTGCTAGGATTCCAGGTGTGAGCCCCACACTGGCCCTTCAGGTATGTTTCATAAAACCCATGCCAAGGTGGCAAGATGTGCATTCATAAGAGGCTCTTAGTTGCCTCTTGTTGAGGTGTGATGATTATGTACATAAATGTTATTCTACTTTTAATTAAACTATTGCCTCATTAAAATAGGAGGTAGATTTTGGGAGGCCGAGGTGGGCAGATCACGAGGTCAGGAGATCAAGACCATCCTGGCTAACAGGGTGAAACCCGTCTCTACTAAAAATACAAAAACAAAATTAGCTGGGTGTGGTGGCAGGCGCCTGTAGTCCCAGCTACTCGGGAGGCTGAGGCAGGAGAACGGTGTGAACCTGGGAGGTGGAGCTTGCAGTGAGCCGAGATCGCACCACTGCACTCCAGCTTGGGTGACAGAGCAAGACTCCGTCTCAAAAATAAATAAATAAATAAATAAATAATAAAATAAAATAAAATGAAGGGGGAAAATCCTGATCATCTCCATTTCAAGATACAATATACCTATAAGGTAGAAAAAAAGCATGTGGAAAGAGTAGGAATCAGATAGAATTTAGAGATGAGATCTCTGACCTCCCATACTCCCCACTAATCTGCCTTCTCTGAGGTGTCAGAATGAGTGGAGACAGGGAAATGAAGCCCATAATTTCAACAAAATGAAGGAGACATCTAAAGATTTGATATTCATTCTCAATAAATGGTTTCAAGGATAACTTGTGAGCTTTTAGTAGTCATGTGACCACCAGGCACAGACATGTGCACAGGCTACTGCATTTGTTGTTGTTTTTGATAGGGTGGCTACAGAGGTGAATCAGGCAGTGAGGTTAATTGTATCCTTCTTTCCTTGCTTGCTTTTTAAATTTTTTCGACAATTATTTATTGAGTGCCTACTACTGCCAGGCACTGTACTAGGTGCCAGAGATATGGCAGTAAACAAAACAGGTAACACCCTATGTCCTTTGGGAGGCTGCAGTCAAACGAAGGACTTTAGTATTGCATACCTCACTTACCTCACTTCAGTAAGGTGTTAGACCAGGCCTCCCTTGGAATCCCTGGAACAAGATGGAGACACCACAAGTTGATTTATGATCATATTGGAGGAGAGATGATTCATGGACTGGGTGGGTGAGGCCTCTGGAGGTGTGCCAAGGGCTCTGACCCATTTCATCTAGGGTATTGGATAAGAGCAATGTGCCCCAGCCATACCTAGCTTCACGCAGCTCCTTGAGGATACAAAGCTCCTCTCATCTCAGAGTTTTGCACACATTCTTTCCGCTGCCCGTACCATGACTTGCATCCCACTCATCTATGTGCCTTCCACTTGCCCAACTCCTGATTGTCCTTCAAATGTCAGGTTACATGTTACTTTCTCTGGCAAACTTCTCCTGAGCCCTCAGGTCTGTGTTAAGTGTCCCTGCTAAATGTCTGCCAGTGTTGTTTCAAAAGACCTGTCTTCAAGTTCAGAAATTCTTTTTTTTTTTTTTTTTTTCTGAGACAGAGTCTTGCTCTGTCGCCCAAGCTGGAGTGCAGTGGCGTGATCTCAGCTCGCTGCAAGCTGCACCTCCCAGGTTCACACCATTCTCCTGCCTCAGCCTCCCAAGTAGTTGGGACTACAAGGGCCCGCCACCACACCTGGCTAATTTTTTGTATTTTTTAGTAGATACAGGGTTTCACCCTGTTAGCCAGGATGGTCTTGGTCTCCTGACCTCATGATCTGCCCTCCTTGGCCTCCCAAGTGCTGGGATTATGGGCGTGAGCCACCACGCCCGGCCCAAGTTCAGAAATTGTTTCTTTTGCTTGATCTAGTCTGTTGTTGGAGCCCTCAGTTGTGTTTTTCATTTTGTTTATTAAATTCTTCAGCTCTAGGATTTTGGGTTTTTTTTTAATGACATCTATCTCTTTGTTGAATTTCTCATTCAAATCATGAATTGTTTTCCTGATTTTGTTGAATTGCCTATCTGTATTCTCTTGTATCTCACTGAGTTTCCTTAAGATTATTATTTTGAGTTCCTTTTCTGGCATTTGTATATTTCCTCATGATTGGAGTCTGTTACTGGAGAATTATTGTGTTCTTTTGGAGGTGTCATATTTTCTTGCTTTTTCCTGTTTGATGTGTTCCCACATTGATTTCTACATATCTGGTGGGACAGTCACCTCCTCTAATTTTATAGGGCAGGGAAAGACTTATTCATAGGCCTTGGGATGTCAGTATGGTGGGGTGTGTTGGTTATTCACAGGCCTTGGTTCTACGTGGATGCAGTAGTGTAGTCTCCATACGGTTTCTTAAGCTGTGATCCATGCTAGTGGCATTTGTGAGTATCTCAGGGGCCTAGGCTAAGAGAGTTTGTGGTGATCATGGTGCTGCTTTTCTGAGGGTGGACTCACCAGGCTGTTGCTCAGATTGGGGGCATGTACATGCACACAGTAGGTAGGCCAATTAGGGGTCTGGCTTGCTGAGACTGAGGACATGGAACTGTTACTCTGGCTGGGGACATGGGCGGGTGTGTAGTTGCTAGGCCAGCCTGGGGTGTGTTTGCTGGGGGGTGGCCTATGGGGCTGTTTCTTAGGCCCTGAGCATGGGTGTGTAGCTGCTTTTCCAGCCTGGTGGCATGTTAGCTTCTTGGTGGCTCAAGGACCTCTCCCTCTCAGGGGAGGGTTTGGCTGGCTCAAGGATGGGTTCACCCTGGCCAGGACTGCCAGACTGTTCCTCCAGCTGTAAGTACAGGCAGTGGGGGGTTGGTTTCCCCACTGAACAAGACCAGAGTCATAGCCGATCCTGGGCTCAGGTTCCACGCAGTTGAGGTAGTGGCATTCAGCCACTTGTGTGGGCTTCTGTGAATGAAGATGGAGCCCCAATGCTGAATAGGTGCAGTGGCTACTTATCCCCAGGGGAGGGCACACTTCAGAGTGGCTCTGGACTTAAGAGAGTGCTGTACTGCAGCAGCTTGGCTCACAGTGGGTGAGTGGGAGGTGGGGAGTGCACACTTTGTCCTCCAATCTGGAGTAATGCAGCTGCATTAATTCTTGGCAATGCTCCAAACTGTACTTAGGGCTTGCAAGGACTGTGGGATTCTCCTATAGTAAGGACTGCAGGTATTTGTGGTGGCAATGGGGGCTGGTGGGGTTCTTCTACTTACCTTTTCCCTGCAAAGGAAGTCCCTCCTGTCTCCGGGCTAATCTGATCCAGGTGCTGTTGGGAAGATGGGGCTGCATAGGCTAGGTTATTTCATGCTGCCCTCTTGGGGGTGGGAGGTGCAGTGAAGATGGAGTGCAGAGGCCAGGTGCCTCCATGCTGCCCTCCTGGGTTTCAATCACCACAGCATCTCTTTACTTCCCCGCTGCACTTCAGCACTCTCCCTTTGGCACTCTAGTCAAATCTTAGCTTTTATTCATTGCCTTGGTTTTTTCTTGTGGGGGTTTCAGGGGTGGGACAAGCACCAGGCATCTCTAATCAGCCATCTTGCTCCTCCCTTGTTTCTGAACCATTGTTCTCTGCTGGTTTTCTTCCTAGCTCTTTGGTCGTCCATCTCAGCCTCCTTCTCTCAGGAAGAGTGTCCATTGTCAATTGGTGTTTGTTGGTGGTCTCCTAAACATTAATTATCCTTTCTCCTCTCATCAGCTTTAATTTCCTGGAAGGATTCTTGTGGTTCAGGAGAAGCTGATACCACCCCATGTTCTGAGGGTGAAGCCTGGGGCCTGGGTTTGGCCAATCAGCACATTTCATGACCCTGGCCAGGGTAGCTGCTTCATAGGTGGGCATCCATTGAGCCAGTTCAAATGAAAGGAAGCACTGGACTTGTGCTGGGCCAGAGATTCTCCTTTTTTTGAGGAAGGGTGTAGCTCTGGGATCCATGTTTAAGATGAAGACTACATGGGCAGGGTGGTGTGTGCTTGTAATCCCAGACACTTGAGAGGCTGAGGTGGGAGGATTGCTTGAGGCCACTTGTTTGAGACCAGCCTGGGCAACATAGTGAGACTTCGTCTCAAAGTAAAAGAGAAAAAGATGAAGACTACACTCAGGAAAGCTAAGCAGAGAAATGGAAAGAAAATGGGTTCCTGCAGATGTGGCTACATCCTTGATCAATTCTTGGCCCAGTAAGAGATTATCTCCAGATCTCCAGACTTTCCAATTTCATAAATTTATTTTATTGTTTGGTAACAAGTAACTGTTGTGTTACTTGCAACCAAAAGCATCCTTACTGACCTACGTTTTCTTCCCATCCCTTGGGGGTTGCTGCTCTGCAGAGGGTTATCTTTGGCTCTTTTCTTCTCACTTCCATACTTGCCCTGGGCACTTTGGTTTTCTTCTATGACTTAACTTTCCTTTGTTTTCTCCAGCTCACGCATCTCTCTTGCATTCTCTATCTGTAGAACTGGATGCTTGCTGGACATTTCCACTTGGATGTCTGGGTAGCACCAAAATCCTGATATGTCCCAAGATGAGCAGAACTCATCTTCACCTTGTAAGCTGCTTTTCCTCTTGTCTTCTCTCTTTTGTTTGTTGATTAGCATTGCCATCATCCTGGTTTCTCTAGCTAAAGCCCGGGCAAGTTCTTGTCCTCTCCTTCTCTCTCACTTCTCCCCCTGCCCATGAACTTATTCACTCATTCTGGTTAATACTTTCCCCCTAGTTAACTCTCAAAAGGATCTGCCATTATCCATGGTCACTGCTATTGCTCTAGTCATAGCACCACCATACCAATATGAACCCTCTCAATACCCCTATCTCTAATCTTGCCCATCCACTCAAGAGCCAGAGGGATCCTTCCAAAGTAAGGTCCTTCCTTTGCTTAAAATCTTTAGTGACTCTTTATCATCCAGAGAATCAGCAACACTTCTCATAATGTGGCCCAGACCCAGCTCAGGGTTTCTTTCCCACTTTTCCTCCCATATCCTGGCTTTATTTACAATTCACGGTGTTATAAGCCATCCCTGCTCTCCACGACATTTGCACGTGGTTCTTTGCATGTGCTGTGTCCTTTTTCTGAAATGTCCTCCCTCACCTCCTTTCCTTTTATCTTCTTGGCTATCTTCTGTTTGACCTTCAGGACTCAGCTTAGGGGGCTACTTTCTTCTGGAGGCATCTACAGATCCCTGCCCCAAACTCATACCAGCTGATATCAGCTCAGACTGGTTTATAATGGTATGTGAGAGCCAATACTGGGCATCTCTTTCCAGCTCCAAGTTCAGTGATTTCACCTTGATAGCTTAAAATCAGAACGGTGGAAGTATTTACACCACCGAAATCTGCAAATGCTACAAATCAGGGTGTTTTTGTTTGTTGATTTGGTTTTTCCCAGAGAGGCAGTTTACCAGCACACCAGTGGGCATAATTGCCCGTTGATTTTCCCACTTCCTTCTTTAACTGGTAAGACCCTTCGGGGGCAGCCTCAGCAGCCCATCCACCCTCTGCCCCCAGTCTCTGCACAGTGCTTGATCTACAATATGATGCAGGAGTTCAGGATGATGTGGGCATGCCACCCTCCTCTTTCCTTACTAGTTTGCCACACAGAAACTAAAAGCTGGCATTTTCTTCCTCCAGATTCTGAAGACCTGGAAGTTATTTCTGAGAAAATATTATATTCTAACAGTCTGGAGTCTTTGGGTGTTCCCTGTGGTGGAATTTTATCTGTTGGTGCACTCCATTCCAATTGCCATTAACATGGTCCAATTTTCCAAAGGAGATATATTTCCATTCATTTTAATTTAGAGTAAACACTTTACCATCCTCAGGGATGTGCAGCTTGAGCAGAAACAAAGGGAGTTAACAGAAAGGATATTAATTAAACATCTACCCAGGATTGATGTTTTCTCAAGAGGCAGCATAATCTTATGGTTAGAACATAACCTTGGAAAATCGGTTTGTTTCTTTTTTTATGGCCAGGCCCCACCACTGACTTGAGTGATCATCTGAGTGGTGTGGACTCTCTTGCTTCTCAGAAATAACATCCGTCCTCCTGTGACTCCAATGACACTTTAAGGGGCAAACTTACCACCTAAAACGTGCTTAAATAATAAATTCAGCTTATTTGCTAAAATAATTTGAAATCTTGATTTAAAGACTCTCAAGACTCCCTTGGGAGGCTGAGATGGGTGGATCACCTGAGGTCAGGAGTTCGAGACCAGCCTGCCCAACATGGCGAAACCCTGTCTCTACTAAATATACAAAAAATTAGCTGGGCATGGTGGCAGGCACTTGCAATCCCAGTTACTTGGGAGGCTGAGGCAGGAGAATCGCTTGAACCCTTGAGGCGGAGATTGCAGTGAGCTGAGATCCCAGCCTGGAAGAGAAGAGCAAAACTCCATTAAAAAAAAAAAAAGGACTCTCAAGACTATAAATTGGATAGTTACCTATTTATTGAGCACATACTATGTGCCACATAGTACTAGGGGCAGCAGATTTAATTTAATAAGACATAATCTTTTCTCAAGGGAACTTGTGGTCTGGTCCGAGAGGCAACACACATAAGCATCTGCTATTTAAGAGAGTGGCAAGTGCTTATAAAGGAGCTCCCTGTAAATGAAGTTCAGGGAGGCTGTGGATGTTAATTCACTCAGCACATATTTGTTGAATGCCCCTCATGTACCAGGCTCAATGCTGGGCTCCAGGGATCTGGTGCTGGACTCACAGCTGAGAGAAGAGGCAGGGAAGTAAATAATTACAGAACAGACTGATCAATACTATAATAGAGGTACAGATTCAGTGCTCTGAGAAGTAACTATAGTAAGGTTCCTGGAAATCAAGGAAGGCCTCTCAAGGGAGGTGACCTTAGACTTCTGGTGTGAATAGATGTCTAGGAAAGGTGCTACCATAAAAACAACCACAGGAAAGAGAGAGGAGAGAAGAAAGAACCTTCTAAGTGAGTGAGCAGCAGTCCCAGAGTATGGAGGGAAGACTACATGTGTAATGTGGGAACTGTGCTGGCCTCGGGCGCAGGGGCTAAGCTGCCTAGAAGATGTTCTGATGGGCTCCTTTCCCCAGGATGCCTAGGAGGTACAGCCTTGGAAGCCCCCATGTTTCTGCGTCATCATCATCATCATCATCATCATCATCATCATCAAAGGCCAGAGAGAGGATCTCCAGGGGGATTTTGTGAATCCAAGTTCCACTGATCTCAACTGGAATAACTTTTGCTCTTGGTCCTTTGGATGGGCCACCTGGGATTTGTCTGGCTGTGTGTATCACCTGTGATTTTACACATCCATCAGTTAAATCAAAGATGCAGACACAAAGTCGAGAGCCAGGGCATGTTGGGTGGATTCATGACACTCTCTGGGGGACTCTGGGTACTTAAATGAATGAATGGATTTTGTTCAAGACATAAATATAATCTTTTCATCAGTGACAGCTATGCCTAGAATCTCTCACCAATGTGGGCTGGCTGGCTATTGAGCTGAATTGTTTTTGGAGAAACTTGCTGAGATATCGGAGGGTACCAGGGCAGCTTTGGGGCCTGGGAGGCTGGCTTGCTCACATGAACCCAAGGCTGGTGCTCTGGGCAGTAGATGGACAGGGCAGTGGGGAAAACTGACTCCATTTTAAGCCAAAGGTGAGCATAGCCTGAGCCTGTTTAATCAACAAATATTTATTCAGAACCTACTACATGCCAAGTTCTGATCCAGGTTCTGATGATACAAAGGTCGCTAAGACATGACCCAGCCCCCAAGGCACTTGCTATCTAAATGGCTACAATAATATGTAATATTGGAGGTCCTGGACTCTGAAACCATGCTCTTCCAAGTTCAAATCCTGGCCCTGTCATTTACTGTGTGATCTTAGGCAAATTACTGAACCTTTCTGTGTTCCAGTTTCTTCAGCTGCAAAGCAGGGACAATGATGGTAGGTTTGCTATGAGGATTAAATGAACTAATGTGTATGAACAGTTTGGCACAGGGCCTGTTTCATAGCTAGTGCTCACTAAGGGTCTAACGTTTCTATCTCAAGAAATAGAAGCTCCTGGGAACCATAAGAACTGTGATAGTGGTGTATATAAGATGCTAAGGGGCCATGAGGAGGAAGTGGTTAAGTAATTCTGTATGTCACTTACTCCTCATTAGCTTTTTTTCAGATGTGTTGATCTCTGCACCTGGAGGGTGGGGCTGTGCTCTCTGCTTTTCTGCTTGGGTACAGGTACGTCATAGGAACTGCCTGTTTGCTTATTGGTGGAGACCAATTTATTCCAGTTCAGTTACCATCGACACATATTTCCTGACAGTCCATACATTTGTTCATCAAATGTTAGTGTATCCTTCAGTGTCCCAGGCACTGGGGATGTTGAGATGAACTTTGTTTCACCTTTGATCTTCTTATGTTTAGTACAGGACCCAGACTTGACAACAGACTGCTGTAATGCAGGCTCATGACTGCTGTGGCTGTCTCTGGGCAGCAGTGTTACCACCAACAGCCCCAGCTATAACAGCTACTACTTATTACATTATGTGCTTACTGCGTGCCAGGCACTGTTCTGGGGGCTTCGTAGGCATGACTTCATTTTATCTGCACAGAAACCCTAGGATGTGGATACCACAATGATCCCCATTTACACCCCGGGAGTCTGAGGAGCTTGCACTGGCCTGTACCTCCTTCCTGCCCTGGCACCTCCTTCCTGCCCTGGGTTCTGTTCCTCAGATCCTGTGGCTCGGGCAACAGCAACACTTAGCCAGCACAACTGTATTTTGAAACATTCGTGATAATTTCCTGTTACCAAAAGAATGTGTGCTCACTGTAAAAAATAAACCAATACAGCAGGAAGTGATGTAAAAAATGAGCTCTCTTACCTACTCCTAGCTTTCTTACTCCTCAGTGATAACCAGTGGAATAATGTGGTCTCTACCTTAGAGATTTTTTTCTGTGCATTACAGGTGGGCACATGCATCCATATCATAGATGTGTTTACAGATGCTATTTTAAAATGTATTTACTTATTTTAAGCTGTGAGTGTGCTACATATACATTCCATAGTGATTCTATGGAAATTCATTGTACTTTACCTACTTTTTTATTGATAGATATTTGAGGTTGTTGACAATTTCTTTTTTCTTTTTTTTTTGCTATAACAACAAATGCTTCAATGAACTTTTTTGTATACTCTTGTAAGTTTTTTGTGAGATAAATTTCTAGAAGTGTAATTCCTGAATTGAAAGGTTTGTTTATTTCAAATTTTGTTTGATGTTATCAAATTTCCCTCCAAAAAGTTAGCACCAATTAATGCTAATTCAACAATACTATTGAATTTAAACATCAAGTTGGTTGGTGAGTTTGCATTCAGAAACGACGGTGAGCTTTCTCCTGTGGAGCTGGAGGGTAATGATTTAGGGAAAGGGAGAAGTGAGGAAAAGGTCTATGGGTTAAGTGGGGAAGGGCAGGAGTTAGGGAAAAGGCACCTCGTTCTTGAGACCTAGGACCAAGGGCATAGTCCTGATCTTGGAAGAAAAGTCGCCACCGTCCCCCATCATACAGTAGTTGGTGCTTCCAATTTCCAGTTTCATTCTTCTTAACAGTGGCATGGCTGGGTCTCCTCATTTGGATTCTGTTTTTATTTTAGCATGACCCTAAAACTGCCAACAAAATATCATTGTCTCAAGAAATGGATGTGAGCATCAGAAACAACTTTTATGCCACTCTTCAGATGCCAAGGATAATAATTCATTGGCTTCTCCAGCAGCTTGATGATCACATCCCTGCACGACGCACTTGGGGCTGCCAAGCCGTGGGACTGCTCTGTCAGTGTAGCCACGATTTAGTTTAAGAAGGGAAAGTGGACAGTGGAGGTAGGGGTGCTTCCTAGCATGGCTCTAGGAGAATGAGTGCTGACTACAGTCACATTCAATCTACAAATATGTGCTAAAAGGAAGGGGCAGGCAAGTGATCTTATGGCTGCCGAGCATCTAGAAGAAAATAAATCAGAAGGGACCCCAGCAGAGAACCTTCTACAAGCCACACCTAACTTAGGGTTTCCAAGTGTTCGGGGGGGCAGAATGAGCTAGAAAGTAATCTTGGAACCTCATTGTAGGGCATTTGTCTGGGGAATATTAATTCTTGTAAATCCACTGTGTAGCACACTACCTAAGATTCTTACCCCACCAGGAGGATTCAGGAATTCTCAACCAAGCAAGTTCACTGTCTTCATAAATCCTGGAGTTAAGGACTCTCTCCAGTGCAGCTATAATGGGAATGTTTCACACTGGCTCTTCCCTCACCACTGCAGTCACATTTTTGGTGCTCAGAATGGACAGAGACTAGAAAGCAGGATGCTGGTCCTGGTTGGATTCCATATGGGAAAGCTCTATGCTCATTTAAGATTTCATTTTATCATTGGGTATGACTCACAGTCCATAAGCTAAATATTATGATCTCCCTTTTACAGATGATGACACAGAGAAAACTTATTGAAGAGTGTCCCTTGAAAGATTCTTGTTTTCCATATCAAAGCCATCCTAAAGTGGGTTGTCAGGGCACATATTTGGAGTGGTTTTCTGTTTTTGTGCTCATCTGGATCTCCCACACATTTCTCCCCTGGTGACGAGGAGCCTCTGGGCTATCGTCCTGGACATTGGTGAGTCCAGCCACAGTGTGGTCTCAGTCCAGGGCCTGGGGTCTCCAGGCCTGGAACCAAAGGTTAATAGGTAGAAGGTGAGTCAGTACTGAGTCTCCTGCCTGACAGACTGGGAAACACATGCAGACACTAGTGTCCATTCCCTGGGCACTCTCACTGATTTTGATGAGTATTTACAGAACAGGCCTTGCTAAGCATGACTTACCTTTCTTAAATCACAAGTTTCCCTACGATTTTGTTATTTACCTCAGTTTGACCATAAAAACTGCAGACTAAATACTCTCCCAATGTACTGGTTATCTGTTGCTGCATAACTATACATATAGGCTTAAAACAATAATGAACGTTCTTTATGTCTCACAGTTTCTGTGGGTCAGGAATTTGGGAGCTGTTTGGCTGGGTGGTTCTGGCTCAGGGGCTCTCATGCGTTGCAGTAAAGAGGTCTGCTGGGGCTGCCATCATCTGGAGGCTCTACAGGGGCCCCACTTCCAAAATGGCTCACATGAGGTGGGCAAGATACTGCTGGCTGTTGGCAGGAGACCTCAGTTCCTCCCCAGGTGCACTTCTCCATAGGGCTGCTTAGTGTCCTCACAACATGGCACCCGAACTCTCCCAAAGTGAGTGAGCCAATTAAGGGCAAGGTGGAAGCCACCATGTCTTTTTTGGCCCAGACTTGAAAGTCACACACTATTGTTTTTGCAATATCCTATCAGTTACACAGGTCAGCTCCATTCAGTGTGGAAAAAGATTACATGAAGACACGACTACCAGGAGGTGGGAGTCACTGAGGACCACCTTGGAGGCTGGCTACCACACACCCAGGAAAGTGTATGCTTATCAATTCCACAAGAATCCAAACAAGAGGACTAAAGGGCATCTCATGACTTAAGAAAGGAAAGTGTCTTAGAGAGCAGGTAAAATGGCTTCTGTAGTACTTGCCACATGTGAAGTGATATGCAAATGCAGTGTAGCTCATGTGATAATGGCTATGAATGGCTAAAAGGGTGTGATATCCTGAGCAGCTGGGGCCAGAGAGGGGACTTAGCAGCATTGTGAAGGAAATATGGCAAGGATATGAATCTGTTTAATGGGAGATCTATTTCCAGCCTGGACCTAGGCAAGAAGTAAGCCTCTCACAAGTAGCATAGTGTAGAGTTGTATGGCGTGTCCTACAGCAAGAAGCAGCAGCAGATAGACAAAGCAGCCAGATACAAAAAGGTAAACTCGTAAAAATACCCCACTGGGTCGTATATATTATTACATTACATATAATATTTTTCTAATGTACTCATTTAAAGTTTAAAGTGTGCTATAAATACTTATATTGTATTTTGCATCATGATTTGGTGCTTGAAGGATCTCTGCAAGGGCACACAACAGATAATGAGAGTTTTCTGCCCTTAGAAAAAGGGACCTCGGCCCCGAAGATGTTTGTAGAGACTGTCAATGGATGAGCACAGAGGGGAACGCGCAATGCAGTTTTGACCCACTAGGGACCAATGAGCAAAGGGCCAACTTACCTGCATCAGAAAAGAGCTCATTTTGTAGAGTTCTGCCTGCCCAAAGGGCTTCTCCAGCTCCACGGTGAGGCGCACTTAGACATCAATAATAGGAGTGCTGCCTGTCATTTGTAGTTGTCACGTGCAATCTTGCCCAGGACTTCTCATTCCCGATGCGGGGATGTTGTCATTCTCAACAAATCCTCTTATTGTCTTCAGAAAGCCCCAAGTTAAGAAAAGCTTTTTCAGGTCTTATTATAAATATATGAACCAAAGGCCGCCTCTTACTATTGCAGACATTTGGGCTCAGGGTTAGCCAGCTATTTTGAAGTTCACCCAATTCCACAGGTTTATTTTTTTCCATATTTCACTCATAAATTTGTAACCATTTTGTTGTTGCTATTGTTAGAGATAGAATCTGTCTCTGTCACCCAGGTTGGAGTGCTGTGGTGTGATCATAGCTCACTACAGCCTCAGACTCCCAGGCTCAAGCAATCCTCTAGCCTCAGCTTCTTGAGCATCTGGGACTACAGGTGCACACCACTTTGTCTAGCCAGTTAAAAAAAATATTTTTTTTGTACGATGGGGGTCTTACTATGTTGCCCAGGCTGGTCTTGAACTCCTGTCCTCTAGAAATCCTCCCACCTTGGTCTCCCAAATTGTTGAGATTATAGGTGTGAGCCACTGTGCCCGGCCACTATACATATTTGAACACAATAGAATTATAGTTCTTTAAAAATCTTCTGTGATTCCGGTTTTAGTAAGAAAGACTGCTCTTGACTTCAACATTTGAGGTTTCAAACAGAAATGGGTATGTTTTAAAGGGATATTTGCCAGGCTCATGAGAAGGCCCTGGGGAGTCGTGGGATTTCAGAGAGCAGTCAGATCTTGGGGTGGGTCAGACTTAAGGACAAGAAAGTGCTGGTTCAGGACAAAACCCAACCAACCAAACAAACAAGTGCAGGTGATCCCTTGTGAGGGAAGGCAGGGATTGAGGGAAAGACAAGAGTACTTATTTAGTACCTACTGCCTACCCAGCACTGTACATGTGTAATCTACTAGAGTAGTTTGTGACGATTAAAATTTACTCCACAAAAAGTTAACTCTGCCCCTCTATCCAGAAACATTGTTAGCCTAAGAAAGGAAAGAAATGCTGAGAAACCATGTGATGTGATAGAGGAGTCACTGGCTTTCAGGCTGTACAAAGATTTGGTTTGCTCAGTGTTATGAACTGAATGTTGTATTCCCCAGCTGATTCATACAACTGAATGTTGTATTCCCCCCCGTTGAAGCCTCAGCCCTGCAGTGTGGTTATATGTGGACATGAGGTCTCTAAGGTAGTAATTAAGACTAAATGAGGCCATAAGGGTGGGGTCCTAGACTGATAGGATTAGTGTCCTTATACAAAGAGCCAAGCGCTTGCTCTCTCTGCTTGTGTACCGAGGAAAGGCCACGCACGCACATGGTGGCAAGAAGCTGGCCACCTGCAACCCAGGGGTTGAGTCCTTGCTAGGCACCTCGATCTTGGATGTCTTTTATTTATTTATTTATTTTTGAGACAGAGTCTCTCTCTCTGTTGCCCAGGCTGGAGTGCAATGGCATGATCTCAGATCACTGCAAGCTCCACCTCCCAGGGTCAAACAATTCTCCTAATTCAGCCTTCCAAGTAGTTGGGACTACAGGCATGCGCCACCATGCCCAGCTAATTCTCATATTTTTCATAGAGATGGGTTTCACCACGTTGCCCAGGATGGTCTCGAACTTCTAGACTCAAGCGATCCATCCGCCTCGGCCTCTCAAAGTGCTGGGAGATTATAGGCTTGAGCTACCCTGCCCGGCTGATCTTGGACTTCTAATCTCCATAATTGTGAGAAAATAAATGTATGTTGTTGAAGTTATCCAGTAGCTGGTATTTTGTTATGGTAACCTAAACAGCCTAAGACACTTAGCAATCTCTATTTCCTAAAGCAGGGATTGGCAAACTTTTCAGGCTAAGAGCTAGATAGTAGATATTTTAGGTTGTGTAGGCCACACAGTCTCTGTCTCAGCTACTTGACTCTGCTGCTGAAATGTGAATGCAGCCATAGACACACATAAATGAATGGACATGGGACTGAGTTTCAGTAAACTTTATTTATGGACACTAAACTTTGAATTTCATGTATTTTTCACACGTCCTGAAATATTCTTTTGATAAACAAGAAACTTTTAAAAATGGAAAAAGTTATCTGAGCTTGAAGGCCATACAAAAACAGGTGGAGGACTGGATTTGACTGGTGGCTATGGTTTGCTGACCCCTATCATAAAGAAAAAAACGCTTTATGCTAAATTGTAGCTGGATATGCTAAGTCAAGCCTGATTAATAATAAGCCTTAAGCAGAAAAAGGTGAGCTTTAGGACAGAAGTCTTTGGGTCACCCTAATGACTCTTGAGAAACAAATTGCCATCTATAAACCCAAATATTTATGTCCTATTTCCATGCTGGCTTACCTGCTTTCAGAGCAGATAGCAGGTTAAATAGCTTGTTTTCCAAATTCTAATTCAGGAATATAAATATATTCAGGATTTTCATGAGATAGAAAGGTGAGCTGGATGCAGTGGCTCACGCCTGTACTCCCAGCACTTTGGGAGGCCGAGGCGGGCAGATCACCTGAGGTCAGGGGTTTGAGATCAGCCTGGCAAACATGGTGAAACCCCATCTCTACTAAAAATACAAAAATTAGCCGGTGTGGTGGCAGGTGCCTGTAATCCCAGCTACTTGGGAGGCTGAGGCAGGAGAATTGCTTGAACCTGGAAGGCGGAGGTTGCAGTGAGCCGAGACCACACCATTGCTCTCCAACCTGGGCAACAAGAATGAAACTCTGTCTCAAAAAAAAAAAAAAGATTAAAAAAGAAAGAAAAGTGAACTTGAATCTGAGACACACATTTTCCCAATTACCTTGATCTTAGCTCTGCCTGCCTCAGAAGCAGGAGCTGATACCAGCGCTTGTGGGATGTGTGAGAGCTGGTGTTAAATGTTTGTCACTGCATGCACTTCCTGTACTGTTCGTCTTCAAGTTTACCTTTCTGTGCAGACACTAAGCCATCTCACCTGTTGCCCTCAATTGGGAGGACCACTCTGAATGGGGTTTCCATGATTACCATTTCTCTTCTATTTAGAGAGAATCTGCCATCTTAATATCCTGAAAACCAACAGACTTGAAGAGGCTGCAGACTGCACTGTACGGGAAGCCATAAGCAGAAGGAAAATAAGCTTAGCAAAGTATAGAGGAAGTTGGAGCAGGGGGGTAGGAGAAGAGGAGAAAAAAGCAGCTTGAATTTCAGCTTTTGTTGAAGGAAATAATTGAAAATTAAAATCATTTTGATTTTCCTGGGAAACTGAATTGACTGGGAGCTCACCTGATATGTGAAAAGCAAGCTCGAGGTTCACCTACCATGCCGAATGTGTTCTGGTTTCCCACCAGCCACCCCGTCTTCCTTTGATGAACAGAGCTTTCTCTTAAGTAAACATTTAAGACCTAATTGGATCATTGGTGTGGTGTCACAGTAATTAATGCACAGCCTGGAGTAGTTACACAAATGTTGGTCTGAGCAATACCAAGTACTGCTGAGAAATCAGAGGGGCCCGTGGGATCCAGCCAATGAGCCTGGTGCTCGATTGTTCTTGGTGATGAGGAAGAAATAGCAGGAATATCTCCAGGATACAAGGTGTATTATTCAAAGATTAAGAAAAAATCTCAACAATGGCTGACCAGTGATTAGAGCTTTATTATTTTGTTTAGCTAAGAATAGATTAAAATGACCCCAAAGAGAGAGCTCAGTGTTCTCATTGATTTTATGTTTTGTTATTTGGTTGAGATTGGGGTGCAGAAACCAACTTGAGCTAGTTTAAGCCCAACAAAGGAATTCACTGTAAGGATGCAGAGGTTTTTGCTGGAACCCAAGAGCAGAAGTACAGCTAGGCTTCTGGAAAGGAATGGTCTTAGTATAGGGAAGCTGGGTGTGTTGTCTCTATCTCTCCTGCCTCTGTGCTCCAAAGAGCCACTACCTCATTTTTTCCCTCTCCCTGGAAATTTTCTCCACTGGTGTTGTAGTAAATGTCTAATACTCAATTCTCTGATGAAAGAGATGCCCCGATTTGCAGTGGTTGCCAATTTCCATGGTGTAAATACTTCCACCATGGCTGATTCAAAGCTACCAATGTGGAGGCAGAGTTGGGAAGAGATGTGCAATAGCTTATGATTATATAGTATTCCCACCTTACAGATATATGGCTGTAAAGAATCTCAGGAGCATAGATTATAATAAACTATAATAAAATAATTAGGAAGTGGTGCATTTCAGTACTTATTACCTTTGTTTTAAATATAATTTAAATTTATATAATTTAATTTTTAATAATGGTTGTGTTCACAATTTGGCTTGCAGAATTCCTGCTAATTTAAGAAATCAGTCCTTGGGAGCTGGTACTTATGAGCTGATTCTAGCATACCACATTTCTTCCCCACTTCAGGGTACAGCACAAGGCAACACATGGCTGCCCCACAACTGTCTCTCCCAGAGGGATTCCACATTGGAATATGGCCCAATTCTGCATTATAGGAAGAGAGAATGTGGTTGGTTGAGTCTGGGTCAGGTGTTCTTGTTTGGGCAATCAGCTCTGGCTGGGAGTGTGCTGGAAGCAGGTCTTCCCTGGAAGGGGCAGGGGATGATGAATGTGTTAAAGGAATTTCCAGCAGCTTCCACGTCAAAGAGTAGTGCTTGTTCAGGATTTGTTATGTGCCAGGCAATTCAAAGATATTTTCTCATTTTTTCCTTCAGACTTCTGTGACCTGGACACTATTGTCCCTATTTTACAGCTGAGGAAACAGAGGGCCAGAGAGGTTTAGTAACTTACCTAAGGTCACATGGCCAGTAAACTGCAGAGATGAAATTCACATCCAGGCCCTGTTTTACCCCAAAGCCCTCTTTCACCAACCAGGTTATCTCTCATGCAGAGATACCATGCAAAATGGGAGGCCTGAGCAAGAGTAATAACGTTCCTGAACCTGTAGAGGAACAGCAACAGCTGGAATAGAGAATAAGGAGGAAAAAAAACACACACACACACACACACAAAACAAACAAACAAAAAAACCCAGAATGTGAATAAGAGGAATGAGAGCAAAAGCATGTATTATTTTTACTGAAAAACTCCAATCTTGCTGCAGTTGCTTCTCTTCTTTCTTTTAATCTCTGGGGGTGAGAGGCAGATACTGATTTCTTTGTAATTTAGGGTTTTGTTGCAGATCCTGTTGAGTTGAATAGGGGTGTGGATGCTCATTTTTACTTTATTCATTGTTTGCCTTCCCCGGTCACTTTTGTGTGCTTCTGCCCCCAGGTATTGGGCACAGTTAATTCTTCCTGCAATTAGTATTCATGGTCAGCTAAGCAGAACTAATGCAACAACCGTTTTTACTTTGAAGGTTATATTACATGTTTCCAAGGTCCTGCAGAAGAGGCTCTTTATGAATAAGATATTCTTGACCCTCTCTAGGAATTTAATTTTCCCTTTTCCGAGTTTCCGAGCCCACCTTTTGAATTCTTTAATGTGATTCCTTAGGAAGAACCCAGAGCCAGACAGGCAACAGGATATAGTCAAATCAAAATGCGGTAGTTTAAAATGTTTCCTTCTCTGGGGATGCAAGACCAGAGTACATGCTCTGCTTGTCTTAGAGTGGCTGTCTCTTCATTTTACTGGTTCCATATATATATATATATATACATACATATATATATATGTATATATATATATGTATGTATATATATATATCATTACTATAAATTGCTTCCATAGGAAAAAAATGCTCACTAATTTAAAATAGATTCAAGGAAGGGACTGAGAATTCTGACTTCGGATCATTTCAAAACTATATGCAATTATTGCAGGTAATTTCCCAGATAGCAGAAGCAGCAAGAAATATTCTTTAAAAAAATCTGAAACTTTTTTTTGGAAATAGCAAAATGTGACTTTTTCATACTGAATGCGTGACATCAATTAATACTTTAAATGGCCCAAAGTGGTCAGAAAATTCATTTAGCTGCTTTGGAAAAATTCTAATGACTCCAAAAACATAAAGCAGACCATTTAGAGTCATTTAAATGTGGTTCAACATAGTGAACACATACTATCTCCCAGCTGTTCAGCTTTTAAAAGGTGCTGGCAATACTATTTTGTCCTTTTTTTTTCTTTTTATACTTCTTATGGTTAAAAATAGCATTGGAGTTTCAACTGATGATCTTCAGAGATTTATATTACATGAAAAAACAAAATCTAGGAAAGAAGTAATATCTGACTTTTTAAGATGATGCCTTTATTTCTTGATTTCTGAATTTTAACGTATAAGATTTTGTTTACATTTTTCTTTTCAAATAAAAACATTTTTTTTCAAAATTTTAAAATTTACATTCAATCATTTGGAAACAATGAGTTTTATGACCATACAATTGTATTTCCCATTTTGCTTTTGCCACGAGGAAGCTCTGAGCCCAAATTGTGGCTGGCTTCTAGCAATTTGTAGGACCCTGTGGTGCAGAACCAGGTGTCTAGACCCTCTATGCCACCCCCGCTTACCCTATTCTTTTCTATTTGTTAATGGTTTTGTTTATGGATTTCTATGAGCCTCCCTCCACCTTTTAAAAAGATAAAGTGAAGTGTATAGTGTGTGATACTAAAAAATCATCTACTGATAAAATGGCAAAGGACTTCCCAGCCCCTTAATAAGGCCCAATTTTTCTGCTGGAGTTGAGGTCTCCCACCCAAGCATCTCTGCTTCATTTACAGCCCACCCCAGGACCTCACCCAGAGCTGAGCCCTCCAGTGCCCAGTGGGGAGAGTGGTAAAAAAGAGAGGGATGATAAGGTGGCTGAGGAATGCTTAGCAAGGAGGCCCAGGAAGCTCACTTTCCAAAGGACTCTTAATTGTGCCGGGAGGAAGCAATCCTCCTCTCTGTAAATGAGGTCTTGTGAGTGTCCCGGCTGTGGAACAGGGCCTTGGCAAATGAGAAGAGCCTTTCTGGCTGGCAGGTGGGGGTTCTGCACCAGCTCAGGGACCAGAGTCTGCAGACCTTCCTGTGGCAAACTACGCACACACAAATTTAAAAACATCTTTTCTCCTCCCTCTTTCCTTCCCTCCTTCTTTCCCATCCATTCTCCTTGTAAGGCAGTTCTCTCTAGAGACTGCATCCACTTGGAGGGAAGGTTGCTGAATCTCGAATTGTCTACTACCCTTGCCTGGTCCGTGCAATGCCCTCACCCCAGGGGAGAAGGGTGGTCTCGTTTGAAAAATATCTATTTTCCCTAGAGGATTCACTTTAAGAACTGCATAAACCCACAGCTGCTTCTGAAAGAAAAGTAAAGGAGAGGTTTTGCTCTAAAAATCTGTTTAGTTAATAAGATTCCTAAGCAAACAAACACACGTAGAAATGCAAGGCCATTATTTGCTCTGATTAAACATAAAATCTATTCTCTTGCAACATACCAAATGATCATGGTTTTTCTCCTCCCTGAGGATGCTGCAGATGTGTAATACAGTCCACTGACTGTTCATTTCTAAAAAAAAAAAAAGGCCGTTGGTGGATTTTTTTCTCAAAATGTGTAGTGTGGTCAGGACAGCAGAAATTTCTGACGAGTCAAGTACAGGTGATTAAAGCTTGCAATGTAAATCAGTTAACATCTGTAATTTTCCTTGTTCTCCAATGCTATTAGTTATTTCAAGGGTAAAAAAGGATGTTTTACTTAATTTTTTTGAATCTTACTAGGTACCCGTAGCTTAACTTAATGATTTGTATAAGTGATAGTAATTGCTGGTACTATAGTTGAGTATTATTAGCTATAAAATGAACATGGTTATATGTCCAACAGAACTAGCAAGGGACAGAAATGCAGTTGTATCCAAGAGAAAATAATTACAGCAATAATCAGTGTAATTCATGATAATGGCTGAATTGAATTTCACACCATAGCTCCAAGCACTTACATTTAATGAATGTAGTTTGTGCTTGTTTACTAAAAAGGTTTTTAGCAGAAAATCGATAATGTAACTTCAGTGTTTCTAATTGCAAATGCAATTATTTTTTTTTAAAGTAGTGGTTCAATAAGGATTTTGTAGAGAAAATTGAGGTATGTGAGTGCTGCAGATGCTGGTGCTTTAATTAGTTACCTGTACATTAGTGCCATGGTGCCTTAATATCTATTTATTACAACATATTGATTTAAATGGATTTGTATTCAATTTTAAGGCTAGCTAATGTAATGGACATTGAAACTTTTCTGGAAGCATTGGCTGGGATTACAACATGTCACTGGGTAATGAGGCTTCCTTCAAGAGGTGATTTCAGAAATCATTTTACAAACCCAGCGGTGGGGCCATGGAAGGGAGGGCCGGGACATAAGCCAGTTTCCACAGAGCCAGTGGCAGGGCATGTGTGGCCTTTGGTAAACAGGAGCTGTGTGGATTTATATAGTCCTTAGAGATTCTTTTTTAGTTGGCTTAACTTCTGTTTATATCTTTTCCCAGTCCAAGATATGCCTAAAATGGTTATTTTGGAGTTGATGATCTTCTCCACAGTAAAACCTGTTGATAGACTTCTGAGTTTTGGGATCCCCAGCCAGTCTAGCCTGACCCCCTTATTTTGAAGCAGCTGAGGGAAAGTGCGTCGCCTCAGATCTCAGGACTTGGAGTCAGCCAGTCAACTCTAGGTCCCCTGTCATGATTCATGCTGATGTTAGGTGGATTTGCATTCTCTGTCGAACTGGATCTCTTGCTCAAAACTGACCCTGAGCCTAACCTTCTTTCCCCACTTACACAGCCATTGTCACCATCGCACCACTACTATCATCATCACCACCACCATCATCACACCACCACCACCACCATCATCACTATCATCATCACACCACCACCACCACCATCATCACTATCATCATCACACCATCACCACCACCATCATCACACCACCACCACCACCATCATCACTATCATCATCATCACCACACCACCACCATCACCACCACCACCATCACACCACCACCACCACTGTCGTCATCACTATCATCATCATCACACCACCACCACCATCATCACACCACCACCACCACCACCGTCGTCATCACTATCATCATCATCATCACACCGCCACCATCACCACCACCACCATCACACCACCACCACCACCACCACCGTCACCATCACTATCATCATCATCACACCACCACCACCACCACCATCATCACTATCATCATCATCATCACCACACCACCACCATCACCACCACCACCATCACACCACCACCACCACTGTCACCACCACCACCACCACCATCACACCACCACCACCGCCACCGTCGTCATCACTATCATCATCATCATCACACCACCACCATCACCACCACCATCACACCACCACCACCACTACTGTCATCACTATCATCATCATCACACCACCACCATCACCATCATCACACCACCACCACCATCACCATCACCATCATCACACCACCACCACCATCACACCACCACCACCATCATTATCATCACCATCATCACACCACCACCACCACCATCACCATCACCATCATCACACCACCACCACCATTACCATCACCATCATCACACCACCACCACCACCATTACCATCACCATCATCACACCACCACCATCACCATCATCACACCACCACCACCATCACCATCATCACACCACCACCATCATTACCATCACCATCATCACACCACCACCACCACCATTACCATCATCACACCACCACCATCATCACACCACCACCACCATCATATACCATCACCATCAACACACCACCACCACCATCATATACCATCACCATCATCACACCGCCACCACCATCATTACCATCACCATCATCACACCACCACCACCAACATTACCATCACCATCATCACACCACCACCACCACCATTACCATCACCATCATCACACTACCACCACCATTACCATCACCATCATCACACTACCACCATCATTACCATCACCATCATCACACCACCACCACCAACATTACCATCACCATCATCACGCCACCACCACCACCATTACCATCACCACCATCACACCACCACCACCACCATCACCATCATCACACCACCACCACCACCATCACCATCATCACACCACCACCACCACCATTACCATCACCATCATTACACCACCCCCACCATTACCATCACCATCATCACACCACCACCACCACCATTACCATCACCATCATCACACCCCCACCATCATTACCATCACCATCATTACACCACCACCATCAGTACACCACCACCACCATTACCATCACCATCATCACATCACCACCACCATCACACCATCACTATAATTACCACCACCATTATCACATCACCACCATTATCATCACCATCATCAACATCATACCACCACCATCATCATCACATCCTCTTCCTTGATGTCTTATCTCCATGGCGTGTACACTGGATGTAGAATATAGTCTTGCTGGGTACTACGGGAGCTGTATCTCAGTAGAAGGAATGAAGACTAGCTCTTGATAAGCTGAAAATCCCTTAATAGCCTACATTCTAAATACGCATATTCATTGTACCAGGGGTTTCTAACCTTGCTTTGATGATATCCTAGTGTCACTGTCTCAAAACCAAATTAATTTTGGACTTGAGTATTTAGCGTTGGGAGAAGGAGTAGGATTGTATATTATTATAACCAACATTGATGTGCTTTTGAATTCCAAAAGGACGTTTTATTTCTTTTTATTTTTTCTAGAGACAGGGTCTTGCTGTGTCACCCAGGCTGGAGTGCAGTGGCAAGACCATAGCTCACTGCAGGCTCCAACTCCTGGGCTCAAGTGATTCTCCTGCCTCAGCTTCCCAAGTAGCTGGGACTACAGAGGTGTGCCACCATGTCCAGCTAATTTTTCTATTTTTTATTTTGTAGAGATGGGGTCTTGCTATGTTGCCCAGGCTGGTCTTGAACTCCTGGCATCAAGTGATCCTCTCACCTTGGCCTCCCAAAGTGCTGGGATTATAGGCATGAGTCACTGTGCCCAGCCCCAGAAGGTTTTAAAGTTCTAACTGACACAATATTGGTAGGGGTCTATGTGAGAAGCAGGCATATCTACAAACCTGAGCTCCAACAGGGTCTTTCATCATGGTTTCATTAAAAATTAGCTCCTGGCAGGAGACTAGTTGAGTTTCTGAACCACGATGACCAGGCCTAGGGTGCTGGCTTTTCAGAGAACCATCCCCCTACTCCCCAGGTGCCGGCTGGGCTCCCACCACCTCCAGGAAACCTTTCGTAAGAACACAGGGCCCATGAATCACTCCCTCCTCTGGTTTCCTATGGTACATCAAATGAGGACCACTTGCTCAGCACTTCCGATATACCATGCACTACGCTCGGTGCAGCACAAGTTGTAAAAGTCTCCTACTTTTACAACTCTTTGAGCCAGGCAGTATTGTTATTTCCATTTTCTAGATGTGAACACTGAGGCTCAATGAGGTCAATAGTCCAGATACAGATGGCTAGAAAGTCAGTGAAGGAGCTGACTAGATTTCTGTCTGTTTTCCCCTTCCTCCCTCCACCCCGGTATCCTGCTCATAAACCCAATGGTGGGTGAGTGAATAATGTCAAGACGCAGGTGAAAGTGACTTGGTTATGTCTCTCTTTGCACAGAGAGCACACTGCCTTCTGTGTCAGGTGTGAGCCCCTGCACTCTCCCTGGGGTCTGAAGGCTGAGGCGTGTGGCCAGAAGCTTCTACACAGGCCTATCCCAGAGTGTGGGGACCATGTTGGTCTCACGTGCATGAGAGCACACGCATGTGACTTCTACCTTCAAGCACCTCCCAGAGAGTAAGTGAGAGAGATGACCAGGTGCATAACAAGCATTTGGTCAGAGCAGGATGATGGGGTGGGAAGAAGGGCTCAAGTCCCACCTACACATCAACTGTGTGCCCCTGGGAAGGGCCTTCACTTCAGGAACCTCAGTTTGCAAGTCTGCAAAGTGGAGCTAATGATCCTTGTCCTCACTTCCTCCTGGGCTTGTTGTTAAGGCTCCTTGCATTTTGGAATCTTTAAAGTGCTTGGAAAAGGTAGGGAATCCATCTAATTAAGGAGGAGGAGAAACAAAAGCCACCAGAGGAATCAGGTTTCTGGTATCCAATTTAATCCAATCCATAGGAAAACAGCCCAAGGGTGCCCCATCGTTTGCCACCCCTAATGAGGAAACAATCCAGTCCTCTGATAGGTGGAGTCGTTCATCTCTGCAGTAAAAAGCTAATGCTTAGTCTAGCTTTATTCATCCTTTTTGGCACATAGGGTATATACGGTATGGCTCCATGGAGCCAACCAGGAGCCTCTGCCTGGTGGAATGATCTGTGTGCCAGGCTGGAAGAGACAGACACTCTGTTTGACCAACAAATGTATAGAAAATAGTGGCCAGTAAGTAGCAATTACGTAATAATCTTATCCAAAGAAAATGTGGGCTCAAATTAAGATGATTTCACCGGGAAAACATTAAGGTATACAAAGAGTTCTTAATAAATAGAAATAAATAGTGCAGGGTTTGCGCCATGGTGATTTTCGATGGTTATCTGCCCTCGCCGCTGCTGCTCCAGCTGCATCTTCCGCGGGGCTCAGCGCAGCATTTTGCTCTACAAAAACAACTAGCTCCTTTCCAGCCAATGATTACTTGTAATTATGCTTTCCCCTGCTATTATTCTAATAGACCTGTCATGTTGCTCGGAGGACTCTGGCATTTGGAATATACGACGGCTTTTATGGATGGACTGCTGGAACACTTAATATAGCTCTATTTTTGAATTATCAAGTTCTATCCTTTTGAAGTCTGTGTTAGTGGAACTCCTATTTATGAGATGTGCTGTGCTTAAAGGTTTGCTATTGATGAAGAGGTCCAACAGAGCCTTTATCGTAAGTACGGCAGCATTCTCCCTGAGAGATAAATAGCCGTGCTAAAAGGTATGCTGTGTACCTAGGCTGCAAATTACTAGCCAAGTACCTCATAACAGTATACTTCAAAAATACCTTTATGCTTCTTGTTTGTTCTCTTTTCCATAGAGATGAATGACATTTCTTAAAACACAGAGGGGTGGAAGTGTGTTGGTCATTGCTGGTCATCGACATTAATTGGGTTTGAGGAACATGTTTGTTCTGGCACAGGGTGTCTGAGTAGATGCACGAATGTGGCTTACATCTCCTGTGCTTGCTGTTGTGAGAATTTGCTTTTCTTTATGTTCCCTTAACCTAAAGGTGGACTAAGTTGGATTCAAGCACTTTTTGCATGGGAAAGAGGGTTTATGAAAAAGCATAATTCAGGCAGTGGTACCTGTTCTGGAGAATTCCAAGAGCACCACTGGGGGCAGAGCAAGGGCCCGCAGCTTAAGGCTGGTGTGGGCAAAGAGTGGGTGCGATGTTCTCCATCCAGCAGGCAGAGGTCTTAGAAAGGGGAGGCCTGATACAGAAGCTGGCATGAAGAGTGGTCCCCAAAGCTCTTATTATCTGAGCAATTTGATAGACACTAAGTCAGGTCAGAGTTTTCTTTAGCAGCTCAACCAGCTTGTTTTTTTGTGGGCCCAAAGGTGGAGGCCCTGTTGGACGGTACAGGCACTGTTTTTGGCCCTGGGCAGCAATCATATGGAAAGACACATTGTGTGGTTGGATTGTGAGTAGGAATTTGGGGAAATGTGTGTCTCCCTTATGTTATACAGAAATGTATTCAAGAGACTCCAAGCTGCCAGCAAGCATCCCAGAAGCAGACATAACTCCCTTGGCAGCCAACATTGCAAACAGAGGCAGGACTATGGAGCAGCTTTTGACTAGGTGGCAAGAATTTATATCCATTCCCCAAAGAAGGTAGGCTGTTGCTCCAGAGTGTTTGCCTGGTGTTTTTCATTTGGAACTTTCATGCATCAGAACCTCGACTGTGCACTCCCTGTCTAATTCATCTTCACCCACATATTTTACCATTACAGATAGCCTTCCCCCTAAGCTTGTCTGTTTACTAGCTGGTTTGACAGATGACAGCTACTCTGAGCCATGCTACATGGCATTTGTATGGCTCTGGTGCCAGAAGCATTCTAAGAGCCGGTGTTGCATATTTATTGATCTTCATATTCCCAATAATCTGATGCCCGTCACATTTGACAACATTATGTGGAGAGGTCAGCTAGATGGGGCTAATGAAACTGTTTCCAAGATGGATGTTGTTTTCCACAACATTACCCTTGCAAATAGCTGTCAGTGGGGTATTTCACTGTTGGGCTAGGCATTTGAGAACCCTTTTTTTTTTTTTAATAGTTGACGTTTACATTAAACAAAACCCGAAGCTATTAAATCTTAGTATTTATATACAATAGAAAACATGGAAGCCCTGGCATCTTTCCAAATGAAAATCTTATTAACAGACATGGTGCTTGTGGCAAAGTCCCCGGCAATTGGAGATTGGCTTGGCTGTCTGAAATGTTTGACGGATTAGCCTGAGATGATATGAAGGACCAAATGGGAAACGGCTGAAGTCTGCAGGATTATACCGGCAAATAGAAAGGCTTGCTGCAGTCCAGAGGCGGGCGGCGCTTGTATGACTGTTTCCAAGCGCCCACACTGCTGTGAGCAGCCAGCACAAAATGCGCTTGGTTTAGATAAAGATTTACAAGAAAAGAGAAAAGAAGGAAGAAAGGAAAGAAAGAGGGAGGGAAGAAAAGAAGAAAGACAAAAAGAGAGGATTTGCAAAGAGGACCTAATATAATGAAATGCTTCCCATGAATTAATGACACTGAAAATGTGTTGGGAGCAGTAATGAAAATGATAAAGACAGATTTCCTGCACCTGAATCCAGAGCCCTGCAAAAGCCCTGCAAAGGGGCATTTAGGGGCTTTGCCCACTGTCTATCCTGACGGTTACCATGTTGGACAGTGATCCTCATGGCTCTTTCTCATGAATTTGTGCTGGTTTAATTCCAGGTGGATATTTAATCGGTGAAAATTCATCAAGTAGTTGTAAGCACCTGCCTGCCAATGCAATTTTTGAGAACTTTGTTGCATATCTTAATAGGGCCACTGAGGACTTTGAATTCTTTAAGAAAAGCATAGTAAATCTTCAATCTGAAATGCAATGTTTCACAAAGCCATGTCTATTGAATGGATTTCTTCACAGCAATGTTCTTCTTCCAACTTTACCGTTAAGCAGACACAAACAAGAGTATATAATAGAATTAATAATACTTGGCTACTGGCTCATCCAGAACTTTCTCAACAATGAACTCATTTTTCCAGTGCTAGCATTTAGGAGCATTAACTCACCACATTGCTGACAGTCACAAACATTGAAGAACTTCTCAACTTGTTTATTTTGTGGGGTGGAAGGAAGAATGTTGGAGAAGAGACGATTAACTATTGTGCCTTTTTCTTTAGTGGATCTCAGTACCTCTTCCCATTACATCCTTTTTCATGTTATGCCGTTTGCATTGTGTCAAATGAAGAAGTAGAAAAGAATTGTTGAGTTCAAGAGCAGCGAAGTTCAGTGCTGGGCAGATGCTTATGGTTTTTTCAGATGGAAAGCTTGTTTCTCTTTCATCCTCCACCTCCTCCACCCTCATGGAATATATATATACAGTTAATAAGTATGTTCTCTTTTTGGTAAATACCTAAAAGTAATATGGGAAACAAAGTCAGGCAAAGGTGGAAGTCAATTCCAAGTAAGGCAGAGTGGTAAGCATCCTGCCTACAACTTAAGAGACAGAATTCTCATTAAAGAAAAACACCATCAAAAAGTAATATGTGAGAGACGCAAGTAAAGCTACCCTAGGTAGCTTTAATTTAGGCATGAGCAAATTATATGGATAGTAGTTGCTATAGTAACTAGTAGACAATATGGTGTTTATGTTGCTATTGAGATATCTTGTACTTTACCAAAACAAGGGGAAAAAAAGACTTCCAGAAGCATACCAACAATACATGAAGGGAACCTTTCTCATAAACATTTTACTTCTCCCATTTTAGTATTTCTTTATAATAGAATGAGTATCCACAATTAAGTACAGCTCGCAGGTTGGCTTGCTGTTGTTATTAATGTTTTTCCTAACTGAGATGTCCCTTTAAAAGCCTTGTCCCTGTGGCACAGCTGAGGGCACCCTGGCGGCCATCTTAGATGGTTTCCAGGAGAATTCTGGGATTCCACATAACATGCTGTGAGGTGTAGACCAACATGAGTCTGTTGAAGCCAGACCTAAAGACCAAGAATGCTAGAGGATTCAGGGCAGAACACATGCTGTGAGAGGTTATAATTTTATGCATTTATGATCTGTTTAGCAGTTAATAGAATTTTGAAACATGTTTGAAGTTCTTTCTGGAGATAGTTAAGATGTTTCAAAGGGGGCTTGTGCTGAAATGCAGTTGCCTCACATGTAAGCTGCAGTGGATGGGGAGGCAGTGGGGAACACAGGGGAGTGGGGAGGTGCTGTTTTGCTGCGGGTGCTTGGCTGGTGGACTCAGATAACTCAGGTTCCAATTTGGGTTTAGAGACCTGAGAGCTAAGTTGATTGCAATTCACCCAGGAGTTGCTCTGACTTTTCAGAGCACCAATTTCAAAGCTAGGTTGGGAAATCTGAGGGGGCTTCCAGTGCATTCAAATTCTTAAAGCAAAACCAATGTAAATTAATTTAATTTAAAAATGTGTGTCAAAATAAATTCTAAAAGGCAAACAAAAAATTGTATATCAATCAGGCTTTCTGGCATTTGAGATGGGAAAGGGGATTCTTAAGAAATGGAATACAGAGGTAGGGTTCGCCATGCCTAAGTCATGGGAGTCATGGAAACAAAGACTGAACTCACTGAGATGACTTGCTTCTGCACACACTTTTCTTAGCACACATCCCTTTGTGGTTCTCTTTTTATAATGCGTCGTGAAATAGAGGAGCAAGCATCGCTTTGGAGCTAGAAAACCTGAGTTCTAGTCCCAATTCTGCCATTTCCTAGGATTGTGGCCTAAGGGAAGCAATCCATTAATATTTCCCATTTGGGAAATGCCCCTAGTAATACCCTCTTGGTCAGCTGGGGCTGGATTAAGCCGAGCGCAGAACACTTGGGTGACATATCTGGGGAGCTCCACCTCTCCACAGCTGTTCTTTAATCCCTACTCCTGCTTTGGCTATTCCTGGCTGTGGGTGAGTCATTTGATTTCTCTGGCCTCAGCTTTCTCATCTGCAAAGCGGTATCATTGGCCCTGCCGGCCTCAGAGGCCCCTGCTGCTCCTCACATTCTGCGATCATATGGCACGTGCTTTTCCAGGCTCCTCGATGCTTTCCCAGGCTCCTCGATGCTTTCCCTTATGGAATGTGTGCAGAGAACTCTTCACTCTTCATGGTTAAAATGCCTCTTCTTTTCCTGGATTTGAAGAGCTGCTCAAATGAAAAGTTGCTTTGAAATGAAGTCATGTCTATACTATAGACAAAGCGGAAGAAATCATCAATTTGAGCACTTTGCTTTTAGGCTGAAAATGTTCCCACTTTATAAATGAAAAGTTGGATTTTTTTTTTCCCCAGAGTTTGTGACCAATGCAAGGCCTCATGACCCTCAGTATTTTGATGGCCTCTATTGGCTATAGTTTATACTCCAAGAGGGTTCATGAGAAGGAGGGAGGCCCAAGGAAAAATGTTTAAAGGGTGAAGCCAGTGAATCTTTACTCAATTACTGTTATAACAAACGCTGCATCACTGGAGAAACAGATGATGAGCCAAGAACATACAGTAGGTGGGAAGGAGGAGGAGGAGCTGGAGGGGGAGCAGAAGAGGCAGAGGGAGAGGGAGTGGGAGAAGGGTCGAATTGCTTGAAGAGCAGTATTTAGTCACCTGGTCCATAATTCCAATCCCTCTCCGAAGCCTCAGGACGTGAGATGCTTCAGCACCTCATCCAGGCAAAACTCATTAGACTGTGAAGTAAAGCGAGTAAGAATCAATTTTTTGTCTAGCCCCAGAAATTATTTGGAATAATATGTCAAGATGGTTATCTTCTCTGTTGAAATTGGCTTGAAAAGATCAGAATTTCTTTAGATATCTATGAGATTTCCACGAACTGCCTGGCTCTCTACACATGAGCGTGACTACACAGGTGCCTGGAGAATGTATAGGCGGCCGCACACATTTATTTTTACAGAGGGTAATTAGTACAGTCTCTCCTCCCAGAAATGAGCCTTTTGTTTTATGTTTTCAGCAAGAACTTGTGAAATATTCTGAATTGTTTGCCTCTCCATTTTGCAATCTAAAACTCATTAACAGTTGAACAATTTAATCAGAATGAATCAAATTGTGAAATGGATACACGGGCAGTTCACATAGCCATAAAGCATGGCTGAAACTTTTCTGAACAGCTTAATAAAACTTAGAAGGCAGCAGGAAATAAATGATTATCCTGGACAATATCAGGGTAAACAGAACCTGGAGCCATGAACCTGGTAATTGTTCTTCCTCACTCAGCACATTTGCCAGGCCTTGGTCTTAATTCATAGGATGGACCAATGATTAGAGGGATTTAAGTTGCCAGTCTTTCTGTAAAAGATTTCTGTTTAATAATGGGCATGATCTGGGAAGCCAAGTGAACGTCTGTACATTAACCCTGACTTTAATTCCAGGAGTGTTCTTTCATTACAAATAGACCCCAGGGAGGCTGAGGGGGGCAGGGCTCTGGCTCCTTGCTTTTAGGAAAGACTTCAATTTCAAGAGTGACCTTGTCATTGTACTTTAAAAATTTTATCTATCACAGAATTCTCTCTGCAGAGGCAGCTACGGCTGTTTTGTGGAAGTAGGTTCTTGTTTCATTTGGGTTGTACCCATATCAAATACTCTGAATTGTCTGGCAGAGTCAGCGTATTATGCATTTGGGTTCAAGGCCATCTGTAGGGTGACCAACTTGATCTGGGTTGTCCAGGGCTTTCCCTGTTTAGCACTGAAAGTCCTCCATCCTGGGAGCCCGCTGAATCTCAGGGAAATTGGGATGGTGGCCTGAGAAAAGTCCCATGCCAAGATATTTCCCGGCCTCAATGCCTGAAATCACTCTCCCTCCCAATGCCAGAATTTTGCTTACAACTTATTAAGCAAATTTATATAATACCCATAATAATAATAATAATCCAGAACTATTATACATTTCTTTGTTCATAATTTTTATCCCATATTCTTCTGAGGATGAACTGAAGTATCTCTTTGGGATTCCAGTATATGCCTGGGTATTTGAGGTTTCCCCATCTCTATATTGTCAGTGAGATCTTAATTTTTAATTTCTTAATATTATAAATTCAGATTGCACCCCCATACCATGCCTGTTTTATTTTTGTAATTTCCACCAGCAGTCCACCATTCCTCTCCTGCACAGGCTTAGGTGGCCCCAGAACAAGACACTCCCACAGTCTTGTCACTTTGGTTTCTTTCTGATGATTAAGCTTTTGCCTCCACCGTTGTTCAGACATGGGCTTTTCATGGGTTTTTTTCAGATAGACATGGGCTTTTACACAACCATTCTTACTCTTTTGACTGGTCAGTGAGATGAATCCTGACTCCACCACCTCCTAACTGTGTCTCAGAGGGTAAATGCTGCCTCGTGTTAGGCCTCACTTTTCTCACCTGTGAAGTGGAGATGGTAAGACTGATGCTGTAGGGTTGCCATATGGATGGCAAATAGACAGGTACAACCCATAAGGGTTAAGTGCTTTGGTGCTCGAGAGCATGCCTGCTGACACTGACCTGGCCAAGTCGGCCTGGGTGCTGTGAGTGGTGTGGGTTGGCAGGTGCCCATCAGCTACTGATCTGAACATGCTGATTCTAGTGTAAGCACAGACTCTTTCCATGATTTCCATGGGAAACTCATGGCCCACGGCCAGAGAAAGGGTCAACTCACTTCTTCATGAATGATTGCTGGGCTTGCAGAATGTTTCAAATTCAAAGTCAGGTTGATTGTTGTATAAAAGTTTGTATATGGAATAATTTCTTAGTTCCCTTGCTTGAGATTTTGGTCTACATGGGTTTACTTCTGAAAATTTTTTCTAATTAATCTCTACATTGAATTAAAGTGATATATGTTATTTCTGTTTGTTTAGTGGCTATTCTTAACATTTTAATGTGCATACTTATATTAACAAATGAAGTTTCTTTATCCTTCTTCTAAATAATGGGAGGTCATTAGAACATTAGCTATCAACCAGCAGTAACAATTAACATTTGGTAATGTTATTTCATCTACCCCTCTCATTACTACAATTATTTCTGTTGCTGTTATTATTATGGGATATTTTACAGCAAATCTCAGAGATCATGTCATTTCACCTAGAAATACTTGGCTAACAAGAACTTTTTCCCTGTTAATATAATCACTATACCATTATCACAGTAAACAAAATTAATAATAATATTTTAATATGATCTCCTGTCCCCTGCATATTTAAATTTTCCTAGTTGTCTCAAAATTTCTTTTTACAGATGTTCTGTTTGAATAAATAACAAATAAGTTTCACATATCACATTTGATATTTTCTTAACTAAAGTCCACCCTTCCCCCATTGTTTTAATTAAATTAATTAATTTTTTTTTTTAGTCATTTGTACTTTGAAGAAAATGTAAAATGCCCAGTGGTCCACATTTTGCCAGTTGCTTCTATTTGGTGTCCTACAGCTTATTCTTCTATTTTCTAAGGTACTGTGAACCAGCATTTAAATTCAGTAATTATTTTAAATTCAGGACTTTCTGGGTTATAACACTTTGGAGATATTGCCATTTACTGAATGCATCACAGTGAGAAGCACAGAAATGTCTGCTGTCCTACTTTATTCATTGATCAACACTCAGGTGGTATCAGCTGAATCTCTCATTTAGGAAGTCAAAACTTTCGTTTAATACTTGTTTACTGTAAAATACACAGAAAACATACATTACACAAAACTTACCATTTTAACGATTTTTAAGTGGTTTTAAGCATACTCACAATGTTGCAAGCATCACTACCATCCAGCTCCAGAACTTTTTCATCATTCCTGCTGTGGTTTCGATGTGTCCCCTTCAAGACTCAGGCTCTACCTTAATACTGCCAATGTGACAGTATTAAGAGGGGGAGCCTTTAAGAGGTGATTAGGTCATTAGGGCTCCCCCTTCCTGAGGGGCACTTAGGCCCGCATAAAACACGTCTCACTGTGAGCTTCCTTGCCCTTCTGCCTTCCGCCGTATGAGGGCACAGCGTCCCTGCCCTCTGGAGGATGTGGCAACAGGGGGCCATCTTGGAAGCAGAGAGCAGCCCTCACCAGACAACCAAACCTGCTGGTGCCTTGATCTTGGTTTCCCAGTCTCTAGAACTGTGAGAGAATAAATTTCTGTTCTTCATAAATTACCCACTCTCAAGTATTTTGCTATAGCATAATGGACTAAGGCAATCCCCAACTGAAACTCTGTACCCATTAAACAACTCATTATTCCCTCCTCCCCCCAGCCCCTGACAACCACTGTTCTCTCTCTACAAATTTGATGACTCCAGATACCTCATATGAGTGGAATCATACAGCATTTGTCCTTTTTCTTTTGGTTTATTTCACTTAGCATAATGTCTGTAAGGCTTATCCATGTTGTCGCATATGAAGAATTTCCTCATTTTTTAAAGCTGAATCACATTCCATTATATGTATGTACCACATTTTATCCATTGATGGGCACTTGGCTTGCTTCTACCATTTGGCTATTGTGATTACTGCTGCTATCAACATGGGTGTACTCACTTACTGCTTTTGTCATTCACTTATGATATTTGTTTAGATCCATTAGTTCATTATGGGTTACAAAATGGTGATTTTCTAATATTTTCTCTTTACCAGTTTTCAGGATAATGAAGTGATAGATCAGTATTCCACAAAGGTGACCCATTTTTTTTTTAAACCAACTTTTTTTTTTCTTTAAATAGCTCTTCGGGTTGGCTTCTGTATCCTTTGACACAATTCCAGGAGCCTTTTATCACTACTTTGTTTCCTGGCAGAAAAAGATGTACCAAGCTAATATTGTGCATTTTCTACCCATCCCTCAAATCCATCACTTCCCCAATAAGACCTGGTTGCTTTGGGATGGTATTTAGAGACTATATCTGGGCACTTGGTGTGCTCATTACTAGGGGATTGTCATTGTTTCTAGGTTTTTCAGTAAACAGAGCTAAAATATGTATTTTTTAAAAGATAAATTATGAAGTCATACTGTTATTTTAAATTCAAATTTAGAGTCACAGTGTTTCTACTTCTTTGATTCTATACTGTATCTCTTTTATGATGAAAATCTTCTTTTAGATTAACATAATTATTTATTTTATTCTAGACTGTATTACTAGTGGCTTCAAAATAACCTTCACAATATTTATGGGATAAATAAGCTATTGAAAACAGTTTAAGACTTCTTTTCAGTTCTTTTTGTCCCCAAATTATACCTCTTAGGGATACACAGTCAGAACACAGTACTTTAAAGTCAATTAAATTGCTTTGTGTGTCTACACCACCAATCTGATAGGTAGTTAGGTTCATTTGTTTCAGTGTTTTTTCAATTTTTAGGATTTCTTAAAAAGATTTTGTTAAGCATGAAAACATTGCTAATAATTCTAAACTGAAAAATAAAACCAAAAACCTCAAACCATATAATAGGGTCCATCTACAGAAATCTTGCTTCCATCTTTTTTTTTCTTTCTATTTCATTTCTTACTTCCTTCTATTTGTAATCATTTTCATTAGTTTTTGGTTTACCCTCCCATTATTTCTTTTTGGAAATATAAGCAAGCGCGCGCATGCATACACACACACACACACACACACAGTCTTTTCTTAGTCAAAAGATAGCATACTTTTTAGTGTGCATGATACTGCATTGTGATATCACTCTAAGTGTTGGGCATTTGACTCATTTGTATCATTTAGCTATTATAATAAATGCCGAAATCAATAGTCTTGTGCTTACATGGCTTTGCATTTTTTTCTTGTGTATCTTTGGGATAGATTCTGAGAAATGGGATTGCTGGATAAATGGTAACTGCAGAGCGAATTTGTTAGATAGCGCCAGTCCCCCTTCACAGGGATTGTCTCATTTCACACCCCCCACCGCATCAATGTTTGAGCTGCCTGTTTGTCCACAGCATTATCAACAGAGTGTAGTGTGGCACTGCCTTAGCTACTGGAACAGTTACAATATTGTTTTCTTTTAAGATTCCCATACCATGTGGATAGTACAGATTTGAACACCTCACTTACGCATGCTTGGGATTTGGATTTCTCAGAGGATGGAGGAAATTTCCCCACCACCCAGAGTCTCATCAAATAGCATTATTTTCATTGTTTCTTCCTAAGGTGGGAATTTTCTAGTCCCATTTTGATGGACAGGCAGCCTTATTAGGGCTCCTCTATTGTGTTGTGTCTTTTCTTTTATTGAGACGGGGTTTCACTCTTATCGCCCAGGCTAGAGTGCAACAGCAGGATCTCAGCTCACTGCAACCTCTACCTCCCGGGCTCAAGTGATTCTCCTTCCTCAGCCTCCCGAGTAGCTGGGACTACAGGTGTGCACCACTGCACCCAGCTAATTTGTGTATTTTTTGTAGGGGGTTTTACCACATTGCCCAGGCTGGTCTTGAACTCCTGAGCCCAAGCGATCTGCCCACCTCGGCCTCCCAAAGTGCCAGAATTACAGGCGTGAGCCACTGCGCCTGGCCATATTATGCTGTGTTTTAGTCCAGGATTCCTTTTCAGTGCGGGCCAAGGCCCAGACTCCTGCCCTCATCCGGGTATTCTGCCCTCAGCCCTGAGCTGTGGAGCTTATGTCTGGATCCAATACCCTCTCGGGCCCCAAGCTGTCTGCTCTGTGTTTGCCATTCTGGTTTTAAGTGACCTCTTCAGCACCTGGAGATTTCCTTTTCTTTCTTTAGAGTGTATCTGTGTATTACATTTTTTGGGAGGCTGCATTTTACCCAGCATTTCTAAGTATAATGAGTGGGAGAGAGTTCTTCAGAATCTTCTTGTCTTCTTATTGCTGGAAGAAATGTGATCCAGTTTTACAAAAATTATACCAACAGGGGGAAGTAAAATGGGAATTGACAGTGATTATTTGGTGTGCAAAAGTTTCCTTTAAGGAAGGACTTCTAGAGTGTCCAAACAAAATTTTTACCTTTAACCAAAATTGAGCCTATAAATATTGCACAGAATGGGGTGTGATTGTTTTGTGAAGGGGCTGTCTCGGACCTGGTAGTGAGGAGTCTGGGCCATGGGCTCACAAATTTCTGCATTGCAGCCTGAGGAGAGCAAAGTCAATCACTAAATTATCCTTTTGGCCTTATTCCAAAGTTCAAACTCCAAACACACCACAAAACATATTGTACAAGATAGTCCTCTGGGAGGACTAGATCATGAAAAGAAAAGAAACCAGGATTATCCCTAAAATGGGATAATTAGGAAAAAAATCCTTTAGTCAATACTGCTTAATTTCCTTTAAAATTCCTAGTTGCCTTATTAACAATATAATCAGTGCCTTCTGATAATTTCTAACACGACCTAGAGTGACCTTTCCCCTTTCAAATGTGTACAGGGCTGAGCATGGTGGCTCATGCCAATAATTCCAACACTTTGTGAGGCTGAAGTGGGAGGATCACTTGAGGCCAGGAGTTCGAGACCAGGTTGGGCAACTTAGTGAGACCTCATCTCTCCAAAAAATAAAAAAAAAAGAATAAAAAGTCTACAGATTTGCTTAGCTTTTCCACTTCGATTTGACTCTCTGCTGGGATTGGACATTTTCCCTTTCTTTGCTGTTGTGGTTAAGTTTGTGTGGTTTTCTCGGTTTTATCTTCTAAAACCCCAGCTATTCTAAGTGTTGGACTCTGTTGGCTGTGGTTTTGTGCCAGAAATCACTTTAGACTGGAATCAGCTCAAATAGTAGAGAATGGAATACAATGTTGAGGTTTGCTATGGTATGAGATTAGCTCAGCTGAGACAGTGAGAATGGCAGCTCACTGATGATTCATTTTATAAATAGGGAACAAATTTTGGTGTTATTTGCTGCTTCATCCCCCTCAACTACCAGCTTGTACCCTTTTTAGGTGTGGAACTTTTAAACCTGGCTTTAGAAGAAGGGTTTTTGAAAATCACCTCTAGCCTGGACAATTCCTAATTGGTCTTCCCTCCTCTGATTTCTCCCATTTTTACAACATCCTAAATGAACAGGCCAAAAGGAAAACTCTACCTTTTCTAAACAAAGACCTGTATGTTACATTACTTTCCTGCATAAAACCCTTTGGTGAGTCCCCTAAAGAGTCAAGTCGAATCGCCTAACCTGGCATTCAAGGCCTCTGAATGGGGCCTGACCACTGTCTCCTCTTCCATCTCCCACTCCCCAACCCTAGCTGGCAGCCCACATTCTTTCATTCCTCCCAGCCTTGGTCTATGGCTCTTCTCTGTGACAACCTTCCCATCAGAGGGCATGCAATTAAGCCTTGACATGTGAGACCACACGGGGACTAAGAACAGCTGTGCCAGGACTCTTGGTTTACTGGTTTTGAGCTTTGCTCTGTGATGACTCTGTGACTTTATATCCCATTTGTACAGACTTGCTTAGTTTTTCCAGCTTGACTTGACCCTCTGCTGGGATTGGACCTTTCTTCCCTTTGCTGTTACGGTTAAGTTTATGTGTTAACTTGACTGAATATGGGGTTCCCAGATACTTGGCTAAACATTGTTTCTGGGTGAGATCTGCATTTGCACTGGAGGACTCGGTAAAGGAGATGACCCTCCTCAATGTGGGTGGGCATCCTCCAATCCATTGAGGGCCTGAATAAACAAAAGGTGAAGGGATAATTTGTCCTTTCTTCCTGTTTGAGTGGAGGCCTTGGTCTTTCACCTTCAGAATAGGATTTACACCATCAACTCCTCTGGTTCTCAGGCCTTTGGTCATGGACTGAACTACATTACTGGCTTATCTGGGTCTCCAACTTGCAGATGGTAGGTTGTGGGACAGTCTCTAGGAGCCAATCTTCATAATAAATCCCTTTCTACATAGCTCTATACAGTTGGCTTTGTGTATGCGTGGGTTCCACATTCATGGATTCAACCAACTATCCAACTGAAAATACATTTGTGGGATGGGGAACCCGAGGATAGGGAGAATAGGAGGGCGGTTTCTTCCACGCTGTTCTTGGGATAGTAAGGGAGTTCTCTCGAGATCCGATGGTTTAAAAGTGTCAATTTCCCTGCATGCACTCTCTCTCCTGCCACCCAGTGAAGAAGGTTCTTGCTTCCCCTTTGCCTTCTGCCATGATTGAGTGTCCTGAAGCCTCCCCAGCTATGTGGAACTGTGAGTCAATTAAACCTCTTTATCCTTCTTCTATATATATATACATAAATTACCCAGTGTCAGGTAGTATCTTTATAGCAGTGTGAAAAGGAACTAATACACTATGGGACTTGAGCATCTGTAGATTTTGGAGTCTGAGGGAAGTCCTGAAACCAATCCTTGAGGATACTGAGGGACAACTGTACATCCTGCTGGTTCTGTTTCTCTGGATAATCCCGACTAATACATTTCCTAGAAAATTCCTGCCTGCCTTTTGCTGCTCTGGCTCCCAGAGCACGTCCTCCAATTCGCTTATCTCCAAGCATTTGCCACATGGAATTGTGAACATTCTCCAATTTCTGCCTGGCATACATTTCAAAGGAGGCATTCTGCCTGATAAGAGCAAATTGATTGGTGACAAGAACCAATGAAACAATAAATTCAGACAGGATGTTTTCAGTTAGGTACCATTTCGTCTGGAAGAAGTTGGACCAGAGGATCTCTAGGGCCCCCTCTAGCTGTGTGATGGAAGGAAGCAGATTTTACCCTATCAGCCAGTTTATTATGCGCACTCTGCTACAAAAGTTAGGCTAGTCTCCTAGACTAAAAGTATCAGAGGGCCAGAGATGAACCTCTCAGTATTCCACAAGGGGCATCGTTCCTGTTAGAGAAGATACTTGATGAATAAATCGATGAGAATATGTGAAGGAACAAAGGAAGATTCATTGCCATGATAAAAAAAAATTCTATGGAAATTTCTGGAAAGGATTAAAGGACCTGTATGAACATGATGGGCAATGCAAGATTATTTCATTGTTAGGAAAGAGGTTGAGCTGAGCCATGTGTGCAGAAGAGACAACTGTAGGCTGAGTGAAAAGAGAAATGGAGTTAAGGGGTCTGGGATCTGCTACATTGTGACCTTAGGTCATCTGTGTCAAACTGTATAGCTGACCATCTGTCTGCCCATCCATCTACCCAAACATTTATCTATCTGCCCAATCATCCATCTATCCTTCTATCAATAAATCTGTCCATCCATCCATCCAAACAGCTATCCATCTGTCTGTTCATCCATCTATCCACCTATCTGCTCATCTGCCTCTCCACGCATCCATTCCATCCAAACACCTGTTCATCTATCCATCCTTACCAAACACCCACAGTATACTAGGGGTTAGAAATCCAAATATGACAAAGACACAGTCCCTACCTCCATGGAACTCAGTGTGTCAAGGGAAGATTTTCATACAAACAATTACTGTGTAATAAGAAAATGACTCCAGATAAGCACTTTGTCCACTGTGCTGTGCGTGAGAACACTTACATTTGCCTAGAATCAGGAAAGGCTTCCCAGAGGTTGTGGTGTTTGTGCCCAGACCTGAGTGAGGAGGATCTTCATTACCTTGGTCCTCAAGTTCTATTTTACCTGTGCACAGCAGGCATGGGGCCAAATAACATCTGTCCAAAGATTTCTGTGATTTCATGAGTGGCAGAAACAGATTTCATACTGGGCACCAACAAGACCTATGGAGGGCTACTGGGGAGACAGAGCTAGTTAAACACTAGGCTGGGCTTGGGACATCCCACCTTTGAGGGACCCGCATACCATGTGCAAGAACACGCTCTAGCCCTTGGGTAGTTGGAGGAAAAGCTCCACTGCCCTCAGAAGCTTGTTTCCTGGGACAAGGCTAGAAGTGGGCTTTCCAGGCTTGTTCAGGACCCAGGCCCATTGTCTACAGTGTGACAGGAACCCCATGAATTTTAATAGCCTCCATTCAGAGTGATTAAAACCTTAATGAAATTTAATTATCTTGATGTTAAGCGTTTTGTGTTAAGTTATTGCATTCTGACCACTCATTGTTCCCTGCAAGCTCAGGGCTGCTAACCCTACCTCTACCTTAATGGAAAGGAAAGTTGAATATATTTAAATGAAATTTCCCCCAAAGTAATTGCCTTCAATGAAACACCAAGTAGGCGTCAGGAATGAATTTATAAATTGGGCCGGCTGCAGATGAGAGCTACCATATTTGGAATGGTTCTCATTAATCCAGGGTCTCCAGAAGGAGCGATGTGAAAAGCGCAGACTGTAAGTGACAGGTGTTTATGGCTCGCAATTGCATTAAACAGGCTTTTAAATGCAGGTTAAAGGCCCTGTGAAATATAGAATATACCTTAAAACATGGCCTAAATTTTTTGCCATTTTGGACTTTGCATTACTTACCTACGGAATTAGTTGAGCTTTCGGTTAATCAACTGTCAGTGTAAATTGCAGTCAAGCGAAATGCTTATAAATACCGGTAAGCACAGTTTGCTTTGGCCTGTTGCTTTTTTTCCTTCTTCTTCCCCTGGGCCTTCCGAAGGCCTTCAGCTGATGGAGAGCTTTTAATTTCACATTTTGGCCCCCACCGCAGGTGATAAACAAAGGTTTCCCCGCTGCTCTGGCTAGGGTCAGTTATCCGGCCTCCCCGTCAATCCCACTCCCCGTAATTACACACAAAAGGTGCCTGAGATCCACAGCTAATTTGCGGCCTCTGTTTAGCAGAATTTAATAGCAGGTATTACTGCTGCCGCGGTAATTAAGGACCTTTGTCAATAAGACGGAATGGATGGCCACACTTGGTTGTAATCAGTGGGCTCTCGAGAGCCAGAGGAGTAAAAGGGAGAGAAGCAATCCATTTTGTGAATAACACGGCCCTCCCTCCCGCCCAGATCGGGCAATGGAATAATAATTCCCCAGGCAATGAAAGTACAGGAATAAAAGTACTTACCCTCCAGCCGGTGATTTTTTTTTTGACTTTTTATTTACTCTACTGAGCTTTCTTATTTGCTCCAGGCTGCATTTGATGAAGTATTGTTTAAACAGCACAGAGCAAAATGGATGGAGGGAGGTGGGGAGAGGAGGAGGAATTTTAACCAGGTGGCGAGAGGGAGGCGCCGTCCTTTAAGGTGGACGGCCGTTGGGTTTATCAATTATTTCTCCGGGATACAAAAAAAAAAAAAAAAGACAAAACCAAGTGGCTTCATGAAGAGGTGGAGGGTGTCATTTAGCGCCGTCTCTGAACATAGTCATTCAGCTCTAAATGGGTCGCCTGTAACAAGCGAGAAGTGAGCTTGGGGGAGACTTGCCACCCTCCCACCTCCTCCCTAATGTACGGATGAATGGCCCGGCGGAGGGGGCGGCGGGGAAAGGGAGGGGGCAGGGGCTGGCGGCCACAATTCAAAGACACCGTCAAGGTGTGTGCCCCTCGCCGTAATTGGAGAGGAAGCTGCCTTTCCCTCGCCGATTCCCTGCCTTTTTACTGGTTTTAACAAGCATGATGCTTTTAATAGTGCTTTGAGTACCATCTCTTTATATGCCTCTCCCTTTTTAAAGCAGCTTTAACTATACTCTTTCTGTCGCTAATGTCTGAAAAACTTCTACCTTTAATCATTCTCGGAAGAGCCGGCAAACAAGCGGCCCTTTCCTTTTGCAATTATGTGCCTGGTAGCCGCTGCCCGGCCGGCGAGCGGGAAGGCAGCCGGGAGCTGCGAGTGTGTGGATTATGTGGATCTGACGCCAGGCTCGGAGAGTGGGGGCATCACGAGGGGCTTCTTGTTACAGAAGGGCTGGGGGTCAATTTTAAATGCCCAAACCTGCAAGCAGGAAGCCAACAAGCCATTTGACCACTATTAACAATGCACCTGAATTTGGCTAATTAAAAAAGATTGAAATTAAGTTTGTGGCAAAACCCACACCTTCCTCCCGCAACCCATGTCCAAACTGGGCTGATGGGTGAGGTCTTCCTGTAAATTGAGCCTTGAGGGTTTCACATCTGCCTTCCAGGCTGGGTGGGTTGGCTCCGATGCAGGTTTGGAAATAAAAGGGAAAGAGGAGGGGCAGATTCCATCCCCTGTGGAGGAGTGTGCACACAGCTTTTGGGTCCCTCAAAGGAATGGCAGGGGCAAGGCTGGGAGCTTCAGGGCCTCTAGGATGGCTCCTGGCTCAACAGAGACTCACAAGCCCAGGAGGGCAGAACTGGGACAGGGAGGGCCATGGAAGTCACCTGTCCTGTCCTGTTTCCTTGTCCGTCCCATTCTTGTCTTCTGAAAATGAGACTCTTTTTTTGGAAATATCTGTCAAGGTGAAGTTCGGGAGATGTTCCAGAGGTGCCTTCCTTCCCAGAGAGCAGCTCTGGGGGTGGGGGGCGGGGGGAAGGGAGAGAGAAGGGTCTCTTTAGAGCTTCTGTGCATCCTTTATTCAAAGGTATCAGTCAGAAAAGGATCCCTTCGATCCATATCCCACATTCATTAGAGTTCAGATCCCAACTCTGGGGCACTCTCACTCTAATTCAGCTTGAGAAGTGGTTTTCTAATCTGTAAAATGCAGGTAAGAATGGCTCTGGCAGGCTGACTGTAACCGCTCTGAATATATCAAGTCCTAAGCCCTAGAACCTGTGAATGTTGTTACCTTTATAAGTAAAAAAGGTCTTCCCAGATGTGATTTAAGTTAAGGATCTTGAGATGGGAAATTATCCAGGTGGGCCTTAAATGCAATCACAAGTGTCCTCATAGGAGAGAAGCAGAGGGAGATGTGACACAGAGAGGGGAAGGTAATGGAAGAGATGGAAACAGAGATTGGGATGATGTGGCCAAAAGCCAAAACATGCTGGCAGCCACCAGAATCTGGAAGAAGCAATAAATGGATTCTCTAAAGCCTTTGGTGGGGCACAGCCCTGTCCACACCTTGATTTTGGCCTTCTGTCCTCTAGTACTCTGAGATGATAAATTTCCCTTGTTTTAAGCCACTCAGTTTGTGGTAATTTATCACAACAGCCACAGGACACCAGCACAGATGCCTCAGGGGAAGGTCCTCTTCCATAAGTGGGGCAAGCAAGCACTTGAGGACAGACAGGAGGTTCTGCAGTTGTGCCTCCTGGCCAGGAGGGCAAGGGGGCCTGGGATCCTGGTGTGCAGCAGGCATCCTGATACACGTGGAATTTTACAGTGGTGTTACTTGGAGCATCGGCTGTGGGGTATGCTGCATTCCAGTCCTTGAGGAAGGGGGTGTCATCCAGGTGTGGGTGCCCAGGGAGGGGAGCACACTCCGGAGCTTGAGTAGGGGTCTAACATGGCTCAGCACAAGGCAGGACTGAAGCTGTGGCTGAGGTTTTACGTCCCCTCAGCTGGAGGAACTGGACAGACGGGTGACTCCCTCTCACCCCACTGGGTGAAAAGAACATATTAAAAAACCACAAAAATATATAACTATCTCTCAGTGAGCAACTTCTTATGCAGAAAGGATTTTCCCCTGTCAAAGAAATTTTCTCAAAGATCTGTTCACTACTATTTTTATAAATCTTATTCTTTTACACAATAGCCTTAATACTTTGGAATAAATTTTTGGGTTAAGAGGTAGGTTGTTTCCATTGTGTTAGTTGTAAGTGCTACTTTTTCATATTTGGATAGTAATTCTAATTCATAGCACAATGGAGTTTAGAGTTCAGAATAGGATGTATTTCTTGATTGATTTTTTGTTAATATCTATTGGGTGCTCGATATGTGTTATGAGGATGAAATGAGAGACTGTGGCCTAAAAGAGACAAAAAGCTTGCCCAAGTCACCTAGCGGTGGTGGCACCAGGCCGTGAGTGCAGCCATCTGACTTCGGAGTTTAGTTCTTCACGCCCACGCTTTTGGAAGCCAAGGATGAGACCTGCATCTGGTTCTGCGGGGTTTTATTGGGAGATCTAGTTGTGCCCGCTGCAGATGGCACTCCCCACCCCCACAGGGCCTCATCCCAGGCCCAACCACATCTTCCTTCTGTACAGCGGGCATGGCACCTGCGCCCTTGGGGAGTGTCCACTGTTTTGTTGAATTGCTACTGGGAGTTGAAGAGGCTTTGGAGCATTCGTGCTAAATGGGATCCCTTTGAAAGGCATCTCTAAGTATAAGCAGAAATCAAGTTTGGCAGAAGTGATTCACAGACATCCCAGGCACAAAGCACATTCTCCTATAAGGAGAATGTTAATTTGTTCTAGAAGCACAGCAATTAAAGGGCAATGTCCATCAAGTGGTCATATTGGTTTGTAGCAGTTATGTCAAAATCCATAGCAAACCCCAATCTGCATTTTCAGAGTAGAGAGATGTGTCCTGTTGTTTGGAGGAAGCCTGCTACAGCTGGGCCTTAAGGCCTGTATTAGTCCATTCTCATGCTGCTGATAAAGGCATGCCCAAGACTGGGTAATTTATAAAGAAAAAGAGGTTTAATGGACTCACAGTTCCACATGGCTGGGGAGACCTCACAATCATGGTGGAAGGTGAAAGGCACTTCTTACCTGGAGGCAGACAAGAGAGAATGAGAGAGCCAAGAGAAAAGGGAAACCCGTTATAAAACCATCAGCTCTTGTGAGACTTATTCGCTACCAGGAGAAGAGCTTGGGGGAAACCACCCCTGTGATTCAATTATCTCCCAGTGGGTCCCTCCCACAATACATGGGAATTATGGGAGCTACAATTCAAGATTTGGGTGGGAATACAGCCAAACCATATCACAGCCATAACACACCATGCCCCAGCCTCTGCCCCAGTGCCTTTGCTCCACAGCCAGCTCCTGATCAGGGAGAGTTACTGTTGTCTTGCAAGTGTATGTCACAGCAGCAGGTTGGGCCTGTAGGCCAAAGCAGCTCCCAACAGAGCATACTGGGTTTTGCATTCTTCTTAGAGCACTAGATGGAGTATGGCTGTGTTTATATGAACTGCGAATCCTGACCAGGTCTTGGTGTGATGAGGTATGATGGAGGCCATAGGGCCCTGTGGTGGAGGGCTGTGTAGCAGGGAGGGCATGAGTCAGACAGCTGGGTAGGTCCTGGCTGTGTGAGCCAGGGTGGGTGTCTTCACTGCTCTGTGCTGCAGCTTCTACATTAGAAAATGAGGAAAATCGCCTATCTATTTCACAGGGTTGTTGAGGAGGTTAAGGATGAAACATGCAGTGTCTGGAGTGGAGTCTGGCCTTGGGGGTGCTATTCCAGAGGCATGGCTGCTCACCCCCCTTTTTTTTTGTGAGACAGAGTCTTGCTCTGTCAGCCAGACTGGAGTGCAGTGTCATGATCTCGGCTCACTGCAACCTCTGCCTCCCAGGCTCAAGCAATTCTCCTGCCTCAGCCTCCTGAGTAGCTGGGATTACAGGCGTGTGCCACCATGCCCAGCTAATTTTTGTATTTTCAGTAGAGATTGGGGTGGGGGGAGGTCTCACCATGTTGGCCAGGCTGGTCTTGAACTCCTGACCTCAGATAATCTGCCCGCCTTGGCCTCCCAAAGTGCTGGGATTACAGGCGTGAGCCACTGCGCCTGGCCTGCTCCTCTTAACGTTGTGGAAAAAGTGGTGCTCGAGGAGTCCAGGCACCTGGGAAACAATGTTCTTGCCACTCACCGAGGCCTTCTCTGAGCCTTGGTCTCCTCATCTGTGAACTGTGGAAGGTAATGAGGCCTAGCCTGAGGGGTGATTAGGAAGATTAAATGGGACACTTTGTGGGAAAGCACCAGGCTCCTATAACTCCTAGATCTTTAGGTGCCACTGAAGCCCATTGGTGTCATCTACCTGGTTAGTCGCAGACTCCGGACTGCTCTGCGTGTCATGTGGTTCTGGCTGCTGTAGGGCAGGGAAGAGAGATGTGTCAGACTTTGTTCCTGTCCCCAAGAAATGTCCCCACATAGTGTTGACAGACTTAACTGCATGCCTGATTAAATTTGAGTTTCAGATACTCGATGAATAATTTTCAGTAATTAGTATCCAAATACTGTATGGGACATACTTAAACTAAAAATTATTTACTGTGTATCTGGATTAAAATTTGACTCACTGTCCTGAATTTTTATTTGCGAAATCTGGCATCCCAATGGCCCCTCATCCTATGTAAAAATGCCCAACTTGAGGTCTCTGTCCATTGGTTTGGGGAGTCCCTCTGAGATTGCTGTTACCCAGATTCTGACTTTGCTCCATCTTTTCTTTGGTCACGGGACCCTGGGAGAGTTCTCCCTTCCTTCTGTCCTGTGCCTCAGTTTCTTCCTCTGTACTGGCTTATTGCTCAAAGGTCCTTTCTGTTTCCCTTTCTCTCACTTCAGAGTTGGTGGAACACATCTGGCCAATCTGGCATTTTGGTATTGTGTAGACAAAATGACCCACTGGCTTGATTGCATCTTTAACTTTTCAAATGCTTGTTTTGGCTTCATGTAGACACAATCCAAATGCCTCTGACCTGCCCTTTCAGTCCCAATTCTCAGCACTTGTAAGGAAAAGTCTCTTTGTAACTCTGCCCAATTCCCCCAGCTGTGTCTCTAAAGGGCATTTTGAAGCCCTTTTAATTTCCAATCCATTATAAAAATAAATCTTTGGAGGGTTTGCTTCCTACATAGCAGCATGCTTTTTGGCTTGACAGCTGTCAAACTGAGAAACATTCCATGAATTCTCCACGTAATTTAAAAGTTGCTCGGACTGAAATACGGGGTGATGTCTGCTCAGCTGAAAGGGTGCCATTTGTACGTGGGTAATTCAATTCACTTGATTTTTTTTTTTTCAGGGAATTACTTTCATAAGGAAAAGAAGAAGGAGTACATTTTACTCAATTATGAAATTGGTGTTCTGATCCAACTTGTGACTCTATTTCTAATCGGTTCTACCTTTCACTGCGCCTCTGGGAGGGGCAGTCTCTTCAACCATCACTTGTTCTTTGGCAATAATTACTTTTGGATGAGAACAGCAAGTCCATTTTGGGGGTTGTGTTCTGTGACATATATGTCTCTATATAAAATCCTTTTAGAATCTAAGCCTCTCACTCACATATGAGTTTCTTTCTCTTCAGAGATTAAAATACTGCAGCCACCATTTGTTTTGAGCAAACACAGTACTGTGAAGTCCTGTAATAGCTCGTTGGGGATTCTAAGCCACAGATTTTCTTATTAATCTTGCTAACACCTAAGAAGGTATGGGCGCCTCCCAAATGCATAAGCTTTATGCTCATTTGCTTTAATCCCTCAACATTTACCCTGCTGCTCCAGTCACGGCTCTGCCAGCTTCATTTGGCTCCTTCCTTCCCTCCCTTTCTTATCTGTCTCTTTTCCCTTCTTTCTTTTTTTCCTCCATGGATTTGCACTTTTTAGTCTCAATAAAAGGACTCGATGTCTGCCATTGGAAAACCTTACTTTCATTTCTTCCCCCAGAAAAATGAAACAGGTTTCTTTTAACTAGTGGAAGGCTCTCCTCTCTAAAAGGTTTTTATTATTGAGTGCCCGGGGTCCTTAGTTTCTGACATTTATCTTCCAGCTAAGCAGGAACAAAAGAGGGAGGCAGCCTTCTGCACCCCGAGTTTCTGAGTAATCACCCAGCGGTTAAATTGAAGCAGCCGCAACATCTTCTTCATTGTGTCACTTTGGGCTTCCTTGTTAATTTATGAGCCTCAACTGTCAAAATAGTTTGTGCAACGGATCCTAAAAACGGTGATGGGTCGTGTCAATCAATCGGGTTTTATAGCCCCGGTTTCCCTCGCGGCAGGCCTGCCTTCTGTATACAGCATGTTAAAAAGAAAACCACTATACCATAGACGTGCTCAAAATGAGTACATCACGCCCAACAATGCATCCCTTCATGTATGGCTCCAGGATGCTTAATGCGCCATCAGTGCTCCACCTCTGAGGCCCTTGTGATGACAGCTGGAAGCTGTTGAGCCTGTTGTGGGGGTGTCCCCCTGCCAGGGCATCCCACTATTTCAAGTGTCCCATCTCCATGATTGGAACTCAATGGTCTCAAGATGGCACCATCAGAGGCCTTCGGACAAGCATGCGGTGATGAGCAATGGTTGGGGCAAAATACCCCTCCAATGAGACAAAAATTTTCCTTAATCTTTGTGATTATAGAATCTAAATAGAGGCTGGGCATGGTGGCTCACGCCTGTAATCCCAGCACTTTGGGAGGCTGAGGCGGGTGGATCACTTGAGGTCAGGCATTCGAGACCAGCCTGGCTAACATGGTGAAACCCCATCTCTACTAAAAATAGAAAAATTAGCCCGGCGTGGTGGCACACGCACCTGCAATCCCAGCTACTCGGGAGGCTGAGGTAGGAGAATTGCTTGAGCCCGGGAGGCAGAGGTTTAAGTGAGCCAAGATCATGCCACTGCACTCCAGCCTGGGCCACTTCATTTCTAATAATAATAAACATTTCTAATAATCATCATCATCATCATCATCATCATCATCATGATTGTCAGTAACTCAAAAAACCTGTCTGCAGATTTGAATTTTGCTTTCAGGTGCTGGCCGACTTTCCTGTCTGAGGTGGACCACTTGATAATATAGGGGCTTTTCACAGACATTTTCTATGTTCTTCTTGGTTCTAGTCTCTAGGCTCAGGGTTTTTCATTATTCAGATTTTTCCCTTTTATTTTTCTTATCACAAACACAAGTTAATTATGAAAAACTTGGAAAATACGGAGAAGTATGGAGAACAGCAAAATCTGTTCTCTATCCAGGGGCAACCTCTGCTAACATTTGGTATATTTTCTGCCTTCTGTGTATATGATTTTACATATTTGAGATAATCTGTCTACACAATGTTATTTCCTGCTTTAAAAACATTTCTCTAAGCTTTTAACATTTTTGTGGTAAAGTCGTGTTGTGTCCGGAATTGGTGGGTTCTTGGTCTCACTGACTTCAAGAATGAAGCCGCGGACCCTCTCGGTGAGTGTCACAGTTCTTAAAGGCGGCGTGTCCGGAGTTTGTTCCTTCTGATGTTCAGATGTGTTCGGAGTTTCTTCCTTCTGGTGGGTTCGTGGTCTCGCCGGCTCAGGAGTGAAGCTGCAGACCTTCGCGGCGAGTGTTACAGCTCTTAAGGCGGCGCGTCTGGAGTTGTTCGTTCCTCCTGGTGGGCTCGTGGTCTCGCTGGCTTCAGGAGTGAAGCTGGAGACCTTCGTGGTGAGTGTTACGGCTCAAAAGCAGTGTGGACCCAAAGAGTGAGCAGTAGCAAGATTTATTGCAAAGAGCAAAAGAACAAAGCTTCCACACTGCAGAAGGGGACCCCAGCGGGTTGCCACGGCTGGCTCCGGCAGCCTGCTTGTATTCTCTTATCTGGCCCCACCCACATCCTGCTGATTGGTAGAGCCAAGAGGTCTGTTTTGACAGGGCACTGATTGGTGCGTTTACAATCCCTGAGCTAGACACAAAGGTTCTCCACCTCCCCACCAGATTAGGTAGATACAGAGTGTGGACACAAAGGTTCTCCAAGTCCCCACCAGAGTAGCTAGATACAGAGTGTCGATTGGTGCATTCACAAACCCTGAGCTAGACACAGGGTGCTGATTGGTGTGTTTACAAACCTTGAGCTAGATACAGAGTGCCAATTGGTGTATTTACAATCCCTGGGCTAGACATAAAGGTTCTCCACGTCCCCACCAGACTCAGGAGCGCAGCTGGCTTCACCCAGTGGATCCCGCAAAGGGGCTGCAGGTGGAGCTGCCTGCCAGTCCCGTGCCATGCGCCCCACTCCTCAGCCCTTGGGTGGTCGATGGGACTGGGCGCCTTGGAGCAGGGGGCGGCGCTCGTCGGGGAGGCTCGGGCCGCACAGGAGCCCACGGAGGGGGTGGGAGGCTCAGGCATGGCGGGCTGCAGGTCCCGAGCCCTGCCCCGCGGGAAGGCAGCTAAGGCCTGGCGAGAAATCGAGCGCAGGGCCGGTGGGCCAGCACTGCTGGGGGACCCAGTACACCCTCCGCAGCCGCCGGCCCGGGTACTAAGCCCCTCCTTGCCCGGGCCTGCAGGGCCGGCGAAGCCTGCTCAGAGTGCGGGGCCCGCCAAGCCCACGCCCACCTGGAACTCTAGCTGGCCCGCAAGTGCCGCGCAGCCCGGGTTCCCGCTCGCGCCTCACCCTCCACACCTCCCTGCAAGCTGAGGGAGCCGGCTCCGGCCTTGGCCAGCCCAGAAAGGGGCTCCCACAGTGCAGTGGTGGGCTGAAGGGCTCCTCAAGTGCCACCAAAGTGGGAGCCCAGGCAGAGGAGGCGCCAAGAGCGAGCGAGGGCTGTGAGGACTGCCAGCACGCTGTCACCTCTCACTGTTGTTTGGTATGTACCACAGCTTAGTTAGGCTGACAGACTGTCTGAAACAGCCTCCAATTTAGTGATCTGCTGAACTGAACACTTTCTAGTCTCCAAAATGTCTCCTCTCATTGCAAAGAACACCATGAAGCCCCTATGTTTTCTGCAAGGGTATTAACCCTTTCTTGGGTGCCTTCTCCTAACCTTCTGTATGTTGCCAATAAACTCCTACTCATCCTTCAAGACCCAGTTGAAACAAGCCCATCCTCCATGAATTCTGAATTCTATCCTCAATGGAGTTGGCCCTGCTCTTCTTTGTGCTGACATCCATGTTAACTCACCTATGTTAGGATCACTGAATGGCATTTAGCAGTCTCTCTCATCTCCCTCTGCTGGTCCTTAGATGCACCATGCATATCTAAGTCTGAACTGCAGTCATCTGTGTTGATGACTGGCCATCCTGAGCTGCCCAGGGCAGCCCAGTGTGCATGGAACCTCCAGTTTTCTTAACTGTGCCTGCCATGGTAACAGATAAACCAGCCATTTAGAAGTATAGTTCAGGTGTTTGGGAGACTGAAATAAAACAACACTAAAAAACTTTTCAAGCTCCCAGGTTCTTCCGTGATTTCCACTTGGGGTGTGAGTACATTTCCTCCAAATGTCCCTGTTGTTGATAGCTGTTGCCAGAGTTCATGACGGCATTTGCACTGAAAATTCCTAATTTGATATTTCTCTTGTGAATTTAATGAGTTGGAAAAAGTGTCATTTAGAGCTAGTTTCCTCTTTGTGCTTTGAAAAATGAAATGCACGTAGTTATCTGTAAATGAGATAATTACCTCCCTACTTTGCTAAAGGCACCTACTAGTGATTTTTTAGCTTGTTTCACTTAATGAAAGCTTTTCAAAATGGGAAGCCCAGAGCTGTTAATAGACTTGTTGTAATAGTCTCTGAGAAAGGGAAATAAAAACCAGTTGTTCCAAACCAGTCACAGAAATAGCCTGACGAGATGGGTGGCAGCTCAGGCATAAATTTAAGTCTTGGTTGCATTTAGAGCAAATGTAATAATAGCTGCAACCAATATTTTTAATATTACTGATCTTTCAACAATAATTACCTAGAACTTTTAATGTCTGCAATTAAATGCTAGCAATTCAATGGTACAGACCAGTGGTGAACTGCATGAAATTGGATACTTGCTGTAATTGGTAATTAATCACTTTTCATTACCAGGAAGGGATGTTGTAGTTATTCTGAATAGATACATCATGCTAATTACAGGCAAACACAAACCTACATATTTGAATTTAGGGCTTTTAGGAAAATAAGCAACCCATGCCAATATTTTATAGCTGAGAGGAGATTAGCCTACCCAATTAAACGACGAAGAAGAGGCCATGTGTATTTTGACAAGAACCCATCAGGGCAAAGTTTCCCTTTTCCTAAGGGACTTGATCACATTTCCATTTATTTCTGTGGGTAAATTCTTGTCCTTTATATGTATTTGGGATGTGTGTCTCCTGAGGTAAGATCACAGGGCGTCACTGATGCCTCTTCGTGTGTAATCGACACATCCACCTCTCCTGCCCAGGCTTCTCTCTCTCATCCAGGTCTCTCTTGGGATGTTGGCCAGCATCATGTCCATTTCTGCAGCCTCCGTCTCCTCCAGAGGTGCCTGTTCTGTACCTGGGACAACCTTTCCCCAGACTTGAGACTTCAGCTATTTCCCGGATGTTCCCACAACCTTGTCCCACACCTCCCTTATCTCACACCTGCCTGGTCCTCATTGGGCCCTGCCATTTCTGCTCTGCCTTTGCAGCCTCCTTCTCTTCTCACCGAGACTACTCATTACAGGGGCTCCATATCATTTGTCGAGGTTGCATTCCAGGAAAATCCAACCTATGTAGAAAGGACTTAGAAAGGGAAAAATAGGTCTGTGAGAATTAATGTGGAAAATCTCAACTTATGCCCAAGCTCCTACCTCAGTCCTAGTCGTAACATATAACGTGCACATGTAACAGAAACAAAAGATTCATGGGGCAAGCTAAGCTGTTTCGCCAAAGGTATGGCCATTAAAGTGTATTCCTGAGGTAGTGTGACAGGGAGAGGGTAGGATTATCCCCACTTACTTTGCCACCTTCACACGTGCATCTGGAAGCCCAGGTCCAGATGAAAGGCAAGAATTAAGAGTTGGTTGAGGGCTGAGGAGCCCTGTGTCCTCTGTGTTCTTCTTCAGACAGCAAAGAAGGAATGAAGCATTGACTGCTTTCTCCTGTGAATACTACCATCCTTGATACGTCTGCTGTTTCCTGGCCAGCGCTGCCCATGTCCTACCAAGAATATCATTGCAAAATTGGGTTGTGATAGAGGAATGGGTCCCACGCATGTAAACTACTTACAGGCAAAACAGTGGGTAAAGACCACTGAATCCCACACCTCTCGCATGGATTCTATGGACTCGGAAGGCTGTTCTTCCGGCACAAGATTTCAGCGGTATCTCTGAGCCATGGTAGTTTTAATTCAGCCCTGGTTGCCAGCTTCCATGCACCTAGAGGGCTGGTCTCGGTGACTATGTGGCGGATTCCTCTCCTTTCTCTTGGCAGTAGAAATATACTTTTTCCTGGGCATGTGAACAAGAGATAGCAGAGGCCTGATTTTTAAAGTTGCTGGTGATGGAGCTAGCCTGCTCTTTAACTGCAGTAACAGACAGCTCACCATTTCCGCACTAATGGCCAGCTGCCTTGGATGACAGGCTCACCAATGGCACACTACCACCAAATTAATATGCAGATGGAACTTAAAAAATTATACGTGAAATGAACAGCCATCCTGAGAAAGCAGAATCATCTCATTCCATTTCCTCCTCAACAGGACCCATCACAAGGAGCTTCTTTAGCCAAATTTCATTTTGTTCCCTGTTCGATCATCGCCGGAGTCCCTGAATTGGTTCCTTGTCCAGTAGTACCATTTCAGCCCAGGTCTCTTTCCTCTGCCTTTGTCACAGAGCTGAGTAATGATGTGACAACATGTGATTGGGCGATTGATGTCAAATGTCAGCAGCAACATTCATTTTCCCTTGAAATGGACAAAGAAGAGTATGAGTCATTTAGAAATTTCGTCTGGAAGCACCTTACGTGTGATATTCCAAAATTGAATTGGTCTGAAATTTAAAGTGGCTTTTAAGTTCTTCTCCTTTGATTGTTCCTCGGGTCATGCGGAGTTGTGAAAGGCTGAGGGAGCAAGTTAGTGATGGGAACTGCAAAAGTCATTTGTTAGCTCCCTGACTCCTCTGCAGAAATGTATTCCTCCAGTGACAGGATGTTCCTGAGACCTCGTGTCACATAGAGAAAAATCCATGGGCCTTGAAAACACACAGATCTGGGCTCCAGGCTTTGTCTGTTCACTTACTGCTTACTTGGTGAGCCTTAATTTCCTCCTCTGTGAAATGGAGCCGGCAATGCACCAGCCACAGGCAGTGCTGCTGTGTAGCTGAGATGAGAAGGTAAGGGGCGTGAGCACGTCTAGCATGGAGCCTGGCCCTAATGGACCTGGGGTTCTTGTGTGTGGTTTTTTCCTTTAGTGTAACTTCTTAAGGATTATCTAATTTAATCCCACAAAGTATGGACTAGTATCATCTTGATTTTGAAGATGGGAAAATGAAGGCTTAAAGAGGTGAGTAAATGTGCCAAATGACTGAGCCAGTGAAATGCAGCTTGCATCCATCTCTTGGGCCCCTGGTTCTCCAGCTATTTCTCTGAACCAGGGAGGCTTCATGCTGTCCTCTGGCCTCACCAGGAGGGCTTTGGGCTTTTTACATGTACCCCATGTGGGTGGCCCTTGTCCCACCAGGCTCCCTTCACACCCTCCCCAGAAAGAACCAACTGACGTGTGTCTATGTGGGACTTGGTGTCAGAGACAGGGTTCCCCCTACATCCACCAAAGGCCAATCCAATAGAAGCCAAAATGGCCCTGGGTAATGAGAGTTTAAAATTCCCACTCTCTGTGATCAGCATTTTTCATGAAAAAGAAAAATGCGGCAAGCATTGCCACTTATTTCACATCTGGGCAGGCTCTTGCTCACTCTGAGCCCTCTATGCACTCAGAGTTACTGATATCATCGTTAGAAGTGGTTTCCACCTACGACTCTGATTCATGGTCTGGTTATGATTATGATTCATGGCCTGTGAAGAAGTGGTGTGTTACCTAAAAGCACCCTGCCTGGCAGGTTCACAGTGCCTAGGGATAGGACCACTGATGTGATGCAGTCAGATATGCTAATGAGATCAATGCAATGTTACCTTAAAAAAATCCACACTCATTTGCAAATGAATGTTAATAAGGAGAAAAAGCTCAGCTGAGGGCTGGACCAGAATCAGTGGCATGACTAGTTCTTCCTCAGTTAAGTAACGTAATTTGTTCAATTTGTTTTATGTCAGTAAGTGAAGAACCTTTTACTCACTTTGATTCATGGAAGGAGGTTAGAAAATGGTACAGTAGAAAGGAAATTAACATTTAACCTGCCTGCCTGGATTTCCTAACGGATGTCTCAATATAACTGTGGCTATGGCGTAAATTCTCCTGATAAACCAGAATGTAGCAGCAATTATTTAAATCCCAAAGAAAATCTGGATGGCAGAGATTATACTCCAAAGTGAGACCAGTGTATGTTGAATGAGGAATTGGAAGACCTGACTACTAATCTCAATGATGACTTGTCACATGACTTTGAGTCAAAAAGTCTCGGGCCTCAGTCCTTGCATCTATAAATGGTGTAAATGATTCTAACTGCAAAGGAATAGTGGTGCATTTATAAACTTTAAGACACCAAGTAAACACACAATATGTTAATTGATCTAACAATTTTTGGAGCACTCCCTACATGCCAGGTACCGTGCTAGTTGCTGGAGATACACTGGTGAACAGACTTATTAGGCCCCTGTCCTAAAGAAAGTTCTAATCTGGTAAGTCATCTTTCAAACATTTTTTTAATTATGAAAAATTTCAAACTTTCCCAAAAGTGGGCAGAATGTTATAATGAACTTTCATTTACTAATCATTCAGATTCAAGCATAAACAAGATTTTGCCCTGTTTATCTATCCTCCATGCCTTTTTGCTGAATTATCTCAAAGTAAATCATAGACATTGCATGAGTTTTCTATCCCCATACAACAAATTGCTATGAATTTGGCTGCTGGAACCACACTTATTTGTTATGTCACAGTTTCTGTGGTCCAAGAGCCTGGGCACAGCTTAGCTGGACCCTCCACTCAGGTTCACGAAGCTACACTCAAGGTTATTGGCTGTGCTGGGGCTCATCTGAGGTTCCAAGTCCTTTTCCAAGATCATGTGGCTTCTTGGGGTTGTGGTATTGTAGGGTTGAGGCCCTCAGCATCTGGAGCAAGCTTGTCTAACTGGTGGCTCGCAGGCTGCATGCAGCCCAGGAGGGCTTTGAATGTGGCCCAACACAAATTTGTACACTTTCTTAAGACATTATGAAATTTTTGCATTTTTTAGCTCATTTTTAGCGTATCAGCTGTTGTTAGTGTGTTTTTTTACATGTGGCCCAAGACAATTCTTCTGCTGTCAATGTGGCCCAGGAAAGACAAAAGACTGGACACCCCTGATCTAGAGGCTGTCCCTCTCTGCTGGTAGTTCAACCATGACCGTTCACTTCTTGTTGGAGGTCAGCAGGAGAATCTCTGACATTTTCCTCTCTTCTAAGGGCTTACCTGATTAGGTCAGGCCCACCTAGGATAATCTCCCTTTTGATTAACTCAAAGTCAACTGATGAGTAACCTATCTTGGGAGAGTATCCCATCATATTCACTTATCTTCTCCCACTCAAGGGGAGACTATATAAGGTGGGTTTGCCAGGGGGTGGGAATCTTAGAGGCCATCTTGGAAGTTGCCTACCATAGACATTTCACCTCTACAATCTTAAATATGTACTTCTACAAATTATGGGTTTTTTTTTTGCATAATTACACTTTCCTTTTAATATCCAGTATTGGTTGTTATATTAGTCAGCTTAAGCTACATTATGCTGTTGTAACAAATGACCCCAAAATCTCTGTGGCTTCCAACCAACAAGGTTTCTTTTTTGGCTCATGTTCCATGCTCATCATGGGTTGGTTTCAGCTCTTTATCTCGGGACCCAGGTTGGAGGAACAGCTCCTTTCTGGAAAAGGCTTTTCATGCAAAGACATTTCAAGCTTCAGCTAGGTCGTGGCCATGTCATTTATTATCTCTCATTTGCTCATGTCACTCTTGACGGACTAGGAAGCACAGTTCTTCACTAGAGAGGGGTCTCATAGAAAGGAGTCAGCCACAGGGGGCTGGTTGTATATTTTTAAGCACATAATACAATCTCCCACAGTAATCTTTTAAGTATCTTTTACTCTAGAAGAGTCTCACCCACACACCTTTTTTCCCACCTGCCATTGACTTGTTGGAGAAACTGACCATATAGAGAGGTCTACATTCTGAAATTACCTGTTGGCTTTCTTATGGTGTCATTTCACTCATACTTTTATGCCTTTGATTTCTCATAGGTTAGAATTTAGCTCTAATTAACTTATTTTTGGGAAAGAATACTTCATAGGGGTGTTTGGTATTTCATATTTTATCACATCAAAATGCACATGATGTTTTTGGTGAGGCAATTTTCAAAAAACTTGAATTTTTAAAGCAAAATTCTTAGTATTTTGTCCTTACATTCACTTACTAGATAGTTATTGCTGATCAGGTCTTGGACCAGGCCCAGGGAGATGAGGGAATAAATAAGACAAAGTCCTTATCTCAAGTATTTCATAGTTAAGATGGAGGGGACAAATTTTAAGATAATGCAGTGAGAACACTTAGGCAAAAAAAGAAGCAAAAACTATCCAAATAGAAAGAAATAAGTAAAATTATCTCGATGTGCAGATGACATAATCTTGTATATAGAAAATCATAAGGAATCAACGTACACACAAAAAACTATTAGAGCTAATAAAAGAGTTTGGCAACATTGCAGGATGCAAGATTCATATACAAAATCAATTATCTTTTTGTACATTGGCAAAGAACAATTAAAAAATGAATTTAAAAATTCCAGCTATAATAGCATCAAAAAGAGTAAAATATTTAGGAATAAATTTAGCAAAAGAATTGTAAGACTTGTACACAGGAAACTACAAAACATCATTGTAAGAAATTGAAGAAGACTTAAATAAATGGAAGGACATCCTGTATTCCTGAGTTAGAAGACTTAATAAATGGCAATACTCTCCAAATGGACCTATAGATTCAATACAATCCTTATCAAAGTCCAAGCTGATTCTTTTTTTATTGGCAGAAATTGATGAGCTGATTCTTTTTTAAGTCAACTGGTCATATCACATGATGAGCTGATTCTAAATTTCATATGGAATTGCAAGTGACCCAGAATAGCCAAAACAATCTTGACAAAGCAGACAAAAATTGGAGGACTCACACTTCCCAACTTCAAAAGTTACTACAAAGCAGAAGTAACTGAGAGAGGTACTGATATATGGCTAGATATGTAACCAATGGCATAGAACTGAGAGTCCAGTAATAAACTCATACATTAATGATTAATTGATTTTTGACAAGAGTGCCAAGACCATTTCATAGGGAAAGAATAGCCTTTTCAACATATGGTGCTGGGACAACTGGATATCTATGTGCAAGAAAATGAAATTGGATGTTTATCTCATATCATATACAGAATTAACTTAAAATGATTAAAATACCTAAATATAAAAGCTAAGAGCAAAAACTATAAAACTCTTAGAAGAAAACAGGTATAAATCTTTGTGACTTTGCATTAAGCAATCTTTTTTTTTAAGATATGAGAACAAAAGCACAAGCAACCAAAGAAGAAATCAACTGGACTTCGTTGAGATAAAAAGCTTTTGTGCTGCAAAAGACTATTAAAAAATTGAGAACACAATCCATAGAATGGGAGAAAAAATTTGCAAATCATGTGTCTGATAAGGATCTAGTATTCAGAATATATAAAGAACCCCTACAACTCAATAAGAGCAAGGACTTGGAAACAACCCAAATGTCCATCAATGACAGACTGGATTAAGAAAATGTGACACATATACACCACGGAATACTATTCAGCCATAAAAAGGATGAGTTCATGTCCTTTGTACAGACATGGATGAAGCTGGAAACATAATTCTGAGCAAACTATCTCAAGGACAGAAAACCAAACACCACATGTTCTTGCTCATAGGTGGGAATTGAACAATGAGAACACTTGGACACAAGGCAAGGAACATCACACACCGGGGCATCACATACCATCCATACCCATTAGAATGGCTACTATAGAAAAACCCCCCAAACAACAAGTGGGGACAAGGACTTGGAGACATTGGAACTCTTATGCACTGTTGGTCGAAAGATAAAATAGTGTAGCTGCTTCGGAGAACAGTTGGTTTCTCCAATGACAAACATAGAGTTACCATACGATCCAGCAATTCCCTCTTAGATATATACCCAAGAGAACTGAAAGCATATGTACAACTAAGAGCATGTTCATGAGTGGCCATAATGACCAAAAAGTAGGGTGGTCGTGGGGTGGGGGAATGGCGGAGGGATAGCATTAGGAGAAATACCTAATGTAAAGGATGAATTAATGGGTGCAGCAAACCAACATGGCACATGTATACATATGTAGCTAACCTGCACGTTGTGCACATGTACCCTAGAACTTAAAGTATGATAAAAAAAAAACAACCTGATTAAAAAAATGGGCAAAGGATTTGAATAGACATTTTCTGAAAGAAGATATACTGATGGCCAAAAAGCACATGAAAAGATGCTCAATCTCTCTAATCATTAGGGAAATGCAAACCCACACCACAGTGAGATACCACCCATACCCATTAGAATGGCTACTATAGAAAAACCCCCCAAACAACAAGTGGGGACAAGGACTTGGAGACATTGGAACTCTTATGCACTGTTGGTCGAAAGATAAAATAGTGTAGCTGCTTCGGAGAACAGTTGGTTTCTCCAATGACAAACATAGAGTTACCATACGATCCAGCAATTCCCTCTTAGATATATACCCAAGAGAACTGAAAGCATATGTACAACTAAGAGCATGTTCATGAGTGGCCATAATGACCAAAAAGTAGGGTGGTCGTGGGGTGGGGGAATGGCGGAGGGATAGCATTAGGAGAAATACCTAATGTAAAGGATGAATTAATGGGTGCAGCAAACCAACATGGCACATGTATACATATGTAGCTAACCTGCACGTTGTGCACATGTACCCTAGAACTTAAAGTATGATAAAAAAAAAACAACCTGATTAAAAAAATGGGCAAAGGATTTGAATAGACATTTTCTGAAAGAAGATATACTGATGGCCAAAAAGCACATGAAAAGATGCTCAATCTCTCTAATCATTAGGGAAATGCAAACCCACACCACAGTGAGATACCACCCATACCCATTAGAATGGCTACTATAGAAAAACCCCCCAAACAACAAGTGGGGACAAGGACTTGGAGACATTGGAACTCTTGTGCACTGTTGGTCGAAAGATAAAATAGTGTAGCTGCTTCGGAGAACAATTGGTTTCTCCAATGACAAACATAGAGTTACCATACGATCCAGCAATTCCCTCTTAGATATATACCCAAGAGAACTGAAAGCATATGTACAACTAAGAGCATGTTCATGAGTGGCCATAATGACCAAAAAGTAGAAACAACCAAATGTCCACTAACTGTAAATTGATAAACAAAATGTGGTCTATCCGTACAATGCAATATTATTTGGCAGTAAAAAAAGTGGAAGTGCTGATGCATGGTTCAATGTGGATGAACCCTGAAAACATTCTGCTAAGTGACATAAGATCCACATATTGTTATGAAAACCACATATTGTTGTGATTCCATTTATATGAACTATCCAGAGTAGGCAAGTCCATGCACAGGGGCTGGCTGGGTGGTTGAGGGGAAGGAGGAGGAGGAGTGACTACTGATGAGCACAAGGTTTCTTTTTGGGGTGATGAAAATATTTTGGGATTAGTGGTGATCATTATTCAACTTTGCGAATCTATTTAAAAAACCATTGAACTGCATACTTTAAAGTGGTGAATTTTATAGTATATGAACTATACCTCAATGAAAATATTCTTAAAATATGCACTATCAGAGGTCGGGGGAGATCATTTCAATGATAGGTAGTGGATGGTTTTGTGAGTTGGGCCTAAAAGGATGTGTAAGTTTTGTCCCCTGCCAGCCAGCCCTGCCAGGAGCTCCAGAGGCCAGGACTTGTGAGTGCTGTTGGTTTCTGTCACTGTGAAAAGGTGAGAGGAAGGAAGGCCAGAGACAGGGCGGTTGCTGGGAGGACCAAGTTTCACAGCTCAGATTTTCCTTCTTCCTGCTTGCTGTGCTCAGTACACCTGAGCCACCCCCCACCCCCATCTTCCTCAGCATCTCAGGCTGCTGTTTCTCAGCTCTAGAGAATGCATACGGGGCTGAGAGGAAGCCATTGTTAAAGAGAACACAGTGAATCAGCTCTGGTTCATATACGTAAGTTCGCCATTACAAACATCGGTTCCACAACAAGGTAACCTCACCAACTGATGCTAACATACTAGCTATTTACTGGGCAAACATTTAATGAGTGCCTGCCCTGCCCCTGTGAGGAAGGACAATATGGTTGACAGCTGTGGTCCAGATGAGAATAGACATGGAAGCAGGTAAAGATGTCACAGCAGGGTGGTTGTGGCCGGGATACAGGAGCAGGCTGCGGCTACCCTCTCTGTTTGTTCACTCCCTAGATCTCTCCAGCCTGCCTGATTTCCTGTCTGATTCACTGGGCTGAGAACAGTGCCGACCTGTCCTGACCCTAATGAACTTGAGTGCCTCCCTGGGCTTTGCTGGTCTCAGTTGATTCCTCTCCACGGGCTCCCCAAGCATCAAGCCCTGCAGTGTCCCTCATGATGGGACCACAGTGCCACCCTTTTTTCCTGTAGACCTTCCCACTTCCGTTCCTTTCTGCTGGTCCTGAGATCATCCTGCCTGGTAACTGGATTGATGTAGAACTTTCACCACCCATCACGGCCACCCAAAGCCCTCCAGGATGGCAAAGTTCATAGCCACACCCTCTCCCTTGAGTTGGCCCAGCCATCTGCCTAGTTTCTTCTCCTTGCAGTGCCTTGCTGTATTTTTGTCCTAGTCCAGCTTGAAATTTGACACTTTGTGGGTGAGAAGGACTTTAGCAGCCACCTACTTTGACCTCCTCATTTTGGAGGGAGGAGATGGTGGCTCAGGAAAAAGAAAGCAACTTGCGTAGGGCCAAGTAGCAAGTTATCCGCATGACCACAAGGGCCCTCCTTTCTCCCACTCCCCACCAGACATTTTCTCTGGTCATCCAGGCTGCTGCTTGGAGGTGCTGCAGTAGTCAGGAGAGACTGGGATTGGCTACAAAACTTGCACTTTAAGCCACAAAAAAATGTGGCTTAACACAGGAAAGATGAGTTTTTCTCCCATGTTCCAATGTGATGTGGATTGATTTCCTATCCTTGGTGATACACCTTCAAGTGGTGTCTCAGAGGCCAGGCTATTCCAGCTTGTGATGCTCCATCCTAAAGTCTGGTTATCACTGATGGGGAACATAGAGTATAGATCAGGATTTCCAGCCTCAGCACTACAGACATTTTGGGCTGGATGATTCTTTGTCGTGCAGGTGTCTGGTATGTTGTAGGATGCAGTATTTTTGGCCTCTACTCATCAGATGCCAGTAGCAGCCCTCCTTTCCTGACCGTTGTGTCAACTAAAATGTCTCCAGACATGGCCAAGTGTCTGATGAAGGACAAAATCAGTCACCTCCCATTGATAAACACTGGTGTAGATGATCACCCAGAACCAGGCATGGGTTTGCATACATCACTTCCTGTCAGATCTTATTGGTTAGAATGCAGTCACATGATCCTAACCTAACTGCAAAGGAGGCTGGGAAATATAGTCCTTTTGTTTGCCAAGGAATTGAAAAATGAAATGAGATTTAGCAAACTTTAGCACATTTCTGCCATTGATGCAAACAATCCCAATCTTTTTCTGAAATTCTCCTTTGGATATAAGGACTGAGCTGATTCAAGATGATGAGGAGTCACAGAATGAGGAGAGAGGAGATGAATGGCGACAGATATTGGGCTCAGGTGAGCTGGCTTTGGAGGCCCAGTAGTCATAGGAAATGTGATCTGAGATTGCCCTTATTCCTTCACTTGCTACCAATCCCATCTTTGTCCACGTATTTGGCAGGCATGCATCTACACTGAGCTGGGCCCAGAGGAATCCAACATAGACCTTGTCCTTAGAGAGTTCCTGGTCTGGAGGGAGATGCAGACCCACACTTAGGGGAAACTGCAGAGAGATGAGAGTCAAAATGGAGATACGGGGGCTGTGTTAGGGACTGAATGTGTCCCCACCCAAATTCATTCATTGAAGCCCTGACCCCCAGTGTGGCTGTATTTGGAGATGAGGTCTCTCAGGAAGTAATTAAGGTTAAATGAGGTCAAAAGGCTGGGGCCGTGACCCCATAGGATACACTTCCTTATAAGAAGAGACAGGCTGTGCGCAGTGGCTCACGCCTGTAATCACAGCACTTTGGGAGGCTGAGGTGGGTGGATCATGAGACCAGCCTGGCCAACATAGTGAAACCCTGTCTCTACTAAAAATACAAAAAAAAGTAGCCAGGCATCGTGGCATGTGCCTGTAGTCCCAGCTACTTGAGAGGCTGAGGCTGAGAATCGCTCGAACCCGGGAGGTGGAGGTTGTGGTGAGCCGAGATTGTGCCACTGCACTCCAGCCTGGGCAACAGAGTGAGACTCTCTCTCAAAAAAAGAAAAGACAGTAGGGAGCTCTCTCTCTTTGTCTCTCTGTCTCTATGTGTGTGTGCAGAGAAAAGGCCATGTGAGATATAGCAGGATGGTGGCCATCTGCAACTCACGGGGAGAGGGCTTACCAGACACCAACTCTGCTGATGTCTTAACTTTGGACTTCCAGCCTCCAGAACAGTGAGAAAATAAGTTTCTGTTGTTTAAGCCACTCAATCTATGGTATTTTGTTACAGCAACTCAGGCAGACCAGTAAGACTGTATTAATGTCTTAGGGCTGCCATAACAAAGTATCACATGCTGGGGGCTTAAAACAAAGACATTTATTGTCTCACAGTCGTTGAGGCTAGGAGTCTGAAATCAAGGTGTCAGCACAGCCAAGCTCTCTCTCCTGGCTTCTGATGGTTGCTGGCGATCCTTGGAGTCCCTTGGTCATATAACTCCAATCCCTGCCTCTGTGGTCACATGGCCATCTTCCCTCTGTGTGTTTGTCTTCGCGTGGTGTTCTCTCTCTGTGTAGGTCTCTTTATGTCTCATTTCCTCTTATAAGGACACCAGTCACAATGTCTTAAAAGCCCATCCTGTTCCAGTGTCTTCTCAACTTACCAATGGATGACATCATAACTCTAACTGTGCTTGGAGGTCAAGGGAGATGTCAAATAGAGGCAACCCTGGAGGAGGTCCTTAAAGGAAAAGGAGGTGTTCCAGAGAGCTTAGACAAGCAGGCAGCAGGTACAGCTGCAAGATCTGGACCAATAAAGGGATTTGCTTAGCACTTGGGCTCCCCAGAGCTGCACCCTCAGGACTGCTGGGGATGAGGGTTGTAGGCATTGTCAACCCCGGGCCCCTGCTGTCTCTTGAACCAAAGCAGTTCTGCTCCTACCTGTTTCACACGTGGGGCCTCTAGGTAAGACTTTGTTCCAATAGAGAATTCTGTGATGGGAAACTCCTGACTCAAATGAACAATCCTCAGTGTTGTTACTTGTACTGTTAGAATATTAAGGAGCCGGCAATTAGTAATGAAGAAGACGATGACCTTGGCAATTATCATCATCCAAGATTATAGCCACCATTTATGGGCACCAAATATACATCAGGCCCTGTTCCAGGCATGTTATATCCATTTACTTTTTACAAAAACCCTAATGCAATGAGACCTCTCATTTTACAGATGAGGAGCTGAGGCTTTCAGAGGTAACTTGGTCAAGTTCACACAGTTGGGAGTGTTTATCTATGAAGTGAACTCAGGTCTTTTTAGTTCAGAAGCTGGTGCTCTCCTTTGCACTAGAACCGTGCTTTATGGTGTGCAAAACCCTTTTGTAAGCCGCTTCTCTGTTGGCAGCTGCAGCCGCTCTGGAAAGAGGATTCTGCAGGTATCCCCATTCCACAGTTGAAGAGAATGAGGCTCTGACCTAGTCCAGCATGCAGAATGGTGAGACGGGATGGATAGTCTGGGTTATGGCGTGTCTGCCCCAATTCCCTTGGTGGTCACCAACCGCAGAGGAGCTCCCCAGAGCATGAAGATTTGGCCGGTGCTCTGGCCACTCCTCCCCAGCCATCCTTCTCAGTGTACATGAGATGCTCAAATTATGATGTTTTATTCTAATGACAAAGAGTATAACAAGCACAGGAAATGGCCTGGCATTAATCTCCACTCCATCTTGTGGCAGTGACTGCAATGAAAATGAGAAATAGTTTAAGCTTAACCATTCTCATTACAATCATAATTACATTTTGTGGTCATTCTCAGTTTCTAGCAGGCCCCAACTGCTCCCCATGTCAATATGAAAGATACAGACAGCCCTTAATTTTTCTCCAGCATTCATTTTCCCAGCCATCTGCTGAGGATGGATCCTTGAGAAGCTGAAAATTAGGCTTAAGGAACTTATCTGTTTTATGTTTTAAATGGTTTGGCACGAACCTGCTAAACATCTGGATAAATGTAATTTACATCCATATGCCTCAAAACACATCGAATCGAACAACCGATTTATCTTTCCAATTATATGTTTAATAGAATACTCAGATTTGGGCCCTGATTACATAGCTAGCGGCACTGAGAGCTAACCAAGAAGCATGCTGCTTGGTAAGAGGGGAGAGCTAGGGACCAGAACTTGCTAAGGACAGTCCCCCTAATTCATAGGCCATCACTGGAATGATGTTCCTACTCACTAGGATATTAATAAGTCTGCATCTAATAATGAATAAGACAATGACTTGGCAATTACCGTCATCCACAATGATAGCCACCATTTACAGGACACTAAATATATGCCAGACCCTGTTCTAGGCAGGTTCTGGGCAAGTGGACATGCCCCTGTATACAGCGTGCAAATGGTATTCTCCACAATAATTGCATAGGTTATGGCTGTGCAATATTTTTCTGTGGCTGTTGTCTAACAAATCCATTTACCAATAGGCATCTTTACCTATGGTTCATTCACTCTTTTTGCAAATATTAATTGAGCACCTACAATGTGCTAGGGGCTGGCGAGGAACTTAGGATGTAGACAATTGAAGCTGAGCCCCTGCTTTCAAGGGTTCACTTTCTGGTGGTCAACCAGAGAGCTCAAAGCAGCATAGAAGCCTGTAGGGGTGGAGGGGAGAGCTCCAACCCAGCCCCGGGGTGGGTGGTGGGTAGGGAAGGCCCTGCGGCATCCCAGCTTGGTCTCGGCTGGTGGGGGGCAGTGGATAAATCAACCAGCATCTCTGGGTTCCAGAGTCTCCTTCCTTAAGTACATCTACCCGGCGCTGCTGAGAATGAAAGTAGACAGTCAATAATGTGCTTGGTTGAGATCCTAGTGTCACCTAAGTGCCCACTAAGTATAGGGGACATAAAGGCTCCCTGGAGGGGCCTTGACAGGTAAGGTCAGGGCTTCACTAGGAGTGGTGCAGGATGTGTGTCTTCAGGCGAGGGCTCAGGTCTGGGGCTGGGAGGGAACCCTCAAGTGTGGCTGTGCCCAGAGGGGAGGGGCGTGCAGCAGAGGCCCAATCCCGGGGCGTCCTGTGTGCTGGGCTAAGGAAGTTGGACCTTGCCCGTGAGCTGTGGGAGCCTTTCGGTAGGGGAGGCAGTGGAGAGTAAGATGATCAGACTTGCATTTTGGAGTCATGATTCTGGCTACAGAGTGAAGAATGGATCCCCCACACTCAGGGCAAGACCAGGGGCAGAGAGGCAGAGGCAATAATTTGCAGAGCACCTCAGCAGAGTTGTTTTGTAATGGGTTTTATTTTATTGTGGATGATACTTTACACAGTTTTGTTTAAGTCAGCTTTTGGAGAACTTGAATTCTTGGACTAGATTATTTCAGAATGTCCCCTATATATTAGATAGAGTCTTTGGCCCAGCCCAGGGGACAGAAAGCTGGGTTGGATTTTTAGTGAGTTTTGGATTTTTAGCCACTCTGGGCAAAGGGTAGAGAGTGGTGCCATAGAGTTTGGGCATTGAGGGCTGTGGCCTGGCTTGCATTCAGAGTCCTAGGGTATGGGGGTCCTTCTGTTCCCCAAGAGGTCCCTCTGCAGAACCTCATCTTGTCAGTGACCTGAAGCTCTAGATACACAATGGGGTGCTGGGAGAGGGGCCAGGCCATGGACCTTTCCTAACTGGCTGTGTGATCTGGGCACTTGCTTGATTTCTCTAGGCCCCCTCTTCTTATCTCAAAGTGGAGGCAACAGAGAAACGAGGAGCCATGAAGTGTTTGCCGCAAGGGTGAATTTCACAGTCACATCTCCTGGCATCTGTTTCTGACTCATGGATTATTTTTCTCCAATGGCAACATATGTATCCGAATAAACCTGCCTCAGTGATACACGCAGTGTCACGTTTGTAAGCCCAAATAATAAGTGGACTTATTATTTCTTCACTGGAAAGAATGGCCCAATGCCCCTGCCATTCCAGAAATGGCTTTTTAATTTTTGATTTGTGTTTTTTTTTTTTTTTTTTGATGGAGTCTTGCTCTCTCACCCAAGCTACAGTGCAGTGGTGCAGTCTCGGCTTACTGCAACCTTTGCCTCCCAGGTTCAAGTGATTCTTCTGCCTCAGCCTCCCAAGTAGCTGTGATTACAGGCGTGCACCACCAGGCCCAGCCAATTTTTGTATTTTTAGTAGAGATGGAGTTTCACCATGTTGGCCAGGCTGGTCTTAAACTCCTGACCTCAGGTGTTCTGCCCACGTTGGCCTCTGAAAGTGCTGGGATTATAGGCGTGAGCCACTGCACCTGGCCTTTGATTGGTGTTTTGAAATGAATTGTTAGGTCTCATAAAACTGTTTAAAAATAAATCCACGGATACAGACAGGGCACTGACAAAGGAAATAGGAACAGTAGATGTACACCGAAGGGGAAAACATCATGACAAAGCTAGAAAAATGAATTAGACATTTGCCATTAGAACTGGCCTGAAAACGAGACCAGTGCTAATTGATACAGTGGGTCTTTGCATGAACGCACAGTGGCAGGAGGAGCCCCGCCCCTTTCTGGTCCAGCTGTCCCTTCTCCCGGTCCTGAGTCATACTCAGCTGCCTCCAAGCTGCAGCCTCGGGTTGGCAGCTCATAATAGGCAGTGGAATTAGATCTGACCTTTGCAATTGTGGCTTTTTAAAAATTATTAAATTTAAAAATGGTTAAACCTCAAATGAGCTGAAATCTTTTGTACAAAGAACCCGTCTATCATTGCTTTTGTCCATAAAATATATTTAACCTCAACCACATAATTACAGCCAGTGAATCCACCAGGCCAGTTGGGTTTATTATGTGCATAGAGAGCTCAGCTATTCTCATCTGAAAAGGACAGTGCCGGTTCCCTTGCAGTCATTTTCTTGAGTTGCTTGGTAAAAGCTATAGTCAGGAAGTTGAATCTTGTCTGGAATAGCTTCCACTTTACTTCCTTGCCCCTCCCCCACCAACAATCTAGGTTGAGCAAAAAAATGCTTCACAATTAGAAATGCCCAACAAAGGAGTTAGCCAGGCTGACAGCACACCCTGGGGGAGAATGCGTGTGAGCGGCAGGGATTGAGGGCCCACATCAGCATCCTGCAACCCACAAGCTAAGGCCCAGCCTCATACTCAGCTGCAGTTTCCAAGCAGAGCAGAGAGGGGTCTGTGGAAGTCCAGTGGCTTACAAAACACTGATACTAAACAGGATTCTGGGAATCTAGACTTCCCCAATGAAGCTGGAAGAGCACTGTCCTGAGAGTCCAATAGACTTGGGTGAAGGTTTATATCTCTGCTGGTTGTTTGATGTGTGAATTTGGCAAGTCATTAAACTGTGCTGAGCCCCAGTTTTCTTATGTGTAAAATAGGGAGGCTGAGGTGGGTGGGTCGCTTGAGGTCAGGAGTTTGAGACCAGCCTACTCAATGTGGTGAAACCCTGTCTCTACTAAAAATACAAAAATTAGCCAAGCACAGTGGCCTGTGCTTGTAGTTCCAACTACTTGGGAGGCTGAGGCACAGGAGTTGCTTGAACTTGGGAGGTGGAGGTTGCAGTGAGCCAAGATCACGTCACTGCACTCCAACCTGGGTGACAGAGTGAGACTCCTTCTCAAAAGAAAAATAAATAGGGGTTAAAAATAAATAAATCTAAACCATGTGGGGGTGATTGTTGTTGAAATGAGATAATATGTGTCAAATCCTTAGCACAGTGCCTGGCACAAAGAAATCAGTTACGATTCTTTTCCTTTTCTTCTTCCTCCTTCTACTTTTTCCTCCTGGAAAACAGACCATGAAAATAGCCAAATAAGTTGTGTGTGCATGGTGGGGGTAGGGGGAGGACCTGCTCTATTAAATGTCAGGATGGAGTATAAAGCTATAGTCATTGTGATAGTGTGCTACTGGCCCAACAGTAGATAAAAGTGTAATGGAACCAAACAGGACCCAGAAACAGACCATGCATTAATCACACTGCAGTCCAGTGGGGAAAAGCATGGACTACTCAGTCAATATTGCTGGGAATATTGGTTAACCATGTGGGAGAAATGAAATGGGATCCCTACCTCACACCATACCCAAAACTGATCCCAGATGGATTAAATGTGAAAGGCAAAACTCGAACATTTTAAGAAGAAAATAAAGGACTCTACTTCATGACCTCAGGGTAGGACAGGATTTCTTAAGCAAAACACAAAAGGTTGATAAGTTAGAGTAATTAAAATTCAGAATTTATCTCAACAAAAACTTGAACAAGATACTTGCAACATATAACAAAAAATTAGTATTCAGAATATAGACAAATGGGAAATAATAATAAAAACAACAACAACAACAACCGAGTAGAAACAGTGGCAAAAGACATGAATAGACATAGGAAGAGTAACTGGAATGCTCAATTAACATGTGAAAAGATGCTCAACCTCATTTGTAATCAGGAAAATGCCAATTAAAACCACAATGGGCTGGGCGATGTGGCTCACACTTGTATTCCCAGCACTTTGGGAGGCCAAGGCGGGTGGATCACTTGAGATCAGGGGTTCAAGACCAGCCTGGCTGACATGGTGAAACCCCATCTCTACTAAAAATACAAAAATTAGCTGGGTGTGGTGGCACATGCCTGTAATTCCAGCTACTTGGGAGGTTGAGACAGGAGAATCGCTTGAACCTGGGAGACGGAAGTTGCAGTGAGCCTTGATTGCACCACTGCACTCCAACTTGGGCAAGAGTGATACTCCATCTCAAAAACAAACAAGCAAGCAAACAAAACAAACCACAGTGGTCTACCTTTTTATACTTGTCAGGTTAACAAAAGCTAAGAGGTCTGACAAACGTGGAAATAGGTGCTGTTTGAGTGAGTGTGTGGATGAAAAAGAACAGAACCAGGAAATGGGTCCTGGAGAGAACCCATTTTGCCAACTGAACTCTCTTGGGACTTCTCTTCCCACTTACTGTCTGTTATTAGTGTCATGTAGTGTACACTGTTATTAAACTCTTAACATAAAAAATAAAGCTGCTGTGGTGGGGCATGGCTGTGACCTTTGGTCTCCAGGCCATTTATCTAATGAAAGGACATGGAGCTGTGGGAAAGAACAGCTGGAATGTTCTATTTCCTAAAGGTTGTGGGGACAGTGGTTTTGAGGCATAGGCAAAGATGTTGGTGGAAGAGAGCTTGTCCTCTGAAATGCCCATTAGTTTAAGAGCATTTTCAATTAAGTAACATAAAAAAATTAAAATAAGTATTCTTTTAATTTTAGAGCACATGGGAAGACTCTTCACTCTGTGGCATTAGGACAAGGCCCCACTGGGGAAATATGGGACGTTTGTTTCTCCTGCTTCCCACCCAACCCTTCTGCACCTTTTTCTTCCAGCCACATTAAAAATGCCCTGCTCAGTATAATGGACCTCAAGGAATGCAAATAGTCTATTGTTTCAATAGAACATGGATTAACTCTCCTGAAATAATGCGTCACCGGCCAACAGTAATGCCTTTTATGGACCCGGTATGGTATCGCAACGACCTGGAAATACTGGGTCAATGAAAACACTTGGAGTTCAATGTGTTATTTTCTTATTTGTTTCTGCAGAAAAATCTCAGTTTGGGTTCTGTTCCTGGTCATTTAGCAAAGGTCCTCAATTTGATCCATTGTCTTTTATGACAAAGAGGTCGAGGGGTTATGTGACTAGCCGAATGCAAGTCTGCTGGGAGCCTTGGTTTTCTGCTTATGCAACAGTGTCAAAACCACTTTTAAAAATGCCATCCCATGGAAATCACCAACAGGAGGAGCTTATTGCCAGAAATCTTAATTTGATTACTAGTAGGGATTTTACTTACGATTGTGAAGTTAAAACAGAACTGCCCCCTCTTTTTGGGAGGGATTTTTCCCATCCTCTTCCATATTCAAGATTGGTTAAAAAATCTCTGCCCAAAATTGATCTGAGCAGGGCTCAAGAAATGAAGACGATCTCTGGCTAATAGCAGGTGCATTTTAATCACAAGGCCTATTTGATCATGTATGGCTTCCCTGTGCCTTACAAAGACAGAGTTTTAAAAGTGTGTAACATTAGAATATGCAAAGCCTCGGCCATTCCACCCTGCCCCATGAAGACTTACACGATCCCAATGCTTAAAATATGGAGAGAGGAACAATTAACATTATGTTTCCAGTGCGTATGGTGGCCCTAAGTAGCTTATGGGCTCTGTGTCCACCTAGAAGCAATAAAGTCATGTTATTATGCATTAAATAAAAGAAACATCTTAATCATTATATATGAAGATCTCTTTTCCAGTGGTCGGCAGAACGAGGGGTAAAACCGGCTTTTCTTTCCCTTCACAGCTCACTTGAGACCGGGAGAACAGGCAGAGAAGCCTGGAAATCCGGATGGCTTCTAATTGTCTCTTTACAGCCAACTAGGCTACCAAAATGATTGTCTTTTTCTCTCCAAGCCTTACTGACCTGTGGCTAATGAGATTTGTGCTTCGATTAGTTGTAGAACATAAATTAGCTAATCAATGGCAATGGATTCACATTATTTCTCATACATGAGTTCCGCTGCAGTGATCTGTATTTAATATTCAAATCAATTTCGAATGCTCAGGATGATTCCGTTAACGTGGCATGCTGGAAGCTGGCAGCATCTGTAGCCTCCTGGCCGATGAGGACTAGGCCAAGCCTGGATGATACACCTGCCTCTCATCGGCTTCCAGAGCTTTGCAGATTGCCTTGCCTTCCATTACACAGGGTGAGGGGCAAATGGGGTTCAGCAGAAAGCTTGTGGAAAAAGCAAAAGAAAATCCAGGAGCACGTACAGCAGAGGTGGCCTCTTTCCTGAACAGGAAATCAAAAAGCAGGCGAGCTAATTTCAGGTTTCTGATGTGCAAACTTTGCAAAGAGCGAGGTTGTCGGTCAGCGTCTTCACTTTTCAGCACCGAGAAGCATATTTTTGCTCTTTGCTGTAATTGTCTCATCTGTACAATTAACTGGCATCTTGGCATAAAATGTGGAGATTTGTACAGTCTTCTAGGCATCTGTGGGCTTTATGGTACAAGTTCTGTTAGTACTGAAGCCACAGAAAATTAAATGTTCCCCAAAGAACTTCCAGATGTGCTTTATTCTAATAGGGTCATTATACAGTAAATTAAAAAGCAGGGTAAATGGAACTGTAAAATTTAAATTACTCTAAAACCACATCTCTTTGCTTTGAGCATTCATTTGTGGGGTTGCATTTGCAATAAATGTGAATTAGGCAGCTGCAATAACTGTTAATCATATATTTATAAAATAGTAATGAGGAAATGAATAGCAGAGTAAGACAGCTGCACATTTCTCTAATAGTGTGTCAACTGTGAGCATAATAAGATGTGGAACACTGTTTGGTGCTGGGCTGATAATACAGCTGAATGTAAGAGATCGCTTCAGCCTCTTAACTTTACATGAAATTTCACATAAAATCCATAAAAGCTCATAATAATGCATTATGCCTCTGAATTGTATTCAATATTTTTCTTTGCTTTGATTTTCTGAAATGAGCTCTACTTTCACCAAAGTCATCTTCCGGAGATCGGTGAGCCTTTTGTTTCAGGCAATCTCGGGCTTCTAAGATTGCAACTGGATTTAAAGAAACCAGCGCCAATGCAGGCAAGGAGTGGATGGTGGTGCTTTGTTTTGTTTTCTCTGGGTTGCTGTACATGGCCAGAGGGATGCTTTGTCTTGGGCAGAGGACACGGTCTATACAGGCCATCTCAGCTGCCTCCCGATGTCAGGATTCTGGAGAGAGTCCACTCACTGTCGACCAGAGTCCCTAGACTGCCAGTTTGGCCTGATGGGAGCAGGCACATCACCTTCAGCCACTTCCAAACATCTAGGTGGGCCGAGGCTGGGTGCTCAGGGAGGACCTAGGAAAGGTGGTGTGAATCTCAAGGACAAGTGTCTGGGAAGGACGGTTTTCCTTCCTGCATGCATGCCGAGATGACTCCAGGCTTTCTTAGGACTGGTGATGGTGCCTGCTGGTTTGGTGATGATTATGTCTGAGTTCGAGAGGAGGATGACAACTGATTCAGTCTTAGCAAGGCGAGGAATGGGGACAGCTCTTCTGTGGAGCTCTGGAAGCTTGGAAGCCTCCTGGCCTCATCTAGCCTGGTTTTCGGATAAACCCCTCTGTAGTGCCTATTGAAACTGAGGCTTTGGGATACATTTCCTTCTGTGCGTCATGGGAATAGGGGAGGGGACACTGAGGTGGAGTGTTCATGTGGAGGGCTGGTCCTGGGACAATCTCATCATGTCCCTCCACTGCATAGCATTGCTGGGAGCAAGCAGATGTTCTTTACAGTGTCATTCAGAGCTCTGCAGGAGCTGGCCCAATCACCTCTCCTTCCACAACTCACATTAAACATAGGGTCCTAGATAAGCCATGGTCTTGAATTTGGTAGCTTTGAGTCTTCTGTTTTCTTGGTCTGGAATATTCCTCCCTGCTTGCAAACTGCAGTCGTTCTTGGGCTTCCCCTATGTGAAGCTTTCCCAGACTCTTGGGCACCTTTTCTTACTCCCTATGTGCTATGTGTGCATCCCCATTACAACAGTCTTATTGCATCTTGGGGGTTCTAGAATCTAGCGCCAGCTACTCCTCAGGCTGAGGGCTCCGTAAGCGCGTCTGAATTTTGGTGCTTGATACATCTTGTTTTGCAGAATGAGTGCATGATTGCAGTCACCAGATGTTGGTATAAGTTCAGAGAAAATGACCTGGAAGAGTTCGACTTAAACTTTGTTGCTATTTCTAAGACTAGGATAGGTCCACCTTTCCTAAGGGCAGCCTCCTGCTCTTGGGATGGAAGGAAGTTGTCTGCTAGGGACTGGAGAAGGAGCAATTCTAATGGAAAGTTGCCCCGAGATGCTTAATGTGGGATGTCTCAAAATAGAGAGTTTGTAGCTGCACTGCCCTTCACACAAGACTCTGGGAGGACCCTCAGTGAAGGCAGTGTGCTAGGGGGAAGCTGGAGCTCATTACTGTAGTTTTCCTGAGAAGAAGGGAGAGAGGGAGGAAGAGGGGGGAGAAGGGGAGGCCAGAAGAGGGAGCGAGAAAGGGAGAGAAGAGAAATAAGAGGAAGAAGAGGAAGAAAAAGGAGGAGGAGGAGGAGGGGGAGACTGTTGTATACACATACACTGAACACTCTGTGATCTCCTAAAACTAAGTTCACTTCCCAATAGTTCAGTATTGAATTTTTTTTTAGTATTGAATTTTTTAACCAACTTTTTTTAAAATTACAAAAGTACTATATGGTCATTATAGAAAATGTGGAAAGTAGAGAAGTACAAAGAAGAAAATAAATGTTCCCCATAACCATCCATACCCAGATATAACTCCCGTTAATATTTATGTGCTTTCATTGTCTTTGTTTTATTTGTATCCATATCCATGAATCCAAATATAATAATACTGTACATCATATTCTGAAATTTTTCATTCACTATATTAAGAACATATTTCATATCATCAAATGTTCTTTTTCATCATAACACATCACTTAATGTGACTCCCTAGAATGTCCAACATAAAGAATTCCATAATTCACTCATTCTCTGATTTTAAAAAATTCCGTAGTTTATCTAACCATTCTTTATATGTTTAATCATTCATTTATTGTCTATTTAACTGTTCTCTATTTATCTAATATTTATGAACATTTTTGATCTTTTAAATAATGTCGTTATTAAAGTTATTAACAACCTTTGCCAATTTCATAAGTAAAGCTTAATTTCAATTTATTTTATTTCTAATAAAGTAGAAATTTTTCCCTGTTTTTTGCTTACTTTTATATAAGTCATATATAAAAATTATCTTATAAGTATATATATTATCTTATATATGTCATATATAAGTATTATATAAGTATTATCTTATATGTGTCATATATAAATATTATCTTATATATGTCATATATAAGTATTATATATAATCATCTCAAAGGAAATATATATTATTTATATATTATATATTATATATGAGAAATATAACATTAAATACGTATGTATATATGTGTATCTGTACACACATAATATATATTATTTATATATAATATATAAGAAAAACATATTTAATATATATACACACATATGTGTTTTCTTTGAGATGTGTGTATATATATATATTTTTTTGACTTAAGTACAGCCATCATTAACTGAGGGAACAGTGCCAGCACTGAGTGTTTTATGGGATGCGTTATTTCATTTAGACCTCACATTCACCCCATGAGTAGCCACTATGCTCCACATTTAGTGGGGGCTTCTGAGGCTTGGCGAGGTTGAGGACACTACCATGAGGTGCTCTGGTGAAGCATGTTGTACTGGAATGCCTGTTTCATCATTTTTCTACTTAGGTGCTGGCAGCTTTCTTTTTATTTTATTGGAGTTGTTTAATTTATTGGAATTGTCTGCATATTAAGTATTTAATTCATTGTCTTTGTACATATACCATAGAGTTTTAAGTGGAAGCTGTAGTGTCCCAGTGTTTCCCACAAAGAAGGAGAAAAGGCAAGCAACTCATTGCTTTCTCCATTTTGAGTTTGTTGGGTGGCTTACCTGCTTGTAGCCCTACTTCCCAGATTCTTTCCCTTCATCATCTCATGGTGTCTTCGCCATGTGCAAGGTGGGTGGAGTGACATTTACTCATTCGTTTGAGGAGACTGAAGCCTGCCCAGTGTCAGAGAGTTGGCGGGCAAGCCAATTAAAACACAACAACAACAAACAAAACCTTGGTTGAGGGTTTTGTTTTTTGGTTGTTGTTTTTTAAATCGGCTTGCCTGCCATGAGCAACAAGAACCAACCGAATCAAACCAAACTGGACAAAAACATCTCCAATGGTGAGTCAGTTGGTTTGAATTGGGGATAGGGCTGCCAGATAAAATACAGAATGCCCATTTAGAGTTAATTTCAGATAAACAACCAATACTAAAATGACTAAAAACAGCAAAAAATACTTTTGAACAGTCCCAGGCAATATTTGGGACATACTTACACTTAAAATTTTTTTGTCATTGCTTATCTGGGACCCTTGTATTTTTATGTGCTTGAGCTTACAGCCCTAAGTGGGGAAAGCCTGCTATGACTGAGAACGGAGTCAGAGGGACCGAAAGAGGAAAGACGAGCTGACTGGCCGAGTTCACTTTGTTTTTAAACTTTGCTCTCATTCTTTTTCATCCGGTTTGGGTACACTGAGTAATGCGAGGCTGAAGGCCTGGAACCTGACTGCCTCTGTTTGGATGCATGAGTGTGGGGTGTGGGTGGTGGTGGGAGGCCTTGCATTTCTGGAGCTGCCTAATGCTTCCTCATTCTTCTGGGTGTGGGGCCAGCAGTGGGAGGGATTGGTTACAACAGAAGCCAAGATATTATATGGTCTTCCTTTTAAATAACAGAACATACAAAATCCTACTTTCTTTTCTGAATAAAAAAGTAATAATGTGAGTAGGCAGGGAATGTGTCTGGCCAAAATACCAATTTATAATGATCATTGTGGAAAACTTCCGAATAAGAAAGAAGAAAATTCAGTCACTCAGAATCCCATCACCCAGAGAAAAGCACTGTTAGCATGTTAGCATTTCAGCATATTTCCTTCCAGTCTTTTTTCCCATGGTTCTTTTGTTCTTTTAACTGTAAAGTCTGGAATCCCAAGTCAAAGTGGCCCCCTTTTCAGAAGCATAGAGAATGTTGGGGTTCGAGCGGGAGCTCAGTGATATTAAAGTGCTGTCAGCTGGCCCAAGCTCTCCTAGGATATCTGGAAGGGTTCTCACTTTTTGGCCCTCATTGGGGATTGCACCAGGCTCTCTTAATGGCCTATAAACTGTGTTAGGAGTCTTTTGCAAACACAATTTAATTGGGAATTCTAACATATGTAACAGATAAAAAAGGGCATTTTGGCAGTCTAAATCTAATTTAGAAGTTCAAATGAATGATGTTTTAAAATCAATCAATGAGAACCATAAGACTGTTTTGAATTTGGGTTTATGAGTTACACTTGCAGCCTATAACAGCCTCAGCATCCAATTCAGGTAAGAGTATTATTTTTATAGCAGTGAACCAATTATGCTTGCAAATGGTAATTTTAAAAAGTAGCTTACTTTGAAATGTAAGGATATTCATTAATTAAACAGTAATAAGGGAGAAAATTATTCTGATGTGTGGTCTTTAAAATTTTTTTTTCCTGTTTCTTTTTTTGGTCTGTGACAGATCAGAAAAACTGTGCTCAAAAACAAGTTGCAATACCAGATAATGCATTGGGTGTGTCTCCATTGTGTTCAATTTTGGAAGGCATATCATTATGATAAAAATTATGTACAGTAAATAATTAATTTGAATTAAATATTTGAAGACCCCATGAGTGCCCAGAACAGCCCCAGAATTCTAGAGAAAAGCTTGGGGGAAGCCTGCCCCTGTCCGTGGCTCTCTGGACAACAAGATTGTGTTGGGCTGACCAATGCCCAATTCAAAATTGTTGGTCATCTTGGGATCAAGAGGCTCTTGCTGGAGGCTGAGCCCATGATATGCTCTTACACCACCACTGCTGGCCCCCAGCGTGGATGCATGTGCTTCCACAGAAGACCGTAGATATTCAACGGTTATCTTTTCTTCACTCTGGGATAGTAATGGCTACCATTTATTGAGCATCTACTAAGTGCCAGACCCTGTGTGGTGGCTTTACATAATTAGAAATATCCTGTGATAGAGAAATTAAGAATACTTACACTGCTCCCAGGCACAGGCATAAATGTGACTAAAGGAACATTCTGGAAAGCCTCTTAAGGTGGGGAAAAGTCTGACTGACCATAGCCAAAGGACCTTCTGGGAGGGTAGGTTTAGTAAGCCACACAGCCGTGGCTTTGATGAATGGGCTATTCCACTGCAGGATAGGCCTCTGTCCCCAGGTCCGCCCTTTATCCATCCCCCTTCCTCTCCTCTAAGTAAAACAAGATATGGCTATGATGTCACCCAGGGAATATTTGTTGAGGAATGAATGAATGGGGTAAAACAGGAGCCTCCTAGGGTGCATGTGTGTCTCGATGCAGCCTGACAGAGCATAAGCAGACCAGTAGCCTGAAGAAGGTTGATGGCTAAGGCCGCCCCTTATTCCATGTACAACAGTGAGCAAGTTATGTGCACTTTCTGAAGTGCAGCTTTCTCATCTAAAAAATGGGGCAAACAACAATAATAATGATGATAGTCAACAGTTACAGGGGATTCATCCCCTGTGCTATATGTCAGACACTGTTCTAAATATGTCACCTGCATGAACTCATTTAATTCTCACACCAACCCTCCCTATGGGGAGGTATTTTTATCACCTCAATTAGCAGATGAAGAAATAGAGATACACATGGGTTAAGATACTTGCACAGGCTCAGCTAGGCAATCTGAGTCCATTCTCTTAACTTTGATACTCTCCTGCTCCTACGTAAAAGGTGCATTTGGGTGTGTTCCAGAGCCATTCTCCCCTTTTCTGAGAATTGCCCTTCACCTCCGCTGTGTCCTTGCAGCCAGGATTGTTCTATGTGATTTGTCTCCTTGAGCATGGATTGAGCCAGAGTGGACACTGAACCCAAGATGAGTCTTCACATCCTCTCTAAGAATGTGGGTTGGGATTCCAAGATGTGCGTCAGTCTTCACTGTTTGCTTAAACTCAGGATGTTTGGAGTCAGGTAGTGGGGAATGTCTCTGTTTGGCCACATGATGTTTGAGGCAGAGAAAAGTGAGAGTTGTCTGCAGACCCAGGTGGAGACCAAATCCTCAGGTCCTCATGCTGCTTCCTCCTGAGGACTATAGTAAAGCTCTCTCTTCCCCTCCCGAGAGAGTGTGAATGGGTATCTGTTTCTTTCAAGAACAGGGGTGCAATGTGAAGATCACATTAAACTATGTCTGTGGAAAGATATGTTCTGATCTCAAGACAAATTCTACTTTACAATGCTTTCAAAGTTAATAGGTAGTAAGCCGTTGCATGCTTTATAATTTAGGGTTAACACTAGGATGAATCCTCTGCACTGTGTTAACCGGATAGAAGTATCCTTTATTTCATGGAGAAGACACCATGAAATACCATGAGGCCATGTCCCCACATGGGTGGTACTTGTGGACTCCAGTGAGACTCCCTAATAAAGCCCAGCTCCCCATAGACTCTCAGTCACATTGGGTTGAGTTCCATTAGTAATGTCTGGCCACAACAAAGAAGTGGGTTCAATAGGTTGCTGTGGGTCCTTTGTGAAGAACTGCTAATCTCCCCCAAATTACCGCCCTTTGAATCTCTACTGCATCCAGCTTTTTTTTTTTTTTTTGTAGATTGGCTCCATTTAAAGCGATTAAAGTGGAGATCTGATTGGATAACTTCATCCAAATTCTGTAAACGCCACTTCCGCACAAACGGTTGCTTGCAATCAATTTAATTTTTCAAATAAAATGATTAAATTGCTATTATTGTCAGATCTTTTTTTTTTAAGAAAACCTTTTAAAATGTTAATTATTGGGCCCCTTGAAACACTTTCATCTTTCCCGACTTGCTCTCGAGCAGAAAATGTCTGCTTGTGCCTCACACCAACCCAAGGAAAATGCAGGCTTCCCTTTTTACACCTGCAACTATTCTCCTTAGCTCTAATATTTATGTGAATTTAACTTTAATTTTTCTGCCTTTCATCTTCTGAATTAGTCATATAATGCACAGATCACTCCTTCACTGCTTCTTTCCTGTTTATTTGCCTTAACAATAGATTCATTAACTAGATTTGGGTGCTCAAGCCATGTAACCACATCCATTTCAAAGGAAGATTTAATGGCATTTCATATTTTTCTACATTAAGGAAGATTAAAGTATATTACAATACCCTTTACTGCCCTATTTTCTTCATTTTAAAAGTGGTCAGTTTTAAAATTTTTTCCCTCTCTTTCTTTCATCTGCAGTGTTTGATAAATTGTCCAGGCCTTTCAGATGATAGTCCCAGCAAATTGAGTTCTATATTACAACTCGGACGCATTGTTTAGCCCATCAGCAGTCAGATAAAGCACCCCTATTCACACAGGACATCAAAAGAACAAATATATGTTCGAAGTGGGTAAAAAGAGGACTGAGACTCGGATATTTCATTTTCTTAATTGTTAGTGATTATTTGGCTAGTTTCAGAGTGATCACTGTGCTGACTCTGAACCTAGACTTACTTGCCTGATGTAATTGTGGTGTGAAATTCACATCCACATCTACGTAGACCTAGATATATATTCATGACCACAAATTACACCATTGGCAGACAGGGCAGGTGCATCACCTTTAATAGCCCAAGGGGCCGTCATACTAACATTTTAATAGCAGGCAGTAATGTGAAATGCAAGATCCGGACTCATGCCTTTTTATTTTAGCCATGTACCAGCTCGCAAAATAGTCAGGGGACTGGAAGGCATTCTCAGGCTAGAACAAGGGAGATATTAAAATTTAAGCTTTTTTATTTTTATTTTTTGTAAGGCAGAGGAGGTCAAGGTTATTGGGCACCCCTTAGGCTGAAGTTTCATTCAGGCGTGCCATCTATCAGCCCAGTTCGTTGAGGGAGCCCTCCCCCATCTCAATAAATGCAGCATAACCTTGCTTGACACTGAGTCTAAACAAAGTTTTGGGATGTTGGTAAGATGTGGGAGGAAAGGGCAGAAGACAGATTTTACGACAGTACAATCATGGGGTGTAGGTTTTAGGCAATAAGCAGGTAGCCTAGTTTTCTCAAAAGAAAAAAGAAAATAATGGAAAAGTGTAACGTTCATTCAGAGGCCTCAAAGGCATAAAAAACCCAATTCCAACTGTTATAGGTCCCTGCAGGAGTCTACAAAAGAACTAAGCTTTTTAAGTAAGAAAACTAGATTCTGGCCCACAGGGCCCTGTCATTGCTGCTTAATGGATGAAACTCTTTGGATATAAATATGCTGTTTACTTCTCAGCTTCAGCTTTCATAAAATATAACCTTTTTATGATTTACAACCCACAGAAAAACTGGAGGATGGATTTTTAGCTCTGAATTGGTTGGATGTCAACAAGAAAAATATAGATAACATATCGAAGTAGCAGGGTGTTAATGCCACACAAAATGATGAAATTATTTTTGTTTAGAAAAGTTAAGTTTGTTCTTAAAGTTGTTGGGAGATGGTGGTTGTGAGAGGCAAGGCTGATGCAAACCTGTGGAAATGTCTCTCATTTTAAAGTCCTCGTCCAGTGCCTCACAAGTTTGGACATACCGACTTCAGTTCCCAATTGGTAATGTCTTATTGAAAAGTCTGGGCTAATCACAGATTTTTCAAAAATGGGAATGGTCGTTCTTGGTCTAAATCACTCAGGATTTTCAAGTGCTGCATTTTGGTCCCATCTTCCAACATGAAATGTAGAAGCTGCCCTGATCCTGCAGGTGGGAGCTGATAGAACAAGTCTTTTTTTTTTTTTCCCCACAAAGATGACTGAAAAAAATGAAAAGGAAAAAACCTAGTAGGCAAACAAATAAAGCCCCCAGATAAGCAAGTAAGCAAGTAAGCAAGCAACCCAAAGCGAAACCCTCACATCCCAAGCAACCAGAAACTCTCCCCACTACAGACTGACAAAAGCCAATGCAGCCTTGGAAGTTCGATTGGAAAAAGATAATTTGTCTTGGTAATTTAGCATTCAGGCATCTGTATGAGCATATACACACACATACATATTTCTCCATTCCATTCCAGTGGCCTTTTGTTCATGTTGTTCAAGTCTTTTTTTTAATAGGACATTAAAATAAAGTTGATTTTTTTTTTTTTTATGCTTGGAGGAACAGCCTGATCCCTGAATGAATGAACCTGGAAGTCTGCCAATAGGACTGCTAGCCAAAGGGGTGAGGTTGTCAAAACTGAAAAGGTCTTCTCTTTTGACTGGTCTAAGCACTGGAGAAAGGGAATTTACTCTGCTTTTTGAAAGTTGCACTCAGCAAATTAAAATCTCATGCTCTGGAGGTTGAAGTACCAAGTTTTCAGTCTTTCCAGAACCTAGAAAGAGCTGAGCTATGAGGCTGTGCCATGGGGAGCTGTCTCGTGGTGGCCAGAATAGTCCTTCTCACCGCTGGTCTTTTGGATTTAGACAAAAGTGTCCAGTGAGAGGAACACCAATGGTACTCATTTCCTTGAGTGGCACTGCAGAGCCTGTCTCTGGGAGAGATACGTGACCCTAGAAGGTAGAATTGGCTGTGCGATTTATGGAAAAAAAGGAGCCTTGGTCAGAATTTACTGTGGAAACTTTTTCACATTTAGTGCCAGCATCCACCTGCAGGATATCACGATTGCCTAGTGGTCTTCAGTCAACCAAGGTCCAGGACGAAACCACAGGAAGACTTTTGGCTTTCTAGTCTACGTTCCAGAGAAATGAGGGAAATCTTCACGTGATTTATATTTGGTTAGAAGTGCCCAGGGTGGAGAGAGGGGTGTGTATTCTCAGGCAGGCCCACTCAGTCAAGTTGGCAGCCAGTGTTGGGTTCATTCAATGTTCTGTGAGCAGCGCAGAGTGCCCGAGGACTCCCAGGCCCTGTGTTGGCTGTTGGGTGGATACCAAGATCCATGTACTCATAGTTGGTCAGCATGGGTGGCTCACTAGAAGCCAGACATGGTGTGTACCGGGTGTTTAGGCCCAGAATGGTGCTTTTCCTCCTCATGGGACTCACTTTCTAGAGGCCCCCAAGCCAATAGGCAACAGATTACAGGAGAAGGTGATCAACGCTTAGGCCCTTATGGGATCACATGGAAAGGATCCTGAATGGACCTTGAAAGGGATTGACAAGAAAGCTTGCTGGTGGGAGAAGCGATGAATGCTTCTGGCATGAGGAGAACTACCATGTGGAAACATCTGGAGGTCAGAGACACTATGGAATAACAGAGGAACAGAAGAAGTTTGGGATGGCCAGGGCACAGAGTAGACACAGATTAAGCATCAATTCATAGTTCAAAATGGTGTTTACACATCTGTAGTGTGTGTGTGTGTGTGTGTGTGTGTATGTAATAGGGTGGCGGGTGGGGGGAGGGAGAACTCTTGAAAAATGCAGATTCCTGGGTCCTATTCAGAGAATGAGGTGGGCCCTCCAACAGCCCAGAAGACAGTGCCCCAGGCCAGAGAACATTTGGAAGGTGCATCAGAGCACATGCCCCAAAGGTAGAAGTTTGCATGAATCCCCACTTAGAGCAGGTGAGGCAGGCTCCACATTGGCCCAGATGGCATACAGGGAGCATGGCAGGCCTTAGGGAGAAGGGGTCCTGGTAACACCATGACCCCATGAAGTACCCCTCAACCCTGCTCTGAAGAAGCTTCCAGAGCAAGCTGAGAGGCTCACTCTGTACCTAGTAAAAGCAATTTCCCCCTCTTCAGCACACACGGGGTCCTCACCCAAACCTATGGCACAGGGAGGGACATAGCCATATTGTTGGCCTTGCTTTACCAGCTGGGGTCCAAAATGAACTTTTCCAATTTAAATGAAATAACCCCAGTCCTCATGGCTCTGATTTCAAGAATGTCCTTTGCTTTCCAGGGACCTTCCTCCCAGAAGCACACGGTTCCTTCTTAGGCCAAGAGGTTAGTCCTGGGACTGTCCCCTTCCTATGCCTTGGAGCTAATTGTCTGGATGGAGCCATGATTGCATGTGGTATCAAAAGCATCCCTGTTGTCATCATCGTTGTCATCACCATCACCATCATCACATTCTTCAGAGTGCTTTTATACACATGCAGTGGCACTTAATCTCCCTAAAAGATTAGGGAGATTTAAACTTAAGACCACCACATCTCCCTAAAAGTCCTGGAGGGCATGTGTGGTGTGGGATTTTTGTTCCCATTTTACAGATGCAGAAACTGAGCTTCAGAGGTTATGGCTTATCCAAGATTACACAGAAGATGAAGCTAGCTCCCTCTGGCAAGGACGCGTAAGGAACAAGAACTCCAAGAAGTGTTTGGGCATGGAGGCAATGAACTGGGGCCTGAAACTGGAGCAATGAAACTGGGGCTTGAATATGGCTGGCTCGCTGTGCTTTTCAAGTTTAAATGAAATAACTCACTGCCTTGCAGAGAGGAATGTGCCACCTGTCATCTGCTCCAGATGAACTAGCTGTACTTGCCTTCTCTGTGTCAGTGGGGAGGCTCCATCCAAGGGAGTGGGCACAGGCAGCACTCCTGGGGAGGCTGAAGTCTCCTTATCACCCCCAGAGCCCAGTCTGCAAATTCTGGAAGGGCAAGGAAGAATAAAGCAGGTCTGATGCAGGCTGGAGAGGTGTTAGGACTGGGCTGGGGGCTCCTCAAGCAGGGGAATCTCTTCTCTAGGATCCCGGCAACAATACCCCTTAATACCTTTCCCCGATTCCTGGGCCAAAAAAGTCTTGCCAGACATTCTTACAGCACAGAGAGCTCAGTGTGGTCTTCCAGAGGGGTTGTCAGGCCTGTCCTGGGAGTGCATGTGAATGGATGGGAGATGAAGCTCCCTCACTGCTGGGGGCCATGAGGTATTGGGGTGCTTGGGGCCAAGAAGGGCTTTTCCTTGTGCACCCCACGATAGTGGTAAGCAGTCTGGGCAGAATTGGAGGTGACTTCTGTAGGCATGAAGTATCTTCTTCATGTTAGTATTCTCAATACTCAGCAAATGATAGGGGCTCAATAAGTGTTTGATTAATGCAGAGGAGGTCTGCACGCTTGCAAGAATTCAATAGGACATAGGCTCCTCTACCCCAGCCTGTGCAGAAAACCAACCATCTCGAGTATCTGCAGACTAACAGCAGCTCATCCTCCTTGTGGCCTGCAAAAACATCCTGAAAGGATCAAATCACTTCTGGGCCACCCCTTCTGCACCCCAAGTGATGGGAATAAGAACGCCTTCCTGGCCCCTAGGGAGCAGGTGTGGGTGGGAGGGGGTGCTGAGCATTTGGACCCCAGGTGAAAGGTCATGCAGTGCAGTCATCAGAGGGCCTGGGAGGCAGCAGCCCCTGAGTCACCATGTGCAGGGCCTCAAAAACCAAACAGGGGCAGGGAGAGCTGCTCTGAGTCAGAGGAGAAGGGGGCCTCTTTCAACTGGGGTAGAAAGGAAGACTCTCTGGAAGAGGTGGCCTTGATCTGGGCTGGGATGAGGTGGGGGAGAACTTAGCCACAAGTAATGGTGGCAGCAGTGAGGGGGAGGTGGGAGTAATGGAAACAGCTGCAGTGGTGGTGACCAGTGGCAGCCCACACAGACAGACTCAGCGGTAGAGAGAGTCAGCCAGGGAGCTGCTGTCCCTAGATCTCACTATCTTCATCTGAAAATGGGGATCATGAGGTGTCCCTTCACACCTCCAGCCAGGGAGCTGCTGTCTCTAGATCTCACTGTCTTCATCTGAAAAGGGGGATCATGAAGTGTCCCTTCACACCTCGCAAACACAGTTGGGATGGGAGTTGTTTTCTTCCTTGGTTAAAATAGTTCATGTTTTGTTTTCGTTCTTTTCCGGTGTATATTTCTGAATGACAGCCCGAGGGGGCTAAATCAATATTTGTTAAACTCCTGAATAGGGGTGTGGGGCTTGTAGGGCCTGCAGGAGAGATGTGGTTAGAAGGGATCAGGAAGCCCTGCAGGCCTAAAGCCTAGAAATGAGATGACAGCTGGAATCCATGGGCGTCAGTCAAAGGAGGTGAGATGGGATAGAAGCAAATGGGAGTCAGGTAGTCTGGGGCCTGTTCCCGTTCCACCAGCGTTTTGAGGGTGACTTTGGGTAGGTTTCTGAGCCAGTTTCCTTGGCTAGAAAAGGAAGAGTTTGGCCAGATGGTCTACAGAAGGCACTTCCAACTTTGATGTTCTAAGAATGTATTTGATGCCGAACTACTGTGGACCAGAACCTGCTCTCTGCCAGGCCCTGTCACTTGGGCCATCATGCTGTAAAAAAGGCATGTCCCCATTTTACAAGCGTGGAAACTGAGACTCAGGGTGCAGATATGGTTGTCTTCAAATCCAGCACTAGGTCCTTCTCTACCATGTCAGTGGTCATAACCACATTAACCAAAATAGGTGCCAACGTGCCAAGTTATAGACTGGAACTTTTGGAGGAATCACAGAGTGGGATCCCACATTACCTGGTACTGAGAAGTTATGCCAACAGCCTCATGAGATGCAGAGTGGAGAGCGCTGTCAGGGGCCTGTGGGGCATGGGCCTTCCTGGGCCAGAGGATCGAGGGACCAGATGATCCTGTCTTCTGCTTACTCCAGGACGTGGTTAGTCTTGGAGAAGTAAGACACGGTTACTCAGCGGATGCTTGTCATAGCTCAGATCGGCCCAAATGCAAGGCCCCTGACATGGGGCTAGAAGTCAGCCAAGCTGTTTCAAAATAAAAACCCCACATTCTTACCCTTTTCCTCTTGGAGTTCTTTCATCTGGGCTCGGAGAGGAGACTTTTCTAAGTGGGAGCTCAAATTCATATCTGGTATGGCTTCATAGGTTGAACTTTGGGAAAATCCATCCCCGTTCAGTTGTCCTCAGAATCCCAGACCCAATTTTCCAAATCTAGTTAGTACCCAAAAGGAACAGTTGGTAGGAAAAAAAAATCTTAGTGCTTTAATTAAACATCCATGTTTGGCTTGTGTTTGGGGGCATATTTTTGCATCTTAAAATGTTTCTCTTCTCTTTGTAGTTGGGCTTTTCTTATAAACAGAGCTGGCTCAGAGTCACATTAATTTAATTTTATCTGTGATCCACATCAGCCTAGAATGCTATTAATTCGGATTTGACTGCCAGCAGAAAACAGCATTCACTAATATCCACTTTTTAGCTAGGTAATTGTGTAGTAATTAGGATGCGTGTTGTACATAATCTTGATTTAAATAATTCTTGCTTAGTTTTTTGTCTACATAGATAAAAAAGCTATTTTGTCAGTATTTTGGGAGTAGGAAATCATCTTGATTATTTTAATCAAAATCAGCATTTGTGAATTGTGGCATTCTTTTGGGAACAATTAATCTACAAGGCAGAGATTTGTCTCTCTGCCCTGCGTTGTAGATCCGTTGAGAATGCATTAAGATAGAGCAGAAGTGCCAGTCTCGAGGCCTCAAAGACACGCACCTCTGGCCTGATCTCTAGGTCTTGGGGGCCTGATAGTTAACTTCAGAGACAGTTCTATGTGATCTCAAGTCCTAGCTCTGCCACTTTGGAGCTGGGACTTTGAGCAAGCACTTAACATGATTGTACCTCAGTTTCCTCATCTGTAAATGGAGGTGGTTGCTGTCTATGTGGAGATTAGATGTGATGACACATAGTTAGAGAATGTCAGATTCCACCCATTGTTATTTCTTTATGCTTTTGTCACTAAGAGGCAGCATCTCACAGGGATTTACAGCAGAAGTCAGTAAGCTTTTCCTATAAAGAGTCAGATAATATTTTAGGCTTTGCAGGCTGTGTTCTCTCTGTTGAAGCTACACACTCTGCCTTGGTAGCTCAGAAGCAGCCACAGAGAATACATAGATGACCAGGTGTGGGTTTGGTCCACGGGCCATAGTTTGCCAAGCTCTGGTCTGGTGCAAGGCTTTGGAATCCAACAAATATAATTTGGAATCTGGTCTGACACTCAGCTGTCATATGTGTCCTTAGACAAAGTATGTAACTTCTCATTTTTCCATATCAACCAACAAGCCTGGAGTGGTGATTAGGTGAAGTAATGAAGGAAAAGCTTGCAGCGCAGCCACGCACATCACTCAATAAGGAGGCACTAATATCCTCACCTTGGCCTGCTTCCTGAGCACGGAAGCCAGAATCCAATTCCATATTGGCCAAGATCCTGCACATCTATAATGCTAAGAAGCTTCAAGGATCTTATTAGCACTGGGAGGTTGGGGTGAGGCTTGTAAATACACTAAGTAGGATGGGTAATAGTTAACCTAGTTAACCTAGACAGGTATCTCAAAGCGCCTCGGTGATTGTTTCTATAAACCTTGCTCCAAAGAGAGTTTCTTGCTGTGTATCTGTTGTCATTCAGTTCTAAGCATTCTTTTAATGAACTCTTTCAACAGATCCTAATATTTTACCCTGTGTCCTTCTTGTTTCTTTTTTTATGTTTTAAGTTTATTTACAAACATATCTAGTATGTCATAGGAGTTCGAGTTTGATCCATTTTTCAAAGAGCTTGTACCTCTCCATTATTTGTTAAACGGATGAATGAAAACATCCTTATTTTGTTTTTCATTTTCTATTTTTATAGATTTAGGGCATACAAGTGCATTTTTATTACAAGGATATATTGCACAGTGGTTAAGTCTGGGCTTTTTGTGTGCCCATCATCTGAATAGTGTATGTTTTATCCAAGAGGTACTTTCTCATTCCTCAGCACCCAACTCCCATCTTCCCACATTTGGAGACTCCAGTGTCTATTATTCTACTCTGTATGTCCACGTGTACACACCGTTTAGCTCCTACTTATGAGTGAGAACATGAGGTATTTGACTTTCTGTGTCTGAGTTATTTCACCTAGGATGATGGCCTCCAGTTCCATCCATGTTGCTTCAAAAACAATTATTTCATTCTTTTTTATGACTGAGTAGTATTCCATGGTGTGTGTCTCTACACACACACACACACACACACACTAATACATATATGTGTGTGTGTGTATATATGTGTATGTATATGTGTGTATATATATATATATACACACACACACACAGATATAGGCATTTTCTTTATCTAATCATCTGTTGACGGACACTTAGGTTGATGACTTTGCTACTGTGAATAGTGCTGCAGTAAACATATGAGTGTGGATGTCTTTTTAATATAATGATTTCCTTTCCTTTGGGAAGATACCCTGTAGTGGGATTACCAGATCAAATGATAAGTCTATTTTTAGATCTTTGAGAAATCTCCATACTGTTTTCCATAGAGGTTGTACTAATTTACATTCCAATCAAAAGTGTATACGCATTCCATTTTCTTTGCATGCACACTAACATCTGTTGTTTTTTGACTTTTTAGTAATAGCCATTTTGACTGGTGTGAGATGGCATCTTATTGTGATTTTAATGTGCATTTCTCTGATAATTAGTGATGTTGAGCATTTTTAAAATATGTTTGTTGGCTGCTTATATGTCTTCTTTTGAAAAATGTCTGTTCATGTCCTCTGCCTACTTTTTAATGGGGTCATTTGTTTTTTTCTTATTGAGTTGTTTGAGTTCCTTATAGATTCTGGATATTAGTCGTTTGTCAGATGCATAGTTTGCAAATGTTTTCTCCTGTTCTGCAGGCCGTTTGTTCACTCAATTGACTGTTTCTTTTTGCTGTGCAAAAGCTTTTTAGTTTAATTAAGTCATATTTGTTTATTTTTGTTTTTGTTGCTTGCTTTTGAGGCCTTAGTCATAAATTCCTTGCTGAGGCCAATGTCCAGAGAGTTTTCCTAGGGTTTCTTGCAGGACTTTTATAGTTTCAGGTCTTGTAGTTAAATCTTTAATCCATCTTGAGTTACTTTTTATATATTGTGACAGATAGGGGTTCAATTTCATTCTTCTGCATATGGCCAGCCAATTTTCCCAGGACCATTTATTGAATAGGATATTCTTTCCCCAGTATATATTTTTGTCAACATTGTCAAAGATCAGTGGGTTGTATGTATGTGGCTTTAGTTCTGGATTCTCTATTCTATTTCACTGATTTCTGTATCTCTTTTTATCTCAATACCAAGCTGTTTTGGTTAATTTGAAGTCAGATACAAACATTCTTATTTCTTAAGCAGTTTGTATCTTACTATAAAGGTGCAACAAACCCAGATCCAAAGTACAAAGTCACTGTAATTAGTAACCACCACTTATTTTCTACTGAAAACAGCAAATTCTCCCCCATGCCTTCCTCACAGTGTCTTCTACAGAACACAGAGGTTGTGAGCCTCTCTGCAAAAGGTGCAGTGACTGGAGGTGGAAGAAAAACCCTTCCAACTTCTATAGCAAGATCACTTAATAAAAAGTAATGATGCCACCAAGTAAGGTTGTGCTAAAACAAACCAATACCCGCCCACCTCAAACCCACAGTGATGAAAATGTGTCAAAGGGATGTGGGAGGAAACTGAAAAAGCTCCCAATGGCCATAGCTGGAACTACGTGGGCAATAAAATAAATAATATAGAATTCTATTAAAACCTAAAGTAAAAAATACATATCCACAAGTCTATACTGATACAAATCAATGACAGAATAAATACTTGGGGAAGAAAATGCAAATATCAGAAGTGTGAGGGGGCTGCACATAGTGACTTCCTTCCAAAGGGTACGGTATGGAAAGGGGGAAGAAAGAGTCACTGGCCAGTGGAGACACCTGACAAACACGACCTCTGCAAAGTGATCAAGGTTGACATCAACAGTGGTGTCACAGTGATGATGTGAACTCTTGATATGATGTGAGGAAAATGACACTTTACCTCTGTGGTCTTCCCCCTGAAAACACACAACTCCAGTTTCTAATCATGAGATAAACACCAGGCCAGTCCAGACTGAGAGACATTCTACAATACAGGTCTGGCACTCCTCAGTACTGTTAAGGTCACCAAGAACAAGGAGTGTCTGAGAAATTGTCGCAGGCAAGAGGAGCCTAAAAGATATGAAGACTACATGCAATGTGGGATTCCAGATGGGATCCTACAACAGAAAAAGGACATGAGCTAAAAACTAGGGACATCACAATAACATATGGATTTTAGTTAATAATAATGTTTTAAAAATTAGTGACAATACCTACCTATTTTTGAGTGCTCACACGTGCCAGGCACTGTGTGTAGCATTTGACAGGGACCGTCACATTCAGCCTTCACATTTGCTAGCCAATGGGAAGCGAGGCATCTGACACCATACACCCGACGCTGTGTGCAGACTAAGCCTTTGCCCCTGCCTCTAGGACCAGTTTGGACTCAAGATGGGAAATAATCCCAAGCTGTAGCACTTACATCCATTTTCTCTTTCTCTTTTGCTAACAAAGCCTCAATTTTCTTTGGGCTGGCTATGTGGCGTCCTAAAAAGCTTCTACATATTTTATCCTGTCTTAGAGCTGGAGTGACTGTATTCTATCAGTGAAATGTGAGTAGAAGCCTTTTTGGGGGGTTAGGGGAAATTTTTTGCCATTTAATGTTGGTGTTGCCCTTCTTCCCATCCAGGATATAGATGTAAGGCTGGAGGTGGAGCAGCTGCTCGGCGATCTGTGGTGACAAGAGTGGTGATGAGAGGCACATGCTGAGGATGGCTGAGCAGGAGGACAGAGGAGCCAGGGACAGTGCCGCCTTCTTAGAGCTCCTGCCCAGGCCCTGAGCAGCCCACCTCACTCCTGGTACATGGATCCCATCTCTAGGGCTCTGCCCCAGCTCAGCTTTGCTGCTGGCTCTGTACTGACCAGATAGTTGATTCTAGTAACTAAATTTTTACTTTATTTTCCAGGGACTCCGGTTCCTGATCTTGTCTTCTCTTTGCCTCAGGTGTCTGCCAAGTTCTGGGAAATTTGTGTCACAGGGCAAGGATCCTGGCACAAGGGAGGAAGTATCAGGTCACAGTTTAGGCTCTTGAGTTAGATGGCTGAGCTCAAATTCCAGCTCTGGCTTTTGCATGATGGGAGGTTTGGGGCAAGTTACCCAACCTCTTCAATTCTTGGCTTCTTCCTCTGTGAAGTGGCTTCAAAGGGCTGTGGAATGTGCGTAACATGTGCCTGGGCCATTGTGGGTGCTCTGTATGTGTGGCCACATTACTGTCATCATCATCATCCCCTAGACAGGCCATGTGAAGTAGTGGCACATATGAAGTGCCACATAAATGTTAATTACTACTATCATGATTTTGCTTCCCTCCTGTCTGTCCTTGAGAGGGACATGCAGACCCCCCAAACCACCCATCTACCTTCATATCTCATGCTGTCCTCAATGCCTCTGCCAATTCACCCAAATCATCTGCCATGAAGTCAGGCCATCTAGGTCCTGAAACTAAGCCCAGGTTTTACCAAGTTTTGGTTTCTCTTATTCCTGGTTCAGTGACTCTCTGCTCCTGGTTCTGCAACAGTGTGAACTGGGTTTGGAGCTCTCTAGCCCTGAGAAGTTATCCACACTAGATGCTGTTAAGGTCACCAAGAACAAGGAAAGTCTGAGAAACTGTCACAGACAAGAGGAGCCTAGAAAGATATAATGACTACATATACCATCACCCTTTTGTGGTTGACCCCACTGCATCACAGGGATAGTTCCAAGAGAAACTCAACCTCCCTCAGCTCAATGAACTGTGTCTAAGTTCTTAGTCCTCTGGCTCAGTTCCGTGGCCCAGGGTCACTATTCTCTTAAATGTTGGCGAATAGCAACACTTCAAAGGTACCTAGGGGCAAGAAGAGTTCACATAAGAGGTGGAGGAGGAATATCAGAGTATACATTCCAGGAGGGCAGAGGGCACCAGAAGCTAAAGGAGTGAGGAGTTTCAAGAGGGAAGAGATCAGCAAAGCAAATGTGATCCAGAGTCCCCTCAGGATTAGCTCTGAAAAAATCTGCCAGATTTGGAAATTACAGTTGATCCTCATTATTTGCAGAATCTGTATCTGCAAATTCAACCCACTCACTAAAATGTATTTATAATCAGTACTCATGGAGCTTTCATGATCATTTGTGGACATGTGTAGAGTGATGAAAAATTTGAGTCACTTGACGTGCACGTTTCCAGCTGAGGCTGAACACAGTGATGCTCTGCCTTCCTGCCTCTGCTTTCATATTGTGAACCAGTGTCCTTGAGTCTATTCAGTGTCACATTCTTCACATTTCTGTTCATTTTGCTGGTGATTTTGCTGTTTAAAAGGGACTTCAAGTGTAGTGCTGAAGTGCTGTGTAGTGTTTCTATGCACAGGAGGCTATGATGTGCCTTTTGAAAAAATACTTGTTAGGTAAGTTTCATTCGGGCATGAGTTATAGTGCTGTTCACTGTGAATTCAATGTTCATGAATAATCAATATATGTTAAATGGGTATCTTTAAACAGAGACACGCATAAACCAAGGTCAGCATTTACTGGGTTTTGAAAATGTTGTGCCCAGAGGCTGGCAGGAACCTAACCCTGTATTTCCTGTAGGAGCAATGGTTCAGTGTTCACTAATGTGGCAACTTCATAGAACATAACTACTGCAAATAATGAGAATAGACTGTATTAGGTCATTGTACAACTTAGCAAGAATGAATGGTTTCAGTTGTGTAATAATAGAAACCAAATTATGGTGTCTTGAGTATTGAATGGAAGATGAAGAAGTATAGAGCCAGTGTAGACAACATGTCCTTCAAGAAGTTTAATTGAGAAGAGGAAAACTAGAGAGCTTGTTTTCACAAATGTTAGATGCTCTATAAATTATTTTTAATTGAATTGAGGTAGAAACCTGAAGTTTAAATTTAAGTTACTTGATGGATTCTTATATTTTATGTTAGCCAGACTCTTCTTGTCACTTTGGAGGATCTTTAACCTTGATTAAATAATTAAATTCCTACCAAGAATTACAGGAAGTGTATTGCCCACATGAGAAGCAAGTGACACCTGGAATGTGAAGGGTCTGTTCTTGTGGCTTCAATTGGAGGCTTACGTTTGAATGTTGTATTAAAAAGAAAAACCTCTCTATTTGGTTAAAGTTACCATAGAAAATATAGAATGTTAAATCTGAATTTCAGATAAGCAATAAATATCTTCTTTTAGTATAGTTGTGTTCTGTGCACTATTTGCTGAATCTGGTAAGTATATATGTATATTTCACTCCTGGGGTTGGTGTCACTTTGGCATCTTATGAAACTCTTGTTTCAGTGGCACAGAGGCATTTGGGATTTCTCCAGGCACCCCTTCCCTGAGTGACACATAGGCCGTATATTAAGTCAGACCACTGCAAATATACCCTCCCCTTCTGGTAAAGTCCAGCTGCAGCCAGTTATAGGTGATGCACTTACTTCAGAAAGAAACCTAATTTCACTTTCAACCCCATGGTACTTTTTCTGGCAGCACAACACAGAAAGAAACACAGTTGATTGTGGATCCAGAGGTCTGTGATTTATCTCAGCTTTGTCCCTGACCTGTTGTGTGACCTTGGGTAGGTCATTGCACCTTCTGGGCCCTGGCTCTTTTGGTCTGAAGGTCAAGGCATTGAGTAAAGTGGCTCACAAGGCACTTTTCAGCTCTAAAACCCAAGGAATCCTTGAAAAGCTGGCAGTTTAGATGGTCTTAATTTAAAAACCTAGAATTTTTCCATCTGGAGGGGAACTTAGTCATGATTAAGAAAAAAAAGATGCATTATATTCGCTTCCCAAATGCTTAAAAACATGATTGACTGTAAGAAAGAAAATCCCCAAACCCTTAGGGAAACATTACATTTTACAGTGTATCCTCTTTTCCATTGAAGAAACATTTGCAATCTGTTTAGGGGAGAACAGTGTCTGAATCATTACCAGGACTCTGCTCCAAAGGCAGGAACTTTCTCCTGCTGAAAAATGTCTGGAAAAGATGGCCGCTGCTCCTGGGCAGCTTTGCAAATGTATCCTGCAAATAAGAGGCTGAGGCCAAGGGCATGTGACACAATAAAAACCATGGAGACAGTGAAGGCTTCCTTATGCCTAGGGCTTACTATGTTCCCAGGCCCCCTTTCTGGGCACGTTCCACACATGGATCCGAGTCCCGCAGCCGCCACCAGACCATCATCTGTGTCATGCCAGCCTAGATTTCTTTCTTTCTCCTTTTTGGGAAGGGGAGTTGGATTGGAGGATCAGGGAAGTGAGGAGTGATTGATCTTCTAAGGTTGTAGAAGAAAGGCGAAGGGTGATCTTTGTTTTAGAGATTAGGAAACAGGCTCAGAGAAGTTACTAGATTTTCTTGGCCTCCTGCTCACCAGCAGCAAAGCTGGTGTTAGGAGCCAAGACTCTGGCTCTGAAGCCCTCCCCATGTATCTTCAGACCGGCCACATAAAAGGGAAAATTCAGATCGTCTTCCTGATGTTGACAGACTGTTAGAAATGAAGATCTGTGAAGTCAAGAGCTTTTGCCTTGCTAACCAGCTCCTGGAGGCGAAAGCCTATTTGTTTTTCACACACATGTTAAATTTCATGAATCAGACCTGAAACACTTTTTTCAGGTAGTGGACTCTCTGGTTGAAGGTAGAAAGCTGTAATTAAGCATGATCAACCTAATGAATCACAACAGAACTAGAGCATGCTAGGATGTCTCCCCGGCTGTGTCCCCCTTGGCTCCTTGATGATAATGTGTGACATGTTTGCATTTATGGGCATACAGGTTTAATGTGTCAAAACTGTGCATCACATGGGGGATGGATTGCCTCATTCTTGAGGACTTGGGTGGTATAAATAAAGCCAAGTCTTTCATTTTGAGGAGGTAATGGAACCCAAGAATAGAGAGTATGAGACCAAGACCTAAGTTCAAATCTTCCCTCAGACCCCTGAGCCTCTCTCCTTAAAGCTGCTGTCTCCACCCAACGCAGGGACTTTGTACAGGCCAGACCCTCTGCTTGGAAGGTTCTCAGCAGATCTGCTCTTAGGGGACATTAAGGCGTTCATGGAATGGAAGGGGAATGACCTGGACTGAGCAGGGTGTAATCTCCAGCCCTGGTTGCATGATGTGGATTTCCTTCCTTCTCCTCATTGGAAAGGGGAGCTGACCTGGGTGATCAGGAGGGCAATACTTATTGACCTTGAAAGCTGCAGGGGGCCAGGCTTGAGGGGATTGATAGTGAAGGAGGCAAGACTTGCTCAGAACAAGCTGTCAGCCAAGAGAAGGAGGTATAGGAATGCAGCTAGGGGAGGGGAGATGACAGGGGTGCTTGGAAGCTTGGCAAGAGGGTGCTAAGGTCAGAAATTTTACCCAGGACGTTTTTGTCTACACAATGGTAAGAGTGTAACTCCTCGCTCTGAAATATAAAAATTATCAGGTGTTTTATACACCTCTTTTAGATGACCCAATTGCCAAGTAATCTGAAAACCTAAGGGGTAAAATTTGATTTAACAAAAATAATCAAATTGATTCCAAAGTAATCATGCCTGATATTGAGGGCCAGTCCTGCTAAGTTGCTTCACAAGAAGCATCTCATTTACTTCTCACTACATCTCTGTGAGGCCCAGAGTGCTACACCCATTTTACTGGTGACAGAATTATGGCTCAGAGGCTCGAATAACTTGCCTGGGGTCACACAGCCAAGTAAGTAGTAAGGCCAGGTTTCATGCCCAGGGTCTGTTTTGTTTGAAACCCAGGCTCTTTATACTGTAATAAACTCCTTCAAAAAGTTGAGACCGAAGGAACTTGCTTTGAAAAAATATGCAGGGCTCTGCCTGGGGCAGACTCTGTAAGAATCACCTTTACAGAATGCTTTTAAGAGTTAAGATTTTGCATTTGACTTTAAATTTTTATTAAAAAAATTAAATTGTCATGCCAAAGGTGGAAAGGTTTCATCCTCCACATTGTCATCTAAATGCCAGGTAGACTTGGAGAAAGCATTTCATCCCATCAGGACTCCCCTTTCCCTGAGGTATGTAAGCTGCAAGGGACCTCAGGCCCCTAGAGTCATCTTGTCCTGCCAGGGGATGGGGGTCCCAACTTCTAGCCCAAGGACACCCTTTGAACATCAAATTCTTCCTGGGATGATAGCTTTCGTTTAGTCTCCAGACTCCATAAGTGTAAGGGTTCTTGAGCCCTGCTGGCAAGAACTCTGCGGTTGTCCCTTCTCCACTGGGAATCCTGGGAGTCCAGCCTCTCTAAGAGCCCAGACGTGGGACTGGTTCAGGGGCCTTGGATGCCATCCCTAAATTCACTAAGGGAAGAGTGGGCAGGGCTGTTAGAAGCTAAACCCCCAGGCTTGTGGGCTTGTTGTGATACCTCACAGATAGGAGCACATGAGACAACTAGGAAGGAGCTTCCACTCCTGAGTCCTGTAGACTTGGGAGCTCGTCCTAAGACACAGAAGGACTTTTGTTTCCTGCATTGTCTTGTTGAATCTTCCTCGTTAAGTGGAGGAGTCAAAAGCATCCTCCTATTGTTGACTCTTCAGGCTTTGACAGGGGCTATTAGAGGCATCTAGGCTACCCTTTCCCACAGTTAAGCCCAGTGTCCATATTTTAGGTGGGATGATGAGGGATAGGCATGTCCAGGAGGAAATGAAGGGAAGGTAATGAGTCTGAGTACCTAGAAACACTAAGGGTGTTAAGTTTGGAGAAGATTTGGGGAAGTTAAGCACAATTATTTGTTTCAAGTACATGAAGGAATGCTCTTGGAAGGGAGGGTTGATTTGCTTCTTAATGACTATAGAAAGCTGAACTATGACCAAATGGTAGACCAGATGAGCCTTGAGCTACCTCCCAAGATAGAGATTCTATGACTTTCTATGCACAAGTCCCCCTTCTTACCCTTTAATTCCTCTGATTGCCTTCTTCTGACTTTCCTGTCCCATAGGGACAAAAATGGATCCTCATACTCTAATGTCTGTATTAAAAATAAAATAACCAGAGATACTATTATAACTGGCACAGGAGCTACAAGAGAGCACAATTCAGTTGCTTCATTTTCCTAATAATGGATAAAATCACACCAGCAATTTCCCGTTGAATACATTTGTCAATCAAAAACCCAACACTTAGAGAGATCCCCCATAGTGTCCTCCAGGTACTATCTGTAAGTGAGAGGAAGCACACTTCTCGGCATTGTTATAACTGGAGCAAATAGGCTGAGAGCTTGTTTAATTTTTTGAAAGAGGGTTCTCCAGCTTTTGGCTGGTCTAATGAAAACTGGTCTGTGTCTACTTTGGCTGAATTCTTTGCACAATGACACTGCCCCCAGTTCTATAATTTCTGCTAATTGCCACTTGAACAAAAGCCACATTGTATAGCTTCTCGGCTGCTCTACAGTCTCAGAGTGGAACTGGCCAGAATGTCTAAAGCATTCTCATCATGAAACCTTCTTCCCCAGCACAGCCTGTGTTTATCTACATTGCAGAGGCTGAAATCGTGTTTTCAAACTGGGCCTGAGTGTGTTCCATAGAAGAAGAATTTAAGAGAGGTCATGAGTCAGCAACTTAAATATTTGCATGCTGATGGCATCACCTTTTAACAGTTTTGCAGAGTAAGAATAATAGTGACTTAATAAGTGAAAGCAGCCGGACGTGGTGGTTCACGCCTGTAATCCCAGCACTTTGGGAGGCCGAGGTGGGTGGATCACCTGAGGTCGGGAGTTTGAGACCAGCCTGACTAACATGGAGAAACCCCGTCTCTACTATAAATACAAAATTAGCTGGATGTGCTGGTGCATACCTGTAATCCTAGCTACTTGGGAGGCTGTGGCAGGAGAATCACTTGAACCCGGGGGGCAGAGGTTGGGGTGAGCCGAGATTGTGCCATTGCACTACAGCCTGGGCAACAAGAGTGAAACTCTGTCTCAAAAAAAAAAAAAAAAAAAGTGAAACCTTCCGGAATTTCTGCTTCCCCCAGTTACCTGGATGTTTTGAAATGATCTCATTTGCTTTAGGAACTCAAGAGATTATGCTGGAGTTGGAAGCGTTTCGAGATGGTCTCAGGTAAAATGGTCAAGTTAAAGGGATCTGGCATGAATCTCCTGAACACCCTTGACTTGTTAGTGTTTTCATGAATGTTTCCTGTCTTCCTAGGAGCCCCCTAAGTGGGTTCAGACAATTGTGCGTACTGGGAGAAACTTTGGAGCTTGAGGTCTCATAAACACAGAGACATGGAATTGTAAGGTTGTGAAGAGATCTTGAGGTCGTTTAAGTCCAGTCTCTCAAATATGCATTTTGAAAACCTAATTTTAACATCCTCAGACTAAATCAAAATTGGTCACGTTTGAGGATCTAATAGGAACTATGAAAACTATTCCCAGTATGCAGTGGGGTAAGAATAGTCTTTTCAACAAACGGTATTGGAACAACTTGATACCTATGTGGATAAAAATGAACTATGATCCTGACCTGATATCACACACAAATATTAACTCAAAATGGATCACATACCTAAGAGTAAAAGTTAAAAACAATAAAAATTCTAGATAAATTAGGGGAAAAAATCTTTGTGATTTGAGGGCAGACAACATTTCTTAGGCCACACATGCATGCATACAAACCAAACCCATAAATATAACATATATATTTTATGTCATTATAAGTTTTTATATATATAAAATCTTAGACAAAAGTTTTCATAGACAAAGTTTTCATTTAGAATTACAAAGTTCTCTTACAACTCAATAATAAAACAACTTAATTTTTTAAATATTTGAAAATATATTTGACAAAAGAAGATACATAAAGGACCAATAAGTGTATGAGAAGACGCTCAACATCAGCAGTCACCATGGAAACACAAATTCAAATCACAATGAGATTCTCTACTCATGCACTAGAGTGGCTAAATTAAAAAGACCGATGATATGAAGTGTTGGTGAGAATGTGGAAGCAACTGGAACTCTCACACATTGCTGGTGGGAGTGAAAAATTGTATAACCACTTTATACATATTGGCAGTTTCTGCTAAAGTTAAAGAGATTTACTATCTGAATCCAAATTCCACTCCTAGGTATTTATGCAAAGGAAATGAAAACATATGTCCACAAGAAGGCTTGTACAAGAATATTTATAAAAGCTTTATTGGTAGTAGCCTCAAATATCCATTGAAGGTGAATAGATAAACAAATTGTGCTGTAGCCACACACAGGAATACTGTTCAGGGACAAAAACGCATGACCTGCTGATACCTGCAACAGGGATGATGCTGAACAAAAGAAGCCAGACACAAAAGAGTGTGATTCCAGTTAAAGGAAATCCTAGAATAGGCAAAACTAATCGATAGTGACAGAGAGATCAGTTGTTTCCTGGGGTTAGGGGTTGCTGTGGGGACTAACAGCAAAGTGACATGAGCAAACTTTTTGAGGTGATGAAAATGTTCCATATTTTGAATTTGATGGTGGTTATATGACTGTGTATATTTATAAGAGTTTCTTCAATGGTACACTTATTAGGGCTGTATTTTATTATATGTAAATTACACCTTGATAAAAGATGCAAAAAACCCTTATGTCTACCGTATCTCATTTCATCTGGGCTCTTGCGCTAGAAGAGGGTGGAGAATGGTTAATTTAATTCAGTCAATGAGTCCTTTTACATGGGACTTAAAAGACCACAATGTGCAGAGTTTCAGGAGCATTCTCTGGCCATGCAGGAACTGTTCTTGCTGTTAGGGTGAGCACACAGTCTTGATTTGCCTTGGTTTGCCGTTCCGTTTTGCATCAGGTCCTCCGGGTATGATAATGAGCTCGTGGGCTGCTACAAACTTCTGGACACCCTCTTTCAGATATCCAGAACTGCTGTTCCTCCCTGACAGCAAAGTTTCCTGAGTGCTGATCACACGCTAGGTATGCATGCACTTAGGCCTTACATAGGTTAAAATTAGTTCTCAGTCCTCTGAGATAATATGGTACCCCCTTTTTGTAGATAAAAAATTTTGAAGTTTAGAGAGGCTAAAGTTGTGTGTGCAAATGCACTCCCTGCCACTCAGGGTAGAACTACTCTGCCTTTATTTAGTATTTAGACAGAAATGCACTTCGATTTGCTATAATCACAAGAGGTTTTTTGTTTGTTTGTTTGTTTTAAAAAAGAAAAAGATCTGGTCCAAGATAGCAGTAACTATAACGTCATGATGACCTCTGGGTATAACTCCTCAGTGTAGACCCTGATCCACAAGGCTCCCCTGGGGTCAGGAGTTCAGTGATGCAGTGCGCTGGGCTGAAGGGGCCCAAGGAGGGAGGAGGATGAATTTGGGGCCATGTAAGGCACAGGATCAAAGACTTGAGGTATGATAGATAAAGCAAGGATTTGAAGGTCATCTGGCAGTCTGCTGCTGAAATTAGAAATGCGGAATCTCAGCTGGGCGCAGTGGCTCACACCTGTAATCCCAGCACTTTGAGAGGCTGAGGTGGGTGGATCACCTGAGGTCAGGAGTTTGAGACCAGACTGGCCAATATGGCAAAACCCTGTCTCTACTAAAAAAAAAAAAAAAAAAAAATTAGCTGGGCATGGTGGCAGGTGCCTGTAATCCCAGCTACTTGGAAGGCTGGGGCAAGAGAATTGCTTGAACCTGGGAGGCGGAGGTTGCAGTGAGCTGAGATCACGCCACTGCACTCCAGCCTGGGTGATGAAGCGAGACTCTGTCTCCAAAAAAAAAAAAAAAAAAAAAAAAAAGTGGGGGGATCTCAGGGTGTTTCTTTTGCAAAGTTTTTGCCTAATTTCGTGTGTGTGTTTGCTTTCCAGTATGTTTGCCTTTTCCTAGTTGGGCTACCACCTTTATTCCCTGTCCTGTGACTCTCCACCAAAACGATCTGAACCGTCTACTGAAATGCCTGCAGTACCCATGCAGGAGACCTTGGTCTTGCTGACAGTTTCTTTTTTTAAAATTAAGTAGTTAATTAGTAAATTAATTTTTACAATATGATTTTAGGTTCAGGGGTACATATACAGGTTTATTATTACAGGTCAACTGTGTGTCGCGGGGGTTTGGTGTACAGATTGTTTTATCACCCAGGTAATTAGCAGAGTATTCCATAGGTCATTTTTTGATCCTCACCCTCCTCCCACCCTCCACCCTCAAGTAGGCCCTGGTGTCAGTTGTTCCCTTCTTTGTGTCCATATGTACTCAATGTTTGCTTCCACTAAGTGAGAACATGTGGTATTTTGTTTTCTGTTCCTGTGTTAGTTTCCTTACAATAATGGCCTCCAGTTCCATTCATGTTGCTGCTGAGGACATGAGCTCATTCTCTTTTATGGCTGTGTAGTACTCCGTGGTGTATATGTACCACATTTTCTTTATCCAGTCTATCATTAATGGGCATTTAGGTTGATTCCATGTCTTTGCTACTGTGAATAGTGCTGTGATTAACATACATGTGCATGTGACTTTATGATAGAACAATCTATATCCTTCGGGTATACGCCAAGTAATGGAAATTAAACAACCTGCTCCTGAATGACTTTTGGGTAAATCATGAAATTAAGGCAGAAATCAAGAAATTCTTTGAAACTAATGAAGACAAAGATACAACATACCAGAATCTCTGGGACACAGCTAAGACAGTGTTAATGGGGATGTTTATAACACTAAACTCCCACATCAAAAAGAAAGATCTCAAGTTAATATCACAACTGAAAAAAATAGAGAAATAAGAGCAAACCAATCCCAAAGCTAGCAGAAGAAAAGAAATAACCAAAATCAGAGGTGCACTGAAGGACATTGAGACATGAGAAATCATGCAAAAGATCAACAAATTCAGTAGTTTATTCTTTTAAATAATTAATAAGATAGATTGACTGCTGGCTAGAATAACAAAGAAAAAAAGAGAGAAGATCTGAATAAACACAATCAGAAATGACAAAGGAGGACATTACCACTGACCCCACAGAAATAGAAAAAATCCTCAGAGACTACTACGAATACCTATATGCACATAAGCTAGAAAACCTAGAAGAAATGGGTAAATTCCTAGAAACATAAAACCTGCCAAGATTGAATCAGGAAGAAATTGAATCCTTGAATAGACTGTATTAGTTTGTTTTCATGCTGCTGATAAAGACATACACGAAACTGGAAACAAAAAAACTTTCATTGGACTTACAGTTCCACATGGCTGGGGAGGCTTCAGAATCATGGTGGGAGTTGAAAGGCACTTCTTACATGGCAGTGGCAAGAGAAAAATGAGGAAGAAGCAAAAACGGAACCCCCCGATAAACCCATCAGATCTCGTGAGACTTATTCACTATCACAAGAATAGCGTGGGAAAGACTGACCCCCATGATTCACTTACCTCCCCCTGGGTCCCTCCCACAACACATGGAAGTTCTGGGAGATACAATTCAAGTTGAGATTAGGGTGGGGACACAGCCATACCATATCATTCCACCCCTCATGTCCTCACATTTCAAAACCAATCATGCCTTCCTAATAGTCCCCCAAAGTCTTAACTCATTTCAGCATTAACTCAAAGTCCACAGTCTGAAGTTTCATCTGAGACAAGGCAAGTCCCTTCCGCCTATGAGCCTGTAAAATCGAAAGCAAGCTAGTTACTTCCTAGATACAATGCGGGTACAGGTATTGGGTAAATACAGCCATTCCATGTGGGAGAAATTGGCCAAAACAAAGGGGTTACAGGACCCATGGAAGTCTGAAATCCAGCAGGGCAAATTTTAAAGCTCCAAAATGATCTCCTTTGCCTCCAAGTCTCACATCCAGGTGATGTTGATGCAAGAGGTGGATTCCCATGGTCTTGGGCAGCTCCACACCTGTGGCTTTGCAGGCTACAGCCTCCCTCCTGGCTGCTTTCATGGGCTGGCCTTGAGTGTCTGTGGCTTTTCCAGGCGCAAAGTGCAAGCTGTTGGTGGATCTACCAATCTGGGTTCTGGAGGACAGCAATGACCCTCTTCTCACAGCTCCACTAGGTAGTGCCCCAGTAGGGACTCAGTGTGGGGGCTCTGACCCCACCTTTCCCTTTTGCACTGCCCTAGCAGATGTTCTCCATGAGGGCCCCACCCCTGCAGCAAACTTTTACCTGGGCATCCAGGCATTTCCATACATCTTCTGAAATCTAGTGGAGGTTCCCTAACCTCAATTCTTGACTTCTGTGCACCCGCAGGCTCAACACCACATGGAAGCTGCCAAGTCTTGGGGCTTCCACCCTCCAAAGCCACAGCCTGAGCTCTATGTTGGCCCCTTTCAGCCACAGCTGGAGTAGCTGGGACACAGGGCCCCAAGTCCCTAGGCTGCACACAGCAGGGGGACCCTGGGCCTGGCCCACAAAACAACTTTTTCCTCCTGGGCCTCTAAGCCTGTGTTGGGGGGAGCTGCTGTGAAGGTTTCTGACATGGTCTGGAGACATTTTCCCCATGGTCTTGGGGATAACATTAGGCTCCTTTCTACTTATGCAAATTTCTGCAGCCAGCTTGAATTTCTCCTCAAAAAATTGTTTTTTCTTTTCTACTGCATCATCAGACTACAAATTTTCTGAACTTTTATGCTGTTTCCCTTTTAAAATATAATGCTTTTAACAGCACCCACATCACCTTTTGCATGCTTTGTTGCTTAGAAATTTCTTCCACCAAATACCCTAAATCATCTCTCTCAAGTTCAAAGTTCCACAAATCTATGGCAGGGGCCAAATGCGGCCTGTCTCTTTGTTAAAACTAACAAGAGTCACCTTTGTTCCAGTTCCCAACAAGTTCCTCATCTCCATCTGAGACCACCTCAGCCTGGACCTTATTGTTCATATCACTATCAGCATTTTTGTCAAAGCCATTCAACAAGTCTGTAGGAGGTTCCAAACTTTCCCACATTTTCCTGTCTTCTTCTGAGCCCTCCGAATTGTTCCAATCTCTGCCTGTTACCCAGTTCCAAAGTCACTTCCACATTTTCGGATATCTTTACAGCAACATCCCAGTCTATTGGTACCGAGTTACTGTATTAGTCTTTTCTCATGCTGCTGATAAAGACATACCTGAGACTGGGAACAAAAAGAGGTTTAATTGGACTTACAGTTCCACATGGCTGGGGAGGCTTCAGAATCACGGTGGGAGGCGAAAGGCACTTCTTACATGGTGGTGGCAAGAGAAAAATGAGGAAGAAGCAAAAGCAGAAACCCCTGATAATCCCATCAGATCTCATGAGACTTATTCACTATCATGCAAATAGCACAGGAAAGATTGGTCCCCATGATTCAATTACCTCCCCTAGGTCCCTCCCTCAACATGTGGGAATTCCGGGAGATACAATTCAAGTTGAGATTTGGGTGGGGACACAGCCAAACCATTTTATAGACCAATAATGAGTTCTGAAATTGAATCAATGATAAAAAGCCTACCAACCAGAAAAGGCCCAGGATCCGACAGATTCACAGCCGAATTCTACCAGACGTATAAAAAGAGCTGTTACCATTCCTACTGAAACTACTCCAAAAAAATTGAGGAGGAGGGACTCCCCCCCTAACTCATTCTATGAGCCAAGCATCATCTTAATACCAAAACCTGACAAAGGCACAACCAAAAAAGAAAACTTGCTGACAGTTTCACTGCATTCCACAGTATTGCATTTCCCTCCTAGTGGGAGAACAATTTCCCCTTTGGGATGGAAATTCTGCATTCTGATGGAAGAGAGAAAAGGCAACCTGTTTGCTCAGCTCTGGTGAGAACACTTAGTTTCAGATGCCTGGACTTGCTGGACCGATGTACACATATTGCAAATGGTCCCCAGCCTAATGGCCCTGCCAGTGTCTCCTACAGGGTGGAGATGACAGTTGATTTTAGAGGTTCCCGGAAACAGGTGCACATGGTAAGGAAAATACTCTCTTTTCATCCTTCTCTGGAATTTTCTAATCAAGTTGAGGAAAAAGGCTCAGTTTGTGCTAACATGTCTTTAACACCTTTCTAACATTTCTTAACACGATTTTGTTTGTTTCTATTTTTAAGCACAGGGAGGAGGCCTCAGGTCAGAGTGCTCCTGCTCCTCGGGTAGCCCATCCATCTAGCAGTTTTAGTTTTCTTTGTACGGCTACTTTATGGTTAATAAAGCCACTTTGCAAAATTATAAAGTTTCTAAAGAAATTATGAAAATAGTGTCACTGTATTAGACAAATGAAAACAATAGTGGCTGAGGCAGAAGAACTGCTTGAACCCGGGAGGCGGAGGTTGCAGTGAGCTGAGATCACACCTCTGCACTCCAGCCTGGGCCACAGAGTGAGACTCTGTCTCAAAACAAAAAAAGGAAAAAAAAGTAGAAAAAAAGTAGTTACCCATTTTACTATAAAATTTTGATGCCTTTTTTTAAGTACAAAAATGGAAATCATATTCCTAGTATCCTTCTGTTTTCTTCCCTCACTAATATAATAGCATACCTATTTACATGGTATCACAAGTGCTTTATAAACATGGCATTAATGGCTTAGTTCTTTTTTGATTATAAAATTAAAATGTAGAAAGGTCAAATAAGAACCTAAGAATAAAAGAAGTAAGAATAATACAATTACTTAAAGAATGTCACTGTAAGGGTTTTAAAGCTTTTCTTTTTCTTTTTATTCTTTTTCTTATGTGTGTTTATAATATGTACATTTAATTTTTTAAAAATTGAATCACACAATTTTACAGTAACAGTTTTCATGTGCTTAGTATTTTATTCTATTTTTTTACATGTATGTGCCATAAAACTTTGGATTATTTGGTTTGGTTAGCGCCCCTAAAAAAATTGTCAGTCCAAAAGGTGAGTGTTTCTTAAATTATATATCATACGTTATATATGACTAAATTGTTTCCTAAAAAAAGTGTGTCGATTTATTTTCCCACAAGCAAAATATGAAAGTTTATTACAGCCTCTTCAGTGTTTGGAGCTCTTATTCATGAGATTTCTACTACTTTTATAGGCAAAATGTTTTATTTTTAGTTTTTCAATTCGCATTTTTTTAAAATTTTATTATTATTATACTTTAAGTTTTAGGGTACATGTGCACAATGTGCAGGTTAGTTACATATGTACACATGTGCCATGCTAGTGTGCTGCACCCATTAACTCGTCATTTAGCATTAGGTATATCTCCTAATGCTATCCCTCCCCCCTCCCCCCACCCCACAACAGTCCCCAGAGTGTGATGTTCCCCTTCCTGTGTCCATGTGTACTCATTGTTCAATTCTCACCTATGAGCGAGAACATGCGGTGTTTGGTTTTTTGTCCTTGCGATAGCTTACTGAGAATGATGATTTCCAATTTCATCCATGTCCCTACAAAGGACATGAACTCATCATTTTTTTTTGGCTGCATAGTATTCCATGGTGTATATGTGCCACATTTTCTTAATCCAGTCTATCATTGTTGGACATTTGGGTTGGTTCCAAGTCTTTGCTATTGTGAATAGTGCCGCTATAAACATACGTGTGCATGTGTCTTTATAGCAGCATGATTTATAGTCCTTTGGGTATATACCCAGTAATGGGATGGCTGGGTCAAATGGTATTTCTAGTTCTAGATCCCTGAGGAATCGCCACACTGACTTCCACAATGGTTGAACTAGTTTACAGTCCCACCAACAGTGTAAAAGTGTTCCTATTTCTCCACATCCTCTCCAGCACCTGTTGTTTCCTGACTTTTTAATGATTGCCATTCTAACTGGTGTGAGATGAGCATTTTTTAACAACTACTGTGGCTGGCCCTTTTCCTTGTCTGTATAGTTTCTCCTTTCTGATTTGTGCAAATACTATGGGTCCTTGGTGGGCATTTCATGTCAGGAGCTTGGGGTTTGTCTCAGCTGTTATTGTGAGGAAGGTGAGGTCTTGGAAGATACCATGAGTGCAGGGAGCTGCCTTTGGCTTCATCATATTTCATGTCACCAGTGGGCGGCCATGACCTAAGCAATGACCTATTCATCTAGAGTCTCAGGTGCCAGGAAGTTCAAGCCATAATTCTTTGGTACCCTAAGAAAGACAAAGATTAGAAGTAAGAACAAAAGGTAAGTGAGCAAGAGAGACAGATTTGCAGGCTGATAAAAGTTTATCAAAACAAACAAATCCCTATAACAGAAAAAAATCCATATTCTAGGATATGTCAGGATTGGAAGAGGTTCACCCCCAAACCCAGCATATTCTTTTTTTATATATACTTTAAGTTCTAGGGTACATGTGCACAACGTGCAGGTTTGTTACATATGTATACATGTGCCATGTTGGTGTGCTGCACCCATTGACTCGTCATTTACATTAGGTATTTCTCCTAATGCTATCCCTCCCCCATCCCCCCACCCCACAACAGGCCCCAGTGTGTGATGTTCCCCACCCTGTGTCCAAGTGTTCTCATTGTTCAATTCCCACCTATGAGTGAGAACATGCGCAAACCCAGAATATTCTAAAGAGACAAAGTGGAACTAGATGGTGTGTAGACAGACCTGGATTAGAACCCTGACAAGCTGTATTAGAAACCATCAAGTTGTGCAAAGCGGGACAGGTTTCTCCACTTGAATCCAGTCTCTGCATCTGTAAAATGGGCAAGTGTGCCCTTCCTTTCAGAACTTCAGATGATTAAGTCAAACAGTGTTCATTAAATAGATAAAACCAAGGCTGGCACATACAGGCATTCAGTAAACAAGAGCTTAAAAAATTTCCACATCCAGGATTTTGTGGTATTAATGATAAGGAAGATGAATGGGAGGGATGATACATTTTGAAGGGTGTTCTGAATTATGGAAATAAAAGAGAGCCAGTTGCATCTTTTACCAAAGGTACAACTTTCAGTATAAATATCTTTATTGTATTTCAATACTTGAACAAATTGGTGAGACACTGATATTAGAATTTTATACTCTCAGGAGCATTCAATTTCCCCATCACTGATGAAAGTAGGCATTTCAATATTTACTACAAATTGGCTAGAATTTTCAGGAGTTGGTTTATCACTAAGTGAAAATAACAGCACTTAGTTTTCCTGAAACCCAAGAAAAAATCATTTTTCTAAAGTCTTGTCTTTTTAATAGTTGTGCTGTGAAGTAGTTTTTATTAGTGGTTGGGTTTTGTTAAGGGGAAGGAATTTTTTTTCTTTTTTGAGACGGAGACTTGCTCTGTCACCAGGCTGGCATGCAGTGGTGCGACCTCGGCTCACTGCAAGCTCTGACTCCTGGGTTCAAGCGATTCTCCTGCCTCAGCCTCCTGAGTAGTTGGGACTACAGGCACATGTGACCACGCCCGACTAATTTTTGTATTTTGGTAGAGACAGGGTTTCACCATGTTGGCCAGGATGGTCTCGATCTCTTGACCTCATGATCCACCCGCCTCAGCCTCCCAAAGTGCTGGGATTACAGGCATGAGCCACTGTGCCCGGCCAGGATGGTTTTTCTAAGGCAGTATCCTCCCTCCCTCAACACACATACACTTAATCCTGGAGAGTCCCCGAAGTCAGGACAACACAAGGACACTGGGTAATGCCACTTGAGGCAGAGTGAGAGGCATCACAGAGCTCAAGGGACATGCTGAGGGAGGCCATCCCAGCAGTGCTGAAATTCTGCTACCTGGCAGACATGCTAACTGTAGCATCCAAAGAGCCCGCTTCCCTTCTCAGTCACCTTCCTTCCCATCCAGAATGAAAAAGCATGGAAATGACTGATGACTGACACCGTATGTATGGGAGGCTGGAAAGAAGGAGGCAGGGGAATTTGGAGGGAGGAGTGGAGGAGCGGGTTTAGTTTTTAGTGGCTATTTGTGTATATATGTCAATGGCTGGGTGCGGGATGGTGGTGGTGAGACAGAATATGTTTCCTGAAAAGCTGGGCCGTGAGTAGAAGACAACAGAAGGGCCTGGCTCAACTCCCCACCTGCCTGGGGTGCTGTGTGGGTGGAAGGTCTGGCTGGGGTTCAAAGGCAAGGACAGCTGTGGTCACCCCTATGGATTCCTCCTCAGTGTGTGCTCAGTCTGCCATGGGTGAGGTATTAATGGGGCTAGCGTTTGTCAGACTCAGTGGAGTCACTCAACTGATACCGTCTTGGAACCTGCTGTGTGCCAAACCTTGTGCTGCAGGCTGAGGGCACAAGAGGTAGGACCTGGTGTGGGCACAAACAGAGATACACAAATCAAGCGCACTGAGATGGGGCACCCCACAGAGTGCACACCGTGGACAAGGGTGCCCACAGATGGGACGATTGCCTCTGCAGGGAGTCAGCAGGGGTTTCACGGAAGACAGGGTGGAGTCAATGAGTCTCTAAACGGGAACTGCCATTTCCCAAGAAGCTGGGAGGGGCTGACATCCCTCCTCTCTGCACTGTGAAGGACTTAGTTTTGCATAGCCTCATGGGTGAGAGATCTAGCTCTGGAAACAGATGGAGCTGGGTCAGGATTTTGGGGGCTCTGTCACTCATTGTGTGACCTTGAGCTAATGACTTAACCCCTTCAAGCCTCAGTTTCCTTACCTGTAAATTGGGAAAATAATACTCTCTACCTTGTAGGGTTATTTTAAAAGTTCTATATGGAAATTGAAGTGTGATGTATATCACACAGTAATTATATTGGCATTTATATAGTATAATAAATATAGTATATTATATGATCAATGAAACAGTCATGACTCTGGTTCTGCCACAAACCATGCAAGTTACTTCACTTCTTTGGGTCTGACCCTTCATTCGTAAAATGGGTACCTTGGACTAAGTTACCACCAAGCTTCTTTCTGGCTTGAACATCCTATGACATACTGCTTTGTAGTATTGACTATCTTCTTATGTAGACCTTTTCCCTGATAGATGCTCTTTGAACCTTTGCAACGCCTAGAACACTGCATTGCTCATAGTTGCTGCTTAATAAATGTGACTTGAGTGATCATCATGAATTTTCCATTTGCTTAAATACTACATGACCATAAATATGGCTTTTGTTTAAGGGTTTCTTAAGACATATATGAAACTTCAGCTTTTCAAACATCTTTCACATGACTGAAAATGACATGTAGCTTTTAACTTGAAGAGTCTCACATAAGTCAATATTTTCAGGGCAGACAGACACAGGAAAAATGCTTGTTTCTGGCACCCTGAGCTGCATGTGGGTGGGGAGAGCAGAAATGTGACTTTCTTGGTGGTGCTGGGTGTTCGTTCTTGATGATTCACAACAGCACCTTGGGTAGCAGCTGGCATCCCTCCTCTCTGCACTGTGAGGGAAGTGATTCTCTGCTCCCTAGCTTTTGCCCCAGTCCACTTATTTGCCTTTTTAGTTCAATGTGAAGGTGTTTCAGGCTATAAAGAACTATCCTATGGTTCATGGGCATTACCAATCCACATTTCTATGTTCTTGGCCATGCATCTTCAATAAGAAAGATCCTATCGCCAAATGCTTTCAAAAGAAGCAATCTCAGTAAATGAATTATGCTCTAATAAAAAATTGATGGGATATAATATCTGAATTAGGAGATCTGAAGAAGCACATGAGAAGAAGAATAAAGTTCTAATGGTTGCTATTGTTCAGGCAGTGCCCTTCCCAGATCTTCCATCAGCCGACACAGAGCTGGAGGGCCCTTTATTTAAATGTTCTGAGTCACCGACACGGCCTCCACTATGTTTGTAGGTAGATGAAAAATGCCTTCTATTAATGAGTGTTCTTGGACTTAATTAAAATTGATACCACTTTCCTCTTAATAAGAACAGAAAATGGTCCCAAATTTGAATCTGTTCTCGTGAAGAAGATAGCATCAAGAACTGGGAATGAAACAAATGCAATTTTTTTCTCATTACAACATTCACATTTTGACCTCAAGGACTTTCTTAGGGCCCTATTCTTCGTTCCCTCCTCCCAGCCACTGCTTTTACTGTGCAAAGCAATGGTACAATTTTTCCCTCTTGAAAAAGAAGTCGTTGCCCCGACGTCTTGAGTTGTCTGTGGGGCTCCAGGGCATCCTCTAAGTCCCTAAATAGGTTGAGTTGAACAACTCTGCAGTAGGTGAGAAAATATTCTGCCATTCACGGGATGTGATTTTGCATAAAATGGCTACTGAAGAATCCTATATAGAAGCAAGAATAGGATGCATTTCTACCTGCTGGTGGCCACATTGGCAGTTGCTGCATTGGGCTCACCTGGAATTTTGGGTTATGATGATACTGCATCCGTTGGCTTTAAGTAAAAGAGGGAGGGGTGAGGCGAAACCCACCAAAATCCCTAAAACCTTTTCGACATCTGTAATGTCCCATTTGTGCCAACCAGAACCTAACGCCCGTGATCTGCTCAACAGGCAGGTGATGACATGCTTTTTGGGTACGATATATACACCAGGCCATTAGTCTGCAAGCAGCAGTTGTCAGCTTTGTTCCCATTTAGAGTAATTTTCTCACTAATATAGCATATTCTTCAGGGATAAAATGCATTTTCCAGCCAGATACTCCCCCTAATAGTGAAGTTGGTTTAATGATCGGATTTCAGCCAAGGAAGGTAAGCCTGCGATTGCCGCTGGTTGTATATTGAAGCTACCAAAAATGAAAAGGCTTATTTTAAAACACATTCATATGAGCCGGCAAAACCCTCTCCTTTCCAGATTAATGAAGCTTATTTGAGGGGAAACATAGGCACGAATTTAAGAGCTAAGTAAGGTACTTAGAACCTTTTGGTGCAAAGCCACATATAGGCATATATTTTTGAACTGTGATGATGGATGTAGGGTTTTAATAGGGGAGAATGATGACCGGCAAGCTACAGAGAGGCGGGTATCTTCAGGCCAACCCTCCCTGAAATGACAACATATGATGATTTTTTTTTCCTTCCATGTGTAGGCCTTGAATATTCAAATCAATTAAACAATTAATTCTCACCCTGCAAACTTGCACGTCAAGCCTCAGCCTGTGGCCAATTTATTTGGTTGAATTATAACCCCCCTGAAAAGCAGCGGTTCCTAATGGAAAAGCTGACGGAGTCTTAAGTACACGTGGTGAGTGGAGCTGCTATAATTAACTCTGCTTTGAAACCCACCCCCCCATTAATATTTTACAGATTTTTAGTTAAAATAATTACATGAATTTATGAAAAATACTCAAGCACCTAAAGTACTTCTACTGTGCCCCAATTTCAGGGTTTCCCTTCCTGGCTGTCACTTGGGTATATGCGTTTCTACCCTGGTGATTATCACCCGGGTCCCAGCTGGTGGGGAAACATTTATTTCCAAAATGGAGACCTCCTTCTCCTTTCTCCTTTGTAATCTCAGTAATAGGGACTGCATGTCCACAACTGGCCTTCTGGTTAACATGGACGGTTCTTTTCTTTTTCTCTTCTGTTTCCCCTTTCTCTGTCTCCCCTCCTTATCTTCTCCTGGGATAATGCTCCCCAGACAAAGCCCCTTCCTTGGAAGGGCCAAAGGTTCCTTCCTTGGCAAGGCAAGGCAGTCTAGTGCAGGGGTCAGCAAACTTCCCCTGTACAAAGCCAGCAAGGAAATAATTGAAGCTTTGTGGGCCCTGCAGTCTCTAAAAGCATGCTCACCTCTGCTGCCACAGCACAAAAGCAGCTGTTGAGAAAATGTCAGTGAGTGGACACAGTTGTATTCTAATAAAACTTTATTTATGGTCAGAAATGGAATGTTTACATGTCAAAGAATATTCTTCTTTTTATTTTTTTGTGACCATTCACAGATATAAAAATGATTCTTAGCCTCGCCAGCCCTTACAAAGCATGCAGCAGGCTGGGTTTGGCCCCTGGGACTGTTAGTTTGGCAACCCCTGGTGCAGTTGATTGATTAAGAACAGAGCTCTTTGTCTGGAGTCAGATTTGGTGGGTTTCTGTTCTGACTCTTGCAACTTTCTATCCATGTGACTGGACCAGTGATTGATCTTTTCTGAGCCTCAGCCTCCCCGTGTCTAACAGGGTGATGATGACAGTGGTACTCGCCTCCCAGTCTGGCTGTGATGACTTACGAAAAGCATGCAGCACAGTGCCGGGCACACCAGAAAGTAACAATGTAAGTGCTCACTGAGGGGATATCTCTCCTTGGTTCTGGCGTTAACTTGCTGTGTGATGTTGGACAAGTAACTTGACATTTCCAGACCTAGATCCCTGAATTATTAGAAGAGACAAAAGACAAAAACCCTCCAAAAACCCAGGCTTGATCTAGAATACGCAGGGGCCGCATCTGGCCCAAGGGGACCTGATTTCCCCTAGGATGAGTATCTCATTAATTGGCCTCAGGATGGTGGGACCTGGAGGGCTTTTGCTTCCTGGTATGTTCCAGTTCTGCAATTGTTGATGGAATATGCCCTGAACGTAGGCTCTCGAGACAAGCTGTTATCTCATTACTCCCTGGGAGGAAGAACTCCCTGTCCTTTCGTTTTGGGGACTGGCCCCCCTTGGTGAGGACTTCTAGTGCTGCAGGTATCTGGTGGCCCATTTACTGTCCTCACCAGCCCTGTGTGGAGGCTGCTTCAGCTTCATGTTGTGCACAAGAAAATAAACTCAGAGAGATGAAGACTGACCCCAAAACACTAGTTGATTTGAACCAAGGTAATCTTGACTCCGAAACCCAAACTTCAGTCATTCTCTTTATGATTGTTGCCCTGTCTATATAGCATCTGTTCTATTGCCTACTAAATATTTTAAAATGAACTCACTATTTGTATTACTTTTAAATGGCAAAAACCACAATTACTTTTGCACCAACCTAAATACTTAGATTCCTTTTAAAAAGATTTCCTTTAAAATCAAATTTATTTTGAACTATGAATTTGATGTGCTATTTATATTTTTACTGATAAATATCAAAACAAAGTAAAAAGGAGATCGTTATGTGCACTCTCGGATATCATCTTAAAAGCCGGTGAGTCATCAATGTTGCTCTTCAGAGACACTGCTCTGTGCTTTGTCCCAGCTAAATGTGGCTGGAGGCTTGGCATCAGGTGGGTCCTTTGGACAGTCAAGCCCTTCCTGTGGGCTTGGGGACCATTTCCAGTTTCCATTTGTCTCTGTGCTGGGAGTAACCACTTGTTAAAAGACTCCCTCCCATCTCCTCCCCAGCTTGCCCCAAAGTCAGCTTCCACGGCTGCTAGATCAGCTCCCTAGTCACCAGGCTGACTCTAGAGCTGGTCTTAGTATCCTTCCTGCCACCCCCGCCACCTTGCCATTTGCCACTCCATACAGGGATGCTCTTGACTTCTGAGTGCCTAGGTAAATGTTCATTTTCTTTTGGTCCCGCCTGTGCAACAGTGCTGTGGGAAGATTTCCAGCCCCACAGAGACCTGTGATCTTATCCAGCCTGGGCCTCTGGCTGGCCATATGATCTCACTCACACAAGCCTCAGTCTGCTTACCTGAAAATGGGGGTACTAATGCAATCTGTCTGCAAGAGGTATCATGAGGAGATACAAGAGGAAGGCTCGAAGTAAGAGGAGGAGCCCCAGGAAGGAGGAGAGGCTGTGGAGGCAGACCTGGGGTCCAACTGCTGCTCCACCACCTCCTGGCTATGGAATTGGATCTGTGGTGATGTTGATGACAGTCTTAGGATGGAATTATGAATTTCCACCCACCTTCTTTGTCTGCTTCCTCCCATCATGGCACTTCTTTGTCTAAACATGGCTTCCCTTTGAACACATCCACAAATCGGCCTTTCCCTGACCTCTGGAAACATCCAAGCACCAAGGCTTAGCCACCAGGGCTGCATGCCTGTCCCCGCCTGTCTGAGAAAGCAGGCGGGGCCTCCCTCTGCTGTCTCAGATGGGCCAGGCCCCAGCCCAGCGCTACCATTGACTCGTACTTGAATCCAACTCATCTTGATTTTATGAGAACCATCCCTGAAAATCCTCATGTTCAATAGACGACACCAGGGAACCGTGGAGCAGGCCTGTCATTTGAATAATCAGCCATTTAGTGACATGTCTAGCCTGGTTTAATGACTGAATCAGTGAAAGTATGACCCCGAGTGCCGGTTAACTTTTAAAATAGCTGTGCCCACTGCATGACACAGCCAACAGGAAACCATTAAGGCCCTAGCAATTACCACTTCCATCCATCGGCAAAGTCCCTATTTTATTTTAATCTGCGTAAGTGCATTTTCTGCACGAGGTTAAAATATAAATCCCTTCTCCTGAACAAGACTGGTTTTCTGGCTGACTTGAGAGCACAATTTACAACTGATTTAATTTGTTCTTCACAAACATTCCTAATGACATTACCCCGGTGCATATACAGACTGCCTCCTCTTATTCCATTAACTCCCAAATCGGGTTTAAAGACCATATTGATGCTAGATGTTATTATGGGTGATTATCAAAACAACAGACAATGCGGCAAAGTGTTTACTAACTGGTTTATATATAATTTCTGTAATAACGACAACAGATGGTAATGCTACAAACACTAAATCACGCTTTTCGCCGCTGAAACAAATTGGCAGCCTGCAGTACAGAAATGGTGTACGTAGCTATATACAGATGCTTCAGTCATCAGCTATAGTGTTCATCTTATTAGGAAATGGGTCTGTTACTGCTATTACAGGTAATCTTTCCATTTACAATTACAAATGTATATTTTCAATGAAAATGGTTTTCCGCAGCTAAGCTGCCTGTAGGATATTTCCCCTCTAATTACTGCCCCAGTGAATGTGCGCCCAGGCCATGCCATGCACAGGGTTATGTTTGTCCTAGTTAATGATGGCGGCTGCATTTTAGTTGCTCTGAGATGGGTCCTCTCCAAGACCCTCCACCTCTCGCCGGCAAGACCACAATACAGCCCCAGGCAGTGGGTTCATTAGGACTTTAGAAGCAGAGTATGAACAGGATAAGAAGCAGCTGAACGTGAGAGGGCTCTTCCTTGAGCCTGTCTCCAGTGATTCTCCAATCCCCTGCCCCTGTCATTGATAAGCTCCACCTGGCCTTTTGAAAATGCTAAGCCAACATCCAAAGGGCCTTTGGAGGAAGGGGCTTGCCCATGTCATGCAGCGGCAGGGCCAGGACACTGACGCTGGCCCCCAATGGGGAATTCAAAGTTTCTTTTGTCCCACTGCGAACTCTTTCCCATCCCAGGCACTATGGATGCTACCCCAGGGGACCCAAGTCTGACTCAGTGGCCTGAGTCTCAATGGCTGCATCGTGAGTGCCACATGTGGATTCTGTCATGAAATTCAGCAGAAACTCCATAAAGTGGACACCATTGTTAACCCACCTTGTGGAGGAGGAACCCGTGAGCCAGCACAGAGGACCCACTTGCCTGTGATCTTGTGGCTTGGAGGCAGTAGGACAGGGATTTGAACTCAAGCTGTCAACTGAATCCAAAGCCTGTGGGCTGAGCCACTGAACTCTAAGCCTTTCCAGAGGGCATCGGGGCCTGTGCTCTCCTAGGAAAAACAGAGTTGAACCTTGGAATAAAGGACAAAAAGCGTTGTGTTTCTGTGCCTCAAGCTCCCACCCTTCAGCTCCTCCACTTTCAGTTTTTCCCACCAGGGTGCCAGCTGATTCCTAGGCCTGGATGCTGAAGCCCCATGCTGGCTGGGAGGAGGAAGGCGGTGCAGAGGCTACAGGAGAGGGACAGAGATACAGAGCATTCCGCCAGGCCGCTTACCTGCCGTGGGAGCTTGGCCAGTTCTTCCCCTCATGCTTCGGTAGTCTCATCTGCAGAGAGAGAATCAAAGTGATGCCTGCTGCCTACGACAGCTCGGGAAGACTGTGTGGAGCCGATGGTTCATGCACGTTAGGGAGTTAGAGCAATGCCCTGCCCAGATCGGGGCTCCGCAGGGATGAGCTCCATTCACTGCAGCCACACTTTTGGGATGACTCTTGGCTCTGGAAGGCCCCTCGTGGGGTTGGGGTGCTTGCCTTTTTTAGGATGGACCCCGTTTCTGCATGCTCCCTACGCTGGGCTTCTGTGCTGGTCTTCTGTGCCTTTGGAGTGAATTTCACTTCCTTCCTTATTTGAGGCCCTCTTGGGTCTGAACACTGGCTACCGAGATCACAAGACTAATACATGCCTCGGGTCACAGCGACAGAGGATGGCTGGGGGTGGGAGTGGTGAGGACACATTATTCAGACAAACAAACTGAGGCCCAGGGCAGGGGTGGTTTGCACGAGGTCCTGCAAAGCTAGACTAGGCCTTCTTCCCATCTTGAAGAGTCCAGAAAACAAAAGAGGACAGGGGCTGGGGTGTGCCTTGGGGCGTGCAGTCACTGGGAATGCTGTACTCTCTGTCTCCTCCAGCCGCACACCTCTCAAGTGGGCTTCTCATCTCCAGGAGGCTGTGGGGTCCTCTCGGGAGGCTGGGGCTGCATCTGGTATTTCTCTTCAGCCCGCATGAGCTGGGCCCCCATGGTCCTCACCAGGTTGCCAGCTTCCAGGCCAGTGGTGGCTCCACTAGGCCTGGGGAACAGCCTTCTGATCATTTTGTGGGAGTGGCATGCTACCCTTGGGCTCCTCCCACAATGGATTTTGGAGGCAGCAATATGCCTACCGTTTGGCCAGGAGCAAGTGCTCAAAATCATCCCCACACGTTTCTGATGCTGAGAGCAGAGGAGGTAGAGAGCACTTCCCACGCACTCCAGGAACTGGGCCTGGAACCAGGCCCAAACCCGGCCCAAACCCGGCCCAAACCCGGCCCAGGTGCCTGGAAGGCCTCCCTTCCAGTCAGTCCCTGACCACCCATTTATCTGAGTGGTTTCACTTGTGTGAAACACACCTTCGGCCCCCTCACTGGGAAACACGGGTTTGAGGAGGAGTGAGAACACATCCTGCGCGCAGCACTCGCCCACTGTCGGACCCCCGCTGTGTGCCACCTCCCGCTGCCTCCTGCTGCAGGGCAAGGTGGCTCTGAGGACTGACCCAGGACAGGGCCCGCCACGCTCCAGTGAGAAGCCAATCACGCACTTCCCGATGACCACTTTGCGAGGAGACAATGGATCGTTTCCTCTCTGTAATTTTCTGCATGGAGGTCTCCCTGTTGTCCCCTGGCCACATCCTCCTGACCTCGGAGGCCACCCTGTACCCTCGCCACGCTGCGCCTGCTCCTTACTTGCACAATGAGCTGCTGTTCTGGGGGCTTTTCCTAGAGGAGCAGTGCTGGCCTTAGCAGTCTGGGAGGAAGCACCTGGTCTGGGTAAATTTTCAGGAGGACCTGCCTGGGCGTGGGGCCACACTGGCCAGGCTGCCTGCCTGGGCCTCCCTCTGGCCAGGCATTTGCTAGGCAGAGAACCAGCTCCAGAGTGGGATACCCAGACCTCCTGCCTTTTTCTACACTGGGGTTGGTCTTTTGCCTTGGGAGGGCCTCGTAGCCTGGTGGAAGAAGCCCACTGGAACAAAACTGAAGTTTAAATCCCAGTATATGGCTTATCTGACCACAGGCAAATAACCTCAGTCTTTCATTCTTTAAACTGGGGATGATAGAACCTCCACACGAGGACATAGCACAGAATAGGCTCTCATAAAATAGAAGTTCTTATTATTAGCTGTCCTTGTGACCTCCATGCAATTCATGGGAATGATTAGGCGTTTGACATTCCTTTCCAGAATCCAAGTCAGTGAGAAGGTCGGCTCTGCCTCCAGTATCTGCTGTTCCTTCCTCAGTAGACGTGAACTTGAAAACCTTTCCCTGGCCATATCTTAAGCAAATTCCTAATCATGGATGGATTTTAACCCATTAACCATTCCAAAAGGAGGAGTGTATTCATTATGAAATGTTATCTGGTAAGAAATGTTTGCGTTTTAGTGAGTAAAAATTCAATCCCTTATGTCTATATATATATATATATTTTTGGAATGAAGTCTCACTCTGTCACCCAGGCTGGAGTGCAGTGGTGCAATCTTAGCTCACTGCAACCTCCACCTCCTGGGTTCAAGTGATGTTCCCACGTCAGCCTCCTGAGTAGCTAGGATTACAGGCGTGCACCACCATGCCAGACTAGTTTTTTTTTTTTGTATTTTTAGTAGAGATGGGGCTTTACCGTGTTGGTCAGGCTAGTCTCTAACTCCTGACCTCAAGTGATCCGCCCGCCTCGGCCTCCCAAAGTGCTGGGATTACAGGTGTGAGCCACTGTGCCTGACCACCTCAATATTTTCTTTCAACAGAAAGGGTTTTCCTGAGATGTCATCAGATAAACTATTATGGGATAGTAGACAGTAGACTGGAATTGGCCAAGAAACAAACCTGGGAAAAAGTCCTTGCTCTACCCTTTCTTAGTCTGGGGACCTTGGGCCTCAGTTTTCCCATCTGTAAAATGAGGGTGGCGTTTGGTCTACTTGGTGCCTAAAGACCGTCTGATATTTTTTGAGTCTGTGATTGTTCGGAAGCCTGATCAAGTGGAAAGAATTCCGGCTGGTGGAAACTGCCCTTGGGGCCCCCTATCTGAGCAGGATCCTAAGGGCTTTCGTGGGCTGCCAGAGCTGGCTCTCAGAACAGCCTCAATGTTCAGACAGCACAAGGTGATTGCAGTTCTCCTCACATCGTGCCAAGCAGGAGTAATTAACAGACATGTTGCAAAGTGTATCTAGCATATCTAGCAGATTTTAAAAAATGACTTCCAAGGATTATAAAAGACTTTAATTAGAATTTCACAAAGGCGGAGGCTGAGGATTTGCTGACTGCCCTGCCATATTTTTTTTCCAGGGTTCAGCGCAGCTTCAGAGATAGCAAAGAGTGAACAGTGTTTTAAGGCCACGGTACAATGTGACAACAGTGATAGATATGCTAATTTCTTCATCCACTCCACTTCACTTCTTTTATTCTTTCCAATTAAAGCAAATGCTACTGAAACTGTAATTAAACCAGGCCTGGGCCCTGATTGCCTGCTGTTTTAATGAAACCCTATTGATTTTCCTTTTCTTTCTAATGGCCACACATGGTGCTCAATGGTCAAACACACGCCCCGCTACAATGTCCTGGTAAAACTTAATTTTGGGCTGGTAAAATGGAGGCCCGACGGAGAGCGGTCTTGAATGGATTACTTACCCGTGGTGTTGGTGAGTAAGGCCCCTCCTTCCTCATGTGAGGCCACGGAGAGGCGAGAAACACACCTATGCTGTATGACCATCCAAAAGAAACGAAATGCATTCGGGGAAGAAATCAAACTCCTTTTTATCCTAGTGCTGATTCTATAAGGAGCAGCATGTTAGTTAAACTCTAGTGGCTTAACTAAGCTGGATGTTAAAATCTGGGCAATTTGGAGCCCTGGAAATATATATTCTTGACAGATGTTCACAAGCCAGAACAGTTTTGGAGACGAAGTATTGGAAGAACATTTTACTTCTCTTTGGCAATTAACTTGAAAAAGAAGTTTTTTTATCAATGGGCCATCCCTCTGAGATGACTCTTGCACTGCTACTCCCAGCCCCTGCATGAGGATATGGATGTTATGCAAGTACGTTGAGTGGGGAGGGGTGCTGGGAATGAGCACAGCAAATACTTACTGGTGCAAATTAATATTCTGGCCAGAAAGCATGGTTTCAGATATTGCTGGCTTCCTACACCTAGCAACAGCCGTCACCACGTGAGACTTGGTAAGGAAGCTCGGGCTTGTGTTTCCTAAATGGCTCTAACCTGTTTGAGCAGAGTCATTGCTCAGGGCTACAGGATGGACTAGAGCCAGCTGGGAGCAGATCTCATCTTGTGTTTATGAGCTGGTTCTGATCAAAGCCTTTATAGGTGCCTTTTTGGGTTATGGGGAGTATTGGAAGAGGAGGTGGGTCATGTCCCACAAAGGACATCATCCTTTTCTCGTTCCTCTAGTTCCACGCCCCCTCTCCGCTTCTCCCTACCAAGCAAATGTTCATTAGTGTGCACACTTTTTCGAGCAGACATATTGCTGTTTTATAAAAAAGATGCCAGAGCAGGAGACGCATGCCCTCCCCATCCCAGCCAAAGCACAAGACAGCAGCACTGTATTCCTCCTCCCTCTCCAATGTGTCGATGGCCTACTGTGTGCCAGGCACCAGCTAGGCGCTTCACATGGGCCTTCTCTTCATTACCCCATGATAACGCCGTTGAATAGAAAGGGAAACAGACCCAAGGGATTGCACAGTTATTAAAAGTATAATTGCTCTCCAGGCAGGACAAACAAGAATGAGCACTGTCGGTGTGATGTGGGTTCAATCCTGCTTTTGTCACCACTCGTGGGTCATCTGGACTTGGCTCCACCCATTCTCCTTGCAGGTTCACCATCTTCTCTTCTCCCTGAGTGAGGTATAAGCTCCCTGAACCTGAATCTGACTCCCAGGTAAGGAGAGGGCAGGGCTTGTCCACTGGGCTGTACTGGCATTTGAGGCTAGATAGTTCTTTGTGGTGGTTGCGTGGGGGTCTTACACTTTATAGGGTGGTTAAGAGCATCTCTGGCCTCTACCAACTAGATGCCAGTAGCACACCCCTAGCTGCAGTCTTGACAACCAAAAATGTCCCCAGACATTACCAAATGTCCTCTGGGGAGCAAAATACCTCCTGTTTGAAAATTATTGGTCTAGACATCTGTATTTTGTTTGCTTGGGGCTAAAAACATAGTACCTTTTTAAAACATGAACACCAAACAATTTGTTTTACTCTAATAGCCCTGATAATTCTGTAGCAGCATTCTCGTTGTAAATAAAAAATAAAAATGAAAATTCAAAATTCAGACTTGAAGACTAGAAAAAAGACCATATGTGTGTGTGCATGTGTATGTTTTGACAAAACCTAGAACTTTTCCAATGGAAATCTCAGGAAAGGGCATGGACTGGGAGTCGGAAGACCTGGATCCAGTCCTAGGCTGCTGCTTCTTGCTGGCCAGTGTCTTGGTGAGTCAAGTCCCTTGAGCAGTGAGATTTTTTGTCATTAATGTGAGGAAGATGTTATAGTGATTCATCTCTGAGGGTCCTGGAAGGACTGACATTCTTAATAATTGAACAGAAGCGTAATGAGTGGTACAAATGTGGAATCAGGGAATTTCCAGTGATGGGCAAATTCACAACATGTGAGAAAGGTAGGGAGGGAAAGAGAGAGAGTGGGGGCGGGGAGGGCAACAGTGCAAAAAAGGTGCAAGAATGGATGCCCCAAATTCACTGCGGGTTGTGAAGTCACTCCAGGACCTGGTCTCAAGTCAGCTAACGGTTTCCACACAGTCCCCTGGAGGCCCATCTCCATATAAGGAAAACCAGAGGGAAGATTAGATTTGTTTTACAGAGACTTGTTTCACCTCCACGTCAGGAAGGCATGACTTATTTGTCTTAGTTGTGGTGTGATCTAGGCCTGCTTGTATCTCTGCTTGCTCAGGGTCAGAGAGAAGGCTGGATTCTGGGATGCTGCAGGATTTTGGAAGCAAAGACAGAGAGGGCACCTGGAGAATGGTTGCCAGAGTGAAATTCCCCAGACAATAGAGATAATTTGGAACTGTTTAAAGAACAAGGGTAAGTTCTCTGAATGCTGCTCTTCTCAGGCTGATCCCCAAAAGCAGAGAACTGAAGTCTCTTTCCCCACCGAGTACCGGTGACAGAGAGGGAGGATGGCCACTCTTTCACAGTATCTCTTTGGGAAAGAGCTGGCGTCCTCTTGGGCAACAAAAAAAACCCTCCCTCCCACTTGCTTTGTCTTCATTTCATCTTTCAGGACCCACATCCGTAGGACAAGCCATTTTTTGAGAACCCCACAGAACCAACGACCTTCTTTTTACAGATAAAGATGAAAGCCAGATTTTTTAATTGGTTTTTAAAAAATTGCATGTACTTTTGACAGAGACGAAAGACCCTTTTCCTGGATGTTAGCTCTGACATCTTCCTTGTTAGGATGGGAGAGGAAAAAAAAAAAATGGACCCTAGGCATGGAGCTTGCAGGGACCCTGGAAAAGGGGACACCATCATGCCACCATCGAGTTCTGTCAACTGTCAAGTTAATTAGAACGAAATTAAAAACACATTTGCCAAGATGTTCCGCAGCCAAACCAGTTAAATAGAGATTTTAACAAAATTGAAAGCATATTATACTGAGATTTGTGGATTCTGGCCCGGTGAGTGAGTGCTGAAAGTGTGATAAAATAGCAAAATTGCTGCCTAATAATCTATAGAATAATATTGTCAACTAATGGATTATAATAAAATAAAAGCTGTTATTAGGGTAAAACATTATAAAAAAAATCCAACTTTTCTTTGCAGCCCCTCCCCCTTAATGGTTTTGAGCATTTTGAAAGGTAATTTAAACAAGTACATTGTGTCCTTATTGAAGCGGCTTCATCTTGCTAGCTGCTGAAAATGGCTTTAACCATCCCTCTGAACAAAAGCACCCCTAATAAGACAACAAAAAGCCCAAAGCAATGGCCCAGCGGCATCGCGCTCTGGCGCAGAGCGAGCCTGCTAAGGCGGCAGCTTTCTCCTTGCATGTAATTAGATGAATTAAAAGGACAAAGTGGTTAATGTAACTGTTGTCCGGGGGGCCCCCAGCCCTTTTCATCCCATCCATTTCAGACAAGAGCCTGTGGCTTTTGCTTCAGCAATGCGGAGAAGAATGTTGGCGGGGAGGGAAATTAACAAGCTTAATCTATGAGGAATCTGCTCCGTGTCATGGATGAAATGTATCTCGAGCAACGAAAGGCTAGTCATTCCTGCTTCCCTTTTATATGCCTAATAAAACTTACAATAAATTAACTGCATTTTAGTTTGCAGCTAGGCTCTGTTAATCAGGGATGAGGCTTCGGGTAGTCAAGTTACAAGAAGGCTTCAGCGGGTGCATGTCAGCTATGCGGTTGGGCGGGTTGGCCCCACTCTAATTAGCCTGGCTTCCCACGTTGACATTTCAGGTACGGGTTCACTGTTGGGTTTCGCGTCTTCTGTAACGGGGAGTGAGAAGGAAGGTGTATGTTATCCATCCAATTCACCTGACTGAGGGGTACTGGGACCCTTGGAGTGAAATCTCTCCAAGATAAATAGATTCCTTATAGCTCTTCATCTAATTGATATCAGGGTGTTTCCTTGATAACTCTGTGCATTGTTTATTTTCTGTGAGTGCCTCCTACTCTTCATACTGTCCTATTAGGAATGCTGCCACCATGGCAACATCAATTTTTCATGCGGGCCCTTAGTATCATTCTCCGTAGAACTTTGGGATAATGCTTCCATGGGGTTCCTTAACCGAGAAACTCCAGAAAAGGCGGTGACATCAGCAAAAGGGAGCCAACTCCTTCCCCGTCTGCCGTTTTGTACTCTTGGCCTAACGTTGACTCAAAACAGCAACTTGGAGCCTTCCCTGACCTGTTGGTAAAATATGACTTTGTTTTATTATTAAAAAAATAGAAAGTAGAAAATTAAATTCATTAGCTCCAATTACTAAATGATTCATCTGGCTGGCTAATGAAGCTGAGCATTATGCTAACAAGATAAAGGCAAGAATAACATGTGGGGGTGTGCGGCTGCAGGCACGCTGGGCCTGTTCTACTGGAAACGCAAGGCTGAGGAGCTCTGTGCCTTGAGATGGATGGCAAGGTATGGGAGTTGGGGTTGAGAAACAGGAGGCTGTGGGGCTCGGTTTGCTTCCCTGGGGGGCTTGAGGAGGCTGAGTCAGGGACTGGCAACACTTTTGGGTGTTGGGTGAGCCCTGGGCCTTTCTTTTTCTTTCTGTGTATGGGGACCGCTAGTGGAGACTTCAGTGGGAGGCCCGCATCCATGAGCAGAAACGACAGCAGCAGAAACAATCCCCCGGGCCATCCAGGAAGAAGGTTGGGCTTGTGGCTCAAGGCCCCTTTAGCCTCTGGGGTTTCAAGGAACCTTTGGGCTGGAGATATGGAATCAACGGAAGTGGAGGCTGTGGACAGGGTCCCTGTTCCCTATGGTCTCAGCTACTTGCTAAGTCATTGTTAGATCCAGGCTATGGTGGTACCAAGAGCTGGCTTCCTGTGGGAAGAATGGGTCCCTGGAGTCACACTTTTGAGCGCAGGCAGGCCCTGCTGAATACTGCTCACGTGAAAGCATTTCCAGACTCTCCTACTCACTTCTGCTGACCTTGGGTCATTGCTGAAGCTGCCAGCTACTGTCAATCTGATCGCTTACCGTGCTTCATACTGTCTCTAGCCCGCTTCTTTCAATTCTGGCTCCTGCTCTCTGATTCTCCTGGGCACTCATCACCAACTGGCTGCCAGAGCACATGGGCCTCCAGCTGCTGTCTGAATGGCCACAGGATGACTCCATTATTATTCCCACCACCTGGACTGAGTTAGTCTGATCCTCATTCTGTTAAAAACACCCATCAAATAGCAAGAAAAAACCCAGTTTGAAAAGCCCCCTAGGCCAGGTGCGGTGGCTCAAGCCTGTAATCCCAGCACTTTGAGAGGCTGAGGCAGGTGGATCACTTGAGGTCAGGAGTTCAAGTCCCACCTGGGCAACATGGTGAAACCCCGTCTCTACCAAAAATACAAAAATTAGCCAGGTGTGGTGGCATGCTCCTGTAGTCCCAGCTATTCCGGAAGCTGAGGCAGGAGAATAGCTTGAAATCTCCCAGAGGGCAGAGGTTGCAGTGAGCTGAGATCGTGCCTGGGCAGCAGAGTGAGACTCTGTCTCAAAAAAAAAACAAAAACAAAAACAAAAAAGCACCCTATTTGTATGCTGCACAGTGAAAGGAATGTAGGACCTTGAGTTTGAACCCCAGCCTCCTACTACTTCTGGCAAGTAACTTCCCCTTTTCTGGGTTGGTGATAACATAGCTTGCTGATATTGGGTGGTTGTGACTGAGGCTCACAGGAAATGGTATCTGCTCCCAGTGTTAGGTTATGCATCCTTGCTTGCATGGGGGTTCTCTTTCCCATTCTCTAGAACTGTAGAAAAATTGAGCATCTCTTATATCTATCGAGTCTGATCTTCCTAGGAGTTGAGCCCAAGAACTGGGTCAGTGGGTTGTCCCTGCAGAATGTTCCTTAGTGGCTTCCTACACAGTGGACCCAGCACCCGGTGCAGCCAGCCTGTCACCGAGACAGACGGGCAATGCCAAGTGACCCTCACCTAGACTCACAGAGATAAGTCACTACCTCCTCGCCTCTCTGAGGATTCGTGCCTGTTTTACTACTGTTACCATCAGAGTTGTTCTACTCTTAGTCATAATTGTCTCAGCACAATTGGTTGAGCACTTACTATATGCCATGACTTTCCACCTGGCATCCGCCTTTAGGCATTCCTTTATCATCCAACTCCTGCTTCGGGAAAATTTGTTTCTGTCTGTCTCCAAGATACAAAATCAAAAAGGTGTTTTAATCCTGAGGAAGAGTGTGAGTCTGGGAAAATTTTGGATCACCGAGGTGCAGCCATACCTTCCACAGCCATCACTGTTGCTTACAACTCACATGCCAAGAATTGCAAGATGAAGATGGTGATCAGGAGGCATGACTTGGTAATACTGCTGAGGCTGGGAGTCTCTGGGAAATTCTGAGTGTGGGCAATGATTGTGGCAATCTGGTTCCCACAGGCATTAATGATTTTTTCTTTTAACTAAAAGATTAGAATTTGCAAAATTATGTTAAACCAATTAACAAGGGGAATGGATTTAGGACCACATGTAAAATGATACTTTCCCCAATATAGCTTAATAGAAACATGTCATTTGTAGGTGGAAAAAACCTTCATATTCATATCCCCAGGAAGTCAATGGAAAATGAAGGTCGATGGAAAATGAAGTTAATATCTATGTAAAGCTTAAAATTAAAAAGTGAATATTAAAAAGAAACATGAATAATATGCTTCTTTGGAGTTTGGGGTTTTGCTATGGTTGTTGTTGTTGCTGTTGTTTTTCTTTTAGTAACTACTTGGTTAGTGTAAAGCAGAGAGGAGAATTAGGAGAGGCAGATGGCAGAGAGGTCTGCCATGGAAGATTCATGGATGACAGGAGAGGCTGTGTTCCAGAAGGCAAGGTGAACAGGCTTTACACACACAGTTTGGGATGCCTCTGGGTACCACTTGGCAGGGCTGTTAGGAGGGCTGGTCCCAGGCTCCAAGTTCTAAGCAAAGCTTGAGCATTCAGGCCAGGTCTGCAGCCCAGGAAGTTTACACACAAACATATGAGTCAAGAAGAGCTTCAAGGACAGGGTGAGCAGTGGGTCAGGGGGCAGGTAGCCAGGCAAGGGCAAGGCTGACTGGCAGGCGAGCACCAGAAAGGGAGGCATCCAGACTCCTTGACCTTCTTGACGTATGTCTGTGACCCTCGTTCCAGGAAGAAGAGCCCAAGGACCGTAGCAAGGCCCTGATTCTGGGAGACGAGAGAACACGCTGACTTAGAATGCTTGTCTCTGCATCCTGGTCAGAAAGTAGATGGACGACACTTTCATCTCCGACTGGATTTTGGTGAGAGATGGGCAAACCCCGGGCTCTAGGCTGGAGCAGCAGCTCTTGTATCCACACAAAATCAGGACTGGTGGAGGGAGCCATCTTCAAACATAAATTTGGTGAGTTTAACAATCAGAGATTTGAAAAACACAGAAATGAACATTTCTGATCAATGACACTGCTGATCTGATGCATCATAACAGAAACCAGTCATCAAGGTACAACAAACTGTTCCAAACCACTGAGAAATGGCTTGTCTGTGGGCTCCCAGTTCAAATGCTCACAAACCTGGGAGGCTGGTTGATCAGGGTTGGGAGGGAGGGTCTAGCCATAGCTCAGCAGCTTCCCTAAGGTTGTTGTGCATGTCCCTAGCTGGCTTAGTTTGGGCTGATGTCTTTTACGTGTAGTTCTAGATGGTTTGAACATATTGGCTGTTTCTCGTTTTCTTCTGTTTAAGCGTCTTTTGGCAATGCACTCCTTGGGTTTGGAAGCTTCCCTCCAAGATGCTGAGCCCAATGTTTGGGGAAAGCCAGGGAAACAGATGCTGGGTCAGTGCTGCTCCCACCTCCTCTGCTCCCCTCCTGAGGGCTCCACTGAGTCACCAGCCAGCAAACAGCCCATGCGCCCTGGAGCAGATGGACTGTGGGTACACGAGCCTCTGAACTCTTGGGCAGCATGGGCACAACATCCTTTTGGCCTCACCCAATGACCTGGCTGTAAGTATATCACTTGTGTCCCAGAGGGAGCTTGGGTACCAGGTGGTCATGACTCTGTTCTTTCATTGTCCCTGGGTGAATAGGGTGAGGAAATGGCCCTTGCTGTCCCCAGTGCCTGCAGTGCTTGGTCCCTTACTCTTCTCCAGTCTTTGCTCAGTTGTCAGCTCAATAGCAACCCTCCCTGCCACCCATGTCTTCTTTTTCTCTGTGAAGTTATCACCAACTGGTGCACTGTATGTTCTACCTTCTGTCTCTTCTCTCTAGAATGCAGTCTCCATGAGGGCAGGGCTTTTGGTCTGGCTCATTCATGGCTGTTTTCCTAACACCTAGAGCAGTCTGGCACACAGCACATCAGTAATGAAGATCCAGGCAATGAACTCATAAATGGCCTTGAGGAGAATTTGGTTGTAAGAGGCCTGGGTGGCGCTGTGTTAAGGCCCCAACCCATCCTTCAACAGAAAGTGCCCTTGGCCATTTTCAGCATTCATATTTGCTGTGGGGACTCTGGGGCCTGGCATGTCCCTCTTCTCCTCTCACATGCCTGTCCTGTGGATCGCCATGGGCTACTTTGCGAATGGGCAAGAAAGTCATAAAGCACTCATTAAAGCAAGAGAGGGAATTGGTCAGCCCACCCAATCCAGACTGGCTCAGCTGACCCCTAATTTATCAATTTCATTCATGCAGCAAGTATTGAGTGGGGTGGTGTGCTGGACATGGGGGTGTAATAATGAGTGGAGATCCACTGGCTCACCCTTCCACAGTGGAGCTAGATGCTGATAAAAATAACCATGGAATTAGAAACATTTTTGCATCTAATCAGAAGGACAAGAGGGGCAATCAAGGGGCTGGGTGATAATAGATCACAAAGGCTTGGGTTGGTGGGTGGTGGAGGTGTCCAGGCAGGCTTCCCCAAGGAAGTGACATGTGAGTTGGGATCTGAAGGTGGGCCCGTGAAGGGGCTATAGGGGGAGAACATTCCAGGAAAAGATAACAAAATGTGGGAAGACCCTGAGGTAGGAAGGATTGTGGTGCAATTGAGGAATTAGGCAAAGGATGGCAATTTCTTCTTCCCTTCAGCCCCATCCTTGTAAGAAACATCTGCCTCTTTTTTTCTGGGGTCAAGGTTTTGAGATGAACTTGCCTGTTCCCAGACTCTCTGAACCTGGCCATCTGTGCCTTCGGAAGGTTCTTTGCAGCTTTTGGATATCCGTGCCTTTCCCAGGCTCCTTGGGCCTAGGAAAAGGCCCAGCTGGGGAAGAAGTAAGGCCAGTCCTTCCCTGCGCCTGGGTATCTTTTTGCCTCTGCTCCACAGCAGCTTACATCATAGCGCCTCTGGGAGAGCCCCCATGGCCTCTCAGCTCCATTTCTTGAGGAAATTTTCAATTAAAGGGTAATTGAGCCAGAGGTGTGAAAACAAACTGCCACCCGATTGACGCAGCAATGCGCCTTTTACTGGCTGAGGGCTAGAGCGTGGGATTAACATTCTAGAGCTTCTAACAGAGCAAGCCTTTTAAAAACCTGTAAGATACGTATGCTAATTATTTAATTATATAGTTAGGCCTGAGTTGTGAAAATTTCTATCTGGGGAATTACAGTGCATAATGCTTCAGTGAATGGCTTTAGAGACCCGTTTTCTAAAATGAGATTCTCTGTGTGACTGTTATGAGCAATGGCGCCATTTTGGTGGATGGGCAGTGTGGCTTTCCCAGTGACCAGACGTTGATCTCGGTGGCGATTTGAAAACAATTATCCTTGACCACACAGAAGGGAGGAGATAGTGTTCCACACACTCCCTGCTGCCAGGGCGGAGATCCTCTCCATGTCATGGTGCCATCTTCCTAGCAAGAGTAGAAAGAAATGCCATCCTGCCTGGGTCACCTGCAGGCAGGTAGGATCTATTGTCACAGTCATGGATACCTCCACCTCCCACAGAGATTCAGCCCCATTACAGGGTAAGGCCTGTGTATATATTACATGTGTAGGGGATGAAGCCTAAATAACCCTCACAAAGGTATTTTCTGAGCACCTACTGAATACCAGGCCTTCTGTGAGAGTTCCTGCCTTCAAGGGGCTCCCAGGTGGTAGGGGAAAGAGCAAGAGAGCAAGAAATGAGCTCTAAGTGTGACAAGGGCTGGTGTAGGGTCTGGATGCATGGCTGCCTTTCTGTCCTGGACACCACCCAGGCCTGAGAGAGTGGCTCCTGGCCTGGAGTTCTCAGATATTTAGAAAACCAAGGAGGTTAAATGGGGTTGGGGGGAGGGATAAGGAAGAGGACAGGAATAATTTTAGTATTTCTAAATCCCTAGTGCCAGCCTACATTTCCTGGTGCTAAGGGATCACTCACAAATAAAAAATGTTACTTATGATAAAAGTCAGGGGCTGAAATGGTGTTGGTTTGGTGTGATCAGATAGATCATCCAGATCAAGAGTACAGAAGGTCTTGTTACACACACAGTTTTTGAAAGTGTAGCTATTGTGGCCTACCTCATCAACTTGAAGTATAGATCATTAACTTTTCAAATTCAAATGGGCATGAGCACAGACTGGCCACATCAACTGCAAGTACAGTGTCTCTCTTGGGAATTTTTCTTTTTCCTTGGATTGGCTAAGTGTTCAAAGAGGTGGGGCCTACTGGGAAGGTTGTACAGACAGAGAACTGGGGAAGCTGGCCAGCTCATTTTTCATTTTGGGCTCACCCAGTAATCCTCATAGCCTAATAAATTGCCTTTATTTGCAAGGTAGTTTGAGGAAGGTTGTGATCACTTGAGAAAAAAGGAGCTCTAATACTCAGAAAATCTCTAGAAAACAGAAAATGCCTTTTAGTTGAGCAACATTATAAGACACCTTCAGAAGGGGCCCACCGTGGTGCTCCCAACATCTTGAATGCCCGTGCTGGGAAGGACCAAGGCTGCCATCCAGCCAGCCTTCCCCAGATGGGGACAGTGGGATACACTAGTTTTGTGTGATTTAAAAGATTTTTTTTTGGGAAATGTTTGGCAGTGGAGGCAGTGGGAAAAGATGAGTCAAATGAAGCTGTTTAGTAGGTTTCTTTACTGCAGGCCTTCTCAGAGCCTTTACAATGCTAAGGTACAGTGTGAGTCTTCAAGAGGAGGACAGAAAATGCAGTGTTTCCCCAAACATTTCATCATGAGAACCTCTACAATTCATTAATATTGCATAATAGTAATGTGGTTCAAGCCACTACATTAGTGGCGGAGACGCAGGGACATTGGGGTAACACGGTTACTGCCTGACCTCGAAACTGGAGCCCACCAGGGTTTTCCCATCACCTTCACCTTCTCTCTTGCCAATGTGCTGCAGAAACAGACATGCCCGTCTAACAAGGAGGGGCCTTGCTGGCAAGGCCCTTGCCTCTCAGCAAAGGTGGTGCAAGTCTCTGGCAGTAACAGTAAAACATTGGCTGGGACAGGCAAACAGCCAGGCCTAAAAGGGACTGCACCAGAGCATTCTCATCTAATTCTAACAAACATCATAGTAGTCCCCAGGAGAGCGGGGCCTTGGTGACGTATGGCCACTATTACAGCACCCAGTTGGCCAAATGTCTCCAACTTTGATGGACGTTCATCTGGAAGGTCATTACCACAGGCATTGGAAATGCCCTCTAATTCTAGAAACTCTAAATAATTCATATTGGCAGCTGAGAAAAAAATTCAAGGCCAGCCTGTGTTAATTTACTTAAAGTGAATTTTGACTTTTTGTGGTTGTTTGCTGTTGTGGACCAAGTTATGGCAAAGCAGTGGAACAGTGTTGTGGTTTTGTTCTCCTGTACATAAAAATCAGCAGATATCACCATACAATGGTGCATTATTGTTCAAACTGGGAAAACTACACAGTGCACTAAATGATGCTTTTTCTCTTTTTTTCTAATTTTGGGGTCAGTATTCCTCAATATGATACTTCCAGGTATGCCTGTGCTTGTGTGTGATTCCTCGGGGCCATCCTACAGCAATTATTTGAATGTTTCCTTGGGATTTCTAGCTGTAGAGACCAGAAAGGTCATTAGGGTTGAGGAAGAAGTCCCAGTATAATACCCCCAACGCCATTCTGTAACTGCTCTCAGGAGTGGATCTGAATCAGTCAACTCAAAAGCCTGTAATAAAAGGGAAAAGGAGATGGGGGCAACCTTGGGGTCTACCTGGAAACCAGAAACCTGATGTGGAATGTGAGCAACTGAGGGCTGGAGAGACTCATCTTAGATGAAAGTGTAGGTTGAACGGAGGCAATTAGCATCATGGACATACAATGATAACAACTACAAGACAACAACCACAACAACAAGCAATAAAGGGCACTTTCCATGTGCCTGAGGCTGTACTGCACAATTTATATGGAAAGGGCTTGGCCTTTGGGGCACGGAGAACTAGGTTCAAATGTCAGCTCTCCTACCCATGTGTTCAGTGGCAAACCCATGAGGCTCAGCTTCATTGAACCTTAGTTTCTCCTCCTGCAAATGGGGATAACAAGAGCTTCCTTGTGAAGTTATTGTCAAATATAAATTCATGCATTTGAGACATTTTAAAGCAGGTGCATTGCACCTGACATCCAGTGGGTGCCCTCAGCAGGGACCAGTGGTGTTGGTTCTCAGTGTCAGATGAAGCCTTGTGGAAGTAAGGTCAGAGTTCAATCTTTGAATGTGCCTGGAATCGGGACTTGGGGCAGGCTGGGGAACATGGTCTGCCCTAAATGTAACCTGCAGCTCTGGCACCGGAGGGTCCAAGCTGGTGTTTTTTGTTCACTCCATTTCAAGCTGAGCCTGTGTGATGTGCCAGGCACTCATGTTGGGCACCTGGGACTTAAGGATTAATCAGATATGTTGTCTTTGCATGTGTAGATGGGTCCAAGCAAGACCCGCCTCATCTCCACTCTGAATCTTTCTTGGAAACCTCTTAGAAGACATACCTGGGAGCCCCCACATCTTTCTGCTGTGCAGAGAACATCATGTCCTCATGAAATGAGCCATCTCCATGAAGATACAAAGCCCAGTGCCCAGGAAGCAGTCAGCCCTGACACTCTGGACTTCACCAGGCCAGCAAAGCAGAACCAAAGGAACGGGTTGGCAATTGTCTGCATAATCCAGACAAAAGTGGATTGTTTTTTCTTTTTTCTTTCTGGTCCTGAATAGTCCAAGTCACTGGGGATGTTCTCTCTGCTCTTAGAGAAAGAACCACCAGGACCCCATCTGAGTGTCCCTTTGTTAACCAAAGGCCCCAGCTCCCATGCCTTATTAGGGCAGTAAACAGAGAGATGGTGTATCATAGAGGCTGTTGTCCCTCTGCCAGCATTGGATAATTCTAGTAGCTGCTTGATGGGGTAAAGCAATTACGATGCATTTTTCATTCAATCAACCGAATCAATTAATTGCCTTACTCACATAGGAACAACAAAAAAACAAATCCCAAAGCCTTCTTGTTAAACAGTAAGCACGCTAGATAGGCTGCTTTTAAATCCAACATTTACATGAAATTATCTTCTTATATAATTAACAGCTACCAGTTAATAAACATGCCTCAGATAAAAGAGTAGCCCTATAAATGAACAAAATGAAACAGCACCATTTAGCATACTGAAGGTAATAGGCAGGCAGGTTCCATCAGGGCTGAGAGGCCTGCTGAAGATCCTTCCACAAGAGCTGTTCCTTGAGTCTGTGTAGACAGTTGGAAATTAGAGTGAGAGAGGAGAAGGAATAATGAAGGAGGCTGCCATTTAAAAATGTCTTGCCTGAAAACTAGGCCGGGAGCGGTGGCTCACGCCTGTAATCCCAACATTTTGGGAGGCCGAGGCGGGTGGATCACTTGAGGTCAGGAGTCGAGACCAGCCTGGCCAACATGGCGAAACCCCGTCTTTACTAAAAATACAAAAACTAGCAGGACGTGGCACACATCTGTAATCCCAGCTACTCAGGAAGCTGAGGCATGAGAGTCCGTTGAACCTGGGAGGCAGAGGTTGCAGTGACCTGAGATCGTGCCATTGCACTCCAGTCTGGGCAACCGAACAAGAACCTGGCTCAAAAAAAAAAAAAAAAGAAAGAAAGAAAGAAAAATCTCCTGGATGGAAAACCATATTGCACTTCTTCAGAACTGTGTGTATGGTAAGCCCCTCTTTGAAAGTTCTTTATATATTGGTAAATATTTTGTTCCTTCCAATAGCAAAAGATCTAAATTTCATGGATTTCCCACAGACTTGAGGATGGTGTTGGTACAGAGGTCCTCCTAGGCACTCCTGCCGTGTGGTGGGCCCAGCACACCGTAGGAATGGCTGCAGCATTTGAAATGAAAAGGCCGGCATTACTCCTTGGGAGCTTTTTTGCAAACAAGCGTGTAAAAAGAGCCAGGCTGCAGCAGCTCTGGGTGAGATTTTACCCAAGGGGATTCTACAAAGTGGGAGGCAAACCATTCCACCTCTAGAATGCAATATTTATGCCCCCATCAGAGGACGCTCATGACCTTTTTTTTTCCAGTTGTAATGGAAAAAAAGGGATATATATTGAAGAAAAAAATTTTAAGGAAAATCTCTCTCCTGATAAAGAGGGGGACTCTCAAATGCCAAAACAAAACCCAAGATGGGGGACACCCCATTTAGGTATTTTGAAGTGGTGATTTCTCTGCTGCCGATAGAACCTGGTAGAACATTCTATCTACTTGGTGGGGAAATGGTTTTATGTCAGGCTAGGGTGATTTGTGTGATATTTCGGTGCCATTATATCCCAGTTCTTAGTCTTATCCCAATAACTCAGGGGCTCTATTCATAATGGCCGGGATCCTCTGGAACTCTGAGGAGGTGAAACCATCTAATCATAGGAGTCCGCAGTGAGAGGGGCCTGGCCAGCCCTCTGTTGACATCGCCTGTGCTGTCCCAGCAGACATTACAAGGACACAGCAATTTCCAAGTGACCCTTTTTCTGCAGTGTGGGGCTCTCAACCTTAGTCACTGCAGCGTGGGAAGACTTCACTCTGAATAAGCAATGCCTCCTGAATGAGTCTGTCCCTTTTCTGAAAAAACAAACAAACAAACAAAAAAAACCCCCCAAACCAAAAAAACAACAAAAACAGCTCAGTGATGGGGAGGGGAGGTGGTCTCGTCTCGAATCTAGAATACAGCCGTGAATACCTGAGATGGAAGTCTTTTCCCTTTTATAGTGTGATCAAACAAGATAATGGAAGGCAAAGTGCTCCAGGAACTATCCCCAGCCACTACAATGGAAGATAATTAGTGTCATCATTTTCTATTTGCAACATAAACTCAATCTACTTTCCTGGTACCTCCATAGGTGATGCGCCTGATCCAGGTGTGAAAATTGTAGCTCTCCTGGTTACGTCAGTCCTTTTGTTTGTCTGCAACCAGCCAGAAGCTGGGGGTGGGGTCATTCTGCTCTTCTTCAAGGCTTCATCTGAAGATGTGCAAATGTTTTCTCCTGCTTAACTCTGTCTGCACCCTTGATATCCCGAGGAAGACCACTGCTCTATAATCTATTCTGGGGGTGGGTGGGAATAATACTTTTTTTTTTTTTTTTTTGAGTGCTCACTATGAGCTTGGCACAGGGCTGAGCTTTTCACAACCTTTATCTCATGGTATTCTCATGACAGTCCCACCAGGGCAACTACTATTATCATCTCCATTTTACAGATGAGGACATGAGGGAGTTTCCAGGGGTGGTAAAGATCTGTTTCATGATCTGGGTGCTGGTTGCATGGGTGTGCTGTGTTTGTGAGAATGTCAAACATCTGTGAGAGGGGCTCTTTACAGAATACATGTTACAGTTCAATACAAGGTAAAAAGGAAGTTAAGGCCACTAAAAAAGTGGCTGTTTGCCAGTGTCGCTGGTTAAATGGTGGCCCTCAAAAGATGTGTCCATGTCTTAACCCTTGGAACCTGTGGATGTGACTTATGTGGAAATGGGTTTTTGAAGATGAGATCACCCTGGATTATCCAGGTGGGCCCTAAATCTAAAGATAAGTATCCTTAGAAGAGACACAGGGGGAGAAGAGGGGAAGTACTTGTGAAGACAGGCAGAGTGGAGTGATGATGTGGCCACAAGCCAAGGAATGGCAGGGGCCACCAGAAGCTGGAAGAGGCAACAAAAGATCCTCTTCAGAGGGAACCTGGCCCTGTGATACCTTGATTTTGAATTTCCGGCCTCCAAAACTGTGACAGAATCCATTTCCATTGTAAGCCAAGCAGTTTGTGGTCATTTGTTATGGCAGTCCTGGGAAACTAATACAGCCAGATAAACTTGGTCCTCTGTGGGCATGAGTACAGGAGATTTTTCCTGTAGGAGGTAGGAGTGTTTCATGTGATGAGTTCAAAACCTCATTCTGGGTTTCTTGTGGAGAATGGATAGGAGAGACAGGAGGCAGGGAAACCAGCTTTGTCCTTTACTGTATAAAAAACACAACCTCATGCATCAATTCCTTTTTAAAATGCCATTTTCTTTTCTGACCAAAATTCACCCAGGAGGGTGGAAAGAAGAAAAGAAAGTGGTCAACTCCCTCCTTTGGATGTGAGGCAGAGTAGTCAACGTTGCTTTCTTAACTTCAATGTTATTGAGGTATAAACTACATAAAGTAAGAGCACAGATCTTATCTGTACACTTGGATAGTTTTGATGAACCTACACAGTAGACCGTCACGTAACCAACCCCTTGGTCAGCATTTCCAGCATCTCACATCCTGCCCCAATCAACCACTGATCTGATTTCTTTCAGCATAGACTAATTTTGCCTGTTCTTGAACAAACTCCCTATAAATGAAATAATACATTTTCTACTCTTGTGTCTGGCTTATTTCATTCAGTATAATATTTTTAGAAATTCATTCATGTTCTCACTCTGTACTTTGTACATTTTTATTGCTGGGTAGCATTCCATTGAGTGAATATACCACAGTTTATCAGTTCTCTTGTTGATATAAATAACATTTTGGTTATTTTCAGTTTTTTCAATAGTGAATAAAGCAGCCACTAACATTGTTTGTGTGGACATATGCTTTTATTTCTCTTGGGTAAGTGCTTAGGAAGATAAGTGGATTATAATCTGTATAAGAGGCACCTAGTGGTTTTGCAAAGTGGTTGTATCTTTTTATAGTCACACTAGCAGTATATGAAAGTTCCGGTTGCTTCACATCCTTGGCAACACTTGGTATTGTCAGTCTCTAGTTTTAGACATTCTAGGGAATAAAAAGTGGTGTCTCATTGTGGATTTCATTTGCATGTAGCTAACAACTAATGATGTTGAACAACATCTTTTCATGTGCTTTTTGGCCATTTGTTTATCTTCTCTGGTGAAGGGCCTGGTCAAGTCTGTTGTTCATTTTATTTATTGGGTGGTTTCTCTTATTATTGAGTTGTAAGTGTTTTTTATATATTGTGGATATAGGACCTTTGTCAGATTGTGTATTGAAATATTTTCTCTCAATTTGTGGCTTGTCTTTTTCTTTTTTTTTTTTTTTTTGAGACAGAGTCACTATCACTCAGGTTGGAATGCAGTGGTGTGATTTTGGCTCACTGCAGCCTCTGCCTCCTGGGTTCAAGGGATTCTCCTGCCTCAGCCTCCTGAGTAGCTGGGATTACAGGCGAGTGCCACCATGCCCAGCTAAGTTTTGTATTTTTAGTAGGGACAGGGTTTCACTATGTTGGCCACGTGGGTCTCAAACTACTGACCTCAAGTGATTCACCCACCTCAGGCTCCCAAAGTGCTTGGATTACAGGCATGAGCCAGCATGCCTGGCAGTCTTTTCATTTTTAACATGATTTCTTTTGAAGAGCAGAATTTCAAATTTTGGTGAAGTCAAATTTATGATTTCATTCTTTTAGGGTTAATATTTTTTTGTGTCCTGTCTAAGAAATATTTGCCTACCTCAAGATCACAAAGATTTTTCTCCCAGATTAATTTTAATCTTTGCTTTTGCATGTAGGTCTCTTTTGAATTAATTTTGTGTATGGTGTGAGGTAGGCATCCAGGTTCATTGATGATTTTCAACTGAATTGAAAGGCACAGGTGTACAAGTGAAAAGGCAGGTGAGGGTGATGTTGGTTTTCAATCATAAATTTACCATTTATTTTGAGAATTTACTGGGTACCAGTCACTGTGCTAAGCTCTAGGGTTTCATAATGGTGGCAATATGGATATGTCTCCTGCCCATATGGAGTTTATTATCTGGAGAATAGACAGACACACATGAAGGAGTCACACAAATAAATATGAAAAGACTACTGTGGTAGGAATAGAAAATAGAGGTCCCTAGTGTTACATATAACAGAGAAGACTTTGCATGATGACATGAAGACATCATGGTTGAGTTGAGATTTGAAGGAGAAATAGGTAACTAGGCAAATGGGTGGTGGTGGTGGAGAGTGCAAGGGCATCAGGCAGGGGAGGAAGATGGGCTGAAAGACCTGGGTGTGTTTATGTGTCTGGTTGGAGGCCCCAAATCTGAGGTTTTGTAGGCAGTGCTGAGAATTTTGCTTTGATCCTTAGAATAGTGGGAGGGCAATGAAGGGTTTGAAAGTGTGTGTCTGCACGTGCATGTGTGTGTGTGTAAGTGTGCATTTTGCACACATTTGTCCTCTGCACAGGGAGGTCAGGCCAGAAGGCTGGTGTTGATTTGGGTGTGGTTCTTGGGGAGACTTTGTGTTTTGCTGCAGGTGAACCTGGCCTTGGGACAGGAGCCATGGTAGATGCAATTGCAGTGACGGCACCAAGGACAGACCCCCAGGCCCTACAGGGAACAAGGAGAGGAGGCACTGGGGCCATGTTTGACAGTTTGTGAAGCCTTTTTATACTCATCCTCTTACTTCACTGCACAACAATTTGATGAGAGAGGAATTATTGTTTATATTTCTTAGAGTTTTCTACTTTCCGGAGAAGGAACCTGAGGATGAGAGAAGGTGGGCTGTGCTTGTGATTGTTTAACCAGGCAGTGATGACACCAAGATGCGGTCCCTGGTCTTCCTGCTCTAAAGGCCCCCTCTTCCTCCAATATAACCCGTAACCAGGAATCGTGTTATGGGTTAGAGGCATTTTCCCAGGCTCTAAATTCTCCCTGGGCTCCTGCTGCGGGGCCATTCCCTTGGTTCAGAGCAGCTGTTAAGACAACTGGGCCTGGCAGCTTAGGGCCCAACAAGAGTCTTGTGTGAAGACTGAAAACCCATCCAATGATTCTCAGTTGCTCTACACCCACCTGGGCAGACCCAGCCAGGAGCCTCCCAGAGGTGTGATGGAGAGAGCCCCAGACTTGGAGTTGGGCAGACCTGTGCCCCAATCCTGTGCTTCCACCTTGCAGCCATTGCGCTTGGGCAAATCGCTTAGACTTTCTGGGCCTCAGTTTGCTTAATGTGTAGAGGGCAGACTATAGTAGCGTCTACATTACCAGGTAGTTGTGAGAAGAGAATGGGAGAACTGTTTCAGGTGAAAATGCTATCCCTGTCTGGTTCATAGTAGGAGCTTAATAAATGCGAGTTGTTGTGGCAGCAGCATTGTTCTTATCATTTACTAGGGGGAAAAGGTTAGTTGTACGGTTGTGGTGCCATTATCATCATCATTACTAGGGGGAAACAGACACATTGATTTATCCTGGAAAAGTTCTCTTTTCCTGCTGGCCAAACGCCTGACTTGGAACGACACAGAGCTCTGAGGGTGCTTGCAGTTCCACACCATCTGGCTGATTTGTGGTAATAATCTTTTATGTGCATGGAGCATTTTTTCCTTTGCAAAGCACCATCACATCTCTTATTCCATTTTATCCCCAAACAACCCTCTGAGGTTGGCCGGGCAGGGGTGATTATCCCCGTTTTCTAGATGGTGACTTGTAAAACAAACACAATTTGCCCAAGATCACAAGGAAAGATGGTGATGAAAGGCAGGGTGAGAACTTGGCCAGGTCTCCTAACGTATTCGTAGGAGTGTGGGCAAGAGGCATAGGCTGACTCTGCAGCATTCTTTAAGAAATAATTTCAGCAGCCACTGTTTATTGAGCACCTACTGCATACTGGGCCTAAGGGGAGGGTAGGTGTGTCATGTATGTATTTACTCATTTAATCTCCTCACCAATCCCATGGGGCTGATATTGTCCTCATTTTACTTATGAAGAGACCGAATCCCCCAGAAGTTAGGTTAGTGGCCCAAGATCCTTGAGCAGGTGAGTGAGATTTGGGATTTCCATTTGAGCCAAGACAATGGCAAAATTGGCCCTCTCTTTACTCTCCTGTTTGCCCCTGAAAAGAGAAGAGGATGACAAAAAGGTGAGCAGCAGGAACTGCCAGAATGGACATGAGTTTGAGGAGTTTCCTATTTCTAAGTGGGCTAAATGAAACCTTTATCTTCATGACGGTCGCTATCATGGCTGGGTTGATGTCTGGGTATCTGTTTAGGAGCTAACAGGTTTAGTTTTATTGTTTTGTCAAAATACTACAGAAATCAATATATCTCCATAATTCAGTGTTATACCGAGAGGCATTTTTTTGCCATATATAGCAAAAATTGTATTATACTTTTGAGATCCTAGGTAATGATGACAAAGTGTCCTGTGTTCAATTCTAGCATTAACGTCTGGTTTGAACAAAGCTTGAAATATGATCTCAGAGCTAAAAGGCTTTAGTATTAAGATCTTTAACTGTAATTTATGTGACAGAAGATAGGGTTTAGCATAATAAAATGTAATGGGCTCTTCAAATGAAGAGGACGAGAGACAATTGAAAACAAGGTAAAAATGGTAAATTATAAATAACGGTAAATCTACCTTTATGTTGTTACTTCATTTATTTTTGATTTGTTAGATAGGCTCTATAATTTCTCATTTTCCATGTTTCAGAACAGGGCATTTCTCAAATGGTGCCTATCTGAAATGAGAGCCCATAATCACCGTTAGCCTTAGCTTGCTATTTAAGGGATAAGAACATTTCCACCACAGTTCACGTTTTCCATTTATGCTAAGATTTGATCTGATTGATTCTATTGATCTCTTGTTCTCTCTTCCTTTGTCCCTTTTCCCTCTTGATATTTATGGGTTTATTCATATTTTTCAAATCAGCTTCTACATTTAAATGCCATGATGTAAATTTGTATGCAAGTTGTGTGAACATTAAGGAATTTAGGCCAAACTCTAGAAAATTAAATTCACAGAAAGAAGAGCAAACGAATTTGTTAACCGCAGGGATGCCAGCACTATTATTCCTATGTGTTCAATTTTGTTTTGAGCTTCCCAGATGCCGAGGGCATGATGGTTCATGGAATTTTTATTACACTGTAGAAAATAAGGTAGCAATTCTTTGAGAAAGAGAGAATTTCCTGGAACTTAACTTGTGAGATCTTGAGTAATAAACTTTTATTTTTTAGTCTTGCATTCTCAAAATTTGTTTGCTTCAAGATTTGGAAATAAACAGACAGAAGTGATGTAGAAAATTAAGAAAAGTCTTAATATGACGTTTGGCCTCCAGGGCTATGTTTTTTGTTGCTGTCGTTTTTGGAAGAGCCTTGATTCAGTCAGTTTAGCAGCGATGAGCCCAGGCCCCCTGCTGCCAGCATTATGTAGAAGTCTCGCCCCCAGGGTAGGAAAGACAGACATGGAAGAGAACTCAAATTAACTTCCCACTATTGCATTTGGTAAGGGCATTGGAACATATTCTGTACCATTTTTGAAGCATTCACTTTGACTTCAAAGTGATATAAGAGGAGTTAATTGGCCTGGATCTTCCCTCTCCTTCCCTTGGGGTTGAGATGGGTCTTGGCAGTGCAGGTCAAATGTGAAGGTGTTTCTGTCTTGGACCAGTTGATGGACTTCCTGTGACGTCACCAAATGCATTCATGCTACCCACTCTTACATTGCACTTGCCTACTGGGGATGACTTTTGCCTGAAGACCTCCCAAGCCCTACAGATCTGTCTTGATTATAGTTTTCTCCATCTCTCCAGGCAGTGATTTTCTATTTTATTAAATAAAATAAAATAAAAACTAGTTTTTTTTAGAGACAGGGTTTGCTATGGTGCCTAGGCTGGTCTTGAACTCCTGGACTCAAGGGATCCTTCTGCCTCAGCCTCATGAGTAGCTGGGGTTATAGGCACAGGCCACCCAAGCAGTGACTGCTGAGATGTAAATGTCTTGGGAAGGTGGGGGAATCTGCTATCAGACACTAGTGGTCCTGGTAAAGTAGTTGGTGGGAACTACTTTACCAGGGCCATTTCCTCCCATGGTGGGAAGAGCTTCGGGTGGGTGCTTTTAGGTCTTCCAAGCAGAACAGGAATCTAATGCAGGGGATTGGAGGTTCTTACGGTCAGCAGAAGCGCTGGGAAGCAGCTGCTTGGTAGGTGATTCAGTGTCTCCCTCAACAAGTGCCCATCCTGGGTCTCTGTAACCTCAGCAGGGCTGCCTTTGCGCTTGCTTGTAGCTCCAAAGCGGGTGACTTAATCTCAGTCCCTAGATTTGATCTCTGTCCACCTATCTGCCTGCATCTGCCACCAGAGATCAATAAGGACTTCTCCCTTCTTTCCTCCTTCCAGATCTTACACAGCAAGTTCATTGGTTGACCCTAACCCAGAGGCACACGGGAACAGGGGTTCTGGGAAATGTGGCTTTTCCCTGCAGGGCAGAGGCGTGGAAGGTGAGGCTGGGATGCTCAGGGGCCAGTGAGAGCCCAGGGCATTTCCTTATCTCTGTCCAGGGACTGTGGCCTTCCTCTCCTTCCCCCAATGCCACCAGCCCATGAGGGCCTGGTTATGGGTGCAGGGTAGAAGATCTGTGCTGGGTATGGCCATGCTCAAATTTCCACTCTCCTACCCCAGCCTTCTCCAGTTTCCGGGGTCTGGTTTTCTTTCCTCTCTTAAAGTCCTGGAGTGCTCTGGTGTCAGCGTTGGTGTCACTCTTAGGGGAATCTGACCCCTGAGACTGGGCAGGCCCCATTGTTTGCTCTTATGGGACCCCGTGTGTCTCCTTCATGGCATGCATCCCATCTGCAGCTCAGTGCTTATCTGTGGAAGGACTTGTTTACTGTTCTGGGTCCCTGCTCGGCTAAATTCCACGAGGTCAGGAATTGTGTCTTTCTTGTTCACATCTCTATTCCCAGAATTCCTCACAGCGTGGCCCTCAAAAAATATTGTTTGAGTGGAGGGGTAAAGTCACGTTGTCCATTTTTTTTCAAAGCTAGATCACTGCTTAGGAAGCTTGGTAGGACAGTTAATGATGAAATTTAATAAGAATGGTTCATCATTTCTCCCTAGTGGTAAAGAACTCCACCATTTACAAATCGCTTTCTCTGTATTCATTCGTTCGGTCATTCATGCATTCATCTAGGAAGTCTTTTTGAAATGTCTACCATGTACCTGACAGAGTAGGTCTGCTGTTTACTGAGTGATTTTACAAACTTAAGATAGGCTCAGCACCATGGAGGGATGGCTTATTTCTAAGTGGCTGAGAATCAACATATACCTACCTTATTACTTTGCCAAAGGCCCCAGCACTGGGCCTTTGGGTGCCTCAAGGAATATGTAAATGTAAACAAAATAAGTGACGGTAGTAATTATTATCAGTTGTCCTGGTTATACCCTCTAAGTGGTAGATTCAGAGAAAATGAGTTTTAGGAATAGAGTCATCAGTAAAAACTGATGATTGAAAGCAGGTATAATTATGATTTTTAGCGTCTTCACTCCTCTTGGTGCAAATGCAGTGTATTTAGAATTGATTCTGTGCTTTTGAAAATATCAGCCTGCTGAAATCCCTTATTAGCAGGAACTCACTGTGGATTAAATGAAATTCTATAGCCTAAGGAAATGTATCTGTGGCTCAATAGTCTGGACACATGAGAAGTGTTACACAAGGGAATGTGATTTATGAAAAAGTTTTCTGACTTGGCTGCAGTTTTCCTTGAGTCCATAAATGCCAAAACGTTTAGGCAATAGTCTAAATATTTACCTGCTGGGCGTGAACTGTCATAGTAAGGGCTGGGTGTTGGAAAGCCACAAGCGGTGGGGGTGAAGGGGCGTCCTTGACCCATGCTGCCCCACGGCTCTCTCTCGGGCCTCCCTTCCCGACCCCTCTCCCTCCCACCCCTTCATCGGGCTGCTTTCTGGAGATCTCAGGCCTGTGCCAGCCCCACCTCTGCTGGGCAAAGCAAGTGAGGAGATGCTGCCTCTCAAAAGAGAGACCCAGCAGAGCCCTGAATCTTGCAGCTAGCTTGGCATGTTTTTAGTTCCAGGGTCCAATCAACACTAGGTCTCCCAGCTGTAAGAGAACTCCCTGAGACACTTTTTTGTGGCTTTGTTGCAAGGCTAAAAGGACAGTTGTGTGATCCCAATAGAAATGTCTGCAGGCTTGAGTTCAGTTGAGTCCTCAGCAGAAACTGGCAGTTGTATCAAGGAGCTGTTTGCTCTGTGCTGTCACCCATTCTAGCCAGAGGCATCGGAAGGGGCAACTCTGCCCTAACTCCTCCTTGGTCAATGCTGGCAAAGAGATGCCAACAGGGTGAGGCCGATCATGGTTCTCAAGATGGGGCCACCCTGGTCAAAGGTTCTTGGAGGTCTCATGTCCTGGGCTGGGGGCAGCAGGAAGATCGATGCTGCATTGAAGGCACTGGCCGCTAGTATTCAGTAAAGAATGGGTTCCATCCTGGCTGACTTGGAAAGTTTTGGACATTTCCATGTAACTGTCATATTGAAGCTGGTTCACTGAGTTCTTCCTCGGCCTTTGAATTGCTGATTTTTTTTTTCCAGTTAAAAAAGGACAAGTAAACTGATGAGCTCTTGGGTGGCATGTGCTGTTCTCAGCCATGGGAGGTGGTGGTAAGCTGGGGCCACACGGCATGCTGGGTGACTGTTGAATTCAGCCAAGGCCATGCTGAGCAGGAGGGGGCATGGCAGAGTCACACGTGTAGAAGAAGGTGCCCGCCTGAGAAGGTGAGAATGGAAATGTTTCCTTGATGGGTTTGCACAGCTCCCTGGAAAGAGGAGACTTGCTGAGAGCAGCAAGGAGACAGCAAGGCTTCACAGCTGCAGCACACTGTCTGAATCAGTGCTTGCCCCTGTGGAGTTCTGTATGGATTTTATAACAAGCCTGTGACACTGGCACCATGTGCCTGCCATGGGCCACCACGGAGACCTGCCGAGTTCCCATGAGGAATTTGGGGTATGGGGGCCTCCTGCTTTGGTGCCATCCCTAGTGATCTCTGCTTGGAGCTCGTATTTCTCCCTTTACCTTTGAGTGGGACCACGCCCCTCTGCTTGCCCAAGGCTCCCTGTGCCTCCTGACTCTTCTCTGCTACCTGAAACCCTCCTCGACTCCTCCCTCTCCCTCTGCATTCCCCAGGGTCTTCAGGGTCAAGCTCAAGGTTTGCCTCACCCCCAAAACCCTCCTCAGCCACATTGCCTAATTTATTCCTTTTGCCCAAATTCTATAACTGAGATGAGACTGGATCATCTAAGCGGCCCCAGGGAGGCAGCCCAGGGGCAATTAGAGCATTGTGTCTATGGAAACACACATAGTACTGGCATCCCCCCCACCAAGCTCTGTACCCTGTGAAACCCTGGGCCCACGTCTATTTCCAGCCATCCCTGCTCCCAGGAATCACGCCATTCCTCCACAGTTTAGGTACCCGGCCTTGACCTTTACCCCAGCAATTCCATCCAGGTATTTCAGAATGCTTTGCAACATGCAGGTGGCTTCTTAGGAGTGGGGGTATTTGCCAACAAACCAACCATGAGCCTGCATCCAAAGAAAGCCTTCTACAGCCACATGAAGACAGTGTGATGCTCTCGATGCTTGGGAAGGCCTCGCAAGGCACATGGGGGCAGTGATTGAAGGAGTCAAAGAGAATTTCATCTGCACACATGGTGGCGGCTAGCTGTCCAGTGTGCAAATCCAAAGACGTCTCCAGTTACACCTATGCTTCCCAGCCCTTCTTTCCTCCTGTGATGGAGTTAACCCCTCCCTCCCCAGTGGTCCACAAAACAATAGGCTTTCCCAGTTGTTCTCAAGAGCTCCTCTCCCCATCCACCTGAGGGCTCCCAGCCATAAGCCCTCTACCTGAGGTCTCAAAGGGGTCTGGAAAGGCTCTGGGCAAGCCGACAGCAACCGATGTGAAAATAGGTGGTTCACTCGCACACTCAGCTCCCCATCTGGTCCACTCTAGTTATTTATTTCAAAAATCTGAAAGCAGCTTTTTTATACACAAGTTTCCTTATGTGGGGAAAATGTATGTGAATGACATTTGTTCTCATTGGGGTGGAATTGAAGATATCTTTAGGTGTCACTTAATATTCAGTGCTGAAAGGGCCTTTTCACCCTTAACTAATTTTTCTAGGATTTCTATGGGACCAAAGTGGGCAAGGGGACAAGTATATTTGGTTCTGGGGGGCTCTTATCTCCCAGCATCGCCTTGCATTGACTCCTTTCAAAGTAGAAAACCCTCCCAGTCTGTTATTTCTAGAAGGAAGCCTTGCCTTTATCATCATCTCACTACCATAATCACCATCATTATCATCACCATCATCATCACCATTATCACCACCACTATCATCATGATCACCATCATCATCACCATCATCATCGTCATCACCACCATCACCGCCACCACCATCATCATCATCCTCGTTGTCATCATCATCAACATCAACATCATCTTTTACTAAAGTGAGAGATAGGGCCAAGTCCATTGAACTGTGTACCTTTAATTCCGACAAGCTTTCCCTTCCTCTCACTTTCTCCAGCACTTTTCTGAGCTTCTGGTATAACAAGTTTTAGAATTTGATTACAGCACCATCTACTGGGTACTAGACTTCCCATTTTTCTAGGCCTTTCCTATACGTTGATGTTTGCTTCTTCTTTCTGTTTTTCCTCCGCTCTCTCCTGCTTTTTCCCCCATGAAAGTAACAATTGTTAGTTTGAAAAGGTTCCATCAATTAATTCCTAAAAGTGAAGCTCTTCTAAAATGAGGAAAAGCTTAACATCCCTTGCCAATAAATACAAAGACAATGGCCGATGCTTACTGCAATGCATTTCATATAATTATTTCCCACGATCAATAATCTCATCAGTAGGCTCAGTGATGGGGACATCACGGTAATGAATGGCTGGGTCCAGCGGCCATCAGAAGTGCTGTCCTTATCCCTGTCACCTCTGAGCTGCCCAAGGGCATGACGGGAATCAGGGCTCTGCCTGGCCAAAGGATTAATCATAGTTATCCCCAACTCATATTCGTGTAATTTGCCTTCCTAATGCAGCCTGCCCTGAATTGATCAGCATGGATTTCTTGCTGCACAATAGGCCACTCTTGTGGTGTAGAGAAGAGTGAGAAGGACTCTGTGTACATGGCAGGGAAGGGTCAAATTGGATTAGTCACGCTCAGGAAGTAACAAAAACTGAATCACACCAGACCACTGCTGAAGCATGTTTCTGGAAGCCAGGCTAGAACTTCTGGGGACTTTGGGAAGGGAAGGAGAGACGGCTCCATGCACTCACAGTGTTCTTTAGGGGCCAGGCAGAGACGTGGGCCTCCCCGTCTCAGTCAGGGCCACAGGAGGAGCAAGGAGCAAGGACAGCAGGAAAAGGGACTTTCTTGTTGTGATCTTTTAATTCCCAGTTCCTAAAGGGCACCTACTGTGCTTTTCCAGAGACCTTTAAAAGAAAAGTCCCAGGATTTGGAACTCTGAGGTGCTGCCTACTATGGAATATGCAGGGATGGAGGCCATGGCTTCACAGTTGCAACTGAGTGGCTCAAATCAAATGCAAACCGCAGGATCCTTCCTTTTGCCATAGCAAAGGCTACTTAACCTCTCCATTTCTTTCACTCTGGATGTAGTTGTGGTGGGTAGTAGGGAAAAGTCTCCATCCATGGAGTATTTCCTACTCTTAGACAATGTTTCCCAAGTTTGGCCTGGCTGGTCCATTTGGGGATTGGATCTTACTGCTCTCCACATACTCTGAACCTTTTCTCACCTCAGTGCCTTTGCATAGGCTGGTCCCTCTGCCTGGAATGCCTTTCTCTCCGTTCTTTCCCTGTAAAACTCAGCTCAATTGGCAGCTTCGAGGTGAAACCCTTATTGTCTCCCAGCAATTAGTCTGAATCCTGTTGTATCTGGTTCGTCCCTGGGGTGTAGGATGTGCCACCTTCCCTTTTAGTTACTTGTCTGGTGCCTTCCTTCCTATTGAGCCAAGAGACAGGAGACCCCACCCCTTCTACCGTGGTGTCTGTACTAGTTTGTTCTAGCATTGCTACAAAGAAATACCTGAGACTGGGTAATTTATAAAGAAAAGAGGTTTAATTGGCTCACGATTCTGCAGGCTGTACAGAAAATGTTATTCTAACATCTGCTTGGCTTCTGGGGAAGCCTCAGGAAACTTACATTCATGGTGGAAGAGGAAGTGGGAGCCAGCACTTTACATGGCTGGAAGAGGAGGAAGAGAGAGAGGGAGGAGGCGCCACACTTAAACAACCAAATCTCAAGAGAACTCACTCACTATACCGTGCCAAGTGGGGATGGGGCTAAACCATTCACGAAAACTCCACCCTCATGATCCAGTCACCTCCCACCAGGCCTCCAACACTGGGGATTATAATTTGACATGTGATTTGGGTGGGGCCACAGATCTAAACCACATCAGTGTCTCTGTATCCTTGTAGCCTAGCACACAGTGCTCTCAATCTCAGTTTGTTCATTTGTTAGCTCACTTGTACTGAGTGTACTGAGCACCGGCTTGGTTCTTAATGCTGGGGACATGGTGATAAACAAAGTGGTCTGCTTCTGTCCCTGTGCAGCATGTAATCTCGTGGAGGAGGCAGACGTTAGTTGAATAGCCCCATAGGTCTATTCAACAGGAGGATGAGGGCCTCAGAGACATTCAGCAAGCACAATAGGAACTGACCTGGTATATCAGGGGAGGCTTCCTGAAGCAGGTGACTTTTGACCTGAAATCCACAGGGTGGGGCAGAGGGACAGAATGAAGGTGGGTGAGAGAGTGGGTAGGGAAAGTGTGTCAGCAAAGGGAAGGTCTTGCAGGAAGGGTCTGATCATGAAGATGTTTGGCAGGTATGGGTTGAGTTGCATCTCCCTAAAAACTGCTCAGTCCTGGTACCCGTGAATGCAACCTCATTTGGAAATAGGGTCTTTGCAGATGTTATCAAGTGAAGATGAGGTCATATTGAAGTAGGTTGGGCCCTAAATCCTATATGACTTGTGTCCTTATAAGAAGAGTGGAGGGAGACACACAGGGAGGAGAATGCCATGTGAGGACACAGACACACGAGGGAGGTCGCCTTGTGACAGTGGAGGCAGAGAGGGAAGTGCTGCAGCTGGAAGCCCAGAAACCCCAAGGGCTACCAGCCACCCCTGGAAGCCACGAGAGGCAAGAAAATGTCCTCCCCTCCAGCCTGCATAGGGAGTGGGGCAAAATCCACACCTTAATTTTGGACTTCTGGCCTCTAGACGGGGAGAGAATAAATTTCTGCTGTTTTAAGCCACTAGGTTTGTGGAGATTTGTTATGGCAGTTCTAGGGAATATAGAAATGGTAGGTTTGGGGAAATGAGAGTGTGGCACAGCGTGGCTGGTCTGAGGAGCGGGGAGGAGAGAGGAGAATGAGATGAGGCTGGCAGTGTGGGCAGCAGCCAGCATCATGGCGGCGTGTTGGTTGTATTCAGGATGTGCTTTTCATCCTAAGAGCAGTGCATTTTAGGAACACACCCTTCTCTGCTGCGGTATGGGGTGCCCTGGAGGCCAGGACTGAGAGCAGTGTGGATGGATCCGGGTGGCTGGTGATGTCCTAAACTAGGTGGCAATGGAAGGAAGCTGAGGGATGGGAGAAATAAATGGTAAATGGTTGAATTTGGAATAAATAAGGGAATGAGTGGGACCATGCCATCTGCAGAGGAAGAATGAAGACCGACTTTCAGGAGAAACTCCCTGCATTCTGGAGCAGAGGAGTGACCTTGGGACCGAAGAAGGGTTGTTACCTCTCTTCTATAACAAGGATGATTTAAGTATCATCATTATGGGTCCTGCCCTAAAGGTCCCCACAGCAACGTCATGCTATCTCATGAAAGCTGCCAAGAGGCTGCTGCTGTCCCCAGGCTACAGATGGGACAGCCTTAGAGAGGTTCAGTAACTTCCCTCATGTCCCCAGGGATGGCAAAGTGCTAGCACTGGAAACCAGTTCTCCATGCTTCCTCAATGCCTGTCCAACTTTCTTCTCACCGCGCGACTATCAGACACCTCCTGCGTGTGCTCCCTGACTCCATCAGCACACACCAGCCAGGCCAGAGCCTACTGAAATGGTTCTTAATCTTTTTTCTCTTTTAAATGTTATTTTATTCTGTCACGTTATCTGCATCTTGCTTCTTTGTAGGGGTGGAACAAGGGGAGAGTTAAAAGAATGCAACAGACACACAACTAAAAGAAACAGAGGGAACAGAGGGCCAGATCAGATAGCACTGCCTGCTGACAACACCTCTTGGAGTCAGCCGGTGGCACCAGCACCTTCAGAACATGAAGTGTTTCTACAGAGGAGGCAACTGGTCTCCTGGGTGGAGCTTAATAGAGACTTCAGGTTTAAGATGATGGTGACATGGAAGTGTAGATCTGGTGCCTGGTGCTCAGTTAAAGATGAAACAGGACAGAAGCTTGGAGCATCTAGTATCAGTCTTGGGCTGTCTCACAAAAGATCTTCCCCTTATGATGAACAGGAGGATTCTGTAGCCTTCGGGGATAGCCTGGAGGGACAGGAGGAGGCAGTGACCACACCCATATTCCAGTCTGGCTCTGCTGCACCCTTGCTGTGTCTTTGGCTTCTCTGGGCCTCAGTTTTTTCATCTGTAAAATGAGGGACTGGACGAAATGACCTTATGTTCTACTCAAAAATGCAACAATCATAATCTTATTCTTAACATATCATTAAGACATAAAATTAAGAGTTTATGTATTCCCTGCAAGTTTGAGTTGTCTTGAATCCACAGCATCAGAGCTCACCACTGCCCTCTTGGTTCTGGCTTTGGCCTTAGCTCTCAAATGAAATGCAATTCTTGGATTCAAATGCTATCAGTAGGTCAAGTTTTTTGTTTGTTTGTTTTTTTCTAGTGTGTTTGTCAAAGGGAAAGGGAAGGAGCTGCTGCTGTTTGTGATGTTCCTATATCACGTCATGTCCTGTGCAGGCCCAGGGTCGCTGACCACCCTTCTGGTCCTTGTTTTCCTTTATTTCTGTTGTGCTATACCACCAGCCCACTGACAGTATTTCTGTTGCTCCATCCCACCAATCCCACTAAATGACAAAAGCTAACAAAGTGCATTTTGTGGAGGTGGGTGTATCCTCTAGAAAATTCTAGTAGTGTAATGGCCAAGGGAATTTGTTGCCAAATTTCCTTCTAAAGGGGTTGATTTTGCTACTTAACAAACCATGCTAAAACTCAGTGGCTTAAAAGAAAAATCATTTATTCTCCTGGGCCTTCAGGTTGGCTGGAGATCTGATCATGGCTGGGCTCATTTGTGTGTCTGGGAATCTGCCAGGGATCAGACCATCTAGGCTGGGCTCAGCAGGGTTGGTTCATCTCTCCTCCATGTGCCTCTCATCCTCCCGGGGTCACTGGGCTAACCTGGGTATGTTCTTATGGTCATGGCAGAGGCCCAAACGGGAAAGCCCAACTGCATAAGCACTTTACAAATGTTTGGCTACATCATATCCACTCACTCTGTCAGCCACAGCAAGTCACATGGTCACCCCAAAGGCAAGGACAGGGAGGTATCCTCTGCCTCTTTAGTGGGGGAAACTGCAAAGTCATGTGGCAAAGGGTGTGGACACAGGGAGGAACTAAGAAGCAGGGTCCTTAATGCACTTTGTATTTTTACAAATCACATGTGCATACTGATACTATCTCTCTTTCATATTTGTACTTTCCTTCTCCCAGTGACAACTGTGCTTCTCATCTACATCAATCTAGTTGCTCATCCTCGAGGTACCCAAAATAGTGTCAGAATTACTATCCCAAGAGCACTACCACCAACAAACTCACTAAGTTAAAGTGCAAGATTTTTTTGTAGCTATTCTTATCCTTTGGATACATCCCACTAAGTGTGTAGAGTCAGATCACTGAGTTCAAAAATTACTTGAACTAATTCTTTTTTCTGAATGGTTTTAAGTTTGATATGCATATAGAATCATTTGTTTCTGTTTGTATTAGATTTTAGGGTTTGCTTTTGTTTATCCTTTTTTACTTAGTATTTTTTAAATATGTAAAACATGCCATGGTTCAAAAGACAAAACCATGTAAAAAGGTATACTCAGAGAAATCTCACCCCTAAACCTCCTCTCTCCATGCCATTCCTACTTACTCCCTATAGGTAGACATTTTTATTAGATTTTGGTTTATCATTCTGTGTGTCTTTTTATGAAAATGAGCACGTGTGTGTGTATAATATGTATATATGTGTATACATATGTGTGTTTATTAACTCTATTGAGTGGATATGCATTAGTGTATTCAAACACTCCCAGGGGTGCACATTTGGTGGAGGCCAGTGTATCGTTAGGAAAAATTCTAGCAGTGCAATGGCTGGGCCAAGGGAATTTGTTGCCAAATTTCCCTCTAAAGGCATTGTGCTATTTTGTACTTGTGCAATCAGCATATGAGAGTTAACACAAGCCCTGTCTTCATGAGGATATTGAGGGAAAAGAAATGAAAGTTTGGGGAATTGTCCAGAGACTTGAGCTTTTGTGACAGGGAACTTCCAGTTTCCCAAATTAGTCATTGTGCAGCACAGGTGTGATTGGTTAGAATTTTCTCTGTGATCATCTCAGAACATCTGTTTTGCCAAAAGCGTTATTCCCTTTTTCTGTTCATTTTCTAGGGCTGCTTTAACAGACGATCACAAACTTGGTGGCTTTAAACAACAGAAATTTATTTTCTCACAGTTCTGGGGGCCAGATATCTGAGATCAATATTGATATGGTTTGGCTCTGTGTCCCCACCCAAATCTCATCTTGTAGCTCCCATAATCCCCGCATGCTGTGGGAGGGACTCGGTGGGAGATGGTTGAATCAATGGGGTGGGTCTTTCCCATGTTGTTCTCATAATGGTGAGTCTGTCTCATGAAATCTGATGGTTTTAAATGGGAGTCTCCCTGCACAAGCTCTCTTTGCCTACTGCCATTCATGTAAAACATGACTTGCTCCTCCTTGCCTTGCGCCATGATTGTGAGGCCTCCCCAGCCACATGGAATTGTAAGTCCATTAAACTGCTTTCCTGTATAAATGACCCAGTCTCAGATATGTCTTTATCAGCAGTGTGAAAATGGACTAATACAGTGAATTGGTACCAGTAGAGTGGGGTGCTGCTGAAAAGATACCTGAAAATGTGGAAGTGACTTTGGCACTGGGTAACAGGCAGAGGTTGGAACAGTTTGGAGGGCTCAGAAGAAGACAGGAAAATGTGGGAAAGTTTGGAACTCCCTAGAGACTTGTTGAATGGCTTTGACCAAAATGCTGATAGCAATATGGACAATGAAACCCAGGCTAAGGTGGTCTCAGATGGAGATGAGGAACTTGTTGGGAATTGGAGCAAAGGTGACTCTTGTTATGTTTTAGCAAAGAGACTGGCAGCATTTTGCCCCTGCCCTAGAGATTTGTGGAACTTTGAACTTTAGAGAGATAATTTAGGGTATCTGGCAGAAGAGATTTCTAAGCAGCAAAGCATTCAAGAAGTGACTTGGGCATTGTTAAAGGCATTCAGTTTTATAAGGGAAGCAGAGCATAAAAATTTGGAAAATTTGCAGTCTGACAACGTGATAGAAAAGAAAATCCCATTTTCTGAGGAGAAATTCAAACTTGCTGCAGAAATTTGCATAAGTAACAAAAAGTGGAATGTTAATCCCCAAGAGAATGGGGAAAACGTCTCCAGGGCATGTCAGAGACCTTTGTGGCAGCCCCTCCCATCACAGGCCCAGAGGTTTAGTAGGAAAAAATGGTTTCAGGGGCCTGGCCCAGGGTCCCTCTGCTGTGTGCAGTCTAGGGACTTGCTGCCCTGTATCCCAGCCACTCCAGCCATGACTAAAAGGGGCCAAGGTATAGCTTAGGCTGTTGGTTCAGAGGGTGAAAGCACCAAGCCTTGGCAGCTTCCACATGATGTTGAGCCTGTGGGTTCACAGGAGTCAAGAACTGAAGTTTGGGAACCTTCGCCTAGATTTCAGAGGAAGTATGGAAATGCATGGATGCCCAGGCAAAAGTTTGCTGCAGGGGCAGGGCCCTCATGGAGAACCTCGGCTAGGGCAATGTGGAAGGGAAATGTGGGGTTGGAGGCCCCACACAGAGTCCCCACTGGGGCACCACCTAGTGGAGCTATGAGAAGAGGGTCATCGCCATCCTCCAGACCTCAGAATGGTAGATCCACTGACAGTTTGCACCATGTGCCTGGAAAAGCCACAGACACTCAATGCCATAAAAGCAGTGAGGAGGGTCCTATACCCTGCAAAGCCACAGGGGTGGAGCTGCCCAAGACCATGGGAACTCACCTCTTGCATCAGTGTGACCTGTATGTGAGACATGTTGTCAAAGGAGATCATTATGGAGCTTTAAGATTTGACTGCCCCACTGGATTTTGGACTTGCTTGGGGCCTGTAACTCCTTTGTTTTGGCCAATTTCTCCCATTTGGAACAGCTGTATTTACCCATGACTGTACTCCCATTGTATCTAGGAAGTAACTAACTTGCTTTTGATTTTACAGGCTGATAGGCAGAAGAGACTTGCCTTGTCTCAGATGAGACTTTGGATTGTGGACTTTTGAGTTAATGCTGAGATGAATTAAAACTTTAGGAGACTACTGGGAAGGCATAATTGGTTTTGAAATGTGAAGACATGAGATTAGGGGGTGGGCAGGGGCGGAAAGATTTGGTTTGGCTCTGTGTCCCCTCCTACATCTCATCCTGTAGCTCCCATAATTCCCACATGTTGTGGAAGGGACTCGGTAGGAGATGGTTGAATCATGGGGGCAGGTCGTTCCCCTGCTGTTCTCATGATAGTGAGTGAGTCTGATGAGATCTCATGGTTTTTAAAACAGGGGTCTCCTCTCTGCACAAGCTCTCTTTGCCTGCTGCCATCCATGTAAGATGTGACTTGCTCCTTCTTGCCTTGCGCCATGATTGTGAGGCCTCCCCAGCCAAGTGTAACTGTAAGTCCACTAAACCTCTTTCCTGAATAAATTACCCAGTCTCAGGTATGCCTTTATTAGCAGTGCGAAAATGGACTAATACATATATCACTGGGCTGGAATCAAGGTACCTGCAGAGCTGTGCTTTCTCTGGAGGTTCCAAGCAAGAAGTCATTCCTTACCTCCTCCAGCTGGGGTGGCTGCTGGTAGTCCTTGGCTTGTGGCCATGTCACCCCAGGCTCTGCCTCTGTGGTCACACCTCCTTCTCCTCTGTGTCTGTGTATAAAATCTTCCTCTGACCCCTCAGATGAGGATGCATGTGCTTGAGTTTAAGGACCATCCAAATAATCCAAGATAATGTCTGTCTCAAGATCCTTAATTTAGTCACATCATATCTGTAAGGGTTCATCCTTTTTAATGCCATATAAGGTAACAGTCTCAAGTTTCAAGAATGAGGATGTAGATATATTTCGGTGGGGGCATTATTAGCCTAACACAATCACTTTTAATTTCTAAAGTGCTTCTGTGCACATTTTCTCATGTCATTCTCAACATTTTCATGAGAAGGATAAATCCTGTCTCACTGTACCGACTCCACAGGTGGGGGACAGTGACTTAGAGAGCTGAGGGCATCCAGTTGCAGGTCTAGAAGAACTTCTGGGGCCAGTCTGTTCCCAAGAGGATGACTCCAGAGAGAATCGCCCCATTTCTGAAACCAGCATGGTCCCAGATGTTGGCCTGGACCCTGCCACTAAATAGCTTTGTGCTAACTGATATCTGCTAACTATGTGGGGAGGCTGAAAAAGCATGTTCTTTGTAGTCAGACAAAGCTGCGTTTGACTGTACTCAGTGAACTTGGGGGTTACTCACTTTCCTTGAGCCTTAATTTCCTCATCTGTAAAATGGGAATCATAGGAGAGGTGGGATAACATTTGCCAAACATGAATCCACCCTTAGACTTGAGATGCAAAGAAACGTTTTCTTTCTTTATGTTTCCACATGAAATCCCACCTGGTTTCAACTTGACCACTTGGCAAGAATCCCCCAGCGGTCACCCAGGGCCACTCTTCTCTTCCCGGGGACTTTGTTGAGATTCAGGGGGTAAGCAACTCAAGAATGGGCAGGTGAGGCCTTGGGAGGTGAGGCCTCAGGCAGATCAGGCCAGGGCCATTCACTCACCACCGGTAACTCCTGGCCCAGGTTCTCCCAGCCCACTGGAAGGTTTCTCAGAGGTTGTGATCCCGAGCAAGGCCACAAGGGGCTCCTGGCACTGTCTCCACAGGGGTCCTCCCAGGTAGGTGAGGTCCCAGTGCCCACCACTCACAGGACCCTCAAAAGTGCATCCTGTTCCAGTCCAGGTAGGCCCCCCATCCCCAGCCTATCTTTGAAACCGAGAGCCTGACCCTCCCCTGCCCTCAGGGATGACCTAGAGAAATACCCTCAGGTTATTCAAAAACAGGTTCTGTTTAGGGAGGTCTCTTGGAGGTCCTGACAAGTTCTCTTCTTTCCAGAGATTAAAACCCCCAAAACCTGTGTCTGTACCCCCTGAACCCCACAGGGAGTGAGGAAATCTCAGACAGGAAGAGTCTGGTCCCGCTGGGGGTGAGGTGGGTGTAAGGAAGAAAATTCCTTTTATTCCCTAGAGCATATAACAAAGAAAAAAAAGAACAAGAAACAATTCACTTTCTAGTGCACACCCTGGGACGCAGCAGATCTGGGCTGCAGGTGACTTCCCTGTCACGGCACCCCACCCCCTGCATTTTCCCTGGCTACCGTCCAACCAGAACCCGGAAGAGCATGAAGGCCCACAGCCAGTCAGTGACAGTAATGGTGATGGGGAAGGGGCTGCCTCTGTAGTTCATCCCCTGGCTGGGACTTCGTAGAAGGGAAGGTGGTGGCATTGGAAGGCGGATCCACTAGGGAACAGTGGGCTCAGCTGTGGAAGACAAAATGGAAGGACTGAGCGGCCCGGGACCCAGGCCTTTGGGCCAGCGGGTCAGGGAGCCCTCTCTTAGGCTTTGTTGGGAGGAGACAACGGTTAAGTGCTGACCCCTGGAAAGGGAGGCCCCTGGGAGAATGGGAGCTCTCTGGGAAGGGGGTGTCAGAAAGTAAACCTGAGAACAGCTAGGGCTGGAGGGTATGTTTTCATCTTCTAGGAAGTTGCAGAGAACGTTGGTCAAGCTGCGAGGGTGGGTGAGTTCTTAGAGGAGTGTTTGCAGCTGTGGGAAGAGTCTGCCTTTGGGAAGCTGGCGGCGCCTGCACAATCTCTTTAGTGCAACTCAGCCTCACTCACAGGCTGGCTGAGAGGAGTGTGTGGCTCTACGCCTCTGGTTGTTCTGGAACAGTCTGAGTTGGGGGAAGAGGGTGAGAGTTACTTTTTCAGCGGAGGCAAGTGCTGTCCACACTCTCTCTAGTTTTCTATCCAGACCACGTGGAAGAGAATAAATGTGGGACCATTGGGGAGTCTCCGTGGTTCTTTTTGGGTCCCAAGCCCTGATTGCTTCTCATGCTATCGCTGTGGCCCCAGCAGTCCTCGTAAGGAGCCAAGGTTCGGGGGGAGGTGCTTGATCTGTCACGCAGGGAGGAAGGAACAGCTGAGATGCAAGCCAGGTATGAGTGCTCCCCAGGGGTCCCCCCATATCTTAGCCAGCACGTGGTGGCCAGATGTACCCAAGACAGTTGTCTGGCAGCACCACGGGACTGGATATCCACTTAAACCTGAGGAGCCTGGACTTGTCTTCCCACCTGGGTAGGGTGTGGTATTCTGCGATGTTATCCATGCTTCTTTCTCTGGCATTTCCTCCTCTCCTTCTTCCATCTTCTAGTATAGGCAGCAGAAGAGCAAAAATACAAATAATCTGCTTTTGACTTCCAGCAGCTTAGGTCTTAGCACAGGAAAATATTTGAAAGAATGCAAATCAGTCAAAGCCAGTTCTTATTGCCCTGTGGCTAGATAACTTTTGGAGGGGATTGAAAGAAGAAGTGAGAGAAGAAGAGAGAGCCTTGGTGCTTGTGGGAAGGGAAGGAGAAGCAGACCCCTCTCTGGATCTGGGGACTGAGAGCAGAGGAGACACGCACCTCCAATTCCCCTGGGGAAGGCCTGGGAACTTGTGAAATCTCAGTACTGCCCTTGACTCATTACGGTGCAAGAGCTATAGGGCAGAAAGAGCCAGGTGTGGGTGTCTCAGTGCAGGGAAGTTGAGAGTCCCCAGAGAGGTACAGAAGCAGCCAGATGGCTCCTGGGTGTCGAAGAGGGGTTGGAGACAGTAGGAGTGGTGGTGGGGTGGAGAGGGAGAGAGACCATTTGGTTAAGCTGGGAGGCAGGAGCGAGGTAGGAGTCTCCATGGATCATCAGGACTGGCTCAGGAACTGAGACCAGCAGGGAATGAGAACATGTTTGTGGCCATGCAGTGAGATGACAACAAGGACCAGACCCCGCTGCCTGACATCTTAGCCACACGTAAGCCCCAAGTACAGCCCCAGGGCTGGCTGACAGCACTGAGTTAGTTGAAAATGAGTTTTAGAGAAAGGGGGCCTCAATAGAAATTCAGTTCACTTTCATTGAGCAGAAGTTACATTTCTTGCTTTTCTGGTTTCCTAATGACTAGATTTTTCTAGCCCAATTTTTCCAGCAGAGAATTAATTCACCTTTGAAGCCACCTGCTTCTGGTCACTTAATTGTAGAGGAACAGACAGAGATCACACACACTCATACACACTGACACACACCCATTACTGTAGAGGAACAGAGTCACACACACTCATACACACTCACACACACCCCAGTTATTGTAGAGGAACAGCGATCACACACACTCATACACACTCACATACACACCCCCATTATTGTAGAGGAACAGAGATCTCTCTCTCTCACACACACGTTATTGTAGAAGAGCAGAGATCACACACACTCATATACACTCACACACACCCCCATTATTATAGAGGAACAGAGATCACACACCCTCACACACACACCCCCATTATTGCAGAGGAACAGAAATCACACACATACACTCACACATACACCGCCATTATTGCAGAGGAACAGAGATCACACACACTCAGACACACTTACATACACACCCCCATTATTGTAGAGGAACAGACAGAGATCACACTCACACACACACACCCATTATTGTAGAGGAAAAGCGATCACACACACTCATACATACAAACCCTCATTATTGCGAGGAACAGAGATCACACACACTCATACACACTCACACATACAGACACCCATTATTGTAGAGGAACAAAAATCACACACACTCATACACACACACACACATTATGGCAGAGGAACAGAGATCACACACGCTTATACACACTCACACACACGCTCCCATTGTTTCTGCAGAAAGAGTTGTGCAGACTTGCTTTCAGTATTTCAAAAACTGTGAACAATGCTATCATTTGACAATAAAAGCACAAAAAGAGAGACATTTAAAAATTATTTCCCCCTCTGCAATTACTACCCCAGGCCTTTCCATGGGTTTAGAGATGAGGGGAGCAGAGAATGATGCCCACCTCCACCCCCTCTTCTCATCCAGTGTGGCTCTGAAATATCTCTTAATAAGAAGAAAGGTAAAATATTACATAATGTATTTGTTTATTTGACAAATATTTGGTAAGAACATAGCAGACATTTACTGTGCATTTACTGTGGCCGTGCAACCCTTTACAAAAAGTTGGCTTCCTGTAATCCTCCTGACAAGCCCTCAGGGTCTGTGATGGCTTTGTTTGGCCTGTTTCAGTCCTGTGCCAAGGGCTAAGGATTCTAGAAAGAACACCACCCAACCTGCACCCTGTGGAAGCTCATAGTTCAAGCAGCAGAGGTCAGTTCATCTCCCCACCCGTGCCAGAACGTGTGGGCTATGCAGACAGAGAAAGGAGCATCCAACTCTGACAGGCAGGAAGGCTTCCTGGAAAAGGTGATGCCTGAATTGGGACTTAAAGGATAAACAAGAGTTTGTTGGGGGAAGGGCAGTTGGCAATATGATCATGTCAATTTTACCAAATGCACCAAGGCCCTCTAGCCATACAAATTCTCCAACATGCCATAGATTGGCTACCCGCAGTCTCTGTTCCCTTGTCCCTGTGTGGGGTGCTCTCTGCCATCACCTGATTAATGAGCTCCCCCTCATCCTTCAAGTCTCAGCTGAGTGGCTGCTTGGCTGTGCTGTTTCCTGGACAGAATGAATCACATCCTCTCATACTTTCCCTGCCTCATCTGGGGAACGAGGTTGGATGAATGAATGATTGAATGAATGAATGCACAATTATCTAACCTCCCCACCCCCAAAAAATGAGGAGGAATTGGAATGATGTTGTTCTGCAGGGTCCCCTTAGATCATTATATTAATCCAAGTGTTTTTTAATTACTTGAGGAAAAGAGTACTTTGTGTTGCAAGTAATGCAGAAGACCAAATTACACAAAACAAACAAACAAAGCAATGCTGGGGCTCATTGTGAAAAAAAGAAATCACTGGCTGGGAGTGAGGAGATCCACATTCTAGTTCACGTAACTCCCCTCTTCAAACTTGGTGAACCTGTGACACATGCATGACACAGAGAATGAAAGATACAAGACACAGCGTGGTGCTGCAGGCTGGACTGCAGGCTCAGGTGTGAGCGCCAGGACAGCTCCCCACGTGGAGAGGGCTGAGTCCTAGTGAGGCCCAGCTGCTGCACCCATCCGTGCCAATGGCAACTTCCACTTGTGTGCCATGCTGGAGACTCAGGTTGGCATCCCCAGCCCCCAAAGATGCTACTGTCTCCACCTGGATGTCTCCCAGGCTCTTCAGAGTCACATTGTCCCAAACACCCATGGCTGCTTTCTCCAGCCCCCTTCAAGCCTATGCCTCCTCCCTGTCTCTGTTACTCCCACAGTCATGCACTCAGGTGTGCCGCCTGACATCTGGTCTTCATAGTCTCCTCCCCCTCCTCTGGGCACTGAGGAGGTTCTTGGAGGTGGGGGATGCCCCATGATATGGTTTGGCTGTGTCCCCACCCAAATCTCATCTTGAATTCCCACATGTTGCGGGAGGGACCCAGTGGGAGTTGGTTGAATCATGGGGGCAGGTCTTTCCCGTGCTATTCTCTTGATAGGGAATAAGTCTCAGGAGATCTGATGGTTTTATAGCGGGGAGTTTCCCTGCACAAGCTCTCTCTCTGCCTGCTGCCATCCATGTAAGATGTGACTTGCTCCTCCTTGCCTTCCACCATGATTGTGAGGCCTCCTCAGCCACATGGAACTGTGAGTCCAGTAAACCGCTTTTTCTTCCCAGTCTTGGGTATGTCTTTATCAGCAGAATGAAGATGAACTAATATACCCCACTCCAAGGGAAGAAGGAACCCCCTTCTCCCTGCAGTCCCTGGAGCCTCAGCCTGGCCAGAGAAGGGTGAGGAGAAAGCTTTGAGTTGGGCATGAGATTGGAATTTTAAACTAGACACAATTTTAATAATGAAAATAACCTAAAAGTTTTAGAATCTGCCCAAGAGACCCTTCCAGGATATGCTGAGCCCCCAGGAAGGGACAGCTGGTGCTGCACCATTAGAGTGGCATTCAGGGAAGTAAAATGACTTGATATGCTCAGGCCACTCAGTGGAGGCTGGGTGTCCCGCTATTGCTGGTGGCTGAGAACTGCTGTCCTGCCTGGGTTGGCCTGGATGTTCTGGCTCCTGTCCACCTCTGGGACCACACAGACCTCCTACTGGGCATCCTGATGGGGAAAACCAGGGCCATGGCTGAGACAATCAGGCTCTGATGGTCAAACTGAATGGCTGTGGACAGTCCACAGTGAGATGGCAGGTGTCTGCCTGGCAGGCGTCCAGGTGAAGGAGCAGTGACCAGGTCCGCCTGCGTTTGGGTTGGGCTTCTGGATGTGTTGTCCACATATGCAGGTGGAACACGGGACTGTTATGTGGCTTCCCTGTCAGACACCTGAGCTGGCTGCCTGCATTTATCTGGTTCGACACCAGGTACTTTTCGACACCAGGTACTTCCCCCAAACACAAAGCTAGGCTGTTAATGACAGCATAAAGATGGCACAGGATGTGCATAATCCAACTGAGGCTATTACAAGAAAGAAAATTTGGTGAAAGATGCCCAATGCATTGGGAAAGATGAAATGCCTCTTTCCATACATATGAGTTTTATCCAGCTAGAAATAGACTGTTTAAATAACTTTCTTAATTAAATAAAGAGGATATTTTAAAGTTAGATCTGGAAAACCCTCATACCTCCAGCGCATGGTTTCAATGAAATATCCCTTAACATGAAAATATAGACAGTTAGTTTTTTCTTCCAAAGTGAAATGCTGAGAGGCTTCCATTCCTGGTTTATTATGCTTTCTGTATCTCTGCTCATTTTTCACCAGTATTGCATTAAGTATTGATATTGATTTCTTGTAAATGGAACTGAAATAGATGGCCCACAGTTTTTGTTATTGTTCGGTGGCACTTGTATGTAATTTATTATGGCTGTAATGGAGGCTGCCCCTCGCTGCCACGGCTTAAATTAAATGTGCCACACTCTGGCCTCTGCTTGTCACCGGCATCTCTCATTTGATAGCAAAAATTATTATGTATAAAGTTTCTCTTTCCTTCTCACCCCTTCCATAAGAAACAATAACTGTGCCCTTTGTATTGTTTTGAAAGTTTGTGTTGATGACGTCCATCATTAGTGAAAAATATGAAAGTAGGAAGGGAGAGGACAATTTCCTCCTGGCAGCTGGGTTCTGTTTGGTTTCTGGGAGGCCTGGCAGACAGGAGACCTGGAGTCCTGGCCTGGTTTTACTTCAACTCAATGGAGTGACCTTGGGCTAGTCCCCTTCTCCTTCTGACTGTGGTTTTGTGAAGATGCATCCATGGCTCACGTATGTGCAGGGCTCCAATGACAGCCCCTGCAGTCCAGGGCCAGGGAGCTAAGGTGCCCTTTGTCTGTGTGTTTTCCCTGTAGGGAGTGCCCCAGGATAAGCTGGTGAGATGGCAGGGTGGCACCTGAGTGGGCTTGGGCACCAGGCTGTCATGGCTGAGGACATCTGAAGGCAAAATTGCCTGGGGACAAGCAGCTTTGGGTGTCCCATCCAAGGTGCAGTGCAGGTCCACAGAGAGGAGGCACATCTTGAAGCCAGAGAGTGGCCCCCTCCACAACAGGAAAGGGCAAAGCAAGGACAAGGGGAAAGTGTCCTGGCAAAAAAACAAAAACAAAAACAAAACAAAAAAAACACACAACCCAAAACTGGAAATTCTCTTTCTCTTTCAGTTGAACCTCTTGGCTGGGCCAGTACCCGAAAAGCCACACCGAATAATCTTGGGGAATAGCTGTGCGACCATCCTTTCCCAGCATGCTCAGGATTCTGCAAATGTCCTCTGCCTTCTCTAAGGCCCCCATCTCCCTTTCAGGGTTCTGTAGCGTGTGTTCAACTTCTGGCCTGTGTCTTTCACTGTGTCGGGGTATTTTTAGGGGGATAGAATAGGGTGAGAAGCAACAGGAACTATCATGACTGGGGGGAATAGGCAGGCCCAGTATTAACGTGGCGTGTGTGTGTGTGTGTGTGTGTGTGTGTGTGTGTGTGTGTGTGTATTTGTGTGAATGTGTGCATGTGTGTGTTTGTGTTTGTGCATAGCACCTCAAGTGTAGGCATCTTTATTCCCAAGACAGCCCTTGCCAAAGACAGGGTCAAGTCACATGCTCTTAGACCTGATAATTCTGCTTATGTGATTTTCACTTCAAATGATTTCCTGTTAGGCATAAAGGTTTCTACTAAAGAAAAATTTAAGGTCCTCACACAAGCCACTTCTGCTCCTCCACTTCTTAAAGAACCAAGTTAGATTTTAGTGCATTCAGCATGGGGCAAAACAGTGTCTATTAATTAGACTTTCATTTCTATTGACAATGGGGCCTACAGGCCTTGCACTGAGGTGGACACAGACCTTTTGTGGTGCCCTGTTGATCCTGGTTCTGCTCGTGGAAAATTAGGCCTGATTGCCCTATGAAGGCCCCTTCTCTAGTTTCCCTCTCTCACCTGCTAAGTCTCCATTCTTCCTCTAACTGCTTTAAATAGGTCAGCTGAGTTTCATTCTTACAGTCATCAGGCCTTTGGTGAAGGCATCTGTGCTCTTGCTGAAGTCTGCAACATTTCCCAACATGCAGGCCAAGGGCCCTTCTCTTTCGGTCTGACCACTTGTCTGTTCATGCATGCATGCTTTCATTCATTCAGAAAATGTGTCAAGAAAAGAGCACATGATTTGGAGGCAGACGTAATTCAGTGGTGTGCCGGAGTGGGATATTTCCAGCTTGCAAAAGCGGATTGCTAAATTTGTAAGTGTTTTGCAGCTGGTTTTTAAACATATATTAAAAATGAAATTGTAGAAAATTGCAATTAAATAAATTATATCAAAAACAGAAAATAAATACTCAAAACTCATCATTTTCTAATTATTTTATAACATTGTATTACCATCTGTATCAGAGGTTTCCAAAGTTTTTCTATGAAAGTGCAGATAGTAAGTATTTTAGGCTTTCTTGTCTCTGACACACTATTCAGGTCTGCTGTTTTAAGGTAAAAGGAGCCACAGACAATGCATCAAAGAATGGGCATGGCTGTACTCCTGTAAAACTATTTATAAACATGTAGCACTAGATTTGGCCCATAGCCCAGGTCAAGTTTGCCAACTCTTGATCTATGCTTTTGAGGTTATTTATGTCTGTAATATCCTTCTGGTGGAAATACTGTATAATGGTTGCTCCCCAACTCTGCCTTCCATGAGCTCATGCTGGCAGCTTGGAATCAGCCATGGTGGGAGTATTTACACCACAGAAATTGGCAAACACTAACAATCAGTTCTCTTTTCCCAGAGAACTGGCTAAACATTCACGGGGACACCACTGGGTGCGTCTGAGTCTTGACTCCGTGTTATATTAGCTCTGTGGCCTTAGGCACATGATTTACTTTCTGAGCTTTAGTTACCTTCAATAAAGGCAGAGACTGTGCCTATCCCAGAGCACTGGCAGGGGCTGAAGTGACACAATGTGACCTAACGCGTGTAAAGCACACAGCCATGGGGCCTGGTTTAAGGGGGATTCACAGTTGAGACAAGAACTGGCTCTGGCCTCAGGAATTCTCAGGGTCCCGGAGGGAGAAGGTATAGCTCAACCATAGAACGTAAAAGAAAGAATCATAACCTGCAGTGGAAAGATCTGATCAGCCACTCTCCAACCTGGGGACTTCTGACAGCTGATTCTTGGGCCTCAGAGCTATGGTTTCAATCTCAACCACGACCCTCCAGGCAAGCCCTCTGCAACCCAGCTCCTGCCTCCACTTCCCACTGCTGACCCGACCACACACCCCGAGACCCTTCGCCCTTCCTGATGCACAGTCACGCCCTACAGTCCTTGTTCCCACTACCCCCCTCTTCCTGCGCCTCCCGTCCCTGCCCTTGTCTCTGGACTCAGCTCACAGGCAGCCTCCCTCCGTAGCTTCTCAGCCACTCCCAGATAGATCTCCCCATCTACAGGCTTCTATATCCTTGAGAGGGGATTCCAGCTCTTCCCCGTGGCCTGTGAGGCCCTGCACGCTCTGGACCCCTAGGAATGAATCATGTTTGGTATTTTCTATATTTTATGATGCTTTGACATCTTGGGGACCTTACTGGCCAGAAAGCAAATTGCCTGCAAGCCCACCACCACTCACATGTAACCAACCAGTCCAGGGCCCATTCTCCACTCACCTTCTCTATCTCACTCACACACTAACCAATATTTCCCCTGCCCTAAACCACCCCTGAACCAGATACCGAGCATCTAGAGACCACCCCAGAGTCCAGAGGTCCCCCAACACGATTCAGACTAGCTGGTCCTGGGCTGTTTCCTCTGCCTGGCCTGGCCTTTCCTGAGGAAACCACAATGAGGGCTCTGCTGGCCTAGGCTTCTGCCTCACTCTTTGTGTCTTGGCCCTGTCCAGTCCTTCACCTCGTGGTTCTCTCTCTTGTCACTCAATTGCCTCTATAAATTAAATCTGGGGTACAATCCTGAGACACCCTCCATCATCTCCCCAGCCTCCTCTCCTAACCTGCCCCCTGCACTTCATTCCAGATGCACTGGTGGCATGCCACCCCTCAGGCGTGCTGCACTTGGGCCTGCCCCAGGGCCCTTGCACTTGCCTTTCCCTCTGCCTGCACTGCTCCACCCCCAGGTATTCTCACAACTCAGCCCCTCACTATGGAAAGACTTTGTCTTGTCGGTGCTTTGTCAGAAGACAGCCCATGTTCTCTAATAAAAAACCCATTCTACTACCACACTCACCTGGCACTCCCTATTCGATAACCTGCTTTGTTTCTCAATCTCCTACCAACACCTGGCATCAGACACATTTGTTTATTTCTGCCCCTTCTTCTTGAGTACAAGCCCCATGAAGGCAGGAATAGGCTTGTTGAGCTCACGGCTGCATCCCTAGGACTTAGAGCCATGCCCAGGGTGGAGTAGGGGCTCAGGGAGTATTTGGTGCCTCCACTGGGGAGGGGAAGGCACCTCTGCACACCTTCAAGCCAGTACTGATCACCTGCTCTCAGTCATGGTTTGTTGGTGCCCCCTCTGGGGCAGGGACTGGGCCCCTTTGTCTGGGCATCTCCCTGGCACAGTCAGGTGAGTAGGGAGGCCCAGCTTGGGTTTGTGGACTTCTTGGTGTCTCCATATCAGGAGAGGGCTCAGAGCAGGGAGTGGACATTTACAAGTATGGGAATGAGGGAGGTTTCTTGGAGGGAGGGGTGTGGGATTGGGCAGGAAGAGAAGGAAAGGGAGGTACATGGATTTGCAGGCACCAGGTGTGCAGGGTGGAGAGAGCACTGTGGGCACAGTCGCTGAGGTAGGCAGGGGCTCTGGACCAACTGCTGCCCCATTTCCAGCCTCAGTTTCCACTCCAGGCCTTGGACAGTCTGCTCCCCGCATAGGTGTGCTCCCTCCTGCCTCAGGACCTTGGCACATGCAGCTGCCTCCTGTAAAACATCCTTCTTGCCCCCGACTCCACCCCCAGTAGCATTGCCCTCTTCATGCATCCTTCTACTCTCAGCTCAAAGGTCAGAGAAGCTTGCTTTACCCTCCCAGACCCCGTCAGGGCCCTCTCCCACCTCCTCCCGCAATACTGCATTTTTCCTTGGTTAGGGATGGAGTATTACAGTTGGAGGTGAGTACTTCCAGTAGGATTTGAGCTAACATTGCTCTCCCTCCCTGAATGGAAGTGCAGGGAGCACAGGGGCCATGTCTAATTTGCTCAGAGTAAAATCTCCAGCTCCTAGCACACGCCTGGCACATGACAGGCCTCGGCATGCAGGGGTTGGCTGAGTGAGTTCCAGCCTGGGAGTCGCCTGAATGCACTGGGGTGTCACAGGAGACCAGGCAGACAAAGCTGGTGGGACTTCCTGGAAGGATTTGAGGCACAGCCACAGAGCCCCTCCTGCCAAATGCCCCAGATCAGGCAGCACGTGAGTTTATAGGGGTCCTCTATACAGGGGTGGCATGGGTCCCCACACCTCCTTTTCATCAGCTCTATCTGGGAGAACTAGACCAGCTTTTGGAAACCAAACCCACGTAGGCAATAGGTTTGTTTGAGGCTTTAACAAATCAGGCCTTTTAACATCAGAAAGCCAGGCAGCGTGGCTGCAAATTGGAGAGATCATTTTTGTTTAGCTCCTGGTAAATAGCTTTGTATGGAGGAAAGTGGAGCCAGGCCCAAGAGCAAGAAAAATACAGGTCAGGAGTCTGGGTCTGTCTAAACCTAAAAGATGCAAAAAATCTTGGATCCTAAGACCACGAGGCTGGGTTTTGGAGCTGTGGCACATGTAGGCATTGAGGCTTGATAGCTCTGAAATTGGGGCTGGACCTCCAGCCAGCTGCAGAGGCCTGACCAGTGCCTCGTTAGGCTCAGCACCCAACACCAGGGTGCCTGTATGTGATGTGTGGGGGCTTGCAGAGGCTGAAGTGAGGGGTTCTCTCTTCAGCAGCTTCCACTGTGATTTGTGGGGCAGGCTCTCACATTCCTTCAGAGCATAGAATCGGCTGGCCTGTTCCCAGGATATACCCAGGGCCTGGGTCAGCATCCACCCTGCCCTCCCAAGGAATCAAGGGAGGGAGGGAGGAAAGAAGAGAGGGAGGAGGGAGGGAAGAGGGAAGGAAACAGGGAAGGGGGTTCCTTATTCTCCCCCAGCCCCATATTTTACTATGACAAGGACTTCTCGCCTCTCTCCTGCTCATGAAACTTCCTAGGCAACATAACCTTTTGGGTGGAGCAAAGTCACTGGATCCCTGAGGCAGCCATCCCCTTCCAGATCCCAGTTCCCCTTCTCCTCCTTTGTGGCTCCTTTGCCTCAGGAGGAATCTCTGTTTTCTCATCTGTAAGGACGATAGCTCACTTCTTTCATTATTTGGTCTGTTGAAAGTCAGGACTGAAAGTCAGAACTCAAAAGAGGAACAAGGCCACAGGCAGGGCCACACAGAGGTCAGTCCAGGTGGCAATGTTATGGGAGATTAATTTGGGAGCCCTTAGACACTCCTCCTAGTGCTTGACTGAAAAAGGAGAAGTGAGTATTTCATCTGGACTCTCATCTGCTTCTTATGTTGGTTTCCCTGCCTGAAGTTTAACAGTAAATCATGCCTGAAAACACAAGCCAAACGAGAGACTCCTGTCTCTTCCTTCAGGCTTGCACACGTTTCTGTGAAACTGGGGAACTGGCTTAGGATCTTGGTAGCGTGCGGTGTTTGAAAAGCCCACCAGAAGATGTTTCCAAGCACAGCTGGAATATGGAGCCACCAGCAACTGGCTGGAGGGGACACTGTGCTTCAAGCCCGGCAGCATTAGAAAATGTATTGGGTGCCAGTGGGCCCCGGTGTCACCTTTTCTAGAGAGTCTACAGGCCTCCATCCTTGCTACCCCCTGTTGATCTGATAGGAATGGCACCACCACCATGATCATCATCACCACCATTTACTCACTCAGGTACTGAGCACTCATGGTGCACCAGGCTCTGTGGCCGAAAGCCCCTCACTCCTGCCAGGATGCCCAGGTTTTGTGTTGGCCCAAGATGTGCTTGTTCTGTGACCTTGGATAGGTTGTTCAATGTGGCCTCAGGTATCTCACCTATAAAATGAGAATAATAATAATACCCACCTTCAAGGTCATCATGAGGATTAAATGAGCTATATACATAAAACTCACAGCAGACCTGTGGCTATAGTAAGTGTTCATTAAATGTTAGTTTCTGTTATGAATGCTAATGGACCTCCCAACAACCCTGCATGGTAGGTGATTATCCAAATCTTCCATGTGAGGAAACTGAGGCTTACAGAGCTTTGGCAACTTGACCATGGGCTCAGAGCTGGGAAGTGGTGGCATGGGGATGAAAAGTTAGGCAGGCTCACTTTCCAGCTCCCATTCTTAATCATGACTGTGAAGAGTTCCATATGTTTCCCTAATCTCCATCATCTCCTTCTGTGAGAAGACTAAGCAGCTTACAAAACACCACTAAGCAGTGTCCCTCTTGTTGAACATTTTTGCACACATCTCCCAGTACACACATACAAGGACATGTACCCAAGAGAGGGATGATTGTGTCATAGGCAGGATGACAATATAACTTATCGTTCAATCCAGGACAGTTTTGAGAGTAAAAGGGGCTGCTAATATTTATGCTGGTGCAACAGGTGTTTTCTCAGGACAATCCTAGTTTACCATGTACATGCATTTTAAACAAAATCTTTAATGAAGAACATAAGACTTTAGAAAACTTTTTAACCCCCAGGCAATCCCCCCCTATACTTCATACTTATGACTTACAGGCTGTGGTTTTTTAGTATTTTAGTTCAGTATTTAGTTAAAATAGAAATTTGTGTAGATTTACCTGTATGTTTTCCATTTGATTTGCTCAGTTTCTTCTTGTAGCATAGACACATTTTCTGTTATCTTTTATTTTTTTCCCTGATGAATGTCTTTTAAATGTTATTTTACTGACTATAGATCTGTTGGTAGCAAGCATTTTATTTTTTGTTTATAAAATTTTATGAAATTACTTTTTATTTCAAACTATGTTGGTTACAAATTTTAGGTTAACATTTATGTTCTCTCAGTACTGAAATGGTATGGTTCCACTGTTTCCTGGTTGTTATTATCATTGTTGAGAAGTCTGCTGTCACTTTAATGTCTTTGTGGGTGGTCTGTCTTTTCTTTCTGGCTGTTTTTAATATTGCGTCTTTGTCTTTGGTGTCCTGCAATTTCAATGCACTATATCTACACATATCTTTTATTCTTTTTGGATGTATACTTCCTGGATTTATGGATTCATGTCTTTTATCAACTTGGGAAACTTTCTTGGCCACTTTTCTCTGAAAAAATTCCATTTTCTGTATTCTTTCCTTCTGTGATTTTTATCAGATGTGATTTAGAACTTTTAATTTTAGCCTTCATAGATCTTAGCTTCTCTTTCATATTTTCCATCTCCTTGACTGAAGTGCTACACTAATAGGTAATTTCTTCAGCTCTGTATTCCAATACACTAATCTCTCTTCAGTTGTGCCTCATCCATTATTTAACTCATCCATTGCATTTCTGATTTCAACAATAGTTTCATTCCTAAAAGTTCTATTGGGTTATTTCTTAGATATCTTTGGTTATTTTGATGGTCTTTTCTTGCTTGCTTATTTTTGTAATGCCAATTTTAATTTCCTTTAACAGTTAATGCAACATTATTTCATATTATCTAACTAGTAATTATAATTTCTGAAATATTGGCAGTCCAGGTTTACTGTTGGATGTGTTTGCTAACTTTAAGTCATAGTGACTTATTTTCTTGTGTATTTGGTGGTCTTTTATTATGGGGCCATGTTTGTATGTGCTTAATTGGTAGGAATCCTATAGATCTAAATGCTTTCCTCCGAAAAGTCTTTGTATTAGATTTCTTTCTGGGACCTAAAAACGTCTATGAATTTGGGGTCACTTTAGACTGTTGAGGGTCTGTAATTTAATATAGTAGTTTTAGGCTTAGCTCCTCCATCTTGCTGATGGCCTAGCGATTAGTGTCTCAGTTGCAGAGCTGATATTGACATTTGTACTCAGTGCAACCCCATCTTTCCATCTGCTTAATGCAGGTTTTCTTTAGCTCAGGTTTGTTTTTCTTTGGGGTGAGGACGAGGTCCTTGGACATTAAACTTATTTCTTACAAATCTACCAATAAAATAAGTGCAGCAGGACAGCCCTTTGGATAATATTAGCTTCCATATTGCTGGAAACAGAAGTCTAGATGCATACATTTTCCAGGGATGAAGTGTCCATATCTAGAAAATAGGCAAGACAATATTGACTCCTTCATGAGACTGTTTAGGAGATAAAGTAACTGATCTAAAGGAGTGGTGGCTTTCCAGAGCAGTGGCTACTGATGTTCCCTATTCTCCTGCCCCACTCCTATTTCCTGAAAGTGGACTGACCTACTCTTGACTCACATTTCTGATGAGCCATAGGCCAGGAAGCCTTGAATTCTGGGGTTTTCAGACCATTGCTTCAGCTACTCACTCCCTCCTTCTCAATACCCTTCATCTCTCTACAACTGATTCTAACCTGCTTCCACTTCATCTTGTCCCACCGTCCTAAACCCTTGGCTTTGTGACTCTGGAATCTCTCTGCTTGCTTTTGCTTCCTTTTCCCCTCTGCTCTCAATGTGTTAGGCACCCTTTCTGTTGCTGGCATTTGGACCTCAACTCTCCTAGCTCTGACTTTACTAATCTCTCCAGTCTTAGCCCCTCTTGTCATCTTGGCAAGAAACTCTTTGCACTAGCCTCACCCTATGCAGTCCAGCCAGTTCCAGGGGCTGATAGAGGGAAGGGGGATGTTGGATATGTTAGGGGCATTTTTATGGTTAACTTCTGTGGTGGAAAGATCATTTGGAAATCACACTGAAGATTATTGTTGGGTGAGTAAGTTGGAGGGGCATTTTACTTTGTATTTCAATACCTGTTTTTATTTATAAGTCACACATACATCTCTTCCCCACTCCACTCCACAACCTCATTTTCCCTCCAAGCATTTAGGAACAAAGAGGTTTCTAAATCCAGTGTAAGTGAAAGAGCCTGAAAACCTGTCAGCAGATTAAACAAAGAGTAAATCTTCATGATTTGGGTTAGGCAATGACTTAGATACGACATTCAAAGCACAAGCAACAAAAGGAAGAAATGGACAAATTGGACTCATAAAAATTAAAAATTTTTGTACCACAGGTGGTGTCATTAAGGAAGTGGAAAGACAATCCATAGAATGGGAAAAATATTTGCAAATAATATATCTGATAAGGGACTCGTATACAGAAAATATAAAAACTGTACAACTCAATAATAAAAAGACAAATAGTGCAATCTTACAAAAGGGCAAACGATCTGAATAGACATTTCTCCAAAGAAGATAAACAAATGGCCAGTAAGCACATGGAAAGATGCTCAGTTTTGTTAGTCATTAAAGAAATACAAAGCAAAATCACAGTAACAAACCACTACGTACCCACGAGATGTCTAGAGCCAAAAAGATAGACAATAGTAAGTGTTGATGAAGATGTGGAGAAATTGCAACCTTCATGCATTGCTGTAGCTACTTTGGAAAACAGTGTGGCAATTCCAAGTTAAATGGAGTTACCATGTGACCCAGGAATTCCACTCCTAGGTATATATCTGAGAAATGAAAACATATGTCCTCATGAAAACTCGTCCATGAATGTTCATAGCAGCATTATTTATAGTAGCTGCAAAGCAGAACAACCCAAGCACCCATCATCTGATGAATGGATAAACAAAGTGTGGTTTATTCATACAATGGAATATTATTTGGCAATAAAAAATAACAGAAAACTGATATAAGCAACAATACTACGACATTAATGAATGTTGAAAAAGTTATTCGGAGTGAAAGAAGACATTACAAAATACCACATACTGAATGACTTCACTCATACAAAGTGTCCAGGATAGACAAACCTGTGGAGATGGAAAGCAGATTCCTTGTAGGGCTGGGGGTGACAGGTGGGAGTGACTGGGAGTAACTGCTCATGGGTACTGGGCTTCTTTGTCAGGTTATGGAAATGTTCTAAACTCAGGCTATGGTTATGGTTATACAATACTATACTAAGAACATTGTTTTGAGTGAATCATATGGCTGATAAATTTTATCTCAATAAAGCTGGTTTTATTTTTATTTTCTTAAAGTCAGCAATTCTTTTCCTTGTCTAGGAATTTAATTCATCCCTGTTAACAAAATGTTCCATTAAAATTAGGGTTGCCAGATTTAGGAAGTAACAGTACAGGAAGCTCAGTTAAACTCAAATTTCTGACAAACAAGCGATAATTTCTTAGTTATAAGTTTGTCCCAAATATTGCATGAGACAAACTTATAATGAAAAGTCATCTGTTGTTTATTTGAAACTCAACTGAGCATCCTGTTTTATCTTGTTCTCCCAATTAAAATGTAATGCAAACCACAGCGTTTTAATATAGAGCTACATTATTTTCAAAATCATCATCTGTCTCTTCATACACATCCCCTAACTCCAGTACCAGAGGTAACATTGTTTCCATTTTACAGAGCATGAACCAGACCTAGACGGATAAAATGAATGTGACCCTTCATTTTATCCATGTGACCCAGTAGCAATGCCGTGATCTGAACCCAGGTCTGCCTGACTCCCAAAGCCAGGCCCCCTCTACTCGAAGTGCAGGGCCCATGGCCACCTTGCTGTGGCCAGTGGTGAGAAACCTGATTCTCTCCTCGTTTGTGTAAGGCGTGGGGGGAGTCTGAAACCTTCAGTCCCCATAACATTCCTAGCAGGGGCTCTGAAGCCTGGTTGCTGAGGGTGCTGGCAAAACAGAACAGCAAGTTCCCATTAGAATGTTCTTTTCTGGGAGGAGATAACAGGATAATAGGTATGTGACTTGCTACCTGTAAAATGATGAGTGACAAAGAGTCACTCCAGATTAGGGTAATTCAGAACGAGTTAAGCCAATACCTGTGCTCCTTAGAGATCAATTTTTATTTTGAGGTGAGGAGAGGAAAGATGAAAGAGATTTAAAATAAAATTCAGTGTTCCCTTCCCAACCTCAAAAAAGCTTGGGAGCTTTGGAGGGAGGTCTCTGAGTGCCTGGTGAGAGATGGTAAATGTGGATGAGGGCAGAATGTCCCTGAAATTAAAGACATGTGGCTTAGGGACAAATGAGACCTCTGCACTGGATTCCTCAATATTTCCTGCATGAAATCTCTGCACTGAATTCCAGTCTCAGGAAGAAACTGGATGTATACATGATGTTTAAAGATGTTTAACATCTTGAACAGGCTACAGTCAAAAACTAAACAGGCCATTGGGGGATAAATGATATTTTTCTTCCTCTCTTCAGTCATCATAACAAATTCCCTGATGGTTGGGTCAATGGAGCACCCTCTTCTAGGGCAACCTACTGTAATGCAATAGCGAGTTTCACTCTGGTATATTCTATGATATGGATAGTAGTTCCTAAATAGTGGTCATTGAACGAGTGTCAGACTGCATCTGAGTCATCGAGGAAGATTCTAAAATATGAATTCCTGGACTCCATTCCTATAGATTCTGATTCAGCAGGCCTGGCTTGGAGTCTAGGAATCTATGATTCTCATTACTAGCAAGCCCCCAAATGGTTTTGATGGACAGCCAGACTGGAAATCCCTGGTAGAGGTGAAGTGTCAAGATGCTCTATGTCAAAATTAAAAGGTTTGCATTAGACAAGGTCAGGATGTCAGCAGTCTTTGTTTTCTGCAAAAAGGCCTTGCTTTTTGCCATGGATCTATTCATGACATGAAAACAATTTTTTTTAAGAAGCCAAATTGTGCTATAAATATATTAGGACAAACGACTTTTTAAGGAACTCCTGCAGGGAAGCTTTTTCTAAGGCATAGAGCCCATTTGTCATCAAAATCTTTTCCCCCAAAGCAAATTTGCTGGAATGGAAAGCACCGCACCCCAGGAGTGCAGACAGCAGGGTCTGAGCTGCAGCCCTTCCTGATTTTCAGCTGGATGAACTTGGACTCATGGCTTAATTTTCTGGGACTCAGGCTTCCGAGGAGGTGGAGGGATGGTGGGGATGGAGGGAGCCAGCTAGGGGAGTAAAGTGGGAGGTGAGTGGAGGATCTCAAAGCCTCTTTCCAGCTTCTACACTTTCTTAGGGAATCCTATTATATTTTTCTTATTCTATTTCAGTTTTTGCAAAGCAGTTCATGATTGCTTCTACTGCCAAATAGCCAACCCCCCTCCCCAACTCCAGCCCAATTTGTAATTAGGCGTCACGGGCAGACAGGCTGTTCTTGACTCCTGGCCAGAAGCTCTAGTCTTTTGTATAAATACATATGCCAGATCTTAAGTGAGTATGTGTTATTTAAAACCCCAGAATTTCAGGGTGACTTTAGTCTACCAAACAGATTCTCTTGTCCATAGCCGTGGACTTTTTTTCCTTGATCAGACATATGCTTCTCCCTTTAGTCTCCCAGTGGCTCAGGAGTCCACTGCACCTGTGGGATCTTGAAGGCGGTCAGAGGTGCTTGCTCAACTCTTTCTCACTTAAATAGCCCTTCCATGAAGCTGCCTGTGCAGACACCTGACCAGTGGCGTGGGGTGCCTTCTGCCGGGGATCTCTTCTTCACTTGAGGCCTGAACGTAAGGCCAAATTCCTCTCCAGTGTCACCAGGAGAACAAATTTATTTTCTCTGCATATGACCTTGTCGCTTTTCTTTCTGCCCTCCAATTTTCTAGCTAGTCAGAGTCATGTGCTGGGCTTGTGAGGTCTTCCTTATTTGATTATATTCATTGATTGTAGCCTGGTTGTACTGACGAGGCTTGAGAGTTCTGGAGTTCTCAGGAATTGATCAACATCACTCTCAGGAAAAATATCGAACTTGGATAAAAAGCACATCTTAAAAAGCAGCTCTGTCTGATTTCTGATGTTGTTGTTATAGCAAAGTGATGTGCTCACCACCTGCTTCTGACAGTGTTACTGGTTTGAGTGTCAATTGAACCTGCAGCCAAGGTCAGAAATAGTGTGTGGTTGGGATGCAGGAAGCTGGGAATTAATCTCAGTATCATCCAGGCACTTATGATGCAACTGGAGTTTGATGATCAATGTCTTTTTGAATACCCTTGATGCTGCGTTCTTGGGTCTCAGTATCTGTTGTTATAAAATCCATTCTGATCACTCAGAAACTGTATAAATACACATTAGTAATCCATTTGATCCAAAGTTGAGGTCACAACTATGAAAGTCACTGCAACGCTTTTAGTGGGAAGAGAAAGTGTTTCCTGTGATGATGGAGACGTCGTCAGTTGCTGACTTCACCCCAGCACAGAAGCCAGTATGGAGTTTAAAGGGTGCTGAGGTGTGGTCAGATTTTAACTCATTTCAAAGGTCCACAAAATAATGGATATGTAGTGAAATTTTACCCGTGGCCCTGGAAAAAGTTTGTAAATTGCAGAGGTGTAGCTGTCACACAAACAGCCCCTTTGAGAATTTAGCCAATGGCTAAAGACACCAGACGCACCCCAGCGTTTAGGAGTCTGCTCACAGAATGAGAGAACAGGGCAAGTTTGCAGCCATCAGGTGCCCCCAAATTCTGCATTCACGTGTCTACCACTGCTCCATGCCTTTGCCTTGCAAGGAAAACCCAGATTTCTTAGTTACTGAACTTGTGGAGAGTTAGGTGCTAATTGGCTGCCAGGGGGAGCGTAGAAATTCCATGGATTACCCTTCGCATCAAGATGGCACAAACAGGTGTTTGCTGAATCCTCTCTCTACCAAAGGAATGCAAATAGGACTACAACCACTAAATATTTAAGGATAGTGGACTACTCTACTTTATGTCTTATAATTTAGGTGATTCCAATTGCTCGCCCTTAAGAGAAGGAAGGAGAGAGAGAGAGAGAGGGAGAGAGACACTGATTCTGTCTCTTCCTTGGAGTATATCTGGGATAGAAGCAGTGAACCTGACATTCCCACCCTGTCTCCATTCTTGTGTGTTGTGGTGTCTGCCCCTCCCAGTGGGGGGCATCTCACGATGCTATGTGAGATTCTGTGGTTTAAAGATAGTTGTGCAACATTGTTCCTAAATGCAAGTCAACTCGGTGTTCAACTTAGGCTAAAGGAAACCTAGCAGGGCTGGATTTTGAGAGACAGAATGCTGGCGTCCAACAGGTGCCCCCAATGGATTTTCCAAGGCTGTGGTTGGCTCTAGGTGATTAGAGCCCCACACAGCCTTTTAGAATCTAACCCCTAATGAAGTTCACCTCTGAGGCAATTCTTTGCTTTTCATCAGCTGTACATTTAGGGTAAGAGTTTTGTATCTCATTTCGCACCCCAAACATCCTCTTGAAGTAAGTAGAGCAGGCATTTATTATTACCCCCATTTTCACAGATGAAGAAATGATTGGATTTTCCCAATCAACAGCACAGGGCACATGAGTCACAGCTGGGCTCCACCCCAGCCTTTATATCCCTAATCCCTCACTCTCTCCACTTTGCAGGTTTCTTCAGGATGCTGAGTCTTAGATTCTTCTGCCAGCCAATAGGCAAATCCACAGGCCACAATATTTACCTCCAAACCACCTGGCAACAGTCATTATCACGGTATCCCTATCGGGCACTGATATGGCTAGGATTTGTGTCCCCTCTCAAATCTCCTGCCGAATTGTAATTCCCAGTGTTGGAGGAGCCCCGTGGGAGGTGATTGGCTAATGGGGGTGGTTTCCTCCATGCTGTTCTCATGATAGTGAGTGAGTTCTCACGAGATCTGGTTGTTTAAAATAGTGAGTAGCACCTCCTGCTTCTCTCTCTTCCTTCTGCTCCAGCCGTGTAAGACGTGTCTGCTTCCCCTTCACCTTCTGCCATGATTGTGTTTCCTGAGGCCTCCCCAGAAGCAGAAGCCTGTACAACCTGCAGAACTGTGAGCCAATTAAACCTCTTTTCTTTATAAATTACCTAATCTCAGGTAGTTCTTTATAGCAGTGTGAGAATGGACTAATTCAGGCACTTAGGGTTCAGACAGTGTGCTAAACACTTCACATACTTCATCTCATTTGATTTTCTGAGAAACTTATTGGTTAATTATCATTATTATGCCCATATTACAGGTGAGGAAACTGAGGCTTAAAGAAGTACGTAGTCGACAGGCACTGAAATGCTCACTGTATTTGCTTCCTGGGGCTGCCATGAAAAAGTATCACAAGCTGGGGGGCTTAAGACAGCAGTGATGTGTTCACTCACAGTTCTGGAGACTGTAAGTTTGAAAGCAGGGTCTCTGCAGGGCCATGCCCTCCCCAAAGGCTCTGTGAGGGGATCCTTCCTGGCTTCTTCTTAGCTTATGGCAGTTGCCAGCAATCCTTGGCCTCTCCTGCTTGCGGCAGCATCACACCAATCTCGGCTTCTGTCAACCCAGGGTCGTCTTCCCTCTGTGTCTGTCTCTGTGTCTCTCCTCTTCTAATAGGGGCACCTGTCATATTGGATTAAGGGCCCTCCATTCTCCAGGATGACATCATCTTAATTAAACTAATTACACCTGCTACTAATCTATTTCCAAATAATATCACATTCCAGGGCTCTGGAAAGGACACACATTTTGGGGGAGACACTATTTAACCTGGTACATTCTGTAATCCTGTTTCTTCTTCCCGGACACACAGGAATTCCACTCTTCCTAGTCTCCCTTACAATTAGATTGGGTCTATGTTCCTGCATTTTGGATAACAGAATGAGAGCAGAAGCAATGTTCATCATTTCCAGGGTTGGCCATAAAACACCTGTGTAATCTTCCACACTCTCTTCACTCATCAACAGATTGAATTTGGGAGATGACTCTAAGGAGGCCCTAGAAGCTGGAAATGCCCTCAGATGGAAAATGCAGAGATCCTGCATCCACAGCATGGAGGGCCTGCTTCTGAGGACTAAGCGGATTAAATAAACCTTTACGGGGCTAAGCCTCAGACCTGCAAGCTGCTTGTTATAGCTGTTAGCCTCACTAATACAGACATCTAACTGGTAAACTGCAGAGTGGGATTCAGACACAAGTGCATTGAACCCAAAGCCTAGGTTCTCAATTGCTGTTTGGTTTCCTGACCATTGCTCTTGCTAAGTTAGCTAGTGTTTTCTTTCTTTCTTTTTCTTTTTTTTTGTATATGCCCATCAGTGGTTTAGCAGCTGAGGGCACTTGTTTCCAAAATGACCTATTGCAATATTGCCCACTAGTGATCCATGTGTGAATGTGCATCGTTAGGGGGGTAAGAAGACAAAGTCCAGAAGTGCTAGAATGTTCTAGCATATTCATCCCCAGTTCTTCGCAGAGGAACCTACCAAAGAACTTCTGCATCAGCCTGTCCTTAGAAGGTCACCCATTTTTTTCATGTTGTTCCTCTTTATACTTCTAGGTGATGTCATGCCTCTTTGTAACCCACCCCTTCCTCACCGGCCCTTCCAGGAATCTTGGGTGGGTCCTTGTTCCACTCGTCCTGAAGCTTCTTGAGTGCACACTATCTGCCAGGCACCAAGGAGGCACAGTGAAGGAAACTCTGCTGTCTCAAGGCTCCTATTCCTGGGGGAGGCTGAGATCAGGTCCTGAGGCGCAGGGCCCTTCATGGGATTGGGCCACAAGACACAAAAGTGAAGCTAAAGACAGAGCAGGTGTAGATCTGTGCCTCGACCTGGCTGGCAGTCGAGAAGGTTTCCCAAGGAGTAGTATTTGGGGTGACACCAGGTGAGGACAGTCTGAGTGAGCTGGGTGTATAGGGAGATGCTCCAGAGCAGGGCAGGGAGGGGCTGACTGGAGCAAGGAAAGGAGACTGGGCCTTTCCTGGGCCTGGGCCCATATGATGGGGGCATGGCACTCAGGGTAATTTTGTGCAGCTCTGAATGCACCTCCAGAGGGTGGAACCACCTCATCTTAAGATAAAAGTTTGGAAGCAGCCCTTTATTTTGGCTGAGCTTTTAGCTTCTAGAACAGTCTCCCAGGCTTCTGAATGAGCATCAGCCATTAGCATAGACCCCGGAAAACGCATGTGAGGTTGTTGGTGATTCTATGGCCTCAAATTTTCTATTTTGTGCATTGCTTTTCCTCATTTCTTGCTATCTATCTAGGGCCATGTTTTATAAACTAAACATTTCTCATGATGCGCAATCAGAATCTCGTGTATTGAATTATGAAATACTTGACACATGCAAAATATTACATAACATACATGGAAGGCATGTGAACCAGCCACTCAGCCAAAATTATAATTAAACCACTCATCCCGTGTGCGAGAGCATTAGTTTTTTCCTCACCACTTTCTATTTTATTTTTTAATTTTTAAAAATGAAGGTTACTTATTAATGGTAGAACCCTTTTGCTATGAATAAAATTATTGTGACTAATTTTATAAGAAAAAGATGTGGTTCATTACATTTTAAAAAGCAAGTTTATTGATATAACAATAAACTGCCTCTACTTAAAGTGTAAGTTATGACATATGTATACACCCGTAAATTCATCTGTGCCATCAAGATAATGAACATGTCTATCTCCCCATGGTAGCCCCTCCCTCATCTCCTTGAACCTCCATCTGTTTTCTGTCACTAAACATTAGCTTGCATTTTCTAGAATTTAATATAAAAGGAATTATATGGTATGGATTCCTTTTTGGCTGGCTTCTTCCATGTAGCATAATGATTTTGAGATTCATTCCTGTTGCAGTGTGCATCAGTAGTTCTTTTTATTGCTGAGTAATATTCCATTATATGGATATATCACAATTTGTCTATTTATCTCTTGATGGACATTTGATTTGTATCCAGTTTGGGTATTACAAATTAAAGCTGCTATGAACATTCATGTACATCTCTTTGTTTGGAAATAGGCTTTTATTTTTCTGGGTAATTTTATTTTATTATAACTTTCACCTCTTTCATAGTCAGATATCGTCTACTGTATACCCACGGCTTCTGCACAGACCAGGCAGGACAGGAGTAAGGGTGTTTTTGCATTCCAATTTGAGACAACTTTAGCCACTGGGTTCTGGTCCAAGGAATGAAGCTTTAACTTGGCCTATGAAGTTGATGAGCACATGCAAAGTATAATAGCTAAGTTAGTAAGAACGATCGTCAGGAGACCATTGTTTATGACAACCGACATGGAGGAGGAGAGGAAGTCTTCCTTCATCTCGTCTTAATCACATTTTCTCCTTGCCATGAGATTAGCAAACAATGCCCAGGAACAATCTGTAGGTGAAACACATCTTTTAAGGGTTGTTCATATCCGTTCCCAAAGTAAATGACACAAAACCAACATGAGTAGAAGCCAGGACAGGCGTAATTAATGGTGTTTATTTTTCATTAGGATGCCAGAACAATTCCCTAATTGCTAGCAGATTCTAGGATCTGCCTTATTTGTAAACAGTGGTTCACAAAAAAAGTCATTAACAGAATAAACAGCCAATTTAGAGGAAGCAATTGCAATTATAAAATGTGTTTAACGGTTTAAAGAATATTGGTGATATTTCGTAGAGGCTGTCTCTCCCACATTTGAACAGCTACACTTGGCTCACCAGACACCACCCACAGACCCCAACAAATCAGGACTATCCAGCTGGTTTGATCACTTTCTTAAAATGTGAATTTTCTGATTATAAAGCTAACTCATCCTCATTATAGAAAATTTGCCAAATACAGAAAAGAACGACAAAGAAAAAAATCTCCCATATTCAACCTTTTAGCATTAACTATTAACATTTTAGTTTATTTCCTTCCTCCTATGGAATTTATAGTTGGGCTTGAACTCTATATACCATTGTGAATCATGACTTTTTCCCCTTGGCATTATTGTATAAACATTTAGTCTGTTTATTAAAGCTTTTTCTTTGTAAACACATTTTTAATGGCTAAAACATATCCCATTGTATGGACAGCCTATAATTTACTTAACCATTGCCCTTGTTGTGTGTACTTAGGTGTTTTCTCATTATTCCATAGCATAAATAGTGTTGCAATTAGTATCTGGGCAAAAATATTTTTAACTGTATTTAGGATAATTTCCTTGGAATATTATTCCCAGAAGTGAAATTTCTAGACCAAAAGGTATGAAAGTTTTTGAGGTTCCTGATACAAATTGAGCTCTGGGTTTTTTTTTTTTTTTTTTTTGGGGGGGAGTCTCACTGTCTCACTTAGACTGGAGTACAGTGGCGCAGTCTCGGCTCACTGCAACCTCTCCCTCCTGGGTTCAGGTGATTCTCCTGCCTCAGTCCCCCTAGTAGCTGAGACTACAGGCACATGCCACCACACCTGTGCCTGGCTAATTTTTTGTATTTTTTTAGTAAAGATGGGGTTTCACCACGTTGGCCAGGCTGGTCTCGAACTCCTAACCTCAAGTGATCACTTGTCTTAGGGCTCCCAAAGTGCTGGGATTACAGGCATGAGCCACTGCGTCCCACCAGAAACTCAGCTCTGTGTTTAATGCAGTCTCCCGGTAGAGGTGATAAGAGACTAAACCCAAAGGCAATGGTCATGGTTAAATAGATTGCCTTGTGTGGGAGCTGGCGTGATGTGAATAAAAAATCTCGAATTTCTTAGTTTGGAAAGAAGACAGAGGGTCCTGAAAAAAAGCATCACTTTCCAAGAGGCAGCAGCACTCAGACTGGGTGTAACAATGTAACTTGGAGGGAAACCCTGCTTCAAAGATGGAGATAAGCAAAAGGATGCAGAAATGAGCTGTCAGGGTTGTCCAAGTTTGAGGGGAATGCTGGAAGCCTCCAAAATGAAAGGCAGAGGCCATGCCTCACTCCCAAGACTGGGGTGACCATCCACATGAGTCCCCAACAATCAATGTCTGTCTTCTGTAGTTGCCTCCTGAGGGTCTTAATGGATTGTAACTCCCTCGAGAGGCAAAAGTAGTATTGTTGTTGTTGTTACTATTTAAATCCCCTTTGCTTCAGTATATGACACAAGGTATACAACAGGTGCTTACTAAATGAGACTTTAAGTTCCCCGAGGTTAGGATCAATGTCTGTCTTCTCTATTCCCAGTGTCTAGCACAGTTCTTACCATATAGTAGACGTTTAGTAGGCATTGGTTCAACAGAATATATTCAGATAGTTGCTGTCTAATAACCAGTCATTCAGATTCATTTATACAAAAGCTTGTGGGAGAGATAAAAACCCACTAGGTTTGGCTGAATTCCACCCTCTCAATTTTTCTTTCCTACCCCTCCTTACTCTGCTCTGCGTCCCCCACAGGGCTGAGCTATGAACCTACCCAACCAGTGACTAATACTATGATCAGGTCTGTCAGCCTGAGCCTCTAACCCAAGCTCGCTGAGATGGTGGTATCTGTTCTTTAGCTGCTTAACTAATGAGGAAGCAAAGTTGCTGAAGTGTCTTTCTCATCAGAAGTGATGAGCTTGCCCATGATTCAGAGAAACAATTCCATCTTTCTCCCAGTCTTGTGGGGGAAGCTGAGTTGGTTATTCATTCCACCTTTCTTTCTTTCTCTTTCTTTCCTTTCTTGTTCTTTCTCTTTCTCCTTTTTTTTTTTTTTTTTGATGGTGTCTTGCTCTGTCGCCCAGGCTGGAGTTCAGTGGCGCATCTCAGCTTACTGCAGCCTCTGCCTCCTGGGTTCCAGTGATTCTTCTGCCTCAGCCTCCTGGGAGCTGGGATTACAGGCGGACACTATCATGCCCGGCTAATTTTTGTATTTTTAGTAGAGATGGGGTTTCACCATGTTGGCCAGGCTGGTCTCAAACTCCTGACCTCAGGTAATCCGCCTGCCTCAGCCTCCCAAAGTGCTGGGATTACAGGCGTGAGCCACCGCGCCCAGCTTCATTCCATTTTTTCAAAAACTAGTAACTCATATTAATTAGTTCAGTAACCCAGGACTTATTTCAGATTCCGGCAACGATGTCCTCTCATCATCAAGCTACAGACTTCCAAGGTAAGACTGAGCCATGTTGCCAGCAGGCTGACATCTCAGTAACCATCGCCGTCGTTGCTATCATAGCATCTAGAACCGTGCTAGTCTTGCGTTCACCATGGCAACAGGACAATGCGCAGCCTCTGCATTTCCATTATCTTTTGTTGGTTTCCTAAAAGTGGTATTTTCCATGCCAGTATTTTCTTAGCTTACCAATTACACTTTAGAATTCTTTTTGTCTGAGGTTTGCTTCTCTAGCATTTGGAAAACAAATTCATGAAAAATGGTATAAATTCCAAATTGTAGGAAATGGAAGTCAGCTTGGGCACTGACTGGTTTTACAATGTGTAGTCTTAAGTTTTTCGAGACAGTATATAGAAAAAAGGTTAATTAAAACCATGTCATATATTTTTATGTAGTGAAATCAATTCCTGTCTAAAGTGTGATTAGTCTTCTAATCTGCCTGTGTGAGTCAGAATAAGCTGGATAAAGTTCAGTAAAAAATGACTCCAAGTTTCAATGGCTTTAACATGATACAAGTTCATTTCTCTCTCAGGCTCTTCATCCATTGTGGGTCATCAAAGGGCTTTGTTCCATATAGTCACTCAGGGACCCAGGGTAGCTAAGATGACATCAGGAACATTGTGTTTTCTGTGGCAGTAGAGGCAGAGAGACGGTTGTCTATCAGATCTTCTAGGCTTCAGCCCAGAAGTGGCACATTGGCCAGAACAATTCATCTGACCACTCCCAACTATGAGGGTAGCTGGGGAATGTGGGGAAGCAGATGGACTATTTTTTGAGCACCATTACTGTATCTGCCAAGGCTGATACAAGCAGTTAATCCTCTGGTCTATTTCTTTTAAAGGAGAGTTGAGAATTAGCTTTTCTGTTTTTTCCACCCCTCCCCTTCTCTCCCCTCCTCTCTTCTCTTCTCCTCTTGGAATATCTGTATCTGTATGTATCTCCAATTACAGTTTGAGCTCCATGAGGCTAAAATTTTACTTTCTTTTTGTATCCCCAGTGCCTAGTAGACTGTCAGGCACTTAATATGTATATAGTCCGTGGTTACTGAATAAGTGATAATTGTGTAAATGGAGGTTTTACCTTGCCAGAAATGATACCATAATATGGTCAATGAATTATAATCGCAGAATTCTACAGTGCCATAGAAGGAGAGAATCTTTTTGTCTAGAACTTTTGATGGCCCATTGACCATGAGGACACCGTGGCTGGGACAGCCAGTCAGTTGTTGGGCCAATGATGCTCTTCTCTATGCAGGCTTTCTTGGAAGCTGTCTTCCTAGAGTGGACAAGCCCACGTCTTCATAGGAAAAAGATTCGTGGAAAGTGGAATCTCAGCTTTGGTATTGTACCCCGTCCCCCCACACGCAGCCCCACTTTTCATTTTTCACTTCAGCTTCAGCACTGAGGCAACTTTCCCATTATTCAAATCCTAGGAACTTTGTCCAGGTCTCAGGCTTCTCTGGGACTTACTTCTTGAAGCATCGTAGCATAGTGGAAAGGACTTTGACTTCAAGGAAGAGTGTTGGGGTTTAAATCCTGACTCTTGCAAGGTAATTTCTGCATGGCCTTGGGCAGGTCACTTGCCCCTCAGCCAGGGCTCTCCCCTGGGAAGTGGGAAAGTGCCGTGTGTCTCACGGGGTTGCTTCGGTGGCTAGATGAGACAAAGTATATGTAAGTCCAACCAGCAAGCAACAAGCTGAGCAGGTCTCTTGATGTGAGCACACAACTGTAGCCCATTGGAATAGTGGCAGTTGTGGCATCTGTCCTTCAGTGACTTAGCTGATAAGGAGCAAAGAAGCCAAAGTTTCCTCCTCCTTATGAGATAACTGGCATGGCCAGAATCAGTGTGGCGTGGGACTCAGTTCACAGGTATTGACAATAAGAACAATAATGATAGAAACTTGCTTCATACCCTTCTCCAGCTTCTTCCTGTTCCCAATCCATAGCCCCTCCCCCTTCAAATAAAAGCAGAGCTGCTACTCAGCCTTCCTGAATGAAGGAGAGGTGACCTTGTCCAGCGTGCCCTCTGGATACCATGAAATGTCAGCTTCCTTCCCACCGGGTTGGGGTGGAGATTGGCTGTTTAGAGATCTGCAAACTTGCTTCACTCTCAGAGGAGAGAGGAAGTATGTTTTCTCAGGCATTGGGAGATACCCATCAAAATTCCACACACCTTGTCTGGGCTGAATTTTACAAAGCATTTGAAATGCTTTGTAAATTTAATTGTCTTCAGACAGTGTATTCAGATTGATTAGGTAATCAGTGCATTTGGTACAGTGGTAACTCGTTTTAATATCTAAGTAGAGCTGGTGGGCTTTCTTGTGCACAAAGTGCTCCCCAAGGTATTCAAGGCCCAGTCGGAGCCACACTCCTGTTGAGCATCACTCAGAGGCTGGGGAAACATCGGGGGTCGGGGGGGGGGGGGCGGGGGCATGGTGGATGGGGAGTGCAGGGAGTCTGCGAGGTTGTTGAGCCCAGCTGCTCTCAGGGTGCTTTGATTTCCTTTCAGACAATTCCCTGTGTGCTCTAACAAGCCATGGAATCTTCACTGGGTAGTTACTGGCGATAAGACATTGAGCTAGCCTCAGAGGAACTTGACCATAGGAAGTAGTAGAAGAAGGGACAGGAGGACCAAAATTGCTGTGCCATGTGCTTTTCCTGTGTCTCTTGTTTTGTTTTTTAAATTAGAGATGGGGTCTTACAATGTTGTATAGGTTGGTCTTGAACTCCTGGGCTCAAGCAATCCACTCACCTCGGCTTCCCAAAGTACTGGGATTACAGGTGTGAACCACCTTGCCCAGGCTGTCCTCTTGTTTAATACACACTATGAGGTACAGGGAAGCCGAGGCTTTATGAGGGTTAGTAACTTGTAATGCCACCACTAGTGGCAGTCGTTTTGGACAACATAGATCTAGATGAGGGGTCTTCAAACTATGGCTCATAGGCCAAATCTGACTTAGAGTTTAAAATGATTATATAAGTAACTGATTTTGCCTATTGGTCTTCAAAGCCTAAAATATTTACTACCTGGCCCTTTAAGGAAGAGTTTGCTGAGCACTGGTCTAGATAAAAGCACAGTGGACACTGTGGCGTGTGGCCAGTCCCCTTCCTTTCCAGCGTCTGGGGGTGTGGGCTGTTGGCAGCTCATAGTTGGATTCTTCTCTGAGAAATGCACTTGGCCTGCCCAGCCCAAGGTGAAATGCACATCCAGTGAATGGTCAGTGAGTGGGTACAAAGCCCAATTCCCTTAGCTCAACTTGGAACAATTCTGCAGGGCCAATCCAGCTGCAGCGCTCTTGTGGGGTAGGCTAAGGTCCCTGTGGTGACTCACAGCTCCATTCCTCCCTCCATCCCCCCAGCCTCAGCCACTCCTGTACAGGTGTCGATGCTGAGAGCTGTCTCCAGAAAACCTGCCCACAAATCTCTGCTCTGCATCTTCTGTTTCCCAGGAAACCATCCTGTGACAGCAGCTCTTCCTCACTCCCCTGCAATGAGCAACTTGGAGCCCAGTGGGGCTAGTGAGGAAGACTTTCCTGCTGGGGAGATAGGAAGGAAGGGAGCTGTGGAACTTGGTCTTGAGCTCCAGTGCCTTCCTGAAGGCAGAGGCAGAGCTGGACCACTCATTAGAAGACCTTCAAGGCCCTTTGTGCTCTGGCCTCCCCTTCACCTTTCCGGCCCCATCTAAGCCAGTGCCTCAGTTCTGTACCCCACCCATCAATTCTAACCGCCAGCCCAGTGGCATCTCTCATGCTTCTGTGAAGCCCCCTTCTCTGTCTTGTCACCTGGCTTTTGCACACTGTGGTCCCCCTGGGAATACCTTGTCTATTCTTTACTTGCCTGACTTGCCTTTCAGGGTTACAGTTGACAAAATAATAATAGATAGCATGAAGCTCTCACTGTGTGCCAGGCACCGTTCCACACACGGTGCATGTGATACCTAATTTCATCCTCTTAATAACCCTAAGCCACAGGGTCTTATTGTAGATGAGGAACTTGAGGCACAGCAAGGTTAAATAACTCGCCGAGGTCACACAGCTCAAAAATTGTGAAGCTAGGATTTGAGCCAGAAATTTAGGCCCTGAAGCCCAGCTGAGCTGTATACTTGGAATTGTCTGTAAAGCATCTTTCTTCTAGAACAGCTTCTCTTCTCCAGTGACCCTGCCACCAGTCATGGCTCAACAGTCTAGAAGTGGGCACTTGACCCAAGCTGGGCTGATGAGTGGCTCCCCCGGGTACAGATTCAGGATGGTATCTCATCAGTGTAAGTAAAACATAAGAGTATTTAGTGGTTATATTTCCAACTACCTGGAAGAAATGAATCTGTAAGGCGAAAGAGTGGGCTGGTCCTCACACGTAGAGAAGATGGGGAGAGGGTCCTGGAGTCACTGGGCTATCTGCCTCCAGCCTGTCCCAGAGGCCTGGCTGCAGCCTGCTCTTCATTTGATTCTGGGAGCTCACATCTCCTCCATTTTGCCTTAGCAAGGTCTGCTTGGGTTTCTGTGATTTGAAAGGCCCAAATGAAATGTTCCCTGAAGAAAGGCCTCGCTGTCACCACCTTGCTGCAGTCTGGCTCTGTAGGAAGCTCAGGGCCTGGGTTTCCTCTGATGACAATGGCTGACTAACAACAGTCACTTGGCCTGGACCTTAGGATCCCAGGCAGCTGTTTTCACATTTCTCCCAGCTGGGCAAGGGTGGCCAGAGTGGTGGGTACTGCACAACCACAGACTTAGACAAAATCAACACCAAGATCCAAAACATTTTAAATGGAGCATTCTGGCTTTTGCCAAAGTGCACAAAGAACAGGGAGTGTGAAAATGAGGCTGTCCCAAGGAGGAGGCTGCACAGAGGCGCCATCAAACATGCGGCTAATGAGATCTGGGCCCTCTCGAGGGTCATCCAGTCAGATGAGCCTGTGGTTTCACCGAATTGGCTTCAGCTAACTTGGTCAGGCACCCAATGCATAGGCCCTGTTATATCCCAGATGTGATGCCTTTCCCCAACAGAGATGGTGGTAATTGATGAACAAACTGGAGGCTATGGCAAGGTGCTGGAACTCAAGATATACAGAGAATAATGGGCTGATGGTTCATTCTAGAGAACAGAAACAAAGAAATGGAGAAGGCAGAGGGAGGACCCATGGAGGGGTGGAAGCCATGAGCTAGCAGAAATCCTGCATAAGGGGCAGTAGGAGCAGAGCATTGCTGAGTTGTCATAATGTGGGAGCCCTCGAGTCAGGATGAATTGATGTTGTCTCTGAGCTACCACGGTCACCAGGTGGCTCAAGCTTAGAGGTGTCCTGATTGACCTTCTTTTCCCAAGTTAGGCATGCCTCTGTGACGCCAGGTGGTGCCATCACTGTTCCTGTCATCCTCCTGGACACTGCTTAAGGTCACCTGAGAGTGTCTGTGTCCTGACATGTAAAGAGCTAAACCAACATAAAAGACAAGGGCTGGTGAGGATGTGGAGAAATTGAAGCTCTTGTGCACTGTTGGTGGGAAAGCAAAATGGTGCAACCAGTGTGGAGAAAATCATGGAGGTTCCTCAAAAAATGGAAAATTGAAAATTGAATTACCATATGATCCAGTAATCCATTTCTGAGTATTAGGAAGAATTGAAATCAAAATCTCAAAGAGATAGTAGCACCTCAATGTGCATTGCAGTGTTATTCACAATAGCTAAGATGTGAAAACAACTTATGTCCATGGATAGATATATGGATAAAGAACATGTGATGTATACATACAATAGAATACTATTCAGCCTTAAAGAAGGGAATCCTGCCATATGCAACAACATGGACAAATACTATAAAATTCCACTTATATGAGGAATTCAAAATAGTTAATGTCATAAAATCAGAGTAGAATGATGGTTACCTGAGGCTGGGGGGAGGAGGAAGTGGGAAAATTGCTGATCAATGGGCATAAAGCATCAATTATGCAAGCTGAATAAGTAGAGTAAGCTGCCCATCATGCTGGTGGTTACTAATACTATATTGTACACTTAGAAATTTGTTACGAGGGGCCAGGTGCAGTGGCTCATACCTGTAATCCCAGCACTTTGGGAGACCAAGATGGGTGGATCCCTGAGGTGATCCCTGAGGTCGGGAGTTCGAGACCAGCCTGACCAACATGGTGAAACCCCATCTCTACTAACAATACAAAAATTAACCAGGCATGGTGGTGTGCACCTGTAATCCAAGCTACTCAGGAGGCTGAGGCAGGGAGAATGGCTTGAACCCTGGAGATGGAGGTTGCAGTGAGCCAAGATCGCACCACTGCACTCCAGCCTGGGTGACAGAGACTCCATCTAAAAAAAAAAGATTGTTACAAGGGTAGATCTCATGTTACATGTTCTTACCATAGTAAAATTTAACAAATGTATTTTAAAGTGCTAAACCAGCAAACAGAACACAGGATGTCTTGGGGCAAAGGTGTCAGTCAGGGAGGTCCCGCTGAGCAAGGAGATGCTCCCGACCCCGAGCGAGTGCTGGCCCTTGAATGACCACCAGGAGAACCTGACCATCACCTTAGTTTCTTCTTCCATTCATTAATAACAATTGATGATACCTAAAAATTTTTTGTGAAATTTACATGATATAAAATTAACCATTTTAATGTGACCAATTCAGTGGCATTTTAGCACATTTACGAGATTCTGCAGCCACCATCTCCATCTAATTCCAAAACATTCTCATCACACCTAAATAAAACCCCATATCTATAAACCATCACTCCCCATTTCCTCCTCCCCCCACCCCTGGTCTGCTGTCTCTATGGATTTACCTATTCTGGATATTTCATGTAAATGGAATCCCACACTATTGTGACTTTTTGTGTTTGTCTTCTTTCACTTAGCATAGTGTTTTCACAGTGCGGCCACACTGTGGCATGTGTTGGTACTTCAATCCTTTTTATGGTTGAATAATATTCCATTGTGTGGATTTACAACATTTTCTTTATCCATTCATTAGTTGATGGATATTTGGGCTCTCTCCACCTTTCGTGTATTATGAGTGGTGCTGCTGTGAACATCTTTTGACGTTTTTGTAAAATCACAGCTAGAGACAAGTTTAGGGCCCGGTGCCCTGGACATGCCAGCTTTTCCTGGTGGTCTCCTGTACACCGTTAACATGGAAAAGGGCACTTTACCTCTACTCTGACAAGTTTAAATGGAAAAACTCAGGGACAGTGTCTCTGTAGGCGTCTCTCAAACCCACCTCTTAAAAGCCCACCCAGAGGTTGCTTAAGAAATTACTAGGTAATTGAAGCAATAACTTTCAAGACCAAAATATATATTTTCCTCTTCCATAGAACACAGCGCCCATAACTCCTGTGATGCTTTTAGCTGTTCTTGGGAATAAACTAACGACCCCTCTCCTTCCCTTCTGCTGAATGAAACACCGGAAGGAAAAAGTGCAAGCCAATGGGAATCATAAACAGAGAAGAGAGAAATGCTTTTTAAAAAAATTCTCAAAATATTTAAACCCAGAAAAGTGCAAATAAAATCCAGCACCACTGGCCCCAGGAGTCGGAGCGCTGGTCTTTTCTGTGCTACCTGAGGTTTGAGTGTGCAGTTGCGGGCATATGGGAGGGAAGGCTCCTGCTGTCAGCATCGAAAGCAGATACTCATTTAAATTCCAGTTGCATGCCTGAACGTTGTTTCTTCCGGAAATGTCAGCTCTCTTAATTCTTTCCCCTTTTAAACAGATCCAAATGATTTCCCCTTGATTGAAGTAAAAAGAGTGTAAATATTTTAGCATTTCATAAAACTGGAAACATTAGAGGCTACTTTCACAGTCATTTGAATAACAGCAAGCATTTCCTAGACATTCTAATCAATTAACTTTCCAGGGTAATTTTTCAAGGGAGCAGAATGGTCCAAAACCAGGCCAGTCACACTGTTGCCTGCTCACGTTTCTGTCACTTTGGTCATGGGGAATTTACCTATAAAGGGAAAGGGAGACTTCTCTTGCTTTGACCACAATAAATTGAGTGTGTTTGCGAGGGGCAGAGTGGTGGCCGTGGAAGCTAGCGTGTGTTTAGGCCCTGTCTGGGGCACGTGGAGGAACAGCTTTCTCCTTCTCATTGGCATCAGGATTAAAGAGAAGAAAATGGGTTGCTGTCTTTTCTACCTACGCAGCAGAAGGAGCATTCACAAATGAGAATTTCCCCAGCCCCAGCAGGGTGTCTAAGGAGCTACTTTGTAGAGTGTAATTTCATGTAGTATCTAAAAAAAAAAAAAAAAAAAAAAAAAAACTCCTTGCCAGGGTTCCCTCCACTAAAGGCCATTTGGAAGAACTTGGCAAGCTTAACGATGCCCTGAAAGGTTGCAGAGAAGAAAATGTATGGACATCAGCAAGTACCAGGAAGGATGCAGGCTTTGCCCGCAGAGACTTTGGAAGGCGCTCAGGTGTCTCCTGCAGGAACCTCCACCTGTGACAACACAGGCTCAGCCTCTGGGTGGAAACCCAGATAAGGACTCTGTCACCAGATTTCAAATCGTGGCCTATGTCTTTGGGCTGTGAGTTGGGGAGAAATGTTTAATTTTTACTTGAGCCTCATGGAGATGAGGGGAGCTACAGGCTGCTGACAACTATTTCTGATTTGTTTGGCTCCTGGGTGGGAGGGAGGCAGGAAATTGGAACAGGTCGCCCATTAGGAGCTAATGCGTGCTTAGGTCTGGTTGGCTGAGCTGCTTCGGCTCACCTGGCCAGGGCTTCTGTGCTTCAGGAGGGGCCTCACCTTGGGAAGGTGTGAGGAATGTCCCAGCCAGCAGAGATGCCAACGTGGAAGAGGGGTTGGAGACAAGGAGGCTCCGTTCCCCTGACCTTAAAGACCAAGAATGTGGAGAGCGGAGGATGAGAGAGGAGACGAAGTGTTTCATGTCTCCTCGCCCAAAGAGGGCTGAAGCTTTGCATCTAGCAGGTACCCAGGACCAAGAACACAGGCTGAAGTTCCCCCTCGCACTGAGAGATGCCTCCTCCCTGGCCAGAGATGACAAATGTGGCAACAGAGCCATAGATATCCCGAGTCGGGAGAAGATGGACAGGGAGAAGTCATTAGCAGTGACAAAGGGTCTCCGTAGTTGAGCATCAGTCGCCTAAAAATGATTGCTAAGGTTAAAGCTGGCAGTGAGGGAGAGGGAAGGGGAGACCGGCAGGGAGATGGGACTGTGCCTTGGGCTATTTTATCTGAGATGGCAGAGGTTCAAGACAGCGCAGCCTCCAGTCCGCACCTTCCACAGCCTGGCCAGGGAATTTTCTGCCCTCTCTGTTGGCATATTCAGGTTGGAGCCCTGCAGGAGAAGATCGCACACTGCAAATTGAGCAAGTCGCTGTGATTTCGCAACTGGCTGCGCTTCTGCATTTCTGAATAGAGAGTGACAGGAAAATCCTAACATGAGCTCGAGAAATACTGTCTCAATTAACCGTCTTTATTACTGCATAGCACTTTGTTTTATTATATACTTTCATTGGCAAACCATAGCAAACAATTTCACTTCAGCAAACAACATTATGCTTGTTCCAGCTCCTTTTCATTTTGCATTTATTTTGTCATAAAAATAAAAGACAAGGAAACCTCTCATTTATCACTAGATCAAAAATTTTCCTGCCATTTCCTTGGGAGGAAAAAAAAGAAGAAATTAAGAAAATTTAGGGTGATGCTTCTAGTACCTAAACATGAAAGTATCAACCGATATGTTTTTGAAAATTGAAAATAAAATTATGGAGAAAATGCTTTATTTGATTCTCTGTTTATGGGAAATTCATTTTATTTGACTTTTTTATTTGTAATATCAACTATGGAGCAGAGCACAGTTTGCAAGGTGTTCCCTGACAGTCTCATTCTTCTAAATTATTAATGCCGTGCTGTTGATATATTGTCAGCCTTGTACCTACATTCTATGAAAATGAGTTTTACAGTAGGTTGGGATTTATAACAAAGCTTGACATATGCAGCTAATTCACCTACACAGTCCTGTCAGTTTTAGGTTCATAAATAATTGATACTCAAGGCTTGAAGTTCAGCTACTGTTAGTACTTCAGCTGTTAAATTTCAGCAGCATAATGGATGAATATTTGTTTATAATTTCTGTACATGGTCCCGATGTCAGCTCCCTTGCTTCATTTGCATAGGTAGATTGAGATGTTGGAAGTGTAATGAGCGCGTGAAGATGACGAATTGTTTGCCAGGATGCCGGTGCGGTTCTGTAAATGTTTGATTAGTTCTGAATGGATTACTGTTAGATTATCTGGTTCAGAGGTTAACATGAGCAGCTCTTTGCTCCCGGAGCTTTTGTGATCCCTTGCTGACAGATTTTAAAATTCATACCGTGAGATCAGAGCTGCAAAGGCGAGGGGGTGTTCTCGGCAACAGATGTTTGGTAATTAAGCATACGGTTTCCTTGTTTTGGAGAGCTGGAGGAATTTCAAATTGGCAGGATTTGTTCCATTGGAGGAAGCTCGAGTTCTAAAGAAAATATTCTTACTCCCCACCTAGGTGTTAGTGGCTCAGCTTCCCAATGACAGTAACTGGAAGAAGGATCCACACAGAGAAATCTGGGGAGGAGTGGGTTCCAATGCCAAGGGAGGGCAGCTTCTTGTGATTTGTCCACGTTGGGAACCATGGAAGTCATCTGCAAATCATTGCCAAAGATATGTTTTAGCTGGAGACCAGCAGGTATAAAGGTTCAGACATCTCATTTGTGACCTAGAAGACATCTCATTTGTGACCTAGAAGGTAGGGTGGTCTCTGGAGGCCTTAGAGGGAGGGGAGGGCTTTAGGAATTCCCGCTAAACGACATCTATACAGAGCCTTTCTGCTGACACGGGCCAGCAAGTGGTTAATATCAAAAAGCAGACATCTGAAGAGGCACTGACACCCTCCCACTCACAGAAGGTAAGACAGTGTGTGTGTGTGTGTGTGTGTGTGTGTGTGTGTGTGTGTTTCAACCCAAAGAAAGGAAGGGCTGAGTGAAAGCCATGAATCTGGTCCTGTTATTCTTCTCAATGAGCTTCCAGGAGGAGGACGGGCCTGGAACCTCCCTCTAGACCTGAGGCAGCCCAGCATAGCTGGACCCTTCTGCCAGCTTGGACCCCTATTGCATTTCAAGGCTATACAAACCACCTACTTAGCACTTACCCCACCTAGCACGGCTTCCCTCTCCAACCACGCCTGTCCCTTCAAACCCACCATCAAACCTCTGATGCTCCTCCTCTCTCCCCAATCCCACCAGCGCCGAATCAGAAAATGGAGGCAACTGGGCCTTAATGAAAAGATTTAGTGCTTGCAGCTAAACAGAACTGAGTTCCAGCGCTCTCTTGAACTATATTTTTCCAGTCCCGCATCCAGTTCCTTAGCTTGTCTGGCAATCATGTTAGTGATTATATGGGTAATGAAACACGTGCTCTTTTTGTCTGAGCCTCTGATTAATCTGCCTTCTCTTTGGCCTTGATTTATGGTGCTCAACTCTGGAGGTGAATGCTGGCCCATCAGTTCCGTAGCTTATTACAGACGCAGAGGCTGCTAAATGCCTCGGAGGCTTGAATTGTTTCTTGACAGCCAGGCTTCTTGCTACATTCCCTCCAATCTGTTTTGGTTCCTGGTGTGACCTTTCATACAGTAAAATACATTAGTTGAATAGCACAGTCTCATTAAAAGAGTGAATTAACCGAAGAGTCTTTTTAACTAAATGACAGCCAAAGGACTGAGTGCTAATAGCCACGAGCAGTTGGAAACTTAACTCATGAATCAGCCCTGTTAATACTGCCTCATGCCTGAAGCGCCGAGGGTACTGCGCTCTCTGCCGGCTCTCGTAAGAAGAAAAGCTCATTACTTTCCTCCTGATGGGAGAGAAAGAGTGAGCGAGCAATAATAAAGCTTGAATTTTTCAATACTGTTAAAAATGGGGCTGACAGATTGCCGACAATAGGAGCAACGGGCCCAGACGCTGCGTCCGGAGCCGCTGAATTAGCAATACCATATATCATACAATCTAATTAAATCAACCCGGAGAATGAAATTAGTTTTCTGTGAGTGAAATGGCCTCTGAAAGAGCTCTATTAAATGAACTGGAGAGCATTAATTAAATAATTCACAGTGAGGGATTTTGCATTTATACAAAAATTGTGCACTTAATTGTCCATGCTGTATTGCAGATCTGGCCTTATGTTAACAATGTGTCGAAAGCACACTTATTGGAGCATATCAGGAACAGCTGAACACAAGCGCAGCTTGGAAATTTTTCTGGGTTGGGCCAAGGAACCTAAGAAAAAGCATCCAGGGACACCTAGACCTCAAAAGTTACCTGGCAAAGTTTTTTGCATCTGCCAAAGTTTGTTTCCAAGGACTCTGGCGGGCTTCCGTAATGTATTGTAATGCTTATCCGAGATGCCCGTGGTGTTTGGGTTGGCAGTCTCTTGCGGGGGGTGGGTGGGGGTGGTGGTTGGAGAGCTCCTCCTGGCTTGACCTCTGTAGCGGGGCGGGTCTTGGTTAATTTGGAAGCTTGGCAAGTGTCTGGCAAATTTTGGTATCTGTAGGTATTCATCCGGGAGAATCAATTTTCTTTTTTTCTTCCCAAATGTATTACCCAGTTATATGGATTCATTCATGTAAACCCAAGCATATTGGGTGCAGTGAAGGAAAAAGTGAATTTAGAAACAACATGTTAGAGAAATCAGACACCATCCTTCTTAGAGTCATGGATCTCAGGGTTGAGAGAGACCATAAAAGTCATTTAGTTGAAATCTTTCTCCTCCAAAGAAACACCTAAATTTCCTCTATAATATTCCTGCTCAAATACTTATAAGCACTGAGGAGCTTCCTCTTGCTCCAGGGAACCCACATTATCGTTAGACAGCTCTAATTTGGGGCAGTCTGGGCAGCATTGCAAAGTGGTTAGGAGCTCAGGCTTTGGGGTAGATTTCTGGGTTTGAATACCAGCTCCCTACTTGCTAGCTGTATGATCTTGGCCAAGTGACTGAACCTCTTTGGGTCATAATTTCTCCATATACTGAGACAGAGATAATCATAATACCCAGATTGCAGCACTGTTAGGGGGATTGAGTTCATACATGTATGGCACTTAGAACAGTGTTTGGCACGTACATGTTGGATAGTATTATTTTGTTATTACTAAGCTTCTCCTTTCACACTCCTAGTTTGATAGCTTGGGACCAATCACAGCTTGATTTTTGAAAGTCTAATTTAAAAAGTCTTCCTTGTCTTTACTGTTTCTTATTAATTAGATAATTTGGTGATTGAAAAGGTCTAAGTTTTTTTGGTTTGTTCTTTTTGAATTTAAGACTTTTGAAAGTTTTAAGCATGTTCCTACTTTGGAGCCAGCTTTCTCCATCCACGCATCCATTTTCCAGGCCGTGTGGGTACTGAGGGGCTGCGGTGGATGAGTCAGACAAGTCTCTGTTTCTATGGAGTTTTCATTCCCATTTTCCTTTCAACTGTACTAAACACGTTACACATTTTTTAAAAGTCCGTAAAATGGTGAAAATTTAAAAATAACAAAAAGATAAATTCTTATAGAATGTCTGAGTAGAAAAATAGATACTAGGCTAGGCGGGGTGGTTCATGCCTCTAATCCCAGCACTTTGGGAGGCTGAGGCAGGTGGATCACAAGCTCAGGAGTTCAAGACCACCCTGGCCAACATGGTGAAACCCCGTCTCTACTAAAAATACCAAAATTAGCTGGGTGTGGTGGCACGCGTCTGTAGTCCCAGCTACTCAAGAGGCTGAGGCAGGCAAATTTCTTGAACCCAGGAGGCGGAGGTTGCGGTGAGCCAAGATCGTGCCACTGCACTCCAGCCCAGGCGACAGAGCAAGACTCCGTCTCAAAAAAAAAAAAAAAAGGAAAAATAGATACTAAAACATCAGAAATCATAAGACTACCTTGCAGATAACTAAACCATCCTTAGAATACACTCCCTTTGAGGCCCATGTTTTATACCTGGGACTCCCAGTCTATCTATACTACTATCCACTAAGATATCATTTTAATTCCCCAGTGGTCTTGGGCAGTTCCAAATGAAGCAAGCCACCCTGAAACACAACCAGCAGTGTCCTAAACAACATGCATCCACACAACAGTTTTGTTGACTCTTTTTTTAAAAGGCGTAAAACTTTTTTTAAAAGGTGTTTATTTCTAGAATATTTATCTTAGTAATCCTATATGTGTTCCATGCCTTTATCAATTTGCTTTAGAGATTGTTAAAAATAAGCCTAGTCTTGTATTTCATTAAAAGAAAGAGTTAAGATTTTCAATAGGATAGAACCTCACAGGACAGTTCAGTCGTCAGGGGTTGCAAACATTAACATTTTGAGCCCCTGCCATGTAAACAGGCCCTATGATTCTAAATAAAATAGAATCTCTAAGTCATCTATTTTTCCTCCTCAAAGGAAAAGTTAGCACCTGCTTGGCAGGGCAATCAAACCAAAACATAGAGGGAAAGAGAGGTTCAGAATGGAAATTGAGAGTGAAGAGGAAGAGTATGAAAAGCTTTGAGACATTTGTAGAGCCTGCCAAGGTTGGAGCACCCAAAAGAAAGTGCCTGCTAAGCAGCATTGGTAAGGGTAATAATGTAGATTCTTTTTAAGGTCATATGAGACACTCAAAGATTAGAATTCTTTTTGGTTGCTGAATTCTGTTTCCTTGTGACAATTCTGACATTGAGCCACTTGGAAGTTTTTGGGTTACAAAGCCATATGCATTTTCCATACAAGGTATTAGGTTGGCGCAAAACGTAATTGCGGTTTTTGCCATAATGGCACCGTTGTAGCAAAGATTACTTTTTGCATCAACCTAATAGATGGGAAATCAGATATGGCTACTTATTCACACTCCACCAAATAATTACTGAACATTTACTATTTCCACAGGAGGTACAGAGATATTCAGATAGCAGTGCTGGAGTTATAAGTCTTACATAGTATGTGCTGAATAAATATTTGTTAAATGATGAATGAATAAGTGAGTGCCTATTGAATAGAAGAACTAAAACATGTTTATTAACTCTAGTAAGGGAATAATAACAACAACAATAATAAGCAACACTTCTTAAACTCTTGCTATCATCCAAGCAAGCGGTTGACATGTGTTTACTCTTTAAGATGTGCTGTGAGTCCTAAGTGAGGCAGAGACACTGTGGGAGTTCGAAGGAGAAAGACAACTTTTTCATTTTGGAGGGTGGAGGTGACAGTCAGAAAAATCAAGAGCTGTGAATCAACTACCAGCATACATGCCAGTCCTGTGGCAATACATGACGTGAATGGTCCCTACCTTCAGAGAGCAGGGACACAGTTTGACAAATAAGGAGGGTGAGAGGTTCACACGAGGCCGTCTTTAACAGGTGTCTCCAGATGGACCTGCGACTGGTGCTGTGAAGGCCCAGTGTGAAGGGGGGCAGTCACTGTCATCTGTATGCTGAGGATGTGAGGGCGGGATTGGGGTGGTCAGACAAGTGTGTGTAGGGTTCAGACAGGCAGCAAGGGAGGCAGATGACATCCATCCACAGGGTCCAGTAGGACTGAGAGGTGGGAGGTTGTTCTGGACAGAGAACAAGGAGGCCAGACTGATGGGGCAGGGATTCATGCAGGTCCGGGATGGGGAGGATTGAGAGAGCAGAGTGAGGAGACAGCTACATGCCTGAGTGTGGAGGCCCAGAGCACCAGGTAAGGAGCTTCTGTCGTTGCTGGGTAACAGGAAGCCTCACCATCTCATCACCCAGGGGAGGGTGGGAGGGCGTCTTTTAGGAAATGCATAGTTGTGGCTATGCCTAAAATGGACTAGAGGTACCAGGCTAGGCAGAGATGGTTGCAGGAACCAGGTGAGAGGCCAATGCACACCCAAGTTGCCAGGGAAGGGGAAGCAGCATTGACTGTCAAATGCCTCCGTACCTTTCTAAGAGGGACCTTGTTCTGATCAATAGCAGCCTTTCAGTTATGAGATTAGGCAGGGTCTCAGAAAACAATGCTGCTCCAATCCAATCTCGAGCTCCAGGACTTTAGCTGGTGGCCAGTAACAGAAGGGCAGGAGGAAATATGAATTTCCCTCTCTTTTGGCATTGATTGTTCCTGCGAATCATGTGTGGGCTTTGATTCCCACTCCCCCAAGCCCGAGCAGGAAGGAAGGAGTGTGCTGGGCTGGGGACTCAGGCCTCATAACTCCCTGGGCCAGGGATCTGATGGGGGAGCAGTTTCCTTGGGCCAGGGACCAAGTAGAGCAAACGCAGAGTGCGATGGCATCTTGGCGCTGTGATGTCCCACCACCAGCTCGGATAGTCACTGAGGTTTCCTTTGTGTGGTGGGTGGCTGGGAAGGCATGCGGGGTGCCACGGGAGACGAGCAGGGTATGCAGGAGCATGCCAGTGTAAGCCCCAGCCCCTTAGCACGTTGACGGTGTGTGGACCCCTAGTGGAACCTGAGTTGGTAACTCTCCCTGTCTCGATGTCACACTCACACACAGAACAAACACATCAGTGACCGATCAGACTGTGGTAAGGTAAATACATCATCGCAGAGAGAAAGGGGCTTCCAAACTGTGGGCGAGCCTCTCTTGTCTTGCAGGCCCTGGCCTGGGCCTCTTCCAGCAAGTTGCCAGTCACTCTTGGTCATTGGCCCAACCTGTGGTTCCTAGGAATGGCAGCCTTCCCTTTGCTCAAATCCTCCCCTGCCCAGGAGTATCACTTGCATTTGCTTTTTTACAGGTTGAGCTCTGGTTATCCAACCTACCTCCCCACGTGAGGCCATTTGGCGGGTAGGACTGTCAAGTATTCAATCATTTGCACCATTACCTTTAATATTAGCTGTATTTAGTTTATTCATAAAGGCCTGTCTCACATGAGAGGATTCTTTCCATAATCGTGACAATTGCGTGCAAGCTCCCCTCTGAAATGTGTCATCTGTCTCCTTCAGTAAAAATCCAAATGTTCTTGCTGGGGTTGAAAAGAGAGGGATTTCTTTGGTTCTCTCTCAGCCTCTTTCCAAGAAACTCGATCTTGTCGGGGCATGAACACTGCCTGGGCAGCCCTAGATGGCCTTGGATGCAGCAGCTGCCCCAGCAGGAGGCCTCGGGTGGTGGGTGGTAGAAACGGAAGGAACCTTGGGATCGGGTATTACAAACTCGCCATTTTACAGCCATGGGGACTGAAGCCTAGAGGGGCTTTGAGGGAATTGTTTGTGCTGCCTCATCAGGTCAGTGGTGGTCTGGGTTTGAACCCGAGTCTCTTGTTCATGGGCTTTTCCTGCTGCATGTCTGGGCCACAGGCCAAGCCTCAGGACTGAGACCTGCAAAGTGATAGGTGCCTGGGAAGCCACGGCCGGTGCTCTGTGCACACTGCCCTAGTTGTCACACTAACACTGCAAAAGAACTCATGTGCTCCTGGTTTTCAGCTCAATAAATGGAGGCTCAGAAGAAATGAAATTGCTTGTCTGAGTCCTCACAGCCAAGAAATGGCACCAGCATTTGGATCCAGGCTTGCCTGGGGCTGTGCACTGAATGTTTATGGCCCCCTAGAATTCATACGTTGAAGCCTAACTCCCAATGCGATGTTGTTTGGAGGGGCTACCATTAGGAGGTGATTAGGTCATGAGTGGGGGAGCCCTCAGGATGGGATTAGTGCCCTTATACAAAGAGGCTCCAGGGGTTTTTCTTCCTCTCTCTCTCTCTCTCCACTCTGGGAGAAAACAGCCATCTGCAAACCCGGAATCCGGCCCTCAGGAAACACTGGATCTGCCAGCACCTTGACCTCAGACTTCTGGCATCCAGAAGCAGGAGAAGTGTTTGCTGTTGAAGCCACCCAGCTCCCCCTCCACACCCACCCTGCTGTGCAGTCTCTTGAGCCTGTGCTGCAGACCAGCCTGGTGGACTCCACTGGAAGACCACGGCTCTCAGCACAGTGTCTGTAAAAACCAGAACCAAGCAAGACTTGGAACACTGTGGACACCTCCAGTCTGACTGCTCCGTGCTTTGCCTGGGTGACCCTGTGCTGGTGCAGGCTCCCCTGAATGGTGGTCTCCTCCCAGTGTGGGGTGAAAGCCTCTGCCCTCAGGGTCCCTTGACTCAACATATTTATCTCCCCAACACCCACCACTGTGTGCCTCCTTCCCACATCCCTGGTCCAAGGAAGGGCAGGGTAGCTCCCTCCTCTTTCTACTTGTCTTTCCTCACTACACCTTCAGGGCCCCGTCTATGCAGGTTGGCTGAGGGCCAGCCCAAGGAACCAAGAAAAATCTCCTCTGTCACAAAACCTTGTGCCTTGTTCTGTTGCAAAGTTCTATTTTGAAGGTTAGAATTGAAATGTAATCTCCTTCCTTCTGTAACAAATTCTCATCTTCCCAGAAGCAAATCGTTCATGCAGGCCAAAGAGAGAGAAGGCCAGGTACTCAGTAGAAGTAAAAAGAGAAACTCATACTAATATTTAGCCAAACATTTATCCTTCTATTTATTTACTTGCTTACTTATTTATTAACTCATGTTCACCATTTAAAAATTACAAAATACTGATAGGTATTTGATATGTTGCATTACAGGCTTTTCCTAAGTGCCTTGTATACAAGTCTACTTTCCACAAAATGAGATTATGCTCTACATATCGATTTAAAGCTCACTTTTTGCAGTGAGTGAACAATTTGGAACTGTAAGAACATCTTGCCCATCTAGTAGACTTCTCCACTCTTCTTCCTGGCTGCTGAGTCTTCCATTTTTTTCTTTCTAAGAGTGCTGTCACTTATTCAATCAATCCTTTATTGTTGGACCGATCACATATCTGAATGTTGCTGGGCTGCAGCACAGCTGTTTTGCGATTTGGAGGAACCCAATCTTTCTCCTCCCACCTGTACGGTGAATGCTTCTGCTATAACCAATCAGAATAACAGGGCAAACATCTGGGTATTTGAAACAGTATCTGATGTTAACTGGACAGAAAGACCACCCGCAAAATGAAGTTTTCATTTCACCCAGATATGTTTTTCCAGATATTTGGAATCTCGTAGAAGGCATCCCAGAGAGGCCACTCCTCTCTTTTTCTGGTTTCTTGGACTTCTGCATCAATTTCTTGGATTAGGGGGTTGTTCTGTGTCTACTCATTCTTGCTTCGTGAAATTCTAGAAATTCTGGGTGCATCTTTTTATCTCATCCCAGAGTATGTTCTGTTGTTTGATTCCTTCTTGTGGTAGCTGAGACTTTAAGAGTTTCTTTCTCAACTTTTTATCTTGAAAATCTTTAATTAGACAGGAAAGTTGAATAAATGTCACAATGAATATATATATATATATACACACACACACACACCCATGATTTAGATCAAACTTTGTTTCTGTTATCTCTTTCTGTATAACAAACCACCCCAAGTGCAATGGCATAAAAACCACAATTTCACAATTTCTCATTCTCACGATTCTGTGGGTCGACTGGGTGATTATTCTGCTTTACGTGGTGTTGGCTGGGGCACTGGGATAGCTGGAATGTCCAAAATATTCTTACATGGCTAGGAGTTCAGAGCTCATGGCTCTCTCCATGTGGCTGTTTGGGCTTCTCTGCAGCATGGTGGCTGGGTTCCTAGAAGAAATGGACCAAGACACAAAGCAGAAACCACAAAGGCATTTTATGACCTCACCTTGGAAGGACCTCACCTAGGAAGACCTCACAGCATCCCCTGACACTTTTGTTCACAAGGCCTGTCCAGATCCAACAGTGGGGAGCTCCATCTCTTGACACAGGTCGGGTGGAGGGAGTGGGGAAGGAACAAGTGGCAAGGTCACAGGGCAAAAGGTCATGTAGACGGGGGGGATGTTGTTGCCTTGGAAATGTAATCTACTACAGCTTTTCCTCTGGCTACAAAAATTTACATTCCTCCCACCTGCAAAAGACTCATTCACTTCCTCCCCTAAAAGTCTCATCCCATTACAGTGTCACACTGAGGCTCGAAGTCCATCTTGTCATCAAAGTCAGGTATGGTTCCTCCACACAGGGGCCTGGGAACTAAAGGACACAGACCCAGCATGCCATGGGAAGACAGGGACAGGATAGCTGCAACAGACAGTCCTGCCCAAAAGGAGGTCATTTCACACTATGAGTGCTCCTGTCCCTGTTGATCCTGCATATAAACAAGTAAACAAGAAGGGTCGGCTGGGAGTGGTGGCTCACACCTGTAATCCCAACACTTTGGGAGACTGAGGTGGGTGGATCACAAGGTCAGGAGTTTGAGACCAGCCTGGCCAATATGGTGAAAACCCGTCTCTACTAAAAATACAAAAAAGTTAGCTGGGCATAATGGTGGGTGCCTGTAGTCCCAGCTACTCGGGAGGCTGAGGCAGAAGAATTGCTTGAACCTAGGAGGTGGAGCTTGCAGTGAGCCGAGATTGCACCACTGCACTCCAGCCTGGGCGACAGAGCAAGAGCAAGATTTCATCTCAAAAAAAAAAAAAGAAAGGTCATCTTTGAGTCATGGGCACCAATGTGGTAGATTAGTGCCAATGTGAATTTAGGGTGCAAAAGTCATATCACATGTTGTATTATTATATATACTAAAATAGCTTTTATTTGTCAATGGCTTCTGGATTTCTAAATCCAATGGACAATTCCCAATCTTCATTTTATTGGACTTCGCAATACACAAGGCTGATATTCACAGCCAATGGGTTGGTGAGCCACCTTTCTGTTTAAAAAAAAAAAAATACAGGAGGAAAAAAAAACTCCAGCTAGGTATCTACACAGGAAAAATAGATGGTTAACAGTTCCCCATGGTTTCCAGGCTCTGAGGATGGTCTAAGCATCTCCCAGAGTAAGAAGGTCTCCATGGTGTTTACCATTTAACACATCAGATTCCAGTGGTCTCTGTACATGGCACTTATTTTCTTCATGAAGTGGAACTTGAGTGTTGGAAATGGCCCCAGATCATCCTATACAACCTCCTCATTCTGTAGACAAAGAGAACTGAAGGTCTGTGAATGGCAGACACTTGGGCAAGGTCCCACGGTGACTTAGTGGCAGAGCCAGGGGCATCCTCTAGCTTCTCATACAATAATCTACTGTCTTGGATAGTTGCTCGTTCTCCATTCTGTACACACCTACAAGGTGTCTGCTGTGGGGCAGCTACTGTAGCAGGCATGAGGACTACAGAGAGAAAAATAAGTACTCTATGCGCTGAAAATGCTTAGAGTCCCAGCCAGGGACACACCCAAAGAGGAGCAGCTTTAGTTCAAAGCATGTGGATGCCGGGTCTCTTGGAAGGTTTTCCTCTTAGGAACCAGTGTTAATGGCATCGCTTTCAAGACTTTGCGGGCTCCTGATTCTTGAACAGGGGTCAAGATGTAGACAGTTGGCACGGTTCCACTGAGGTTAGCCATGCGCAGCAGGAATAGGGTAGGTGGGGGCACATTCTGCCACGGTGACCATGGCCTCTGTAAAGTGAATTAGGGGCAATTGCCAAGTGGACCAACATCTGCTTCAGCGTCTTGAGAAAGCTGAAAATAAAAATCGATGCGTATAAAATTAGGCTGTCGAGTGAACCTCAGACCACAGGTAATTGCAATCTGAGTTCACGTTGCTGCGACTATCCTGAACAGCTCAGAAAACAGGTACTTTTCACCACATACAGTGTCTGTGTTCTCAGCTCCTGCTCCAGGGATAGTTTCTGGCTTGTTAAATGACACTGCTGGACATCCCCCAGAATTTAATTTTAATATCACCTCCTCCTCCTTTGCTTAACATATACCCATTTATGTTCTGCAATTTCAGAGAAAGGAACATATAATAATTATGTTTTAGAAATTGGAACAAGAAACTAGCAGATGCAAGTTTAGTGAATATTGAGTTTTAAAATTGTCTGGCTGTGATTTGTGGCCATGTCATGGCAAATATTTTTCAATGTCACTGCCTTAGCCAGTGCTGTCACTAAGGCAGTCAGCTGGGGAATAGAGGGCTGAACACTATGATCTCAATATTAATGGGAGCTGTTGAAAGTGGCAAAGGTGATAAAGTATTGTTTAGCTATTGGTGCCATACTTTGGCTGCGGGACATTATTATAAAACGCAGTCTGTTTTTGTCAGATTTCAATCATGGCTTCAATAACATGTTTAGAAACTTAGAATACAGGAGACCACAAAACAATGATGTTTTCCCCCCTTAAACTAAAGGACTTTAGATTGCAATCTGAAGAAATGAGGTTTGAAATTTGGATCTTACTTTATTATTTTTTCTCCAAATTATTCAGTGATAGGACATCCTTGCCTGACTTCCAGTAGTCAGATGGGTTCGATGTGGCTTCAAGAAGTTGAGAAGTTGATATAATCTCTTCCTTTGAACTCTCGATAGGGCAAGATTACTGCTGGTTGTGCAAAGAGCAGACCTAGTGCAGTGGACAGAGTCGCGGATCACCCTTTCCCCCACCTCCCTGGACCAGTCCAGGAAGAGAGAGTTATGCAAAGTGTATAATACTTTAAAAAATAATATCCTGTTTTGCAAAATTGCATTTCATTCAGGAAATAACAGGATTTCCCATCTCGGCCGCAACCCTGTGGAGAAGGTGAATGAACGCTTTGGTGGAGGAGGCTGCCCCTGTCATTAATAGCGCCTGGGTTTAAACTTATAATTAAAATAACCTTTAAAATTCAATTTTTATAGATGGAGGAGATAACTTGATTTGAAACCCTTCAATGCACACATTTTATGTAGCACTCACCCAAATCCAATGGTACCATAGAAAAACGGGAACATAAAACTTGATGATGAGAGTTTATATAACTTTTAAATATCAAGCTGTCAGGCTTTGTGCCGGTAGAAATATTGTAATTGGACAAGAGTAAAGAAAAAGAGTTTACATTAGCATTGAGGGTTTTTGAGTGAATTCAGACCAAGCAGAATATAATGGAAACCCCTTTAAAAGAAAGAGGAGAGAAAAACTCGAGGTCCAAGCATAGTCTGACCTTCCTTTCAGAAGAGATCTGCTTGATAAAACAGACACAACCCCAATAAAATACTAACAATAGAAAAAAGTAAATAGAAATCATATTAAGCAGTGGCGATATTGCCTGAATTGAAACAAAAATTAGGTATAATAGCCTTGGCGGGTTTTAATATGGTCCCCAATCATATCACAATACGAAGCATATCATGGTGTTTCTAAATAATGTTTATCATCTTGAAATCTCCCTGCCTGGTAGACAACTTGCATTATTTGAGGTTTGTGGGTTTTTTTTTTTTTAAAGAACTCATAAATATTTAATGTCCAGGATCAAGAATGGGGCTGGGGGAGGGGACATGTCTCTCAGAACAGTAATGTTTCTCTGTGTGACAGGCCCTGGCATTGTCTGGAGCTAAGGCTTGGCCCTGGTGTGAAGCTTTGGGATGAGGAGTGTGTCCCTCTGAGGACCTGGAGCCCCCTGGTACCAGGGTTACAGAGAGGATCCCAGATGGCAGGGCAGCCTGCCCCAGATGCACTCACACCTGTCCGCTGTACCTGGGCAGGAGTAGTCTCGGGTGACTTTTTCCCTTGTGCATTGTGGAGCACGGGGCTACAGAGGAAAAAAAAGTGGGCCAGTGGGCTCCTGTTGGCCATATCCTAATGCAATTCTGAATTCTAGGAGCTGGTGGGAACATTGGCCTTCCAGCTGGCTATCCATCTCCTCCACTGGTCAACCAGCCAGTGTGTCTTTATTGAGGGCCTTCAAGGGGCCAGGCATAGAATCCTCAATGTTGTTTTCTGTTGCTTGTAAGATTCTTAAGGGAATATTTTTGACCTTTTCTGAAGTTTCAGAAGCCTGTGTTTTCTTCAGGATCAATGCTGCATGCATTCAATAAGAGTTTGGAATCTGGTCTTTTTTAGACTTTTTGGCTCAGGATGGGAAGAGAGGCGAGCCAGAGAAAGCAACTAGCCCATGTGCTGTTTCCTCACAATACCTGCAATTCATTTTTAAAAAATCTCTGACTCTCCAGTTCAGTTCTGCACCATTCGTTCATTTGTTCACTCCACAAATATTTACTGAGAACCTACAGTATGCCAGGCACTATTCCAGGCTCTGGGGGTACGATATTGATCAACCCAGCACATTTGCTGTCTTCCCGGAGCTAGTATGTCAGTGGATATTGCACATCACTTGAAACATGGGCCCCCTTAAGAGACAGAGAGGTGAGATGCAAAATACCTTTTTGGGAACAGTGACTGGTTTGGGCTCAGAAGCACCTTGACTCACACAGGATTTATACCAGTCTTTCATGCAAGAGCCAGCAACCACTGTGCTCATACAGTTCTTCCCCACCAGACTTCAGCATCCTCTCAGGGAAGGGGACCAGAACAGGGGACCATCTTCACTGGTCCTGGGCCTTTCTCTCTGTGTCCATTTGCTAATGTTCCCTGCAGCTGTCTCAGGTGGACGCGACTGCCACATCCTTGAACATGGGCACATTTACTTACACAGATGCACAGAACCTGACATGCTCCCTTTTGAGTCCCAACATAGTGTCACCACCCTGTCAATTGCCCCAGAAAGAGGACCTGAGCCAACAGCACTGCATTCTTGTCTGCACAAAAACAGGGATGGTCTCGGGAGAATAATGAAGAGGAAGATTTGGCTTGCCCTGGGCCTGGGCCACCACATAGGGTCCGCTGCCTACTGTGTCTCTGGGTCCCGTGCTCCTTGGGAAGCCAGCTGTGGTTGTCATGACAGCAGCCACCCCTGGAGCTCCCACAGCATGGAGTCTGGCCTATCTCAGAGTTGCCAGCCTTTCCCTGTCTACCAGACCATGGAGGTCCAGCCATACATGTCATGTGGCCCAACCGATCAGCTAGTGAGAACTGGCGAGTGACTTAGAGAGCCAGCTCTGGGTCTAGAAACTATCACATAGACCACAAAGAAACTCACTGTGGTCCTCAGAGTCAAGGGCCTGAGACAGTATCATCTCACCAGCAGACATTCAAATTTGATCTTCCTTTCTGAGGCCAGAGGCTGAATCTGGAAGGCCATGACAAGAGTGAGGAGGATTCAAGGAGTGGCAACAGCCGACAGGCTAGCACATGGCATGCTTAGGGCTGTGCCGGGGCTTGTGGAGCCCTGTCACCTCTATGAAATGGGTGCTGCAGGCCGGGCGCAGTGGCTCACACCTGTAATCCTAGCACTTTGGGAGGCTGAGGAGGGCAGATCACGAGGTTAGGAGATGGAGGCCATCCTGACCAACATGGTGAAACCCCATCTCTACTAAAAATACACAAATTAGCTGGGTGTGGTAGCAGACGCCTGTAATCCCAGCTACTCAGGAGGCTGAGGCAGGAGAATAGCTTGAACCCAGGAGGCGGAGGTTGCAGTGAGCCAAGATCGCGCCACTGCACTCCAGCCCGGGAGACAGTACAAGACTCCGTCTCAAAAAAAAAAAAAAAAAGGGCACTGCAGGCAGCCTGTGCTAGGTGTGAATGCTGGCCCTGTCACTTCCTTACTAAGTGACCTTGAGCAAATCACACAGTTTTTCTGAGTCTTGCTGTTCTCATCTATAAGTGGGTATGACTGCATGAAGCAGTGTGAGGATTCAATCTCATATGCAGCAGGCTAAGTGCTGGGAACAGTATCAGGCTCCTGGGCTGTGGCCAGCAGGGCTGTTCTGTGAGCACCTGGGCAGGTAGAGCTCTTTCTCCTCCCCACTGATGTAGGCTTTGCCACCAGGGTCCAAGGCACAGCATCTTTGGTTGCCATTGTTTTACAGAATTTCAAGGGAAATAGCATTCCCTATTCTGTTTCCTGCACAGCTCCTGCCACACTCTTCTTGGGGTGGGCTCTCTGGAAGTACCTCCCTTCTTCTGCAGCCCTGAGACAGGCTGGACCCTGCTGTGAGAAGGGGGATTCCTGCTGGGATGCCCACAGGGAGGGTGAGCAAACATGGGTCTGTCCCTCAAAGGGCTCAGCATGCCCTAGAGACTGGAGAAGTTTGCAGGGATGCCAGGAGTGTAGTGGGGGGTTGTGGGTGGTGGGCAGTGTGGAGGCCCAAGCAGGGCCTAGTGGTAGGTCATGGTCAGTCCAGCACTGACACTTTGAATGATGAAGATGTGGCAGATTCCTGCCCTGGGGCCAGAGATGGCTACCAGGTCACGGAGAAACAGGGCTCATGGGGGCATTCTGGAAAAGTCTTGCTTGGTTGGAGGTCACTAACGTTGCTGCCAGTGTAATACAGAGTCTTGAGGAGGGCCTGGGGTCAGCGAGAAGAGAGACAGAGTGGGGAGGCTCAGAGAGATAGACGGAGACAGGGAGGGAGAGATACAGAAAGGGACAGAGAGACCAAGAGAGAGGGAGGCTCAAAGAGACAGAAGGAGACAGAGACCAGGAGAGGGGGAGGCTCAGAGAGATGGAGAGGGAGATGGGGGGCGGGGTGGAGGGAGAGAGAGAAAGAGAAAAAGAGAAAGAGAAAGAAAGAGAAAATAGGGAGAGAGGTCAGAGAGAGGAAAAAGAGAGAGAGACAGGCACTTCCTGAGTGTGCCTGCCAGGCACCGCTGGGCCTGAAGAGGGTGAGCGGGGTGACCGTGTGCCAGCACAAGGGGGCTAAGCATTTCTGTGTCCCCACATTTGTTGTTACCCACAGTCCTTTGAGGTAAATATTATTAGTCCTCAGTGGACTGTGGCCCATTTTACAGACAACGAAACAGGCTCAGGACCTCCCCACACCCTCTCCTTTTTGCCTGCTCACTTTCTCCATCCCTCAAGCACAGACCCCAACCTCTGCCTCCTGAACCCGCCACTGCTCAGCTTTCCCTTCCCCAACCTCACTTCACAGGATGGCAGGGGCGATCCAGGCCATAGCTGCTCACTGTCCTGTGTGCTTTTGGTTAACATGGGTGAATCTTGTCTCCCTAAATAAAATTTGTCCTTCTCAGGGCAGAGAGTGTGTCAAAACCCCCAATATCATAGAGATGTTCCCTTGAAATTGTGTGCAGATTGACGTGTGTACGCACGTAGCTATTTTTCTGGGGATGGGGAGGTTGTTCACAGCCCTCACCAGCTTCTCATATAAAAAAGCAAAGCCCCAAAGCCCCACTGCTCTGGACGATGCTTCCTCCATGAACAATCTGGGGTCTTAAAGGGACCAGAAATCCCTCCCAGTGTTTCAAGATCACCTAACAAGACAGATGCGCTTGAACAAGGCGGCCCAGCTTCTCAATGCTTGCTGTGACAATGAGGTTGAGGAGTGGGAAATGGAGAGTGGGAGGTTCTCATCAGGTTACAGGAAGGGGCCAGGAAGAAGGGATGTGGTTCCCAGGACCAGGGTGAGCCGTGAGCTGACTGACCTCAGACCAGAGCAAAGGCTGAGGCTGTGCATGTGTGGGCGTGTGTGTGCATGTGTGTGCATGTTGGGGATGGGGGCGAGAACACCTCACCCTCACATGCACTGCTCTCACCCAGTACCATACATGGCTGCCTCTGCCCCAGCTCAGCCTAGAGCGGGCGCCTAGGCTCTATTGGAGAATGTGCACCAAGAAGACCCAGGTCCTTTGTGTCCCTAGGAGGAATGGAGAGGCCCTTCCTGTGTCTTACAGTCAAGGATTCCTGGCTCCTGAGAGCACCACCCCAGAATGCCTTCCAGGGCTAGGAGAGGTACCACTGCTAGTTCACACAGGATGTGGAGCTAGCAGCTGGTGCAGTGAAAGGTTTGTGCCGCGGTCTCCCGCCTGCTTCAGCGCGTCTTTGGCTCTGCCTTGGACAGTGTCTTAGACTCAGTATTCTTACTTTAAAGTAGGCCTGAGAAGAAATCCTGCCCAGCTTTCACTCAGTTGTTGTGAGAATTAACTAACAATAATAAATAGACACGTGTGTGTGTGTGTGTGTGTGTGTGTGTGTGTGTGTGTGTGTGTGTCTACAATTACAGGTTGTCATTGTAAAGTCCTAAGCAAACATCCCCTGCTAGTATTTCCCTTAATGAATCCATTGCTTAGACTTCAGTCACTAGGAGATCTGACTGCTGTGGTCACACGTCTCAGGATCGAACAGCAGATGGGTGCAGAGTGGTCAGTGATGGGATCGGGACTTGCGGAACCCCGGGTTGTGTTGTGAATCTTCGCGTGGTTCAATTCCTTCCTTTATTGCTCTATTGCTTGCTTTAGAATTTAGCACACTGAGCCCTTCATGAATGCCATTCCATGCTGAGCCTTTGAGAGTACAGGTCTGGGATCCTGGGCTCTGTCTAGAAAATTCTCTGATCTAAAATACCAACAAGGATGGAAGCCTTTGGGTCTCCCTGTGCCCATGCTTCTTTCTAGCTGCCCTGGGCCTGCAGACGCAGGCAGAGAGAGCTTCGCAGAGGAGGAGGTGGAATGAGGATTGCTGGGAAGCAGGCACTGTGCCCAGCGCCTCTCAGGATACATCCTCCACAGGACTCTGCATGGGGAACAGCGCTGTGCCTGTTCACCAAGGACAGAGCTATCCTTAGCAGGGAGTGCGCTTGCTCGAGGTCTCAGAGGTGCTGAGCGCAGCAGGCTGGGAGCCAGGTCTTCTGACTTGAGGGTCTGTGCCTTTCCTCCTTTACAACCTGTTGCCCTCTGTCTTCTCCCTGTCCCCCTCCCTGATCCAACCCAGTCCCTCAGCTGCAGCTGAGTTTCAACCACGGATGACTTCCATTTCTTTAATATCCTTCCTTGGTGGTAGCCTTGATCCATGTTAAGAAGGATGCCCAGGCTGCATCTGGACTCTGTGGGAAAGCATGCAGTGGTCGATTAGCAATGTCTGCCTTGGGCTTGGGGAGGAGGAGGTGCTTGGCATTTCCATACCTTCCCTAGACTCTTTAGCTATCCCACAAACACTCATGTGTCAGCAACGTCCCAGGTGCTGTTCAAGGTGCTGTGGTGGCCAAAGAGGGACAGGTCAGCAATGTCCAGTGATGCTAGGCTTGGTGCTCTGCTGTCCCTCCCGTGTGAACACAGTGGTCACAGGCCAGGCATCTCCTGCAGCAGTGGAGGTAGCCAGGGCAAGGCCCTGAGTGCCACTGTAGCCAGGGAGAGTCAGTGGCATCTGCTTCCCTCTGAGCCAAATTGTTTAAATGCCTCCACTTGCCCCTCAGTCCTTCCTTAATCTCAAATGACCCTGGAGGGTATTGGTGGCAAGATAGCCCTACGGGCAGAGCCTCCACCTAGGGCATAGTTGGCTGCCATGCTGTGAAGGAGCCTAGGGCATGGGACAAGGGCCTGGATGTGGGAATGGCTGTGGGCCCCAGGAGGCAGGGACAGGCGAGCCGCCCCGACCTCACAGCTCCCCAAGCACATGCCACCCCCGTAAGCCTACCAGGTAAGACACAGCATACCCAGCCACATTTGAATTTCAGTTAAACAACAAATACGATCTTTTAGTATAAAGTGTGTCCCCGATAATTTCACTTACTAAATCTGACAACCCTACAGTCTTGCCAAAGGAACTCTGGGCTCCAAACCCAGAAGGGCTTAGGGCCTCAGCCTCCCACTCTTCATGGAAACTGAGAAAGCCCCAACAAGGAGGAGGGAGGAGGGCCAGGCCTGCCAGCTCTGCAGAGAGAGACACTGTCAGTGTAAGTTGGCAGTTACGGATGTAGGCTCAGAAGCTTGACTGCTGGGTTCAAATCCCAGCTCCAGTGCTCACTAGCTGGGAGACCTTACAGCAGTGGCCTAACGTTCTGAGCCTCAGCTTTTCCATCCACAGAATTGGGAATGAAGGGATAGCTCCTGCCTTTCTGGGCTGTTGTGAATCTATTCATGTAGACGGTGTATAGTGATCTTGTCCGGGTCGTACATGGCAATGATCCGTGCAGGCAGTGGTGGTGGTTGCTGTGTCATTTTTGGATGAGTCTGGGGAGGGGGCCTGGGTCGTGGCTTCTGGTCCAACCTCTGTCACGAGCTTGCAGGATTTCCTTGGGCTGGTCCCACCTACCCATTAGGGCTACAATTGTCTATGTGTACAGAGCAGGTTGGACTCAGTTCATTGCAAATTAATTAATTAATTAATTAATTTTGTTTTGGAGATGGAGTCTTACTCTGTTGCCCAGGCTGGAGTGCAGTGGCGTGATCCTGGCTCACTGCAACCTCTGCTTCCTGGGTTCAAGCGATGCTTCTGCCTCAGCCTCCCAAGTAGCTGGGATTACAGGCACGCACCACCACACCCAGCTAATTTTGTATACTTAGTAGAGATGGGCTTTCACTATGTTAGCCAGGCTGATCTCAAACTCCCGACCTCAGGTGATCTGCCTGTCTTGGCCTCCCAAAGTGCTGGGATTACAGGCGTGAGCCACTGCGCCCAGCCTATCTATTTATTTTTGAGACAGAGTCTCACTCTGTTGCCCAGGCTGGAGTGCAGTGGCACAATCCCGGCTCACTGCAACCTTTGCCTCCCGAGTTCAAGTGACTCTCCCGCCTCAGCCTCTTGAGTAGCTGGGACTACAGGCGCATGCTACCATGCCCAGCTAATTTTTTTTTTTTTTTTCTAGTAGAGACAGGGTTTCACCATGTTGGCCAGGCTGGTCTCGAACTCCTGACCTCAGGTGATCCATCCACCTCGGCCTCCCAAAGTGCTGAGATTACAGGCATGAGCCACCACACCTGGCCTCATTACAAATTTAAAAGATGTTTTATTTGAGTAACAGAACCATTCTCCAAAAGAGAGCTCACAAAGAGCCCCAGCAGATAGACGGCCAGGTGTGGTAGCTCATGCCTGTAATCCCAGCACTTTGGAAGGCCAAAGTGGGCGGATCACCTGAGCTCAGGAGTTGGAGACCAGCCTGGCCAACATGGTAAAACCCTGTCTCTACTAAACAGACAAAAAATCTGTTGGGCATGGCGGTGCATGCCTATAATCCCAGCTACTCGGGAGGCTGAGGCAGGAGAACAGCTTGAACCCAGGAGGTGGAGGTTGCAGTGAGCCAGGATCCCACCACTGCACTCCAGCCTGGGTGATAGAGTGAGACTCCTTCTCAAAAAAAGAAAAAAGAAAAAAAGAACTCCAGCAGATAGAGATTAAACAAACAGAGCTGCTGGGGTTCAGAGGTGGATGTGTGTGTGTGTTTTATGGGAGGCGCTCTGGGTTAGTCCCCTGCCCTGCCCTCCTCACCTGGTCCATCTTGTGGGCATCCCCTAGGTGAGGCCAGAGGAGCTCCGTGCTGCTAGGAGATCCAGGCAGAAACATCCAGGAGTGGAAGCTCAGCCCAGCGGCTGGGAGGCTGTGGCACCTCCTGTCCACATGGCAGGCCAGGCCGAGGTGGGCTGGCTACACAGTGGGGCTCCCCCTCTCTGATAAGGTAAGCAGCTTGTTCATTGTCCCAGTGTCACTTGGGTCCCAGACAACCTGAGAGAGGGAGAAGGGGCTTTGTTCTCTTCGTTGCCTGGGGGTGGAACAGCCCTCTCTCACTCAGGGCCTTCTAGGTTCTTGTTTAATTAATCCTTCCTCAAACTCCATTCTCAGATATTGAAGTCTACACTCGAGTCCCCATTTTGTGGACAGGCAGGCTGAGGCCCAGTGGGGGCACCTGCTTGGGCCACACGGAGCCAGGGAGGGCTGAATGAGAACCTCCTGCCATCTTGGTGGTGGTGATGTGGGGCCCTGAGGGGTCATTTGTGTAGTCCCAGGGCTTGATTAATGGGGGCTAGACTAGGGGGCTCAGTCTCTCACTTTAGAAGCTGGGGAAGGACACCCACAGAGCTTCAGCAACTTGCTCAGCTCACATCACAGGCCAGAGCCAGCAAAGGCCCCATGCATCTCCCCAGGTTGAGTCAGTGACACCCGCTCAGTCAGCAGACAGCACCTCGAGAAAAAAATGATGTCTTCTTCTGCACCCTTTCCTGCCTGTAAATGGGCCTTTTGTTAAAAGCTCTGCCCTGTAAAACATGTAAGACACCTACCCTGTGTCCAAATTTCTTGCATTTCCTTTTCCTTCCCCTCCCCTACTCCGTCCCTGCATCAGGGACTCAGACATCTTCTAGGTCAAGTCTACCTTTCATTGGTGATGGGCAAGGGTTACCAATTGATGGGGTGACTCCTTAATCTTTAGGCCAGTTAACCCAAGAAAATCAGACCTTGCTAGTGACAGAGGAGCCCCTCCCTGGCTTTCTAGTTGGCCTCAGCGGTGCTACTGGTGAAGGTGGTGGTGAGATGTATGGACCGCCTGGTTATCTGTTTAATCCCCACTGCTGCCATTTGATTGTAATGGGGCCAGGTGGAAAGGGTCAGGTGTCATCATTCAGCCATTTATGCAGTGAATATTTACTGGGCACCTACTCTTTGCCAGTCTCTTGACTGGACAGATACACCCATGAGTCAATCATGACTTGTCCTCTGAGGAGCTCACAGTCTAGAGAGACAGACATGCAGATATCAGAAAATAACCTGAGTCAAAGGTGGCAGAAGCAGGACACACATAGTGGTGTGGGCATAGAGAGATGAGAGAATGTTCAGGCTTAAAAACATCCACATTATTTTTGCCTTTTGTAAGGCCAAACGGGGAGAAGGTGACAGAAGGGACGAAGATGCCCCAACCTGGAACAAGTCAATCATTTTAAAATTTCATTGCTGAACCCAACATAATTCAGACCTCATATCTGGCGAATGCATCAGTTCATTAGAACACAAAAATACACTATCAAACAGACAATCAAATTTCATGTAAAATAAGCTTCAGCATTAAAATGGTTCCTGGTGTTTTATGTGTGTGACTCGGTGGGCAGATATATTTCTTGCTACTAGAGCAAGACTGATTTGTGTGAAGGCTCCCGTCACCAAATCACTCGGAAGGCTAGGAGATAAAATGTCGCTTAGGATAATGTAATTGGCCTTAAGGTACAGGAGTTGAATTATTTTCAGTGATTTATAATCTGGAAATTAAAGACTCACTCATTTTCTAATTTAATTCCATCTTCAATGGAAAAATGTTCACTCTGATCTAAATTGGCGAGTAATGTTGCTAATTCAAATGCAGATGTAATTTCGATTCTGGTAGCAGTTTGCAGTGATTGACGGGTCTCCAAAGAATCATTACGATCCTTATCTCCCAATCTCACAAATTCCCCGGCAGTTGTGATAATAACTTCGGCTAAGGAGAAAAGGGAAAAAAATAAATTCTCCCCTGCCCTGTCGGTCTGGGGCTCGCCTTTTGCAGGATGTGAATTGTGGTTTCTTTTGCATCGACAGTGTCTGAGACAATACTGACACTTCCTTACCAAATTTGGTGGTGGCACACTGCAGGTTGAGTTGTTCACCAGTGATCTTTGCTCTCCAATATGAACGAAATGGGCCTGGGATAAGTTATTCTCGATTCACAGTTAATTAGCTGGGATTTTACACCACATTTGGTGCAATTCATTGATAAGTCTTAACTACCCAGGGACAGGCAGACAATGATTAGCCATAATCATGCAGGCTTTGCCCTCCGTCTCGCGGCTGTCACGTGGATAGCCCATGGTGATGTGTCTTCATCTCGGTAGACCCTAAGAAGCCAGGATGGAGAAATTATGAGGTCACTCTGGCTGTGTGAGAAGTGGCCGGGTCAGAGCGATGGTTGCCTGCATCATCTGTTTGCACAGCAAGGGGGCGGCCGCTGGGCTGAGCCATAGCCTTGGTCCACTGTGCACGTGAACACTCCTGACCTGGCCAAGCAATGGCTCTGGCTACTTCTAAGCAGAATAGATTTCTTTGGCTGACAGCTATTTTGATTACAGTAAAGCCGTCAGATTCTGAAAGTTGATGGATTCTCTATGGTTTAAACAATCACATAAAGATTTGGGGCAAGTTGTGTTGATTTCTAGGATGTGGTTACAGAGTGTGAGTGAGGAGTAGGATGTGTTGGAAATAAGCCGGCCCCACCTGCCAGCACTAGCTCTCACCCAACATGAGCATTTCCTCTGTGTAAGGTTTTATATCAGAACGTATTGATTTATAGCACATGGGTCGTGGTAGTACAACTTTGGGGAATGAAGGAAGTGAATCTCATTTGGGAAAGGGAAAGGAATAATTTTGATTTGGATTAAGAATAAAAGGAAAAAGCTTTTACAAAACATTTATGGCTATTTTATAATATTTTTAAAGTTTGATTTTTGTGTATATTAAGCTATGGAGCAAAGACTGCTTATGTCGCCCACAACTGTGCTCTCGTCTTATTTTTGAACACACTGCTGACCTATGTTTTCCAGCCTTCCTGGCTCCTTTGTTGGAGATTTCTGACCAAGTTTTGACCAAAAGAATGTGATCATGTATCCCTTCTAGGCCTGGCCCATAAAAACCTCCTATGCATGATCCTTGCTGTCTCACCACCCGCCTAATAAATGGAAGAACTCAGAGGACTCTTCCTTCTGTCTCTGAGAAGTCTGTGAAGCTTTACCTGAATTAGAAAGACACTCCTATTGGGTTAAACCATTGAGATTTGAGGGTTTGTTATTTAAGCAGCTAAGATTACTCATCCCAATAACAAGCTATATCCAACACAATGGTATAAGGAATAGATTTATTGATTTCCCCAGTCTCACAGTTAATTATTTGTGTATTTCACATATGGAACTGCCACTGACCAAGCATAGGCTGATCTCTGCATGATCCATAGATTATGAACAGCATTCCCATTTTGCCTTCAATCACCATGGCCTGGAATATGATCACTAGTAAATGGGAAAGGATTTTGGTTTTACAAATATATGAGCAGCTCACTAATACTGCATTTATATCAAGAACAAAGGGTAGCAAACATGCTTTCAATTTCAAGAAAGACATTTTCACTTAAATATGAAGACTCATTGAGACATGGTGTACGTCTTTGATGATTGTTTTCCTGATTGTAGATTTAGGCAGCATTAGTCTTAACCACATTAGGTGTGATGGACAAAGACAGCTGGATGGAGATCAGTCACCTTTCTCCTCCCCCATCTTCTAGTGGCCTCTTTCCCTAACCTCTCTACACATAACTATTTAACATGTGTTGGGAGAATTATCTGCTGAAGGTCTTGTTGATGTGTTATGCTTTCATCCAGCTGAAGGAATCTCAGAGACCATGGCATGAACTCAGAGAATAGATTCCCTGCTGCTTTTCAATAGAAGCATCAAGGAAGTCCATGTAACTGAAATTCATCGAGATACATGGTACATTGTCGGCACATGGTACATCAGTCTTGCTCCTACCCACTTCTGGGCTCAGTGTTCATCGTACCCTCAGTGTCTTTTGCTTTCCGGCTCCAAAAATCCTCATTCCCTGGGTGTTCACTGGATAAGCTAAGCACATTCTCACCTCCTTGCTTTGTTCATGTTACTTGCTGTGTCTGGAAGGACTGTCCCAGACTATGCACCATATTTGGAACACAGACCCAAGTCATCTCGCAAGTTTCAGCTCAAGCGTGAGTTCATCCTTGAAACCTTTTCTGCCCAGCTCTCCTCCCACCCATGAAAGACCTAATCTTCTCTTTTGTTGGACTGCCTTGTCACAGCACCTAGGATGTTGGACTCTAGTTTGTTTGCTCATCTTTCTCCCTCTACCCTGAGTTCAGAGGACAGGATGGTGATCTAATTGTCATTGCCATATTATTCATATCTTATCATCACCATCACCATCAGTTATATTACAGAAATATCCATGATACCTCATTCATGCTGCACCTGGGGGAATGAGCAGCCTAGTTCCTGGCTAATTTCTGCCTTCAACCCTAAGTACTGAGAATCCTTTTTATTGTGATGCCAGGCCACTGGCATGCCACCACCTGAGTGTCCTCCTCTGATCAATAGTGATAGATGGTGCTGTTGCTTCAGTTTCTGGCAGACCATCCCTATACACAGAGCTGCTCATGGTTAAGCATTTGGGTAGCTCTTCTGTAAATCACCAGGACCACTTGATGCCAGCAGGGGTGACAGAACCCAACTGTGCTGTCACTCTCAATGCACCTAATTCCCTTAAGCCATTCACCTAATAACCTGTGGTTCAGAGTTCTACAGGCTAATGACACAACATGTACATAAGTATTTCCTTTTGTGCTTTTCAGATTTTTTTCTTTTAATTTCATTAAGTGCCCTCTTGTTCCTGTATCACCAGTGAGTACACAGAGACACTTATTCACCTGCTCTTGGGCAGTCATCTTAGTACATGAGTATCCTCTTACATGACCCTGTTTTAGACCAAATGCTTAATCTTTTTAACTTCTCCTAGTATGGCCATCCCCATGAGGAGTTTTGGCTCTGGAACTTCAGGAGCAATCCTGTAGTCTATTTGTTCAGCTTATTGTTTCTTGATGATAATACTGGTAACAACTACCAATTATCAAGTGCTGATGACGAGCTAGGTGCTGTATTAAGTGGTTGGCATGCATTTTCTCACTTGATCCTCATAACCAATGCTATATGTTAGAAACTACTACCTCCACTTGATATATAGAGGAACTAAAGCCCAGAAGGGTCAAGTCCAAGGTCACATGGCCAAGCAGCATCGAGGGCTGCATTTAACCCATACTTGTATTGCGTTCCCCTCACACTGGCACCATCTGGCTCCCAGCCTGGAGGCTCTCTGAGGGTAACACCAGGGCCTGCATTTGTACCTCCCCCATGGAGCCTGGCTCAGATTTGACAATTGAATGGAAGAATGGCTAGAACCAATTCTACATTCTCAGTGTCCAAATGCTAAAGTTTTAAGTATAAGTAGGTGTCATTTTTGTTAAGCCCTTGTATTAGTCAGGATATTCCAGAGAAATAGAACCAATAGGGTGTGCGTGTGCTTGTGTGTGTGTTTGTGCGTGTGTCTGTGTAGGATGAGATTTATTTTAAGGAAGTGGCTCACACAATTATGGAGGCTAGCAAGTTAAAAATCTGCAGGGTATACCAGCAGGCTGAAGACCCAGGGGAAACTGATGTTGCAGTTCAAGTCCAAAGACAATCAAATCCACTGTAGAATTCCGCCTTGCTCAGAAGATGTTGTTTTTTGTTCTATTCAGGCCTTCAACTGATTGGACGGGGCTCACCCACATTATCGAGGGCATCTGCTTTACTCAAAGTCCACCAGTTTAAATGTTCATCTCATCCTAAACACCCTCACACTAACATCCAGAATAGTGTTTGACCATGTATCTGGGCACCACGGACCAGCTATGTTGGCACATAAAATGAACCATTGCAGCCCTCTTTCTCTGTTTTGAGGAAGACAATCATGGAGGTATTTGGGGATTTACACAGTACAGTGTCATTATCTACAATGGGCTCTGGAGTCTGCATTCGAATCTTAATTCATTTACTTACCATAAGACTTTAGGAAAGTAGCTCAACCTCCCGCATTCACTGGAAATAATAAGTGCTGGGAGGAGTAACACCCCAGGCTGATGGGGAGAGGAAATGGGAAGGTGCATGGAAATGTGCCCTGAAAGTGTTAACGCATGAAGCTCAGGAAATGAGCTGGATTTACTATTTTCTGCTTGGACATGCACTTCCTCCGTTGACCCCACCAGAATGGTGTTTCCAGCCAGGAATTCCCAATGATGAGGCTGTCTTGGGTACCATGGGCAGCTCTCCTTTAGTGGACATCACATTGGGTTCCCTGGCCATGGCTGATCATGGGCAGCCAGAGAGTGGCCTAAAGTCCGGTTGAGTGATGCAGAGCAGGCCCGGGCGGGAGCGCATCCTCAGAAGCGATCCTTCAGAGGCAGCACTTTAGGAGTGGGGCATGTGGACACCACCTGGTGGCTTGCACTACTTTTTTATTTTTCTGAAAAACTTTGGCTTAGGTTTTGAGTTCCTGAGCATGTTGTATATTAACTTATTTGATCTATGAGGTCAGTAGCATTCCTCTCATCTTAAACATGGGGAGAAGAGAGATTGAGTCACCAGCCAAGGTCACATACTGGCAAGCAGCAGGGCCCAGGCTTGACCCCAGGATGTCTAACACAAGAAGCCACGTTCCCAACCACTACTCTCCGCTGCTACCAGAGGCTGTCATGTGACCAGGCCCTTCTTAGAAAACCAGAACCTAAGAGGGCTCTATGACTTGTTGCATCAACCGTCACCCTGGAGTGGTTCCCAGACTCCCCTGTGTCACCTTGGTGGGGGGGTCCCTTTCCCTCCCAGAGCCTCACTTTCCCCATCTGTCTAATGGGAATCCTCCCTGTGTGGCCCTCCTTGGCCTTTGGGATTTCCTCTGGTTCTGAAGCTATCTCTTTTATTGTCCTGGCCCCAGGCAGCGACTTGCATTGCTTGGCAAGAGTAGATGTACCCCAAAAAATGGAGAACCTACAGTTGCCGGCATATCGTAAGGACTGATGTTTGCCCCATTTCAATCCCTCTGCTTATTCCACTTTCCAACCCTTCCAGAAAGTTCCATGCCAGGCAGCCTGAGTAAGGCAGAAAGGCTGGGCTGGATGCTTGGGTGTGACCCCCACAGGGACTCCCTATTCTTTCTGGCTGTCCATAAAGGTGGCAGCATTACTGCCTGTTTCAGAATGTCCAGCCAGCCACGTGGAAAAACACACAGCCTGAGGAAGGAAGGAAGGAATTGGGGGCTGGGAGAAGGGGTGAAAAGGTATTCCAGTCTTGGAGTTGCTGTCCTGAGGTGCAGGTGGTGAGAGTTTGTATGCGCTTTCCTGGGGCCAGGGCAAGCTGCCCATGATCCATTTGCTTTGGGAACATGGTCAGGCGGCCCAATGTCATGTCCACTAAAGGCAAGTATTGTGCCTGAACCATCAGCTGGATTGGAAAAAAACCCAATGCCAGGATACTGCTAAATGCCAAGTTGGGAGGTGGAGAAAGGAAGGTGACCGGCAGCTCCCTGTCACGTGCCAGGAGTGTGCCAGGGGCTTCCCTGGCCCACTAGAGTTCCCACTTTGCAGATGTGGAAACTAAGTCTCAGAGCCATTAGGCAACTTGCCACAAAACCACACAGTCAGCCAGCCTCAAAGCTGGCCAGTCCTAGAACCAGACCCCAGAGCCCTGCTCATTTTACCAGGCTCCCCTAATGGGACAGAACCACACAAAAGCTCAGGGAAGACGATCCCTGGGAACCTGCCCTGCCTCTCTGGGGCAAGCTGGGGAGGGACCACCAGTGGGCCTGGCTTTGGGGGTCTCTGCCAGGCTGGACCGTGGAGCTGATAAGCTGTGTGCTCATCTCCCTAGAACTACCATCTCCCTGGCCATTTAGGAATTCCCTCGGACTTCCTAGCAGGGCTGCCTGGTCGGGGCCTTGCCGGCTTCCTCTGCAGTCCCAGAGCTCCAGAGTCTTAGTGAGGAGACTCTCCATCAGCAGAGGGTGGATCCTCCAAAAGACATGCTGCAGGGCGCCATGACAAATCCCCTCCCAGATGAACTCAGCTCCCTTGGAGTCCGCTTCTTTATTGGAGCTGCTCAGTTAGGACCAACCTCCCTCCAGGGAACATCTCAGAAGACAGATGCCATCAAAAGATGTGGCCAAGCAGGACAACACTGAAAGGAGAACATGAAAGTTTGCTAGTTTACTTATTAGTACAATATGTAATTGGATAGAAGGCACAGCTTTTAAAAATTTGTCTTACCATAATGACTATAATTTTTTAGAGATTGAAAATGAATCTGACTAGAAAATACCATTAAACTACCAAGTTGCTTAAAATTTAAAGGGTAATTCACATATAATGCTTTTATTTAATAGCCCAATTTACAAAACGTCTAAAATTAATGCAGATCTTTTCAGGACAAAATCAGCCGTAACTGCACCAACTAATTTTTGCTCATTTGAACTGAATTATTAATAAGAGAGAAATATACCATATGTTCCCCAAAGAGCTGGATACATTTATTTCAAATAAAAGCACTGTGTTTGGTGGAGTATAAGAGGTTTAAATGCTTTCAGAGAAATGGGTTACTTATATACAGATTTAATAGAGTATAAATCAAGCTGCGTAATTAAGGACACAGCTGCTTCCAAACCCAAGGCCGGCAGCTTTTGCTTCTCAAGTTCCTTTATCACCTGCATGGCTTTCATGAGCAATCATTTGTGCTCATGGAATAATACCAGTTCACCAATGACCTAGTGGTTTATGCCATACCGAAAAGGAATTTTATCGCAGGTTTAGGTCATAGCCATTGACTTCATCTATTTCTTCTCTAAAAAATATTTCTTGAGGACCTACTGTGTGTCAAGCAGTGAGCTTGTCTCTGAACAAAATGGCTCTGGATCTTTTCCTCATTCCTTTTCTCTCTCCCTCTTTCCCTTCCTCCCCATCTCTCCTCCCTTCCTTCCTTCTTTCCCTCCTCTCTCTGCCTCCCTTCCTCCCTCTTTCCCTTCTTCTTTCCCTCTCTACCTCACCCTTCCTCTCTCCCTTCTTTTTCTCTTTCCTTTTCCTCCTTTCTTCCTTTCTTTCCCCCCTCTCTTTTCTTCCTTTCTTCCCTCCAATTATCCCTCATACTGCAAACTCGGGACTTGGGAGTTTAAGTTCAATATGTGACTGACCCTTGGCCCACATCGTGGGCATGGGTCGATGTTGCTGAGTGTGATGCAAGATAGAAGACCCTGGTCTCTTCCTCCTCTTGCTTTGGGAGACTGACTGCTTCCAGAATTACAGCATCTCACAGCAGACTGTCAGGGAGGAGCCTGCATCTCGTAAATAAAGAGAGGGGCTCAAGATGGGCCTTCTGACCCTTCAAATGCCCCATTTTACAGCACATGCTAACATTTTTCTTTGTATTGGTTTGTAGCTCTTGAGTTGAATTCATGAGACTGCAACATCTCTTGGAATACCTCACTGCATCCAGAGGTTGTCAGCACATGGACAGCTCTGGGGTCTCTGCTTGGTGCCAGCTGGTTCCCAGGGGTTCTGCATGGAGATTTCTGTGCCCCTCGTGCCTTGATGGCATGGGCTGGCTAGCAGGCCTCTGCACCAGGGCTACACCCACTGTACATCCGTTTGTTCTGTTCTTGGTTTCATTTCTGCTTTTACCCCCTGGCTTCCCTGGAAACCACATGTGGGCAGGCACGTATCTGCTGGATTAACAGTACTATTCCAGTGCCTGTCACAGTGGCCAGCCCCATAGAGGTGCTCAAACCCTGAGAGCAGAGTGCACACATGAATATAAGTGAGTGAATGGTTTCTGAAAGGCTGACGTTCGAGGCATTTGCTGGATTTCTGGCCTGGCATGCCTTGCTGACTTTGGTGATAATGTTATGGCAAGCAGGGTGTAATTCAGGAGATGGTGCTTGTTTCCTGGCAGTCCTGTGGGCAGACAGACTCTGGGAACTGTGGGCCCAGAAAGTCAGGTGTGTGTGTTTCAACAGCAGGAGCAGCCCGTCTGAAAGCCCAAGCACTTGCGTGTTAAATTGCATCTCAGAGGGAGGTTTTTGTTTTAATGGAAGCAGTTATCCAACTAGCAGGCTTCAAATGGAAATAACAGCTCTCTCTACATAATGAGTGAGGGGCACTTTAATTAATAGCACCTCTTGGATTTTAATGACAGTGGCTTTGGTTTCTGGCCATCTGATGACTACTGAAGCTATTGTTTTGGGGATGCAGGGACATGCAAACCTGCTGGAGTCCGCGTGGATACAATGGGCATCTCAGAGGTGTTATAATTTGAGAGTTTTCTAAGCCTCATGCCTGTACCTCATTTATGTTTCAGGGCAAGCGCTCTACCCTGCAGTGAGGGATGAAACCTCTCCATTCTCTTCTATTATGGTGCAAACTTGGGGTAGAATTTCCAGCTGCCTAGAGAGCAGCAGCAGAGCTTCCCATCTGTACACAGATGCTGCCTTGTCACCGTGGCTGTGCCCTGTGGAAGACTGGCCTGTGTTTGCCCTGCTGAGCTCTGAGGGGTGCTGTTCCGTAGCCTCACAGCCCCTGTAGGTGCAGTGCTGGGCTGGCTTCCTGTGGCCTGGCTCTGATGTGCCCAGTAAGCCATTTCTCTTGATGCAGGACTATTCCTGTGGCAGTGAAGGTGGCAGGTGGGAACGGGGCTGCCACTAGGATGATGCCACTCACACAGTTTTGTGTTGAAGGCTGAGGGTAGGAAGGGAGGGAGAACGTGAAGGGCCCACTGTCTGGGGGAGCCAGGCATGTGAGAACTTGGGAACATTAGTGGGCCATGTGCACTGCAGGCAGGGAGGGTGCAAAGGGCAGAGGGAGCCCCCGAGGGGCAGCCCTCCAGCGTGGGAGGTGAGCAAGCCAAGGAGAGGCAGGCCAGAGTGGGGCGCAGTTTATGGGCCCTAGTCCCCACTCCCAGTCCAGTTGATTGCGTTTCCCTGTGCTGTGCCCAGCTCTGGATGGAACTAGAGGCCTAGTCTGGGTTCTCCTCAAGGCATTGGTGCCAGCAGCGTCATTCAGTCTCAAAGAGGGCCGAAGAGGCATGGCCAGGAGAAGCCCCCATCCTCCCAGCAGGCTCCTCCGTGCAGCCCCTGCTCTTCCACCACCACAAGACAGCCCAGGAGCCACCATGCCTTCACCCCAGGGGCTCCTCGGGAGGAACTAAAAACCTTCCCAGGCCTGGGCTCTCCCCGCTCCCACTGCCAAGCCACCTGCCTTATGGAATATGGTGGGGGAAAGGAGTGCTGTTTCCGTTACAGGAGGCGTGGGGGTGCCAGACCTCAGCATCCTTCCTCCTAGCTGGGCCGAGGCCTCTGCTTTGGGCTTGGATTTGGATCCTGTTGAGACCTTGTGAACCTAACTGGTTACTCACCCCCCATATGCCTGTCAAACCCTTATGCAGCAGGGTAAATCCCAGGAGCCAGCCTGGTGGTGCTTGGTCCTCCTGGCCTAGCTCGCCTGCCCTAACCCTTCCCTCCCCACCCACTCTGACCTCTCAGTCCCTGGTCAGGTTTCTCTTTCTTCTTCTCTGCTGCCTCCTCCATTCCCCTGGGATCCTGGTTCCTTCAGATCTCAGCTCCTTGCTTCCTCAGGAAGCCCCCGACTCTATGCCAGGGAATATCTCCCTATTATCAGGACTGGGTACCTCCCCTTCTCAGACAATGTCCTTATTTCTTTCTTTCTTTTCTTTTCTTTCTTTTCTTTTTTTGAGATAGAGTCTTGCTCTGTTGCCTAGGCTGGAGTGCAGTAGAGCAATCTCAGCTCACTGCAACCTCCGCCTCCCAGGTTCAAGCAATTCTCTTGCCTCAGCCTCCTGAGTAGCTGGGATTACAGGCACGTGCCACCACACCTGGCTAATTTTTTTTTTTTTTTTTGTATTTTTAGTAGAGATGGGGTTTCATCATGTTGGTCAGGCTGGTCTCAAACTCCTGACCTCGTGATCTGCCTGCCTTGGACTCCCAAAGTGCTGGGATTAAAGGCATGATCTGAGCCCGGCCCTTATTTCTCTGTTGGGTTTTTCCTCTAGGAGAGTAGGCACTGGACACTTCCTCAGATGTACACGTTGGTTTCTGGGAGCCGTGTTGAACCTGCTGGCCTTTTCCATTCCCTGGACTCTACCGCTGGGAAGCTGATCAGGGCTGTGCTACTTCCTTGCCATCTTCCCCTCCCACTGGACTGACCGGAAGTCCCACTGTATCGTCCAGATCAGCTGTGAACAAGCTGTTGAATGAGCAGATAAAGGAGGAGTATGTGCATAGGTCGTGTATAGGCCGGGGGTTGAAATGCTCCCATCAGCATGAGGGTCTCCTTCCTGTGCCACCTGGGCTGCCTGGAGGACCAGCCTTGATAGCGCTGTGTTTCCTATCTCCTGCCCTCAAGATGCAAATTTGACTGACTTCAGCTGGGACAAGCGGGGAGGAGGTGTGTAATGAGCCACTCTCAGGTACTCAACCTCTGGACAGATCCGTGTGTTTAATTAATTATAATCTAACTACCTGAAGTAGAAGAGGAAGCAGTGGGCTCCACATGGGCCAGGTCCTTTAACACATGAACTTTGATCCCAGCCCCCGAGGTCAGCCATCAGCTCCTCATCCTGCAGCCTGCCCAATGCTTCATTACCCAATTAACCCGTCATTTTAGAGCCAGGTGGTTTAAGGGACTGTGTAAGAAGAACCTGGGACTCCAGGGCCGCAGCCTTTGGTTATGGTCCTGTTGTGGTTCTAATGCACTAATTAAATATCTGTCTCTTCTAAAAGTCTGCGTGATTTATTGGAAAATTGGTAGAAACAGCCCTTGGGGGGCTGTGCTCAAAATCTGGTTTAAAAGGGTGGCTACTGGCTGTGACTCTTTGATTTCCTCTATCCTATTGAATGTCATTAGCCCCCTTTCATGTAAAATAAATGTTTGACTCCAGCTCATGGAGGGCTTATTTATTCATTTCGTTCCCTTCACTGCACACTGTCATTATTTCTCTGTTGATTCTCTTCTCTGGGAGAATAGAAACGAAACCCTTCCCTTCGAGGCACATATTTTGGATTCAGATAATGTGAAGGCTCCGTGAGCTTGTCCCCTCTGCCCCCCCTTACTCAGACGCTGCAGGTTGTGAATTTCAGTCCTGGTAAATCATGTGTGACTCTACGATGGAAAGGACTCGGTGTTATTTTATTTGTGATTTGTTGTTACTTATTTATTGGGAAGTGGCCTTTCTCCAAAAGGAGCACAATATGGAGAAAAACAGAAAAGGGGGATGGGATTCATCCTCTCAGTTGACGTGAAGAAAGCCACTGTCACCATTTTCAAATAATGACTGGGCACATGGCCCTCATAAATCATATGCTTATTAAAACATGCTGCTCTAAATCCGGGAGATGTGAGGGCCTGGCCTGGGACTTCTCCTTGGCCACCTGACCTTCCTCTGACCTTTAATTGTTGAGTAGAAGGTACCCAGGAAGCCCATTCATTTAACAGTCTACTGTGGGCATAAGAAAAGTGACTCATTTAAGATACAACCTAAGAGAGCTCACAAGAGGATGACTAAGATGGAAGGGATTGCGTTGTAGGCAGTGAGGTCCCTGACACTGGTAGTAATCAAGCTGATTTCACTGGGAGCAAATAGGATGTACTGGGATTCAAGTTATAGAAGGAAATTTGGATCCGCTGAAAGAAAGGTTTCACCTACTTCTGTACATCTAAGAGCCTAAGGCCCAAATAATTCACATTTACAAAGTGCAAACTTTTGTTTTCCCAAAGAGCTGAAAAGCCAGATGGGTTGGGAGACAATTTCCCGAGCCCAGGCTGCAAGCTCCTGACTCATGAGTGCTTTGCCTTTGCAGAATTTACTCAACCCACAGCTGTGCGGCCTCTATAGCCTGCAAGCTTTCACACCGAGCCTCTCTCCCTGCCTTCTTTCCTTCCTTCTTTTATTTCCTCATCCCAACCCCTGCAACTCTTGTTTTAGAGTTAAGAAAACTGAGGCTTAGAGAGGTTAAGCAACAAGCCCAAGGTCATGACACTAGTAGGTAGCAGAGCAGGAGTGGGATTCTGAAACCCTTGCTCTTCTGGTTATTCCATGTCCAATCTACAGCACAGTACTTTGTACACAGGAGGTGCTTTGTAAAAGCCCAGCAGATTAGTGAACCAGTGCACGTGACCCGGAGAGGAACACATGGGGGATCATTTTGCCTGGCTCACGCTCCCTAATATCTTCATTTCCATCCCCGACAACCAGACACCCAGCTCTTCCAGCACAGGGTCCGCAAGGCAGCCGGATCTCAGAGGCGCCTGCATTTGTTGGCTCAGTTAGAATAGAATGTGAAGCCAGCAGTGTTGGACTTAAGATCCTGCCCTCTGGAGGCAGGCAGATGGCCTGGGTTTATGTCCCAGTCACCTCATCACATCATGCCTCAGCTTCCTCGTCTATGAAATGGGCTAATACTAGTTCCTGCAGCACCAGGCTCTTGTGAGGCTTGGATAAGTTACTGCGTTCAGAGTGTGTGGAATGTGCTCGGCGCATAGAAAGCTCTGTGTGTGTGTGAACTGTTGCTATGAGCACTCGCTGCCGACTTGCCTCCCTGGAGCACTGAAGTGGATTTCCTGGAAAAAGAAGCTGCTGTGTCTGGTGACAATCCTTTTCAAGAGTAGTCCACTGGCCCAGGCTTATGAAACCGTTGGGGGTCAAGGAAGTCCTACTTCAGGATTAGGAGCCACAATAACTGTGGTGTTAGACCGAAGTGTAAATTACCAGTAAGTCACCTCTGGGTGAAGATTGGAAGGGTTCATTTAGGGCTAAAATACAGTGACCTCTCCAGCCTGGATTCCATCCACAGCCTTCAACTTGGCCTCCCCTCCCTCTCCTACCCTTCTTTAGATCTTCCCTACTCAGAAGACACAGTGGTCATTGGGGTTTTCATATCCAAGCAGCTCTCTCTCTTGCTTTTAAACCTTCAGTGGCTCCCTATTGCCCCCAAGGATAAAGCCCAAATCCTGCCCATAGCTTTTTCAGCCCTGTGTGATTTGGCCTGGCCTGTCTTTCCAACCTCATATCTGACTACTCTCTTCCTTGCTTTAACCCACTTTGGCCACACTGAGCCTCCTTCACTTCCTCACCGTTGGTCTTTTCTGCCAAGGGCCTTTATACAGGCTACCTCCTAGTCCCAGAGCAACCCTTTGCCCCACTCTTATAGCTGGTTCTTCCTCATTTTTTACTTCTAAGCCTAAAAACGACTTCCTCAATGACTATTCCTGACTACCTGATAACAACAGGCTCTCCCACTCTCTCCTTTCTCTATTTCTGCCCATTGTTTGATTTATCCTTAGTACATATCAAATTTAGGGGCTGCTGTCTCCCCTTAAAAGGTGAACTCCTCAAGTGCAAGGCATCTTTGCCTTACTCACCAGGCTACTTCCAGGGCTTAACCCATAGCACATGGTATGCAAGCAGAAGCTTCTGTCAAATGCACTTCAGCACATGGATTTTTGGACACCTAATTTCATCTCTTGGTTGTTTTCTAAATTTTTCTGATCATTAAAGTTGTTGAGTAAATATTGTCTGGATAAGCAAGGCATCGCTAGAATAATGAAAATATGTTGGCTATAGTATTGTCATATGAGTGGGAGTAACTGGTATGGCAGATACCATGTCCCCTGGGGCATAAATTCTCACAGTTTTCTGCAGCAGCAAAGGACACTGTCTCTCTGCTTCTAGGCCTGAGAGCTTTCTCTGGCACAAGAAAGCTCTCAGCTTATATTTGGGGGTATGTTCAGTTCACATTCAGGCAGCCTAGAAGTGCCAGAGATTGAACAGCCCTAGACATGATCTTCAAGCAACAAGGGCTGGAATCCGATTAAGTAAACACCCCAGCCTGCCTGTCTCTTGGTAGGATAATCCCGGGGTGCATTGCAAACACTTCCTCTGAGTGTTCCAGCTGGACTGAGCCCCAGTTGCCCATGGCAGTAACCTGCTCATTAACACCCCTGACTGTTTTTTTCCCCTTCTTGTCATCATTTGCCCAACGATCAAGCGCCTGCTTCCTGAGATCCTCTTCCAAATAATCGATCTGCAGCCCAACCATTGTCTCAGGGCCTGCCTTCGGGGAATACAAACTAAGATATGGTGACAAAACCATGGAAATACTGTCAAAGCAGCATTTTTACTTTGCAGGTGGTATCTGCTATCGCTTGAGAGTTTGTGTTCTCCCAAAATTGCTATGTTGAAACCTATCTCCAATGCAATGGTATTGAGAGGTGGATCCTTTAGGAGGTGATCAGGTTATGAGGGCAGAAGCTTCATCAGTGGGATCAGTGCCCTTATAAAGAGGCGCAAGGAGGCTTGTCCATCCCTTGCACCATGTGAAGACAGGTAGAAGGTTCCATCTATGAGGAACAGGCCCTCGACCGACAACAAGTCTGCTGGGACCTTCATCTTCCAACTTCCATCTATGAGGAACAGGCCCTCGACTGACACCGAGTCTGCTGGGACCTTCATCTTCCAACTTCCCAGCATCCAGAACTATGGGCAACAACTTTGTTTATAAATTACCCAGTCTAAGGTATTTTGTTATAGCAGCCCAAATGGACTAAGACATTTTGTATTTTTCAAAGCACTTTCAGATACATTAACTTAAGCATCACAGATAACTTAAGTTTTACATTATCATATTAAGATACATTCTTATGTTTTATGTTACTACGATGAGGACTAAGCAGGGCAGATATTATTATTTTCCTCTGACAGATGAGGAAAGCCAGGAACAGAGAGGGCAAAGCTTTTAACTTAAGTCACACAGCAAGACAGCGGGGCAGACTAGGCCTGGTGTCCTTGCCACTGCACTTGTTGCCTTAACTTTTGGTCATTCCAAACCCTGCCTGGTCTGTTCTTTTCAAATAAGAGAGCAAAATGGCTGGGAATTTGCTATTGTCACCCATTAGGTATTTTTCTCTTGAATGCCAGGCTTTGAATTGACTTGCTTCTTGTCCATCACACCCCGACCCCCAATTTCCAAAAGGAGAGGTATGTTAGTAGGAGATTATAACTCACCTTAATTGAGGGCCAGGTACTATAGTCATTGCTTTATGTCTTATGGACTTAACATCAGTCCTATTAGGTAGGTGGTAAAAATCCCTATTTTGTAGAAAAGGCTGCATCGAAAGTCTCTAACAATGCTTGGCATGCAGCGAGTACCTGATGAGTAGTTATCGAATGAATGAGGTTGGAGAGATTAAGTTGCTTTCTCAAGTCACACAACCAATAGGTGGAGTCTAGCTCATTCCCAATCCCAGGAACTTTCCTGCCATGGTGTAACCCCCACCAGCCCTTTCTTGGGATCTGTCTTCTTTGTCATCAATGCTGGATACGGGTGTAGAGTGGTGTTCACTTGGTGTCCAAGGACTAAAGGAAATCTCACGCCTCCCCAGTGAGCCCTAAGTCTCTGAGTGATCGGCTTGTCTGCGGCTGCTCCCAAGTGTCACCAGCCATCCATCCACAGGGTCTCATCCCAGCCTCACTGGGTGGACACAGGCAGGTGGACACTTCACTCCACGTGTCATCCCCATGTGGGTGCTGCCCCCATGAGCCACCATCCTGACCACCCAGACAGTGACCTGCAAAAAAAGAAACACACACACAGCTGCTTAGAATCATGATGGTCCAGCAGGCCCCAATCTCCTTTTTAAAGCATGGCAATTGACAGCTTGCTACCTACACCTGCACTGCCAAGAAGCAGCGAGACCTGCTGTCAGGCCAGAGGAATTCACTGGACAGAGAGTCACCCCAGGACCCAGGAAGGCATCTCCAAGAAGAGCCTGGTGAAGCTGACCCTGACATTCTGCATCCTTAAGTCAGTGAAGGCACAGGCAGCTGTGACCCCCAGAGCCCACACATGTATCTGCAACTGAGGCTGTTACGACTGTTAAAGGTGGGGCATTTCCTTCAACTCAAAAAAAAAAAAAAAAAGTACACAAGACCTCAAGGCACAGAATAAAAATTGGCCCAGGCTTTTGACAAGCAGCTAAGGAGAAGGGGAGGACAGTGAGGGGAGGTTGTCCATTGATACCTGTGGCCCACATGAGGTGCTTTGCTAGGGCATCCTCCGTTCAGCTGGTCGGCCTCAGCTCTCTTGAGTATGACATGTCACAAGCGCCGGAGATGCACAGACAAGCAAGCCCTGGTCCCTGCATGTATGGAGCTCAGGGTCCCATGTGAAAGACAAATGAACAAACAGGCAACCAGACTTGAATGAGAAGGCCAAGGAATTCACTGGACAGGGCCCTCCTAATCCTTCCCAGGCCCGGTGGGGAGGGGGGTGTCCTGGGAGATGAGACATGAAAGATAGGATTCTGTTGGGAGAGCAGAAGTTAGCTAGCCAAAGAAGGGGGATCTCAAGTTAACAGGGGCTACATTCCAGCTTGACAGGGGTGAGGAGTTTTAATTTAACCATCATAACAATCTTTAGGTAACAAGGTCTATTACCACCCCCCACTTTTTTTTTTAATTATACTTTAATTTCTGGGGTAGTGCAGAATGTGCAGGTTTGTTACATAGATGTACACGTGCCATGGTGGTTTGCTGCACCCATCAACCCGTCACCTACATTAGGTATTTCTCCTAATGCTATCCCTCCCCTAGCCCCTCAACCCCCAGACAGACCCTGGTGTGTGATGTTCCCCTGCCTGTGTCCATGTATTCTCATTGTTCAACTCCCACTTATGAGTGAGAACATGTGGCATTTGGTTTTCTGTTCCTGTGTTAGTTTGCTGAGAATGATGGTTTCCAGCTTCATCCATGTTCCTGTAAAGGACATGAACTCATTCTTTATGGCTGCATAGTATTCCGTGGTGTACATGTGCCACATTTTCTTTATCCAGTATATCACTGATGGACATTTGGGTTGGTTCCAAGTCTTTGCTATTGTGAATAGTGCCACAATAAACATACGTGTGCATGTGTCCTTATAGTAGAATGATTTATAATCCTTTGGGTATATACCCAGTAATGGGATTGCTGGGTCAAATGGTATTTTTTTTTTTTTAAGATGGAGTCTTGCTCTGTTGCCCAGGCTAGAGTGCAGTGGCGCGATCTCCACTCACTGCAAGCTCCGCCTCCCGGGTTCACGCCATTCTCCTGCCTCAGCCTCCCGAGTAGGTGGGACTACAGGCGCCCGCCACCATGCCGGGCTATTTTTTTGTATTTTTAGTAGAGACAGGGTTTCACCCTGTTAGCCAGGATGGTCTCTATCTCCTGACCTCATGATCCACCCGCCTTGGCCTCCCAAAGTGCTGGGATTACAGGCGTGAGCCACTGCACCCGGCCCACAAATGGTATTTCTAGTTCCAGATCCTTGAGGAATTGCCACACTGCCTTCCACAATGGTTGAACTAATTTACACTCCCACCAACAGCATTCCTATTTCTCCACATCCTCTCCAGCATGTGTTGTTTCCTGACTTTTTAATGATCGCCATTCTAACTAGGGTGAGATGGCATCTCATTGTACCACCCCCTACTTTGAAACAAAGTATGGAAAGACTCCATAACTTACCAGCTGGCAATACCAAGCCGGCAATACCAAGCTGGGAAGTAAGGAACCCAACAATGAAAACCCGGTTCATGAGTTCAAAGCCTGTGTCTTCTCTATTCCTTCGTCCTTCATATGCTTCTCTCTCTAAAGGGTTGTGGAATTTGGCACAGAGGTAGAATCATCTTCATCTTGTTAGTAGGAATCATATCTTCTTCCATGTGGAAATCCCAGGAGCTGATTGAGGTTGAAGGACTAGTGTGAAATACACACCCCAGAGTCCTTCTTCAGGCACCCCCTGCTCCCAATTGCTCTGAGGGGAAGTTCATGGAAACCTATATCACCCTGGGTTTGAATCTTCTTGATTTTGATACTATGGACATGGCACATGTGGAGAACTCCTAGTATCACTGGAGACTATGGGAGAGATGGAGAGGAAAACAATGGTCAACTTGGACTTGACCCTGAGGGTAGCAAAGTCTTTGCAGTTATCAAACAAGGGAATGCCTCCCACTTGCCAAGACTGTGTCTCAAACACTGCCTTTGAATTGTATCTTTCTTTCAAAATAGTCCATATTTGCTGTTAGAGAATTATATTTTATATCCACTGTCTTGAAAAGAATGAATTAGGCCGGGCACAGTGGCTCACGCCTGTAATCCCAGCACTTTGGGAGGCCAAGGCAGGTGGATCATGAGGTCAGGAGATTGAGACCATCCTGGCCAATATGGTGAAACCCCGTCTCTACTAAAAATACAAAACAAATTAGCCAGGCGTGGTGGCACACACCTGTAGTCCCAGCTACTCAGAGGGCTGAGGCAGGAGAATTGCTTGAACCCAGGAGGCGGAGGCTGCAGTGAGCCAAGATCATGCCACTGCACTCCAGCCTGGGTGACAGAGTGAGACCGTCTCAAAAAAAAAAAAAAAAAAAAAAAAAGAATGGGTTAGAAGAGAAAAGGACTAGAGGCAGGAAAACCAGCTAGGAGGGTTTGTAGTAACATAGCGAAAGATGACATCCGGGACCAGGGAAGTGGCCATGGGGTGGGGCATAAGGGTTTGGGCGTGGGAAATATGGAGGGGTCAGACACAAGTGGGCTTGCTGACCAAGTGAAAATGCAGTAAGTGAAGGAAGGAGAGGTTAGGTCTGACCCCCAGGTTTTGGGTTTGGGTGGTTGGGTGGATGGCAAGGCCATTTACTGAGGAGCAAATTGAGCAAGGGAGAGAGGTATACAATGAGGAGTTGAATTTTGGACAGCCTTGTTTGAGGCATCAGTGAATAATCAGAAGAGATGTCCAGTGGGCAGTTAGGTACCAAGATCTGGAGCTCAGGACAGAGTTAGGTCCATGGAGAGCAGTCGAAGCCATGCCATTGCTGCTTGGAAAAAAAAAAAAAAGAGCGAGCTACAAGCTAGGCTGACAGCCTCTTGGATGGCATCAGACAGGCAGGTTGGTAGCACTGAGTTCAGCCACTGTCTACTCTCAGTGCTGATGTCTTTTGTGCCAGGTCCAGGGAAAGAAAGTGGTGGCCTGGAGCCCACTCTCTGCCATCCTGCACCTTGGCCGAATGCCAGGCATCGAGAATGGTACCCTAGCCCCCTTTGGATTTCCTGGGTTTTGTTGGGCCTGAGTCATCACCTTAATGTTATTTAAATCTAGGGTTTTGAATTGAATGTTATTAAATGCCTCCTCAACCACATGATACTTGTGATGGGCCATAGTGAATGGGGGATTAGGCAGATAAATTACCATTGTGATTCTAAAACTATCATCAGGTTTGCTAAGGACAATAATTACGTAGCTTACAGTGTTTGGAAATATTGCCTAAATCTCCTCCCCACGTGTTGTTTGTGATGGAAAACAATTAGACAAAAGGTCCTTTTGGTAAAGCTGCCTGGGATTCAGATCGGCTTGATGAATGGGCTTTCTCCCAGACCCCGAGCATTTGTTAGAAGTAAATTATATGTTATTTCAAATCCAAAAGGTCTGCCTCCCCATGTTTATTGGGATAAATTAAATCTTCTAAGGAGGGTAAACAGAAGGCCCTGATAATTATTTGCTTCTGTATAATTTAAGCTGAAAAGGATATCACCAAGAGGAGGATGGGGGATAGAAACACCCTGCATTGTGCCCACCACAGAGAACGCACAATAGGGAAATTTAATTTGATACTGATCTACACGCATCATATCAAGTTGGGACGGGCAGCCATCTCTAGAGCTGTTTTCAAATGGGGCTTTTCAGTTGCAAATTTCAACTGAAATCATCTTGATTTGCTATTTGAGAATTAATTTTTATAATTTCAAGGGGCTTCCTTGCAGAGGGAATGCTGCTTCTCTCACCAAACAGACTTCTGTGCTCATGAGACCAGGATGGGGCCTACCCCAGCCTTGCCTCACCCCAGACCCGAAGCCTGCTTTATCAGCATTGGTAGGAATCCAGTAACTAATCCATCTACTCACATATCCATCCACCCACATCCATCCATCCATCCATCCATCCATCCAACCATCCAACCATCCAACCATCTATCCTCCCTCCCTCCCTCCCACCCTTCCACATATCCACCCATCCACCCACCAACCCATCCATCCATCCATCCATCTTTACCCATCCATCTGCACATCCACTCACCATTCCGCAATACTTATTGAATTTCTCTGTTGAATGCTGGTTCCCCAAATAACATCAACACAAGCTGTTGATAACACAAAGCTGTTTATTGCTCACTGTGGTAAGAAAGAACGCGGCCTCTACAGAGTTTTGGTAACCTCTGGAATAGAAGGCAAGGTTGGAATTTACTGAGAATTGACAGTTTGGTTTGGGGGGATCTTTTAGTGTGGAAGTGTGGGAAGGCTGGATTAGGATTAGCTAAAGATCATTATACAACAGTTCAGGATTGATGGAAAAGTGAGGTGAGTATTTTGGGAGTGAAGGATTTGAAGTGTCTTAGGGTGAAAACTGTCTGTTGATAATTCCCATTGAAGAGTTGACGCAATTTGGGGAAGTTTTTCTAATGAACAATGAAGTCATTTGCCTGGGCAAGAGGCTTCCAGAAAAGACAAGTCATGCTAGTGAAGACAATGGGACTCACAGACCTGTTCATGTAGACAGGTGTAGTTTTGGTTCTCTGTGCCCAGGCTGAATGTGGTGTAGATAGGTATTGTCTACACCTCCATGGTGTCTGGCTCACCACTGTTTCACCACTAAAGCCATGCCAAAGTAGCCATGACCCCACATGTCAGAGATTCTCGTAAGTGGGAGAGGTTAATGAGCACATAACTGCAGAGATAAATGCATAGGAGAGTGTGATATAGCAGGTGGATCTGACCTAATCAATGAGATCAAGAAGGCCTCCCTGAGAGAGAGGTGCTTAAACTGTTATCTCCAGCTGACCTGGAATGAACTAGAGGTGGCATGCAGTGGACTGTGGGGAGGGTGCCCAAGCGGGACCTCAGGGGAATCTGAGTCCAGCCGAGGTGCTGGGTCAGGTGGGAGCAGCTCTACTGGGGTTCCTTCTCCCTGCCCTGTCTTTGCGTCTCTGTCCTGCATCCCAGCCCAACACCCTAAGGAAATCCCCAAGGATCACCAGGAAGCTGCCTGGCAACTTCCCTCTGGCTCAGGGGCAGGGGGCAGATTGTGCCTGCAATGGTGCTGTGCACTAGGCCGAGGGAGAAGCAAGGAGGGGATGGGAAAGAGGGAAGTGACTGCCAGCCCTGGTCTGCATCCCTAGCACCCCAGGCCAGGAACAGCTCCTTGCCTTGATCTCTGCCTGGCGCCTGCCCCAGGATGTCATCTGTGCTGCGAGGGGCCGGGCTGGTGTCCAGGCTCAGGTTTCACGCGCCAAGCCTGTGATAACATCTGGCTCTTGGGGTCCCAGGCCAGTGACCTCTTAGGCTCCCTGGTGCCTGGCAGTCTGCAGGGAAAGTTTCCTCCGATCTTCAGCTGACAGGCATCCTTTGCTGATCTGCAGGGATTCGGGGTTAGCCGAGTTTCCTAGCACCTCCCCAAGGGACTCGCTCTCCTTCACACAATGGTTTTGCAAGGTCCTGCCCCAGGGCTCTGCCGGGCTCAGCTTTGAAAGAAAATGCCATTCAGCATCACCAATCTATGCCCCTTGGCCTGAGCAACCGTGCAAGGACTGACCTACAAAATCCTAAATGTTACTGTTTTGGCTTCTGTGGTCAGCCTTAATCATCACACTGGTGGAGCTGAGAGACATTTTCTAGGGTCCATTAGTAAATGCTGAAAGTGCCTCGTGATGCTTCTCCATGGGCAGGGTGGTTCCGTGGCACAAGCTGATGCAGCCCTTGGCTGGCAGCATTAGCCCCATAGAACAGAAGAGGTGGGCGAGCCTGGTGGTTGTTTCCCAACGACATGCCCCTGGAGATGGGGACTTCATGATGCCCGCCTATCCCCGGCCTGACTGAGAGGCATAGGATTGGAATCACTTGTGCCAGACCTCGGTTCAAATCCAGGCCCTGTCTCTTCGTGTGTCCCTGAGCAAGTTGCATTCCTTCTGGATTCCAGGGAGAAAGCCACGTTGAGAACTGTGGTGTTTCATGGACCTTCTGTAAGTCAGGGCCAGAGAGCTCATTGTCATGCCTAGACCACGTGTGTCAGAAATGCGGCTGAGTCGAGGAAGCAGGTCTCTTGTTTTTAAAGAGTGGCCACGTGCCTCTCTTCCCCACCTTCATCTCCTCCTGGGCCTGCACCTGCCGCCCTCTTTGGGGAGCCTTGCCGGCTGCCTCTCCCCTTGTTTCTGGTCCTCCTCGTGCTCAGTGTCTCTGCGACACTGGGCACAGCCTGCTTTTTGAAGCTCCATTTCCTCTGGGGGAACACTTCCACCCCTTCTGGCCCTCCTTTCGCTGGAACCGCCCTGCCTGTTCCTTCAAAGGCTGCTCCCTCACCCTGACCCTTCAGGGATGCTTCTGGCCTCGCGGGGACCTCCTCTCCCCTTCCCCTTTCCTCTTTCCACACCAGTGGTTCTCAAAGTGTGGCCCCCAGACCAGAAGGCCAGAATCCCCTGGGGTCTTGTTAGAGCTGCAACCTCTCCGGCCCTTCCCCAGCCCACTGGAGCAGAAACTCTGGGAGTGGGTCCAGCACCCTGTGTGGTCCACTGGCCTGGCCTGGCCTGATGATCCTGACAGCCTTCCTAACCTGTGATAAGGGAATGATGCCTGAGTCTCTCTCTCTAGCCTGGACCTTCCCTCCTTGTGCCCAGTGATTTTTATGAAAGTTCAGCACTTTCTCAGGATGATGAACGAGATTCACAGAAAGAGCTAGACGAAGTCTTGGGGACAGGTCTATTGGCACAAGCCTTTCACTTTGATGATGGGAGTCCTAGGCCATGGAAGGGTTAAGTGGCTGTGTCATGCACACAGCGTCTCGTCCAAAGGGGCCTTTCCTTTTCAGCAGGTAGACTCTGTCTTGAAATAATCCACAGGCTAGGGAGGTTGAGGTGTTTATTTCATTGGCATGGACATCAGGAAGACCCAGGCCAAACCCTCCTCTGTTTCTGGAGCCTGCATGGTGTCTGAGCCCTCCCTTCACACTTGGACAGAGTGCTGCTCTCAGAAATCCACCCAGAATGAGGGCCACTCATTGATTTCCATTAGAAAACACAGTGTTAATGAATGAGGATTACTATTCCTCAATATGTTCCCGCACTAATAAGATTCTGATGAGATACTAATTAGTCCCCTCCTTACAAGCCTGTTAAAAATCTCCTGGGCCATCCTGCACTGTGCTCTGTATACCTGGTCTAACAGGCCCCTCAAAAGGCAAAAGCTGCCAGGAGTCAAGGCTTGTCTGGTCCTCCTTGGGAAAGCTGCTTTCCTGACAGGCCTGGGCTGCTGTTGGCATGGCCATGGGATTAGGCATGGGTCAGAGCCGGGGTCAGAGGACAGGGATCAAATGTCGGCACTTGGGACCAGGGCAGGGCCCGTGACACACAAATGATGTTATTTTCCTAAGTGGCTTATCTTCCAGTCCAAGCCTAATTCCAGGTAGGGGAAGCCTTCAAGGGGCAGCAGGGATAGGGGTTTGGAGGCTGGGATCTGGACTGGCGTGGGAGGCTGCCTTCTCCAGGAGCTGCTGTCAACTCCCGCAGAGGAGGCGGCACACACGAGCCACAGGAGTTTGGAGTCTCCAGAAAAAAGGCCGGGGTGCAAGCTCAGTGGCACGTCGCGGAGGTGCTTCCTGTCTTACACATTTTCTCCATCCCTCCTGCACCAAGGAGGGAAGTGCTACTCTTAAAAATTGAGATGAAATTTATATAATATAAAATTGACCATTTTAAAGGGAACGATTGGGTGGTATTTAGTATATCACAGTGTTCTACAGCCACCACCTGTTATCTAGTTCTAAACCATTTGCATCATCCCAAACAAAACCCTGTACCCACTGAAGAGTTTTTTCCATTTCTCCTCCTAGCCTGTCAATGACCATATGCCTTCTGCTTCTATGGATGCACTTGTTCTGGGCATTTCATGGGAACAGAGCTCTACAATGCATGTGCTTTCATGCCTGGCTTCTTAGCATGTTTTCAAGGTTCATCCATGCTGGCTCATGTGTCAGAACTCCATTCCTTTTTATGGCTGAGTCATATTCCATTGTGTGCACAGACCACAGTTTGTTTATCTGCCGAAGGACACTTGGGCTATTTCCACCCTGGGATGTGCTATTTTTATTGGTATTTCACAGATAAGAGAATTCAGGGTTGGACTCTCTCTCAAGTTCACCCAGCCAGCCAGTGGCAGAACTGAGTATTAACTTGGCCTTTGAAGTCTCCACTCTCTCCCCTCCACAGGGATGAACGGCTTATCCTGGGTTAAAAGGGGGAAACATTCTTGTTCTCTGGCACTCCTGTCCTGTGACTCTGTAAGGAAGAGGTTTTTTGGTGTGTGTTTTGAATACCATTGTTGAGGCAGATAATGAGAATCCCCAGAGAAAGTTAATCTGTAATTCAACAGAAATGACCTCACCTTGATGATACTACTTCTTTTAAAAAATCATTCTTATTGAGGTGTAAGTTATATGCAATAAAATTCACCAATTTCAAGTGTATAATTTGAGAAATTTTGACACATGTAGGCAGTTGTACAACCATCTCCATAATCAGATGGAAAGTATTCCCATCACCTCGCAAAGTAATATAGTTTGGATTTGTTCCCTCCAAATCTCATGTTGAAATGTGATCCCCAGTGTTGTAGGTGGGTCTGGTGGGAGGTGGTCAGGTCATGGGGGTGGATCCCTCATGAACGGCTTCGTGATGCCCTTGTGGTAATGAGTGAGTTTTGGCTCTATTAATTCACGTGAGAGCTGGCTATTTAAAAGAGCCTGGCATCTCTCTTGCTCTCTCTCTCTCTCTGTCACCATGGGACACACCTGCTCCCCCTTCGCCTCCCACCATGAATGGAAGCTTCCCAAGGCTCTCACCGGAAGCAGATGCCAGAGCTATGCTTCTTGTAAAGTCTGTAGACCCATGAACCAAATCAACCTCTTTTCTTTATAGATTACCCAGCTTCAGATATTCCTTTATAGCAATGCAGAATGGACTAACACACTCCTTTATAGCCTTCCACTCCAAGCCTGGGCTTCTATTTAGCATAATGCTCTAAAATTCACTCCTGTTATAGCCATCAGTAGTTTACTCCTTTATTGCCAAACAGTATTCACTTATTTGGATACCCCACCATTTATCTTTTCCCCAATCAGTGGACATTTGCATTACTTGCCATTTTTGGCTATTGTGAATAAAGCTTCTCTAAACATTGGTGTGTAGCTTTTGTCTGTACTCGAGAGTGAAATTGCTGGGTCCTATGGTAAGTATGTCATCATATTCCTGCTCAGAGAGGTGGCTTCCTGCAACCAGTTTTCTTTTCAGGATCCAGATGGGTCCCAGGGACCCTAAAATAAGGCCCCTAGTTCTGTCCTTCCTGGGAAGGGAGAATGTTATATACGGTGGAAATAAGGAGATGATCAAAGTATGATTTTTTGAATTTCATAGTGTATTGCCGTACCAAAAAAAATCTCTTCTTAGGGTCACGATGCTTAAAGAATAAAGAGAAGAAAGCTCACAGGGAATCTGCTTGATAGATAAAGTACATTAACCACTTAGTGAGTGGGTTCCAAAATTATTACAGTCTGGTTGCTCAGTTAGGATGGAAGCAGGTCTCTCTGGGGAAGGTAAGGTCTGAGTAAAGGTTGGAGTATACCTTCCTACAAGCAGCTCTCAGAGAAGCTGGCTCAACCATCAGGGCAGAGATCTGGAGGTCCAGCGTAAGGACCCTCCATACTGGGGGACTGTGCTGGAGCTGGTGATTAGTCCCGAGGCTAACAGGGTGTCGCCTAGTTGCACCTGAGCTCTTGGTGTTGGAGAAGCAGCTGTGATGGCAGACATACTGGTTGTCTTTAGAAGCAGCCAACTGTGTAGACTACCACGGCCTAAGCTCTCCAAATGTCCATTAAACTCTTGGTAACAGAATATGTATTCTGAAGTCCAGTAGTTGAGGTCCATAACTCACAAATGGGAATTCTGATAAGGTTTGACATCACATTCCTGAGAGGAGGGAGTTCACTCCAAGTTTTCACACAGAGTGTCTGATGAGATATCCCACTCTCAAAGGGAGTGTGGAATACACAGTAAAACATATGTCATTCATGTAGCAAACTATGTAAGTGCTTGAGATCATTTCAAAATGGTATCACAGGAAGGCCTGTGCTTTGCCTGTGGGTTAAGATCTACCTGTCCTGGCCTGGAGTAATCTCATAGTGCTCAGAGGTTGGTCATTAGGCCCTCCCAATGACACAGGCAGTTGGGAACTGGGGATAAAACTAGCATTCAAAAAACTCACATCTTGATATTCTGAGCCGATGACCTAGAATAATGGTTCTTGGTTTGCAATGGCTCTTTTTAAGGGCCTTCTTCAAAGGGCTTCCTCCCAGGTGCCCCTGGGTCCCTGATGGTGGCAAATGGCCCGTCTTCTTTTTTCTTAGTAAAGTGGGTCTCATGCTAGATTAAAATTTCTGGGTGCTGAGGTGAGGAGGTAAGGCCACTTCTCACTGCCTAGCTGGAAGGCAGTTAAGTTCTTCCCAGTCAATAGGCCTCTATCGACCTGCTGTTAGAATTTTACTAGGCTGGGGAATTGTGAGATCCATATATTGTTTGAAATGGAAAAGAGGAACGAGTTAGGGAAATGTCCAGGCAAATGTCTGTGTGTTTGGAAACAGAGCTATTCTCTTCCAGGTCTTTTCTAGTGGGGTCATTTGCATGCCCATCTGATAGCAGGGGCACAGCCAGGCCCAGCAGATATAACCCATCTGGACCTTTGAATGAAAAATAAACATTGGCTTCTTTTAGTTTCCAAAGGTCATTTGCATAAAAACTTGCAGGATTTCCAAGGCCTTGGCAGTGGACTGGAGAGTGAGAGGTGGAGAAAAGGAGGTTTGCATGACACTGGGACAGCAGAACAAAGCAGTTCAGGTTAACCCTTATTGCTTCCTTGTAAATTCGCAAAGATGTGAAGTCCAGAGAAGTCAGGGTGGGGGCCCTGATCCTTGCTCTGGTTCCACTTCTAATTTCCCACTTGACCCTTTGGACCTTAGTTTCCTCTTCTATAAAGTGAGTGAATGAGCCAGATCTCTGAGGTTGTTCATTCATTCAAGCCATTGGCATTTCTTGAGCACATATTATGTGCCAGGCACTCTGCTAGAACAGTAAGATGCAACAGCGCAGACAAGGTCCCTGCTTTCAAAGAGCTCCCAGCCCAGTGGGGAGTCAGATGGGCCAACAGACACCCAGCCCGCACTGTCACAATGGTGTTCAGGAAGAGAGAGAAGCCTCGTGTTGGGGGATAGGAATGACCTAGGCTGGGTGGCATAGGGTAAAGAAAGGTTTTCTGGGGTAAGCAATGCTAGTTGCCAGTTCTGACTGTAAAGTCTCAGACTTACCCACCTGCCCTTTCTGAGAGTTCTTGATTGGAGACGATCTGGGGGATCATATCCAGATGACAGCCAGCATGTCTCTGATATTGACAGACTCCTCTTATAGGTGTAAGTAAAAAGTTCTAAGTGACATCTGCATCTGAATTAGGGCTGCCTTCTCCTCCCTGCTGTCCTCTCTCCTGGGTTCTCCATTAGATCTTCCAGAACAGAAACATGGAGTTCAGTTGGCAGTGGAAGTGATTTCACCCCAGCCTCGACCTTGGTGTCTACTGGGCGGTGTCTCCGCTCAGGCCCAGCCTCTGGGTTTAAGATACCAGAGTAAAATGTTGATGTTATTGTAAGTGCGTAGAAAGAAAAAGAGGTGGTAATGCTGGCAGAAATTACCCTAAGTTCATTTAAAACATCCTGTGCAAGAGTTAAAATCTAAAAGTAAAGGAAATAATTGCACATTTTGAAAAAAATACTAGCTGAGGCCCTCCCAGCCAAGAGAGAGGGTACCATCAGCAGAAAGAGCTCTGAATGGGATCAGGAGACTTGAATTCTGACCCTACCTTTGTCTCTCACCAGGAAAGGCCTCCAGGACTGAGTTTTCCCATCTGTAAAATTCGCAGGTTGGACCAGGCAGGTTGCAGGTGTCTTTGGTGCATGAATCTGGGAGTTGGTCAGCCAATGGGACTACATTGTCTTTAGTGTAGCTGCTGGGGAAAGCTTAATTCCCAGAATCCAGGAGAATGGGCTCCAGCCCAGCCAGCGCCAATCAGATGAGAGAATGAACCAGTGTGAAAGGAGAAGCGAATTCTGGCAGATGAATCGGTTTTTGTCCTTTTTGAAGGATCATATTACACGGAGTTTCTCAAAGAAGAGCTGTTTTGGTGGGTGTTTCCCCAATTGGGTGTTTCCCCAAATGCTTGTGGGTGCATCATCTGCCTATGGACATGCCCTCCAAAGAATTTGTTCTACACCCAGATCCTTAGCAAGATAGCTTTATTGAAGAAACACAAGCTTTATCAGCCCCAAACAGTTGAGACCAGCCTCCTTTGGTCCCCTTTCCCTTTAAGAATTCTTATTGTGACTGACTGCACTCTTCTGGCACAATTAATTAAATCAATGGCCCTCTCATAAATTTAAAAATACATCTCCCATGTCTTTAAATCTCTGAATCCCAGCTGGGAAACTGAGAGGCGTGAAATACACAGTCATCACGTCACAGCCACGGAGACCGCGTCCCGGAGCTGTAATTCCGTGATAAATGTCTCCCAGCCACATGGCCACGGTTTGGTTATGCCCTAGAGGTGACGGGGAGGCTGGGAAGAAGAAGGGGTGGCTGGTTATTGGGCTGCCCTGCCGTGTGCTTTGGGGATTAGTGTAGACCGGAGGCTCAGACAGCAATGCAGGGCAAGGCCAGGACTCTCTAGAAAGTTCATAATAAAGTTGTCTTCATCTGTGGATTTGGAAAGAGATCCGGGGAATTTCACTAAGACTGCTAGAAAGCAACATATGGGGGCTTGTGTTCTGCCCATTCCTCTGAGGCTGAAAGGAACAACCAGTGACTTCATGGCTTCTCCTGCCAGAAGCGAGAGGGCACAGCCCTGGACTGGCAAACACCCTCTCCAAACATGGCTTTACTGAGGATCTATGAAGCACCAGGCACTGACCTGGGCATTACAGGTGCAGTGGGGACAAGTGGGCCAGTCCTGCCTAAGGTGGTTGACAGCCTGGAGGGGGTTTCAAGGCAGGGTGACCACAGAACAGATGCTGCTGGAAGGCACCCGTGGGCACCCTGCCACGCTGGGATGGAGCCTCCAGGGGAAAGGACTTCAAGCTGATGCTGGAAGAGTGTAAGGTTGCTAGGACTTTCCCAGGTAAAAGATAAGGACAAAAGGTGATGTCGGAAGAAGGAAAAGTGTTCCATGCAGTGGGGATGGTAGTGGGAGAGAGCGCGGCACAGACTTTGAGGAACTAGCGTGACTCAGACTGGGAGAGGATGGGGAGAAGAGCAGGAACTAGCCGGCTGCGATCTAGGCCTGGCACTGAGCTCCGGACAACCTAGATGCTGCCATCTCGGGGAGCTTAGATGGTGGGCGGGATGGAGTGGCTCAAGGGTGTAGGGCGGGGCTCCAGGCTGGTAGCAAGTGCCTTTGGTGCATTTTGGGAATTCACTTTATGACTCAATTTGAAACAGTGTTGAGGTTGAGGCTTTTCTGTCCCCTTTGGTTTTAGTAGATTCTATTCATTTTTATGATGATTCTTTTTTATTTATTTATTTTCAGTTGATATTGCTCCCAGTTCACTGAGAATTGTATTTCACAAAACACTGTTTTCTGAACTGCTTGACTTTTCACCATTGCGAGTTGTTTTGTTTAGGACAAATGAGGGAAAGCCCCATGTCACACATGCTAATAAAATTGCAGGGCTCCTGATCTCCTGGTATTCGGTGCTGCCAGGAACTCCCAGGATGGAAGACCCAAGTGGGAGCAGCTTCAAGATGCACCGTGGGGTGGAGTGGAAATTTACAAACCCCACAATCTCTCTCTCCCAGTATCAATACGCATCTCATATCCTGCAGTTTGAATGCAGCACCTCACTCATTCTCAGCGAATCCTGGAAAGGGAGTGCTCGTTTTCCCATCTCGCTGACCTCATCTAGGGCTCTGAGAGATCCCACAACCACCCAACGCGAGAAAGTGGAACAAGACTTGAGCCCAGGGACAGCATTCCCTCCGCCAAGCACAGCACCAACATGGCGGGTGGGGAGAGTCACTGTGTAGTAGCTCCAGCAACCATCACTCAAATTCCCCTTTTGATGGAGCTGGTGAAACCTGGGCTCCTGCAGAGAAGCAAACATGGCCTTGTATGTCCTGGGGGCCTTGAAAACGCCCAGGTGCTCATGCCATGCTGAAGGCTTGGCACACAGAGGTACGGTCAGAGCGGGGGTGGGGGGCTCTTTCTTTTTGTGGGTTCATGTGATTGCCCCAGTATTTCCAGACCCATCTGGCAAAAATGATTGGCCAAAACTGTTAATTTTAAACTTATTATTTTACCAGTGGAATTTTAAGATGATTTAAAAACAATTAAAGGCATATCTATATTGATGGATGGGTAGGTAGACGGGAGGTATAGATATAAATTATGTGCTGAGCTGACAATAGAAGAGAATGGGGCCTCACTACTGCTCCCCATCCCTTCCTCACTTCCTCCTTCCCTTTCCCCTTCCTTCTTATCTGGCCCCTGGGTCTGCATAAGCACCATATGAAAATATTCTTGAATCTACGTCTATTTTCAGCTTATGCTTGGTTCTTAGCATTAAAATAAACCCTGGCACCTCATTACACACTGTATGAAGCAGAACCGCCTTTCATTTTTAAAACTGTCTCCTTCAAGCTCCAAAAAGTGCTTTCTAGTTTTTGCAGGAAGCCACATGATTTCTTGGGAAAAGCACAGGTTCTGGAGTCTGACAGGCCTGGGTTTAATCCCAGCTGGGTGGTGCTAAGTATTGACGATCTCCTCTTTGAGTGTCAATTCTTTCCTAGGCAAATATCCACTGTGCAAAGATTTGTGCTTATTGAATTAGACATTGCATGTGATGTTTTCCTTCTCCCGGGGTCCTGGGTTTTAAACTCCTGGTTCACTTGTCCATATTCTTTCTGACTTTTGAATACCATATCCTCTCTGCTGCACCTCATCGTTACTCTTCCCTGTTTATAACCTGGACCTGGCTGAAGACAGAAGGAATGCCCTTTGCTTATTCTGGACTGTTCTGATTCTATAAAGCTGATGCCTAAAGCAGCCCCCTTATTTTTTATTTGTTAAAGCTAATTCTGACTCCGACCTTTCATCGAAGTGAGCAGGCACCAGCATGGTGCCTTTAGACTCTGCTTGCATGGGGTCTCCAGTGGGCGGGTGGTGAGCAGAGCCCCCTAGGCCTCAGAGCCCCCTCCTTTGGGGCTTCTGCTCTAGGCAGCACTCTGTGACATCATCAATCACCCTCCACGGCAGCCCCCACCCCAGCCCCCTCACTTCTCTCTGCAGGTTACACCACCCCCAACCTGGACCCCATCCAATAGGCTCGTGGTCCCTGATGGTCCTGGACCACTGATTTGAGGCCTTTCTGCTTCCTTTGATTCAGTCTTTGGCAGAGACCCAGGAGCAGGAGTCCTTGATGGCACCTGGCCCTTTCTAGTCACCGACAAGGGAAACCTGAGAAACCATTCTCAGAAATGGAACTAAATTGTGAGTGAATCTGTCCCCATCTGGAGAAGAGAGGAAGATTTGGGGCAGCAACAAAGGCTCCTTTGATTTCTGTTAATTAACTACTTTGGACTCTGGGGGTCTGGAGTGGCTTGTGTTTGACACACAAAGAATCCGGGGCAAGGATGATACCCACAACAGGGTGTCTGCACTGGAAAGGGCTCCGTGTATTTACCTGTAGGGCAATTCAATTAAAACTCAAGAAAGGGGTAAATCTATGAGATTAGCTCCAGGAACAATGGTGCTGATTGTTGCTGGCCCTCACCATCCCTACGAAAGCAGATGTTAAACAAATATTTTGATGCCTCCAATCAGCCCCAGTGTGAATCTCCTGTTTTTGTTTTTCATTATCTCCAGAGATGGGAATTCTACAGTCTTCATCAGTAGCCCACTTTGGTGATCTATTTAAAATTGGTGATCTATTTAAAAGACTCCATAGAACTTGATTGTAAATATCCAAATGGAGGGACATGATTCATTAATATAGGGACATTCTGGAGTTGTCCATTCGGCCTTTGCTCCTCCCCATTCTCAGAAGCACCCTTCATTACCGGAGAGGTTTCTTGGACGTTTGTGGCAGGCTCAGGAGGAAGAGAAGAGGTAGAGGGGGAAAAGTGTATAGACTGGGGGCTGGGGGCAATATTGCTGGGAGGACCCTCAAAGGAAGCCACTGGAGTCTTCTAGATGTTTGGAAGAGAGGAGTAGTTGAGCAGCTGCAGTGTGACACAATGGAAAAGTAATTTAAGAAGTGTCCTGGGCCACATATTCCCTTCATGTATGTATATATGTATGTATGTATTCATGTATGCATGTATGTAGGAATGAGTGTAAGAAGAAATGTATGTAGAGAAGTTGAAATGCTGTAGTAAATTTTTGGTTGCCAGACCACGCTCATTTGACCATGATGCCATTCAGAGACTAAACCACTTGGGACCTAGCTTCACTGGGATGACACATACTTACCTACAGACTGACTTGGTGATTTTTCTGTTAAATTATTATTTTGTTTTTAATAAAGGAAGAATAAAACTTGGGATATTTTAAAGATACTGACATAGAAATAGAGGAAAATGGATATAATTTAATAAAACTTTGGAATCTGAACAGCATCCAAGCCTGCCTTCGAAATGGGATCATCACCTCTCCTCTTCCTGCCTTTCCTTTCCCCATCTGGGATGGATGCCAAGCTCTGCAAGGCAGAAGGCCCACCTATGCTGCTCATATGGGAGCCCCAGGGCCATTGCTTGGCACAGAGTAGGGCTTCAGTGTGTATTTTTTTAGTGATAAAAGGAAGGAATCAAAGAAACGTCAGGTTCTCAATGGCTGCAATTCTGTGACCATATAAAAGAGGATGAAGCCCATCTTGTTTCCACATGAGGGTCTCTGAAAGCAAGAGTTTGAGTGGCTCAGATCTGAAGTCCTGTCCTGTGGGCCAGATGCTGTGGGGACTTCCTTGCTGTGTCTCTTGACTCTGTTTTTACAAAGCAATCAGGCTGCATTTATGATAATATTGGTCAAACTGAAGCAAGTAATAAAATTCAAGTGGTAGATATGGAATCATTTCATTTGAACATTTTTAGCTTCACATTTTTCAAATGGCCATTTGGCTTTGTATAGACACAATGAAAGAATTATGACCTTTGGCTAACTTTACTGAACAAGGCAATAAAGTATAGTTGAAGTATATAGTGCCTTTTGATTTTGTGGGGGAGGGAATGTCATTATAGCGTGAATTATTCTATTTCATTGACGTGGACTACAGTCATAGCATTCTAAAGAGAAGGAAAAGTCCTGGGCTTAGTCCATGAGCCTTGGGAGGGGAAGGGCAGGCAGTCCAGGGAGAGAGTTGTTCATGCACTTAAGGGTCCCTAAGAAAAGGAATTTTATATCTGCTTAGATGGGTTACTTTGCCTCTCTGAGACTCAAACTTCTCTGTAAAACATGGAGAATTAAGTTACCTGACTTAAGTTACCATGACTTCTTTATGTCATGATCGTGTGGATCGTGAATAAGAGGCACCTCACAGTATTTTGTAGACTCAGAAGTACCATGCAAATCTATTTCATGTTCTGTTAGTTTAAAGCAACTCTACCTCGGAGGCCTAGAATATATATAACATATATGGCTGCATGAAAAGATAAATCTTAATATTTATTTTAAGGGTCAATAATACAGAATTTGTTAGCTACATAATCATTATTTACCTACAATTGCAGATTACTTTATGAGGATAATGACTCTTGGGTAATTGCTTTGTTGTAGCAAGATATCCACACACGTATAGCCAACCACGTGAATTATAGCTTTTTAATCTCACAATTACAGAGCAGTGTGAAGGCTACCAAAGAGGTTGAGATATAATTGCTAATTGCCAAACAGTGCACTGGGACTTTGTTTATTTCCCATCATGACAGTTTAACAGCAGGATGAAAAGTGAGTAGCATAATTTGGGCATGGTTTTGCATATGTCTAAGTGAAGACTCAGCCCCAGACTTTTCTGAGTTGCATTTTTTTAGTTGGTGTTTTAATAGGACATTTCCCAACTTGAGATGCAAACATATAAATTGCGAGACTTGCTTTCAGTTCCTCCAAAGGATGACATGATGGCAGATGGAACGGCCTGGACGTTTCCTCTTGAATTAGTGCCCGCTTCATCTAAGGTCCTCAGTGAAGGGTCAGCATGGAGGTCACAACCCTAATGAAGAGAGTTGGGATCAATAAAGGCAGGGATCGTTGACTCACATTCAAGCCAATAAGTATTGATTCAACTCCTTGTGGAGAGAAAACCAGCCCTGGAGTGGGGCTCTCTGAGACTGGAACTTGTTTCCACCATTTATGAATTGTATGACCCAGGCCCTGTTACCTCTCTCTGATCTTTAGTTTCCCCAACTGTAGAATGGGAATGATCATAACAGAAACTCCTTTGGGGGTTGTGGTGAGCTGGAGATGAGCTAAATGAGATGATGCAGGCTAAGCGCTTGGAGCAGTGCCTGGCACGCAGGCAGAAGGTTGGCCACGTTGTCATTGGTGCCCATCTGGTGTGAGCTGTGCTGATGCCTTCTTACACTAATTCCTTAGGTCAGTGTTTCACAGAGGCCCACCCATCTCACAGGAGTCCTCGCATGTCTGATGTGCTGCTGACTTAGCTAACTCTATAGAGGTAATGCTCTATTAGCTTGAAATGATCCTGCCTTGGGGGCTGGAAGACAGTGCTGGCAGATCCTTCTCCTCCATGTTGCCAAATCCTTCATCTCCTGAGAACCTGTCATCTACTGCACGTGAGAGGACTTTGCATCGGAGCTTCCCTGATGCTCAAGGGATGTTCCCAGAAACACTTTACTTTTTAAGGCTAATGAATCAGACTTAGCTCACAGGGCTTTTGTGCAAATGTTCTTAGTTTTCAAGCCTGGCTCTGCCTGGGCTGCAGCCCTCCCTTGCTAGAAACTCTCTGCCCACAAGCACTTACTCTTATACTCTAAGTCACTGCCTTCCTCCTTCCATGGAAATCCTTCTTTACTTGCCAGGCCCCACATGAATTCCAGCCTCCCATGGAGCTTTTTTTTCTCTACCCAACCTGCAGATTAATGAGCTGTTCCCAATCCACATGGGTGATTTCACAAGTATGTTCACCAGCAACTCAGTTAGATTTGCACAAATAAGACCTTGCCCTGAGGCTGGGTGTGGTGGCTCATACTTGTAATCCCATCATTTTGAGAGGCCGAGGCAGGAGGATTGCTTTAGCCCAGGAATTCAAGACCAGTCCTGGCAACAGAGCAACACCTCGCCTCTACCAAAATAATAATAATGATTAGCTGGGCACAGTGGCTTATGCCTGTAGTCCCAGCTACTTGGGAGGCTGAGGCAAGAGGACTGCTCGGGCTCGGGAGGTCAAGGCTGCAGTGAGCTATGGTCGCACCACTGCACTCCAGCCTGGGTGACAGAGAGAGACCTTTCTCAAAAAACAAAACAAAACAGAAAAACCAACCTTTCCCTGAATGCGCAGAACTTCACCTTCTCAGCCCCTACTCTATATTTCAACATCCCAGCCCAGCTGATACCTTTCTTTGGAGACTGCCATCATGTCTGAACTCCCTTGCCCCAAAGCCTTCACACGTGTCTTCTTGGTAGCCAGATAGAAGTTCTTTCTGTCTGAGAACTTCCAATAGTAATGTTTATGGCAAGTGACTTCTGGATTCCTCCCTCAGGAACAGTCCTGGGAAAATCTCAAGGGAAATTGAGTGCACAGTTGACATTTACATTGAAATTCAGATTTCTACTTCTTCTAAAACCATAGTCCCAAGGGGTTCTTAATCCATAGAAAAGAACTTGGGAAGCAAAAGGGGAAAAAAGCGCTTTTGATGGAAGAGGGGAATGAGCTGGTTCTAGGTGAAAGCACTTCTGGTAAAGTAGCAAATAGACCCACTGGTGTGGGGGCACAGAGCTTTAGACAAATGGAAGTGGGTGCATTCTGAATGCTTGTCTTTTTAGCATAAATGCATGATGATTGGCTGCATTCAGTTTATCTTTTTAGTGACTTCAAAGCCAAGTGCAGAAAAAAATACACTATCAAAGCAAAAAAGGCCAAAGGGTGTTGGTGCACAAATTTAATACTGGGAGAATGAGTAATTTTTTCTTTATTTGTTTTTTTTTTTCTGATATGAAAAAAATGAAAGACTTTCTATTCCAGGTACGAGTCTTGAACTCTCTTTGGTAAGAGACCATCACTTTCTAGGCAAGTTGGACCCTCCGTTAAGCTAGAAGTTCTATGTGTTGGTCTGTTGATCAGTATGTCTGGTGAGAAGGAAGGATCTGGGGGAAGCAGCTCCAGACCCAGGACCCAGGTCTAAATTCCTTGTCCTCCACTTTTACATGGCCTTGGGTGGGTTGCTGATAGTCTTAGCCTCAGTTTCCACATCTCTGAAATGGGCAGAATAATAGTTGCCTTGAAGTGACAGTGTGGAGCTGTGTATAAAAGCCCAGGATAGATGCTCAGGAAATGTTGTCCTTTCTCTCATCTTCCTCTTTTCCCTCCCTTCCTTCTTTCCTCCCTCCCTTTTTGGAGTATGTTTTCAGAGGAGGAAGCATGGGGGAGAATAGTAAATTATTTGAAGATCTGGGGAAACAGGAAAGCTTGAACAACTGAAAAATGTTTCTTGCAGTGTGGTTGCAGGACACTCCTTTCCGAGGTACCCGAAGTGCTTGTGTCAAATGCAGGGTTCTTAAACCAAGCCCTGGGGGCATGCCTTGGGAATCTGTATTTTAAAGTGACAGGTATCCCAGACACTGTTGAGTGCTTACAAATGGCCATTGCCTTTCTTTCTTCAGACAGAGTCCTAGTTTTGTCCACTCCTCCTGACAAAAAAAGAAACTCAAAGGTAAATCCTGATTGGTCAAAACAGATCAATAATCCCCTAGACCCCCTGCCAGTGCCGGTTTAGTGAAGGGCCAGAGACCCAGTCCAGACCACTGAAATGTGAGAGAATGTCTGCTCTGCGCAGCGGGGGGTTGCGGGGCAGGCTTCTTTGTTCTTTGAAAATCACTGCTGTGGTTTAAATGTTTGTGTCCCCTCCAAATTCATGTTGAAATGTAAATCTCAATGCAGTGTTATTAAGAGGTGATTAGGCCATGATTAAGAGGATTAGACCATCCTTGTAAATAAATTAATGCCCTTATAAAGGAGGCTTCATACTTCATTCACTCCTTTTTGACCTTTCATCTCTTCTGCCCTGTAAGGACACAGCATTTGTCTCCTCCAGAGGATACAGCACCAAGGCGCCATCTTGGAAGTAGACTGGAGCTCTTAGCAGACCAGAACCTGTGGGTGTGTTGATCTTGTACTTCCTGACCTCCAGAACTGTGAGAAATGCATTTCTGTTGTTTATAAGTTGCCCAGTCTCAGGTATTTTGTTACAGCATCACAAACAGACTAAGACAATCTCCTAGAGGAGAAATCCTCTCTTCCACTACATGCATTGTGTCTGTGTATGGTAGCTGGAGCTGGAGCAGCCACGCTGCAACCCAGGGGCCAGCCAAGGGCAAGGCTGAGAGTGTTATCACTGATGTGTCAGGTGGTTCTTTGTTGTTTTGAGAAAGAACTTTAATTGAGATAATTTATGTAACATAAAATTTACTGTTTTACAGTGTACAATTCAGTGACTTTATTTGGTATATTCACAATGTTTGGCAACCATCACTACTATCTAATTCCAGAACATTTATATCACTCTGAAAAGAAACCCGTATCTATTATTAATTATTCTTAATTTTTCCCTTCTCCAGCCACTGGCAACCATTCACCTGCTTTCTATCTCTATGGACTTGCCTATTCTAGACATTTCATACAAATGGAATCATGCAATATGTGATCTTTTGTGTCTGCCTTCTTTCGCTTAGCATCATGTTAATAAGGTTCATCCACATTGTGGCATGTCAGGATTTCATTACTTTTGGTAGGTGCATAATATTCCATTGCATGAGTGTATATGTGTGTGTGTACATATATGTGCATATATATATACACATACATACATGCATATATATATACACATATATAAATACATACACACCACATTCATCTATTCATCAGTTAATGGACATTTGGGTGGTTTACACATTTTGGCTACTATAAATAATGCTGCTAGGCACATTTGTATAGAAGTTTTTGTGAGGACATATGTCTTCCTTTCTTTTGGGTATATACATCAGGTGGTTCTTTTACTTCTAAATTTGAGTGGTCTGGCAGAATGGTTCAGAGGTAAACCATGGAGTTTGACCGTTGGGAACAATTCCTGGCTTTTGCACTTACTGGCTGGGAGACTTTGGGCTACTGTTTACTACTGGTTACTGCCCCCTCTTCCCACCCGCTGTGCCTTGATTCTTCATCTGTCAGATAGTGATGAGAAATACATTGTTGCCACAGGATCACAGTGAGGATTAAATGAGTTAATCTATTAATATTCCTTAAAACCCTGCGTGGCACATAATAGGTGCCCAGTGAATGTTAGCTGTTGTTATTAATGCTATACCCACACGCCAGAAGGAGCTCACCGCAGACTCTCTTGCTGAATTTATTCTTACCTTCTGGGGAGCCAAGGTCAGAGTTAGAAATTCTTCTTTAAAAACACCAGCGTCATCTCCACTGGCCCCTTATAATGGTCCAAAGATGAAATGCACACTGGTCAAACCAGAAAAGTGGCCAGTAGCACCTCCCAGTTTCTTCATTTTCTTCACTTTGGGATAATTATTGAAAATACAAGCTTGTTCTTTCTGTAAAAAACTCACGCCTAATCTGCTTCACTGTTTAGTGGCTGAAATTATTGCAAGGTTTGTGTTCATTTTTGGGTCATAACCTCTTATCACATTTCCCTGGACTTCTCTATATGTGTGATGTCTTTTCAGCTTCTTGTGTGCAAAGGTCAGCATTTTAAAGACTAGCAATGGCACAATTCCCTCCCTCCCCTCTCCACCCTGAATGCCAACCAGCATGAAGGCTCATCTGCCTTTAATTCTGCAGCTTAGTCACGGCCTCGAGTGAGAAATACGAGACTAAGCTATGGCCTTGGGAGTGGGCCACAGTCCTCTGTTTCAAGCATTCACCAAATTTCATAATTAATGTGTTATAATTAATAACTAGCATTGCCCCAGCTTGAGCTGAAATTCATATACTAGTCCCAGAGGGCACATGCATCTCAGCAGAGCTACAGTTCCTGGGCCCATAGTTCAAGACATCCTTAGTGTTAATGAAGAGCCTCCTTGCACAGGCCTGGAACCCTGAGGCTGGGAGGGGATTTGATTTAGCCACATTAGGGGTGTGTGCCTGAGAGGACTCACTCGCATTTCTAACTGGCCTTTGCAAACACCTTTTGAAGACTTGATGCACTCCAACAAGAGGACCCCAAACCTCATTTCACAGCTCTGGGTCTGCGTCTGTAAGTTTATGTGGGCAGTGTTGTTAAGAACCCAGGCCCCGGAATCAAATGGAGGTAGATGCAGATCCTGCCTCCCTGCTTTTTGCTGTGTGATCACGGGCAAATCCGTTCACCTCTCTGAGCCTTAGTGTCTTCACCTGTAAAATAGGAGAGAAAACACAACCGCAGCCAGTTGTTTTGTGGATCAAACAGAGCAATAGAAAGCACTTTGGAGAGTCCCTTGGTCAGTTCTCAACAAAGATTAGTGGCTGTCACTGCCATCCTCTTCTTCGTCATCACCCTGGTTGTCTCCTAGTGGCTCACACTCCGCCTGCCCTCCCTCAGCTCACCATCCTGCATCCTTCAAGTCTGCTCCTACCCCTCTGTTTTCTCATAATAACATCACTGATTCTCTGCCCTAGAAGGGAGCTGACAAGTATTCCCGACTTGTCCTGTCCCTCACCATGCTCAGGACCAGGAATGGAAGTGCAGCTGAATTTCTTCAACCTGGAAACCAGGGATGAGTGTGCTTCCTCTGGCTGCGAGGAAGAACCCTTAGAGGGGTAGGAGGGAGGAGGAGAGCGTTGGCACAGCTTTGGCTGATAAAGGGATGGGTTGGGCCGAAAGGTAAACAGGAGAAGTAGGATGTAAAAGGAATGGTAAAAAGTCAGCCAAATCGAGCGAACTTCAGCTGAGGTCCTGATCTCTGCCCAGATCGGCCGCCCCAGCTGGTGCTCTCACTCCTCCAGGGCCTCCCGCCACCCCTGCTGCTTAGCACATGTCTACAGTTCAGTGGACAGGCAGTGATGGGCCTGCCCGACTTTGCCCAAGCTCTGGGGTCCAGTGCTCATTATCCCTGTTTACCCATTCGGGTCCGGAATGAAACCCCTCGCCGCTGCTGGCTTCCTACAAATTCCAGTGTTTTGTTTAAGGGGAAGAAATGGATCCAGATCTTACTACGGGCTTTCCTTGCTCTGTCAACTACAAAATAAATTAGACGGGTCAAACGTTGTAGATTTAATCTCACTGTGAACTGAAAACATAGTCGCTCTCCTTGCCATCGGAGAATATGCGAGCGCTCGGTGACCCCCTGGTGAACCGGAGGGGCCAGGCCTGCCGGCAGGTGCAGCTGGAGCAGTCTCAATGTGACATTCACCGCGATCCTTTGTGCCCTGCTGAGAACTGCTGGGGAGTGTTTGGAACCGAATACTCAAGGGCTTTCCCTCACCGTCTCACAATTACCTGTGCAAGGTACAAAAAAGGAAGAAATTGAGAGAGAGACAAGAGGAGGAGAAGGGGGAGCAGCTAAGGGAGAAGGGGGAGGATTCTCCAGTGGTTCGGAGGAGGCCATGGTGGTTCCAGTTAAAGGCAGAGATTGGCATAGGAGCCAATGGGATAGCAACGGGTGATGGAAACAGTGTTTGATAGAAACAGATGGCTCTCCACTCTCCGGCAACACACAGGGCTGCATGCCTCGTCCGCTGGTTTGGAGAACAGGCTGGGGAGAGACCCTGCACGTGTGGGCAGTCAAGGAGGGCATTGGCTTGGTGAGGACAGGCCTGGTGAGCCTCATGGGTTGAGGGCACCTGCGAGCTGTCAGCTGCTTCCCAGTGGGCTAGCTGCAGTGATTTGGTGCACCTGGCTGGGACAGCGAGTGTGTTGAGGCACTTTATCCTTCATCGGCTCTTCCTGTGGGATAAGGCGTGGAGCTGAGGACACCCTTCCCCCACCCTTGACAGTCATTCCACAAGTGATCCTTAGAAGGTGTCCCCTTCAGGTGTCTGAACAGGGATGTCTGCTCGGGCTGGCATTTGGGAAGGCCACTGAGGATTCAAAGCATTGTTATGAACTGGCCTGTGCCCAGTTTGATTCTGACCAGGCAAGACTCTTCCATGGGGAGAGGAGATAGTGACAGAGATAAAGCCTTCTTTGGATCTTGGCAAAGGCCAGGGCTTAAGACACTCGAGGTCCAAGGCTGGACTGGGCATGGTGGCTCACACCTGGAATCCCAGCACTTTGGGAGGCCAAGGCAGAAGGATTGCTTAAGCTTAAGCATTTGAGACCAGCCTGGGCAACACAGTGAGACCTAATATCTTAAAAAAAAAAAAATTAAAAATAGCTGAGTGTGGTGGTGCACACCTGTGGTCCCCGCTATTCAGGAGGCTGAGGCAGGAGGGTCACTTGAGCCCAGGAGTTCGAGGTTGCAGTGAGCTATGATTGTACCAATGCATTCCAGCCTGGAGACCCTGTCTCAAAAAAAAAAAAAAAAAAAAAAAAGGTCCAAGGCTACATCAACTGTCAGGGGTGGGGTGAAATGCTTAGGGCTTGCATGAGTCATAGAATTGGGAGAGAAAGGACTAGAGCACGTTAGAGGTCCACTTTGGGAAGTCACTGGGAAGGCCTGACCCCCTATTGTCTCTTTTGCTCATGCACCGGTGCCTTTGCAGTGTTGACAGCAGGCGCAGCTGACGCCCATGTATTGGTTGTGCCTGAAATCCCACCATTGTGGGAGATTCGATGGCAGAGAGGAGGAGAGCATGGGGCCGTAGGTCTTACCTGTGTGGCATCTCCAACCAGGTAGCAACCTATGAAGTCAGGCCCCAGGCTTAGCTTAACTTTGTGATTATTGGAGAGACAAAGAGTTGTATTTTTTTTTTTTTTCCTGAGAAGGAGTCTTGCTCTGTCACCCAGGCTGGAGTGCAGTGGCACGATCTCTGCTCACTGCAAGCTCGGCCTCCTGGGTTCACTCAATTCTCCTGCCTCAGCCTCCTGAGTAGCTGGGACTACAGGTGTCCGCCACCACACCTGGCTAATTTTGTGTATGTTTAGTAGAGATGGGGTTTCACTGTGTTAGCCAGGATGGTCTCGATCTCCTGACCTCCATCTCGGCCTCCCAAAGTGCTGGGATTACAGGCATGAGCCACCGCACCTGGCTGAAAAGTTGTATTTTTATAGGATTTCCCAGAAGACCGAGGAAACCTCCTGTAATGCAGCACACTGCAGCCTCTCTTGATATTTGAGTTAAGCCCAGAGGGAAGGAGAGGGAAGAGGGTCCAGTCTAGGGCAAGAGGAGATCCCTTGGGAGTCTCTTAGCTCCTCTTGGGGAGCTATGTCACAGGCTCATTCGGCAAAAGCACTCACTGTGTGCCAGGCTCCATGCTGGGCTCGGGGAGCCTGAGGCCAATCGGACCTGCTCTGGCTTTAGAAGGGCTCCTGAACAATTAGTAGTATTGATAGCCTTGGAGCATTTTTGGCAAACTTGCTGAACCTCTCCTTGACCATGAACCACCCTCGCAACCAGAGGAGAACAGAGGAGCCTCGGTTGGGTGGGGGTGAATGACCTACTGCTCTGAGTCACTCAGCACAAAGATGGATCCACTGGCCACCCAACCCAGAGCCTGAGGGCAGCCACCTGTGCAGACAGCGTGGGTCCCCAGCTCCATCATTAGCAATCTGGGCTAAACCCTTCTCATCATCTGAGCCCAGTTTCCACCCAGGGGCCATGACTCAGAGCCATCTCGGGACACCAGCCCTGACACCTGAGTCAGTCTGACTCTGTGGCTGTGGGACTGCCCCTGTAGCCATCCCCAAACCCTTAGGAAGTCTGGAGGGTGATTGGGCTGTTCTGACACTTGGGACCAGCTCTCCAGCCTGCCACCTAAGTCCCAGGCATGGCTGGAGGCCCAAGGCTCCTGCACGTGCTTCTTCTCTTTGGTATCACAAGAGCAGTACGAGGATTCACTTCCCAGTGACCTCTCCACTTTCAGATTCAAAAGGGCACCCTCTGAAAACTCCTCCAACCCAGGAAGAAGATGATGGCTGCCAAGGTGGATGCAGGAGGGGTCGTTCAGACAAGGTCCTAAGTTATCCTTGTCTCTCTCCTGCCCATGGATGGTCCTTGGCCTCTGCTAGGAGGCACATCCCAGTGCCTTTAAGGGCAGAGGGTGAGGGCTCTGTGGCCCCTCCTACTTCCAGAATCTCTGGGCTCACACATCTTCCTGGGTTGGGTCAGGGGCCAGAATGCATGTGCTGTGGAGACAGCGACCTGGCCTGTTTTGCTTTCCACTTCCCCTGGTGCCTGGCACAAAACTGAGGCTGTCTGATGGCCAACACTGCATCTTCCTTGCCAGGATTAGGGGTGAAGAAGGTGGTGCTGGTTGGAGTGGTCCTCTCCTCCTTGCCCACACAAATAGTGAGGAGGCAGCCTTCTCTCCTGGCCTAATCCTGGCTGGTCATTCACAACGCACAGGTGTATTCACCTTGTCCTGGAGGCTCTGCGAAGCTGCCATCATCTTCATTGGGCTTTTCTTCTTGGCTCTGGCTATTGGAGGTCCCCAGCCTTTTTTCTAGGCACAGGGACAGAGTTCCCATCTGAGGACTCACCAACTTCCTCTGTGGGCAACTGATATGAAAGGAATTCAGGGTCTGTGGGCAGAGTTTCCATTAAGTGTTGTTTTCATTCTCACCAAACCCATCTCGGCATCTTTGTAGCACTCAAGAAAAATGGAAACCACTAATTTCCCTGGCAGCAGATAAGACCAATGAGTTATAGAATTTGGTCATTCCCGCAAGAAAGGTTTGGAAGAATTGCTTGGGAGGCTCAGGGAGGGAGAGGAGCCATCTGACTGGAGGCATCTGGAAGAATTTCATGGATATACTTGAGAAGACCCTTGTGGGACAGGTGGGGTCCGCAGGTGCAGTGAAAGGCAGGCCACCTCTGTGGAGGCTACAGCCTGGGAACAAGCTGTGTTCAGGGAGCAGCCTGTTGTTCCATTTGGGACCACAGCCAGGGTGTAGAGAGATGTTGGAGTGACCATTCTGGCCTTGCAGTCCTTGTGCAGTGACAGGCAGGAAGCAAAGAATGAACTCTGTGGGAAATTATGGAATAAAAAGGGGTCTGCATGCAAATTGTGGGCAGCATCAATGCCAGGGTCAGAAGGAGTTAAAAGCCGGCCTCTCCTAATTTTCCTGCTCGTAGGAAGCCATCTGAGATCTCTGAGGCTGATGGGCATTCTGCTTT